>NC_000017.11:37560980-38185980 GCF_000001405.40 Homo sapiens | reverse complement strand
CTACTGCAGGGACCTGAGCCACATCGCCGCCTTGTTCCTCCTCTATCTTCCTGAGGAGGATGCATTCTGGGCACTGGTGCAGCTGCTGGCCAGTGAGAGGCACTCCCTGCAGGGTAAGTGAACAGCTGCCCCGGGGACCTCCTGCAGCCAGACCTGGGGATGGCCACCCTGGCCAGGTGATCACAGCTTTCAGCCAAGGCACCCTCCTTGTGTCGCCAGCTTGTTGGGAGACTTTAGGATGTCTCTGCTGAGGGTCCCACAGGAGTCCACGGCTGACCCCCAAAGCCCAAATCAGACGCCTCTCATCCCCATCAGCAGAGGGCATCTCATCCTCCCCGTGGCCACCCTCTGTGTCCTGGAGCCACGCCCTCCGGCTCTGATTCTGTGCAGCTGACTCTCCCCTCCCTGAGAGTCCTCCTGCCCTCCAGCTGCCCGGGCTCCTGCTGCCATCGGTGCCCACGAACGGGCCGACCAAGCCCAGGTGGCAGCATCTCCCCATCCCCTGTTCCCTGGCCCGACCCCACTACCAGGAGATGACCGGGAAGCCCAGCGCCCACCCAGTTCCGGCCACCCTGTCGTGGCCTGAAAGTCAGGCTTGCCCTTTTTGCACCCTGGCCCAGGAGGCCTCCAGGGGAACCTCCAGCCAGGCTCCAGGGAATGTTCCCGCCCCACCTCCCCAGGGTAAAGGCCGCATGTTGGGGTCACCAGATGGGAGGGTGGGAGGCCTTGGGGTTTGGGGGCCTCTCCAGCTGCCCAGCTCTTACAGCTGATGGCTCCACATCTTGGGGGAAGGCTCTGATTTCATGATGGGCTGGGGGCTTCTCAGGATTTCACAGCCCAAATGGCGGGACCGTCCAGGGGCTCCAAGACCAACAGGAGCATGTGGTAGCCACGTCACAACCCAAGACCATGGGGCATCAGGTGAGTTTATGGTCCCCTCAGCTCTTCCCAGAGGCCCTGCCTCCCGTGGGACTGTAGGAGCAGGGGGGCTGGAGCCCCTCGTGGGGCTGGTGACTGGCTGAGTCCCAGCCAGGGCCTGACCTGGGACGTCGGGTTCTCCATGGGCTGGGAGTTGGTTTCCTTTCCTGCCCTGGAGGAGACAGAGGCACAGGGATGGGGGCCCAGCTCCCGCAGAGCAGGGCAAAGGGCAGTGTGTCCACCGGGAGTGTGGGAAGGTGACAGTGTTGTGGGGAGCTCTGGACACCGCCCAGTGTTCTGCACTAGGGGAAGGGTCTTCAGAGGCCCTGGAAGAGGGAGGTTTTTAGGGCAGCCCAGTGGCCTGAGCACCTCTGTTGCTTCCATCAGGACAAGAAAGATCTATGTGGGCAGTGTTCCCCGTTAGGCTGCCTCATCCGGATATTGATTGACGGGGTAAGGAGGCATAGGGAGACCCTGGCTCAGGGACCTTCCTTGCCCTGCAGTGCCCTGCTTCCCCAGCCCGGGGGTCTGGCTCACTCCCAGCCCACAGGAGGCTCAGGCGGGTCCCCAAAGGACACACAAGCAAAACCCTCTGCCCAAGGGGGGTCATCCCAGGGCCATGGCTGGGGCTCAGGCCCAGCCTCATGGGCAGACTGGGCCAGGACCCGACTTGAGAGGGCTCAGGGAAGCCTCAAGCCCTGGGCAAGCCCCTCTCTCCAGGAGCCACATCCCCACTCAAATGAGTGCCCCCCATGAGGAGCTTCAAGACCTTGTCTGACCCAGCGTCCTGGAGGGCTCAGGCGACCCTCATGGGGAAGGTCACTGACTCTGGAGACTGAAGCCCCAGTGTGCGCAGCTCGAGCCACCAGCCCCAGCCTGGAAGGACCAGGTTCTTTCACACCTGCTGTCCCCACAGATCTCTCTCGGGCTCACCCTGCGCCTGTGGGACGTGTATCTGGTAGAAGGCGAACAGGCGTTGATGCCGATAACAAGAATCGCCTTTAAGGTTCAGCAGAGTAAGTCTACGTGTGCCCAGCGGGGCCTGGGGAGCCCTGGGGTCAGACCCCGACTGGCCCGAGGGCAGCTTCCTCACACTGTCCTCATGATCCTCTGTTCTGGCCCAGAGGGAGGTCTGGCCAGGTGGGCTGGGCAGGACACTGTGACACCGAGCCCATCCCCCACATGACCCAGATGAAAGTCGAGAGTGTGGTGAGCACTTCCCTGTCCGGATCGCCCCCCAGCCACAGTCTCCTGTGTATATCTGGACACCTGGGGTGGCCACAAAAGGATCCGGCACCGCCCAGTAGGAGACTGAAGTGGCCACGGGGTATGAGCTGTGACCATTCCCAGGTAACTCCCCTGGCCTGATATCCACCCTGTCCCTAGAGCGCCTCACGAAGACGTCCAGGTGTGGCCCGTGGGCACGTTTTTGCAACCGGTTCGTTGATACCTGGGCCAGGGATGAGGACACTGTGCTCAAGCATCTTAGGGCCTCTATGAAGAAACTAACAAGAAAGAAGGGGGACCTGCCACCCCCAGGTGGGCTCCAGTGCCATGTCCCCTCCCATGTCACCCTCTGGGGTAGTCAGTAGTAGGGGAGTGCCCGGGACCCGCAACCCTACTACCTGGGCCTTCCTCTTCACCTTTTCTTCCTCCTCTTCCTCCTGGACTCTAAGAAAGTACAGGAGGCCCACCGGTCCTCAGGGCAGGCGCTCAGTGCGTGTATACTGGACATGCTGTGCACGCAGGAGGGGGATGTGGGCAAGACCCTCCAACAAGCCCCCTCCCACTTTCCACGGTGTCTCCCTCTCCCCCTCGCAGGGCCCTCCAAGTTACTAGACGAGCCCAGACCCATTTGTGGGAGACCCCGCCCCTCCCTGCAAGCACCCACAGCCTCAGAGAGCAGCAGAGGCCCCTCACTCCTGCACGCTCCTCCAAGGTTGCCAGGACAAGAAGCCTGGAGCCAGGGAGACAAGGGAATCCGTGTCCCTGACCCACAGAGCATTCAGGGAGAGGGCACAGGCGGGACCCCGGGCCCAGAGCCAGAGCCAAGAGTTCAGCCAGAAGTGGGAACGGTCAGTCCTGGCATGGACTGGGCAGCCCAGGAGGGCAGAGGGTGACCCACGTCCGGGCCCAATCACCCACTGCGGAGACGGGTCCCCACGTGAGGTGACAAGGGGCTGGGTGACATCCAAGGCCCCTCCCACCTGAGTTCTGACTGGGGGCCGTATCCCAGGCCCAACAGCCCTGGGACGAAGGTGTGTGGCAGGAAGCCCCCAGCCAGTCTGAACCCTGGGGGCAGTCCCAGGAGCCACCCGCCATGCCACGACAGCTTCCCCACGCCAGGCAGCATGCACCCCTCCCTCTGGGATCAGCAGACTACAGGCGTGTCCTCGGTGTCAGGCCACGGGGGCCACACAGAGACCCCGAGGACTCCAGAGACGCAGGCAGGTGGGGCCCAGCCCGGAAAGGCCTGCGTGGGCTCACTGGAGATGCTGACCGCGTCTGTTTTCCTTTCAGCCAAACCCGAGCAAGGGTCGTCGGCATCCAGGCCTGTGCCGGCTTCACGTGGCGGGAAGACCCTCTGCAAGGGGGACAGGCAGGCCCCTCCAGGCCCACCAGCCCGGTTCCCGCGGCCCATTTGGTCAGCTTCCCCGCCACGGGCACCTCGTTCTTCCACACCCTGTCCTGGTGGGGCTGTCCGGGAAGACACCTACCCTGTGGGCACTCAGGGTGTGCCCAGCCCGGCCCTGGCTCAGGGAGGACCTCAGGGTTCCTGGAGATTCCTGCAGTGGAACTCCATGCCCCGCCTCCCAACGGACCTGGACGTAGAGGGCCCTTGGTTCCGCCATTATGATTTCAGGCAGAGCTGCTGGGTCCGTGCCATATCCCAGGAGGACCAGCTGGCCCCCTGCTGGCAGGCTGAACACCCTGCGGAGCGGGTGAGATCGGCTTTCGCTGCACCCAGCACTGATTCCGACCAGGGCACCCCCTTCAGAGCTAGGGACGAACAGCAGTGTGCTCCCACCTCAGGGCCTTGCCTCTGCGGCCTCCACTTGGAAAGTTCTCAGTTCCCTCCAGGCTTCTAGAAGCATCTGGGCCAGGGCTCATGGCTGGATAATTTCCCTAGGCTTAACAACCCAAGCAAGCTTCGCATCCTCGTTTTATTTTTGGTTAAACTTATGAAAATGTATTAAGAAAGAGTGCAGCTCGAGAGAGATTCAGAGATGGAACACACCAGACCCCAGATCACAAAGCCAACCATGCCCAGCCCCTCCCAGCACCCCCAGCCCCACGACCATCGTTCTGAATTCTGACGACACCGTGAGCCTGCCTTTGTACTTCAAACTCATGGAAGGATAACCACCTTCATGTTTTGAAATAAATGTTTCCTGTTGAAATGATTTTAGATTTTAGACAGAAATATTGAAAAGGCACTATAGTATCCTCCTATACCTTCCATCCAGCTGCCCCTAATAATGATGTTTTGCAGTCCCATGGCACATAAGAAATTTAGGCCGGGTGTGGTGGCTCACACCTGTAATCCCAGCAATTTGAGAGGTCGAGGCGGGAGGTTCAGGTTCACTTGAGTCTAGAAGTCTGAGACCAGCCTGGGAAACCTAGGTGGACCCGGTCTCTAGAGAAAAGTCAAAGAAATTAGCCAGGCATGGTGGCGTGTGCCTATAGTCCCACCTAGTCAGGAGGCTGAGGCAGGAGGATTGCTGGAGCCCACGAGTTCCAGGAAGCAGTGAGCCATGATTGCACCACTGCACTCCAGCCTGGGTGACAGAGTGAGACTTTATCTCTTAAAAAAATTTAAGAAATTTAATGTGGGTACAGTTCTATTAACTAAATAATAATGTGAACTATTATCTAAGGTTATGAAGGCTAGAATTATCCCATTTTTGCCTAACTTCTCGTACCTGTCCCAAGATCCCACCTTGGACTCACCCTCTGCCTTCAGCTCACGTCTCTTCAGCTTCCTCCACATGGTCCAGCAAACACACACCTGGGCTGAATGGTAGAGCTGATTGCTCATACACAAAGGTAGACCGGTGGGCAGGGATTTTCAGACTTACACAGTCAATGAGTTTTCCTTGGTGTTCTGGAGAGCACCGTTTGAGAAACACTTTGACAGTGAATCTAGGCCTCAAGATCCATCAGCTGCTCTAGCTTGAATTTTGCTCAAGCTCAGTGAACACCTGCTCTGCCGGGTGCACGTGAAAGGGGCAAGGATGAGAAAGCTGTAGATAAAGAAGACAGGACGCAGGGGGTCTGTCTAAGCTCTATCCCCTGCCTTCAGCACTGAGGGATGAAATCCAACTCTTAGGGAACGGTGGCCACGTGCTGGGCCAGCCCCAGGCTCTCAGGATCTGACAGTGGGTGACGCAGAGCCAGGCCTTGCCCCTGGGGAGCTCTCCAGCATACACCTCCCTCTCCCCTCCCAGCGTGCCGCAAAGCAGGCGTCAACGCCATTGTTAATGCACGGAGGAGGAAGCTGACTGTTAGACCTGGGTTTTCCAGGGTTGCACGGCTTCTGGGAGACGGATGTGACCCTGAGGACAGGGCACAGGCCAGTGTAATGCCAGGATGGAATGAGCTGTGATCTGTGCTGTATAGAGGCCTAGGCCAAGGTGGGACTGACGGATGACCAGGTCAGCCGGGTCACTGAAAACACTCTTGGGTCCTCACCTGCCGGTTCCCAGGAGTCCGGAACTGCCAGGAGAGTGGTGGCAGGTCCCCCATCCTCAGCTGGGTGGGCCTGGATAGAACAGCAAGGCGAGGGCACATTTCCCTGGCCATTCCCTCCAGGCACAGCTGTGACCTGTTCATTCCAAATTTGTGGAAGTATTTCCACACACACACAACTGCAAATAGCAGTGGACGTGGTGAGAGGCGTTTGCACATGGGATAGGCAGGATTTTGGAGGCAGAGCCTCCAGGGCTTGCCGATGGGTTAGCTGCAGGGCTTGAGAGGGAACGGAGAATCCAGGATGATGTGTTCAAATCGGTCCATTCACCTCTTCCGTTCCACGCCTGTGCTGGGCACTGGGAGAGACAGATGCACACAGGAGCCCCGGCCGAGGGGAGGTGTGGGGGGAAGCCCAGAGTGTCTGGGCAGGGTAGGAAACCCAGAGCGTCTACTGGGAGCTGAAGGCTTAGGTCCACCTGGGTGCCGTCCAGGTTCTCTGCATGTAGAAGTATAGGCTGAGCTTCCCGGAGGAGGAGCAGCTGCTGTTGCTGGTGACCAGCACATTCAGGAACGGAGACTACTCTGTCAACAGACAGGGGGATGACCTGAGGTCTGGATGGTCTAGGGGGTGGTAGGGCCCAGGAGGACCCAGGAAAGGGTCTCGGGGATGCAGAACATCCTATGGAGGGCATTTGGGAGTCAGTGCTCAGGCCACTCCGGGTCACGCAGGTCATTTGCCGGCCCCTGTCATAATTATTGCCATATGAGAGTGCCACCCGTCCTATGACATATTTTATATATTTCTGTGAATGGCCTACTTGTTTGTATTTATGAATTTATGTTTAAAGGATGGGCAGGGGTGCTCGAGAGGTCCCCAGGAGTTTCCCTCTGGGGAGAGAGGGGCCCACCCCTTCCCAGCAGCCCTCTGAGCCCCCCGATCGCTTGGCCACAGCCTCTGCCTGGAGAAAGCATCCCCCTCGGAGATATATGGACATCAGAAGAAACCTTTCTCTGTCACCAGGACAAATCCTGTTCTTATTTGAACCAAGGCCAGTTTTCCTAATGAATGCAGGGAGGACAGCACAGATCAATGAAACCAGCAGATAATCCACAAGACTGTTTCCCAGAGCTGGGAGATTTCCTTCCCTGCCAACACTTTTCCTGAAAGGTCTTAAGAATGAGGCAAACAGTTTAAGTCTCTCTTGCACTGTTCTTTTAGTGAAAGAGTTCAATGAGGAAGGAGAGGAAGTGGAGCATATGCTTAGTTTCCAAGCTGGAAAAGTGGCCCATGGTTAACCAAGACTAGATGTAAAAGCACAGGTGGCCGCGGGTCCAGGTGAGTCGGTCCTACGATGGCACGGCTGCTAATGCCAGCAGATGCTCCTGTCCTCTCCTTTCAAGACTGACTTCTTCTGGTCTTTCATTCGTTAAAATAAAATTGACAGGGCATCATCCAAGAAGCTCTACACTTTCCCTTACTTGGATTTCAGACTCTAGATTCTGCTGAGATTTGAGCTTCATGGTGAACACATTCTTGTTGTGCTTGCTGCTGAGGGGTGTGGAGGACAGAGAGATGGTGAAATGGCAAAGTGGCTCTTGAGCATGGGTGGGGGAAGCCCCCACATATCTGAGTCAGTGCCACCTGGACACTACCCTTGGAGCATCCTGCTGAGGTGGCCATTCAGGTTTTCTTTCCTTTCCTTTTATTCCACTGTTTCTGAATCACAAATAAAGATCCAAGGCAAACAGCACATTCAGATCCCCAAGCTCTCCACCTCCAATGTGACCAGGGACGTGCACCACTTCAGGCTCATGCAGGACCCACAGCCTTTGGACCTCAGCTAAGGGACCTGCTTCTCTTCAGCACACGGGGCTTGTTTGTGTTGGGGTCTGAGCCCTGAGCGCATGGTCAAGGAGACCCCCAGGTCTTTCTGAACAGAGACAGCTGGCCTGGCGGCCTCCCTCTCACTGCATGCAAGAGTCTGTTAGGGCGGCTGTCTTGCTTCTGTGTGTTGGGAAATTCAATTTAGGTACCTAAAAATGAAAAGTCCCAGGACATCTCCATGGCTTGGGATCCACAGGAGAGCATCATTGATGCTGGGGACAATTTAAACATATAGAAACCCACAGGGCTACCTTAGACAGGGCACAGGGCACAGCACCCGGGGATGCAGAGTGGAAAGTTCACCACTACAGCCTGGAATTGCCTCTGTGATGCCTTCTTCATGACACTTGGCTGCCTTCGTGGCTGGAAGGCTGAGGCCCAGATCCCAACATGGCCACAGGCTAGCAGCTTGCTTCACCTTCCTGAACTGCAATTTCTCCATCTGAGCCTCTCTCCTAAGAGGAGTGTGCAGGGTCACTTAGCCCATATGGGCCAGAAACCCCACACGGTGCCAGGCACACAGTAGGGCCTCGGCAGATGCTGCCCCCTTCTGTCTCCACCACCCTCCTGGGGCTCCCTCCTGAAACAGCCTCCCTCAGCGCCTTGAGACTTGCACCCTAACAGCCTCTTGCACGCAGTGAGAGGGAGGCCCCCAGGCCAGCTGTCTCTGTTCAGAAAGACCTGGGGGTCTCCTTGACCATGGGCTCAGGGCTCAGACCCCAACACAAACAAGCCCCGTGTGCTGAAGAGAAGCAAGTCCTTTAGCTGAGGTCCAAAGGCTGTGAGTCCTGCATGAGCCTGAAGTGGTGCAGGTGCCTGGTCACACTGGAGGTGTAGAGCTTGGGGATCTGAATGTGCTGTTTGCCTCGGACATGAAACATCTCACAGACTGCCTGGAAGAAGGTGGAGCAGACTGGGGTTAATGGTCAGCAGCAGCAGCATCCCCACCACTGGGGCTATCCCTTTTTAGGCCCTTACCATGGGCCAAACACTGAGCCGTGTGCTTCGTGTAACTTCTAAGCACGCTTACCTGATAGGGTGACAGCAAAGACTCGAAGAGGTGCCTGGGCTTGGCACATAGTAGCTATTGCTACTGTTATGAATGTTGTTTTGTCTTTGTTTTTGTTTTGAGACAGGGCCTCACTCTGTTGCCCAGGTTGGAGTACAGCAGTGTCATCATAGCTCACTGAAGCCTCAACCTCCCTGGGTTTGAGCAATCCTCCCACCTCAGCCTCCCAAGTAGCTGAGACTACAGGTGTGCGCCACCAAGCCCAGCCAATTTTTTGTATTTTCAGTAGAGACTGGTTTTGCCAAGTCGCCCAGGCTGGTTTCGAACTCTGGGGTTCAAGCAATCTGCCCACCTCAGCCTCCCAAAGTGCTGGCATTACAGGCGTGTGCCACTGCGCCCAGCCATTATGAATGTCAATATTGACATGATCTTGTATCCTTATGCCCACACTGGGAGAGGTCTGATTGTCCCCATGTTCCTGGTGTGGAACCACATGGAAGAGGCCTATGTTATCCCAACAGTGCAGAAGCACAGCCTGAGTCTCTTCTTTGGCTGAGCCAAGGGCGTGCTGGAGAGGCCTGACAGAAGAAGGAGCGGCCCTTGTGACCAGTGCCCTTTTGGTTCACAAGGAACGTCTCCTCTTGTTGAAGTGACTTGGCTGAGCTTGCTACTTCTGCTTTGAGAGTCAAATATCAGGATCAAGACTTTAATTATCCCCAATTTACAGATGATGAAACCATATTGGGCAGGAAAGAAAGTCACCCCAGGAGAGCAAGTTGGACCTGAGCACTGGCTGAGGACAAAGGGGAATGATAATTTGGGATGTAACTTGTTAAGGGGTCTCACAAGTGTTCTTGTGATCCAGGTGTCGAGAGGATACAGCAGAAAGGTTGCCAGGGAGATGAGGGTAGGGTGCACCACAAGAGTGGGAGAAATTAAAGAGAACACGCAACAAAGCCTTGGGACACTGGGAGGGGGATGGACCACCCAGTTTTGTGCTATGGGAGAAGAGAGCAAGAAAAGGAATCTGTGTTAAATCCCGACAGCCTGCATGAGAAGCAAATGCCCTTCATTTTCTTCATCAGCGGCGAGACTGGCATCCCTGCAGCTTTGGGAGACCATGCTAGTGTAGATGCCAGCTCACGCCAGCGGGCCTGACTGGGAGACCTTGGGCTGGGGTTCTGGTCTGGGGCTCCTAGGCCTGATGGGAGGAGAGTTCAGCCCCAGGTTTCCTGTACTTCAGCTCATATCCACACAATGGTAATTATTGAAATGAGAGACTCAAAAGAAGATGGAACGTGAACTTTTTTGTTGTCCCATGTGGACACCTGTGTTCGGTTTCCAGTTCTACCTTTGCTGTCTGTGTGTTCTTAAGTAACTCACTTAAACCTTTCTGAGTCTCATTTTCTTCATTTATAAAATAAAAGACGTAACATTTATGTCAGATATTGTCCTGAGGATTAAATGGGAGAATGAACAAGCCTCTTCTGCATTCCCCTGGCATCCAGTGGGTGGAGGCCAGAGAAGCTGCTAAACATCCTGCCAGGTGCAGGACAGCCCCCATCACAAAGAATTGACCGGATCCTGATGTCAGTAAGGCAGAATTGAGGATCCTTGGTGTGGGGGAAAAAGAATAAACTCAGAAGCTTGGCAGATCTCAGTTCAAACCCTGGTTGTATCACCTCTAGCTGAGTGACCTTAGGCAGGTCTGTGAACTCTCTGAGACTCGGCCTCCTCATCGGTAGAATGAGGTAGATAAAAATGCCAAGCTCGGCCGGGCGCGGTGGCTCACACCTGTAATCCCAGCACTTTGGGAGGCCGAGGCGGGTGGATCATGAGGTCAGGAGATCGAGACCATCCTGGCTAACAAGGTGAAACCCCGTCTCTACTAAAAATACAAAAAATTAGCCGGGCGCGGTGGCGGGCGCCTGTGGTCCCAGCTACTCGGGAGGCTGAGGCAGGAGAATGGCGTGAACCCGGGAAGCGGAGCTTGCAGTGAGCCGAGATTGCGCCACTGCAGTCCGCAGTCCGGCCTGGGCGACAGAGCGAGACTCTGTCTCAAAAAAAAAAAAAAAAAAAAAAAATGCCAAGCTCACCCAGAAATAACCCCGTGCATATATGGTCAACAGATCTTTGACAAGGCCATCAAGGATATACAATGTAGATTCTTTTATTCCTTTACTTTCTTAATAGACTTGCTTTCACTGTACTGTAAAAAAAAAAAAAGGCACAATGTAGAAAGGAAACTCTCTTCAATGAATGGTGTTGGGGAAAGTGCATGAAAAAGAATGAAATTGCACACTTGTTTTACATCATATACCGAAAATTAGCTCAAAGTGGATTAAAGATTTAAATGTAATATCTGAAACCATGTAAATCCTGGAAGTAAACATAGGGAAAAATCTCCTCGACATTGGTCATAATTGGCAATATTTTTTTTGATGTAACACCAAAGCACAGGCAACAAAAGTGAAAATAAATAAATGGGACTACATCAATCTTAAAAGGTTTTACACAGCAAAGGAAACCATGACAAAATGAAAAGGCAACCTACGGGATGGAAGAAAATATTTGCGACCCATATATTTGATAAGGGGTTATTTGAAAAAATATAAGGAATTCACACAATTCAATAGCAAAAATTAATAAATACATGAATAACGCAATTAAAAATAGGCAAAGGACCCCAATGGACTTTTTTCCCCAAGGAAGATATACAAATGGCCAGCCAGCATATGAAAAGGTGCTCAACACCACTAATCATCAGAGAAATGCAAATCAAAACCACAGTGAGATATTGCCTCATAGGATAGGATGGCTCTTATAAAAAAACGACAAGAGATAACAAGTGTTGGCGAAAGCATAGAGGAAAGAGAACCCTTGTACACTGTTGGTTGGAATGTAAAGTGGTATAACCTTTACAGAAAACAGTATGGAGGTTCCTCAAAAAATTAGAAGCAGAACTACCATACGATTCAGCAATCAGTTTAGAACCTTGAAGAGAGATCTGCGCCCCATGTTTATTACAACACTATTCACAATACCCAAGATATGGAAACAGCCTAAGTGTCCAGCAACAGATGAATGGATAAATAAAACACATATAAACAATGGACTATTAGCCATTCAAAAGAAGAAACTCCTGTCCTGGATAAACCTGGAGGACATTACGCTAAGTGAAATAAGCCAGACACCGAAAGACAAGTTTTGTATGATCTCACTTATATGTGGGATCTAAGAGAGTCAAACTCATAAAAACAGATAGTAGAATGGTGGTTGCCAAGGGCTGGAGGTGGGGAAAATGGGAAGCTATTAATCAAAGGGTGTAAACTTTCAGTTATAAGATGAACAAATTCTGGAGATTTAATGTACAGCATAGGTGGTAATGGATGTAATAAATTTGATTGTGATAATTAGTACACAATATATACATATATGAAATCATCACATTGTATGCATTAAATATACACAATCCTTGTCAACTCAATATTTTTAAAAAAATGTTTAAAATGCCTAGGTCATAAGAATTCTGAGAATGAAATACAACAACATACATGAATGGACCTGCTACACAGAAGGTGCTAAATAGGTTTGTTTTGTTTTATTTTATTTCAACTCTGGCAGATGTAGACCTATTGGGAAAGAATATAGAATGCACTTGTGCACAAGGATTATCTATACGATGGTTAAATATCCTGCATACATGCCATGTCATTTCTACTCCTCAGTCAATGGATAATAAAAGCAGAACCAGCCTTCTGGTGGTCACAAAACATTTTGACATGAGAAAGGCTGATCATGAGCAATCTGGCAATGTACATCCCAGAGCGTGCATGCCCTTTGACCCACAGCTACCATGATGTCATGTCTAGCAATTAGCCCTAAGGAGATGATCAGAGATGTGTAAAGAGATTTCATTCTAACAGCATCCTCTGTAGTGGTATATGTCAGGGGCTGGTAAGCCATGTCCAGAGGAGCAGGCTGCATCTAGTCCACCACCTGTTTTTGTAAAGTTTATCAGAACACAGTCATGCCCATTCATTTACAAATTGTGTATGGCTTCTTTCCCTGCAACAGCAGAGTTGAGTGTTGCAACAGAAACCTATGGCCTGCAGAGTTTAAAATATCTACCCTTTGGCCTTTTATAAAAAAAGTTTACTGATTCCTGGTGAGTATATTAAAAAGTTAGGAAAACCTAAATCTTCCAGAGTGGAGAATTAGAAAGTAAGACGTGTTGTATATAAGACAGACAGTTTGTGTGTGCGTTTATTTATAAATATATTATTCTGAAATAATGTTGTCGACATATGTTGCAGGTCTTAAAAATTGGTCAATATATAGTGTTAATCAAAAAATGGCAAATTGTAAAATGTAGACAGAATGTGATTGTGTATTTTGTGCATACACCAACAGAAAAGGGTGCTAGGAAACCTGTGGACCAACATACTAAGTGTGGCTCTTTTGATGGTGGTATCATGGATTTTTAAAAATCTTCTTGGTTTTCTGTAGATTCTGACTTTCCTGTCATGAGTATGAATAAGTATGTATTTCTTGAGAAATGTGAAAATAACTTTATCTTCCCAGATTTCTCATAATTGAAAATGTTGGAATAAATGGTCCTGGGACAGATCTTTCCATTGAGAAGGGCAGAAGGGAAACCCTGGGGATTCAGCTGGGTTTCTGTTGCATTTCTGGTAACACACAGTTGTGAAAAGCCAGTGTTGGCCGTTCCCCAGGACAGTCTGGGGTAGAGGAGGTCAGGATTTAACTACTTGAGGGTCCGGGGAACAGATGTGGCCACAGTCCTTCCTGACTCACTGTTTTCCCTTCCACAGTCCCCGTCTTCTCTTCACTGATGCACATAGATGCCTGACCAGAGGAGAGATTTAGTTTTCGTCCAAGGATTATCTGTTATGTTGCAGTTCTGAAATTCCCATAACGTTTAGGCTAGAACACAAGTGATTTCATTATCTCCAATGTGTATGGCTTGATAGAAATAGATTCCATTATGTAGCACCTTAAATCCAGATAAAACATAAGGAATTTCTATTCCATGTTTGTATGATCAATGTTAATAATCTAAGAATATCTAAAAAGAAGCTACTTCCTCTATTACAGTATGAAATAAATATGCTGAATGATTTGTTTTGGGGGGTGGAATGGAAAGGTATAAGACTGAGGAGGGTGCCTGTGGGAACAGTGATAGGAATCCTTTCTTAAGGGTTGGGTTTTACATACGTCTTTTAAAATAGATGATATCATTAATAAATTATCTGTGGGCATCATGAAAAAAGTGTATAACGTACAACTTTATGAGCTTGACAGTTGGTGAAAACTTTTCTGTTTAAAATTTTATTTGGCCCTCCCCAAAAGAAATGTTTATTTATGAGTATTAGGATAGTTCCAGCAGTAATGCCTCAAAAGAACCAGGAGGTATAGTGTTGTCTAAAATGTGGACTCAGGAGCCAGACTGCCTGGCTGTGCAACTAGCCTTGTCACTTCCTAGATATGTGGCAAGTTAATTAACTTCTCAGTGTTCTTATCTGTAGAATGGGGATAATCCTAATATACATCTCAGGGTTATATTACAAATTAAAAAAGTTAATTTTGTAAAGGACTTAGAATGATATCTGGCAAATAAAAGTGTTCATAAAAGTAAACCCTATAAAAGTGTTTACTCATTAAATACAATAATCTGAAACCATTAGTAATTTAAACATTTGTGGCTGACTTGGTAATATTTATGAAAATAAATACTGTATTTATAATCTTTGACCTTATTTGACTCCTAGGAATTTATTGTCCAGCAAACATTTTCACAGGCAGACAAAAATATTACTATAAAATCACGTTTATTACACCAATCTGTGCAAAAGGAAAAAATAGACAATTAAAATGGCCATCAAAAGGAGTATTGATTAAGTGAATGATAGTAAATCCATTCAATAGTAATCATATTATCCAAAAAGAATGAGGCATAGTCATGTGATGTGGGAAGATCCACGGCTAATGTTAAACGGTAAATGATACAAACTGTTATGCCCAATAAAATACTTTCTGTGAGAGAATATATGTTAATTTATGCGAGTGGCGCCAATGTGGAGGGTTTATGCTAATTTCATTATACCTCACAGACAGACCTGGGCTCTCCCACTCATTTTCTATGTGGCCTGGGGTAAGTCATTTAACTGCTGGAAGCCTCAGCTTCTTCATCTGTCAGGCAGTGATACCCTGACTACTCTGCAGGGTAACTCTGAGATTTCAACGTGATCATCTCAGAATATGCCTGGCAAACAGTAGGAGCTCAGAACTTGATGTTTTTTTCCTACAGCAACTGCTGTAGGGGATAGCAGCTAATGCAAGAGGTTGGTAAATCCTTATATATATCAAATATTGTAGAAACATAACTACATGCTACTATTTTTTCAAACCCTCCCCTCACCCTTTTTTTTCCCCTGAGACAGAGTCTCACTCTGCTGCCCAGGCTGGAGTGCAGTGGCGCCATCTCGGCTTGGCTCACTGCAACCTCTGACTCCCGGGTTCAAGCGATTCTTGTGCCTCAGTCTCCCAAGTAGCTGGGATTACAGGCATGTGCCACCATGCCCAGCTAATTTTTTTGGTATTTTTAATAGAGATGGGGTTTCTCCATGTTGGCCAGGCAGGTCTCCAGCTCCTGGCCTCAAGTGATCTGCCTGTCTCGGCCCCCCAAAATGCCGGGTCAAACCTCTTATATCCAGTAAAACAGCCTCACTGGGTCAATGGATATCATGTGGCTGCCTAACATTTTTACTTTATAAAAGGTCTTCCTGAGGCCATTTGAAAGTATGGATCAAAACACTTTATGAACAGGGCCACAGGTTTGCATGAGGCTTGTCAGTGGACCTCCAGGATGAAGACCAAAGTGACTGTGCAATTTCTAGTGGAATAATTTACACTTAAGATCTTATTTATTTATCAAAAGACTGCTGTGAGGTAGGAATTCTTAACCCCCATTTGCAGAAACAGACTTTGCCTGACACCACAGAGCTAGGAAAAAGTGGGCATAAGATCCTCATCAAGTCTGACTTCCAAAAGAAGATTCAAAAAGAAACCTCCTTGCTACCCGCCAAATCTCTGTAGAGCCAGCCATGTTCACACATGAAACAGGACAATGACAATAGCACCAGGAATAGCTACTCCTGGTCAGATGCCCTCATGAGGTCAACTCCGCGGGATGGGGACACCGGGCCCTGCTTAGGGGAAAGGAAGGGGGTTTGTAGAGGAAGCCCAGCCAGCCAAGCAACCAGAGATGGGAAAAACCTATTGGGAAGAACTTGCTTGCTCTAGCTGGGCTTTGCAAAGAACAGGAAAAGATGAGTCTGCACAGACAGAAATGGTCTAGAATGGCTGAATGTTTCATGTAGAAATTTTATTTTATGATTAATACACTCGTGCCATTTCTTGGAACCACTTGCTTGTTTAATTCTAGTCTATCAAGTGATAATTTTGTTGATATTTAGAGGCTCCTCAGTTAATTTCTGTGGGATTTTTGGTTATATTTAATAAGGAAAATAATATGAAATGTCTAAGAAAAAAAGAAACAAAGTCAACTATTCCTGAGAATGTTTAAATTTATTGAAGTACACTTGTTAATTGTTAGTATAGAACCTACATTTCATGATAGAAAACCTTGGACTTGCCAGTTGTAGCTGCTGGAATGAGGTGTTTGTCCAGTACATCCAGAACGTCGCCACAGATTAACTTTAGCTCAGTCTCAACCTGAAAAAATAAAAATAAATTAAAAAAATCAGATCGTTGAAGTCTAGAAATTCTGTAAATTATTACACATTCTATCTACCTCTGGTTTTGAGGAAGAGAGCTTAGTGTTACAGAGAATTCATTTCCCTCTCCAAACTCCCTTCCTCCCTTTTGACACAAAAGCAGAGAAAAGCTGCCTGTCGGTTATCAAAAGTATCTTTTCCTTCCTGCCTGCAATTAAGTGCTACACACACACCACCCCCCACCCCAATACCCCCTCACAGTCCAACTGCAGAATCACCAATGACTGAAACTAAACACTGATGCTACTTGGTAAATGCTGGTCAATTACATGAATCTTTCACAAAGTAGCAACTATTGTGTCCATTTACTGGGGAAAACAGAAGCTAAGACATTTGCTCAAAGGTCATCCCCTTAAAAGAACGTAATAAGCAGAGCTAGGATTTGAAACCAGGCAGGGTGCAAGGGACAGAACAAAATTCAAACCCAGGCAGTTTGCCTTCAGTACTTACATTCCTAACAAGGTTCAACAGGCAATGCCTTTAGTGGAAGAGACCAAAAACTAGTTAAGATACCAAAAATCTGTGGACCAAAGTAACAGTTGCCACTCATTTATATTCATTTATAATGCTAAAAATGTGCACCACCTCTAAAGGCACATACCCAGTTTACGTCTTTTTTTTTTTTTTTTTTTTTTTTGAGAGGGAGTCTGGCTTTGTCACGCAGGCTGGAGTGCAGTGGCGTAATCTCAGCTCACTGCAACCTCCACCTCCCGGGTTCATGTCATTCTCCTGCCTCAGCCTCCGGAGGAGCTGGGACCACAGGCGCCTGCCACCACGCCCAGCTAATTTTTTGTATTTTTAGTAGAGACAGGGTTTCACCGTGTTAGCCAGGATGGTCTCGATCTCCTGACCTCGTGATCCGCCTGCCTCGGCCTCCCAAAGTGCTGGGATTACAGGCATGAGCCACCACGCCAGGCCTATTTTTTGTTTTTTTAGACAGAGTCTTCCCCTGTCACTCAGGCTGAAGTGCAGTGGCCCTATCTCAGCTCACTGCAGCCTCTGCCTTCCAGGTTCAAGCAGTTCTCATGCCTCAGGCCCCTGAGTAGCTGGGATTACAGGGGTGCGCCACTGTCTCGGGTTAATTTTTGTATTTTTAGTAGAGATGGGGTTTCACCATGTTGGCTAGGCTGGTCTTGAATTCCTGGCCTCAAGAGGTCCACCTACCTCGGCCTCCCAAACTGCTGGATTATAGATGTGGGCCACGCGTGGCCCAACTCTACTATTTCAGTGCAGCTCCTGTACCCTAGGTCATCACTGACTTCCCAGTTGCTGAATCCAGTTGTCTTTACTGAGTTGGTCCTTAATTTAACTTTCTTTTGCATTGAAGCTACTGACTGACCACAGCATTTTGAAACTCTGTTCCTCTTATTACTGTGATTCTACTTTCCTTATTTTTCATCTTATCTCTTAAGTCTGTGGCTTCTCAGACTTCCTCACAATTGATTGCTTATTTTAAAAATTCAAAAATTTAAACCTCCCGAGCAGTTCAAAAACAATATACCTTTGAAATTTTTTAAACTTTTCAGAGTTGCAAGAATAGTTCAGTGATCACCAGGTGTTACCATTTTGCCATATTTTCTTTGTCTCTGTGTCCCTCCCTTTCTACCTGCCCCCACATATATGTGTATCTATGAATATTGACTTTTTTTAACATTAATAAATTTTCTTTCTGTACAATTTGAGAGTTAACTGCAGATTTCATAGCACTTCACCCCTAATTTCTTCTATACATCTCCTAAGAATAAGGGCATTTTTTTTTTTTTTTGAGAAGGAGTCTCACTCTGTCACCCAGGCTGGGGTGCAGTGGTGCAATCTTGGCTGACTGCAACCTCCACCTCCTGGGTTCAAGCGATTCTCCTGCCTCAGCCCCCCAAGTAGCTGGGATTACAGGTGCCTGCTACCATGCCTGCCTAAGTTTTGTAATTATAGTAGAGATGGGGTTTTGCCATGTTGGCCAGTCTGGTCTCAAACTCCTTACCTAAGGTGATCCGCCCTCCTTGGCCTCCCAAAGTGTTGGGATTACAGACGTGAGACTCCATTCTCAGCCTCTTTTTCCTTTTGTAATTAACAAGTGATCTATGGCATGATAGAAACAGTGTGAATATTCTGTCCCATAATAATCTTTACTTAATGGTTTCATCTGGATTGCTTCTTGCCCAAATCAAATATTACTATAGTGATTAGAAATTGGAGACTTTTCTATTTTTTCTGTATTTTTTCTATATTGTCATTCTTCTGTAAAGATTTTTTTAAACTCTTTTTTTTTTTTTTTTTTTTTTTTTGAGACGAAGTCTCGCTTTGTCACCAGGCCGGAGTGCAGTGGTATGGTCTCAGCTCACTGCAACTTCTGCCTCCCAGGTTCAGGCGATCCTCCTGTCTCAGCCTCCAGAGTAGCTGGGACTACAGTCATTTGCCACTGTGTCCAGCTAATTTTTTGTATTTTTAGTAGAGATGGGGTCTCACCATGTTGGCCAGGATGGTCTTGATCTCTTGACCCCGTGATCCAGCCACCTCAGCCTCCCAAAGTGCTGGGATTACAGGCGTGAGCCACCGTGGCTGGCCCTATACTCCCTTTTTAAATTTTTTTTTTTTTTTTTTTTGAGATGGAGGTTCACTCTGTTGCCCAGGCTGGAGTGCAATGATGTGGTCTTGGCTCACTGCAACCTCCGCCTCCCAGGTTCGAGCAATTCTTCTGCCTCAACCTCCTGAGTAGCTGGGATTACAGGTACATGCCACCACACTCGGCTGATTTTTGTATTTTTAGTAGGGATGGGGTTTCACTATGTTGGCCAGGCTGGTCTTCAACTCCTGACCTCATGATCTGCCCGCCTCAGCCTCCTAAAATGCTGGGATTGCAGGTGTGAGCCACTGCACCTGGCCCTTTTTTTTTTTTTTTTTTTGAGACAGGGACTTCCTCTGTTGCCCAGACTTGAGTGCAGTGGTATGATCATGGCTCACCACAGCTTGGACACCAGGCTGCCTCAGCTCACTGCAACCTCTGCTTCCCGGGTTCCAGTGATTCTCGTGCCTCAGCCTCTGGAGTAACTGGGAGTACAGGTGCTCACCACCATACCTGGCTAATTCTTGTATTTTTAGTAAAGATGAGGTTTCACCATGTTGGCCAGGCTGGTCTCAAACTCCTGGCCGACATGGTGATCCACCTGCCTTGGCTTCCCAAAGTGCTTCATATTGTTAGCCCTAATTCTAGTCAAATTCCATAGCGTTCTTCCTCTTTATTTTTATTTTTTTATTTTTGAGACGGAGTCTTGATCTGTCCCCCAGGCTGGAGTGCAGTGGTGTGATCTCGGATCACCGCAGCCTCCACCTCCTGGGTTCAAGCAAATCTCTGCCTCTGCCTCCTGAGTAGCTGGGATTACAGACACCTGCCACCATGCCCAGCAAATTTTTGTATTTTTAGTAGACACAGGATTTCATCATCTTGGCCGGGCTGGTCTTGAACTCCTGACCTTGTGATCCACCCACCTCGGCCTCCCAAAGTGCTGGGATTACAGGCGTGAGCCACCGCGCCCGGCCTGTATTAGATATTTTTAAGTCAGTTTCCTAAGACAATTAAATATTTCAGGTAGTTGGGACTTTTCTTTTTTTGGTTTGTTTTATTTTGCTTAATTTAACCATTTTAAATATGATTCTCTGGGAATTTTTTCTTCAAAATATAGAATATGTGTGCATTAGTTTGCTAGGCTTGCTGCAACAAAGTACCACAAACTGGGTGGCTTAGACAACAGAAATTTATTATCTCATAGATCTGGAGACTAGAAGTTCTAGATCACGTTGTTAGAGTTGGTTTCTTCGACAACTGTGAGAAACCTTATGTTCCATGCCTCTCCCCTGGCTTCTGGTGGTTTGCTGCTCATCTTTGGCATACTTTGGCTTGTAGGTGCATCACCTGGATCTCTGCCTTCATGTTCACATGGTGTTCTACCTGTGTGCATATCTGTGGACAAATTTCCCCTTTTTATAAGGATACCAGGCATATTGGATTAGGGTTCCTCTCTACTCCAGTAGGACCTCATCTTCACTAATTACATCTGCAATAACCCTTTCCAAATAAGGTCACATTCTGAGGAACTAGAGGTTAGAGTTTCAACATACGAAATTTTCTGGGGGGTGGGTAAGGGACACGATTCAATCCATAACAATATGTTTATGAGTAAATGAGTTAGTGTGTTATTGTCTTTCTGCCACCTCAGAATCTGAGAAAACAGTTTCTTTTTCCATTCCTTGGGCTGTAGGTGGAGAAGGAGGAGGATGATGATGGTGATTATTTTTTGGTCATGCCCCATAATGTGACCCACTTTAAAAAACAACAAACAATTGTAAGGAGGAGAACTGTCATACACCTACTGCCCAGCTTAAAAATAATTAGATCATCTTCTTTAAACATAACTGTCATCCCATCATCACACCTAAGAAGTTGACAGTTTCCCCAGTTTTTTTTTTCTCTTTTTTTTTTTTGAGATAGGGTCTTTCTCTGTTGCCCAGGCTGGAGTGCAGTGGCATGATAGTGGCTCATGGCAGCCTCATCTTCCCAGGCTCAAGGGATCCTCCCATATAGCTGGGACCACAGGGGTGCATCACCACATCCAATTTTTTGAATTTTTCTAGAGATGAGGTCTCCCTGTGTTGCCCCACCTAATTTTTTTTTTGTTGTTGTTCCATTCTTTTTTTTTTTTTCTCCTGTTTGTAAGGATTTAATCAAGGTCTGTATGTAGTTTGGTTACTATGTCTCTTAGGTCTCTTTTCTTTTATAGATTCCCCTCGTGATTTACTGAAGAAACGGGGTCATTTGTCCTGTAGAATTCTCAAATTTTGATTTTGCTGATATTATCCCCAGAGTGTCATTGACCATGTTCATCTGTTCCCCAAATTTCCAAAAACTGGTAGTTAAATTTAGGTGGTTGATCTGATTCAGATTACACTCTCAGTATCGCATATGCTTTGATCAGGAGGCATAATGTGTACTTGTGTGTGCGTATGTGTGTTTTTTTAGTGATGTTAGTGGTCACTGCCTGTGTCAGCATTTCACTACCAGGGTAATTTGGCAATGTCTGGAGACACACTGATTGTCACAGCTTGGGAGAGGGAATGCTATAGGTACCTTCAGGGGTAAGAGTCAGCACAGCACAGCACAGCCCCCTAACGCAAAGTATTAATAGGCCTAAAATGTCAGTAGCCCTGAGGTTGAGAAACTCTGGCCTACTTTTGTAGTTTCATCAGGTGTTTGTGAAATGGTTTTATTCTAACTGTTATTTCTTCTTTCTTTGTTAGCTGGAATTCTTTCATAAAGAGAAACTCTTTGATCAGTTAGTTACCCAAGGTACAGTTCATACAGAAAAGGCAGGATGTATGTTTGATTCTTTCCTAGTTTTCAAAATAATGAATTAGTTCCCTAGCATCTTCCAAAATTGACCAATGAACTTTGTGTGTGTTTTTTTCTTTTTTAGTATATTATGAACTTACACGTTTTAACATATTTGTGTTTCCTTTCATCGCAGTTATTTTTATTTTATTTTTATTTATTCATTTATTGTTTTGAGGCAGGGTCTTAACTCTGTCACCCAAGCTGTAGTGCAGTGGTATGATCGCTGCCCACTGCAGGCTTGACGTCCCGACCTCCAGCAATCCTCCCACCTCACCCTCTTGAGTAGCTGGGACCACAGGTACACCATCATGCCCAGCTAATTTTTGTGTTTCTGGTAGAGACGGGGTTTTGCCGTGTTCACCAGGCTGGTCTTCAAATCCTGAGCTCAAAAGCAATCCACCTGCCTCTGCCTCCCAAAGTGTTGGGATGATAGGCGTGAGCCACCGCACCTAGCAGTTATTTTTATTGGTGCTCGTTTTTTCCCTTCGTTGAATGCTGGGTGCAGTGAATGCTGGGTGCATCTTCATGTTGGGTTCTGAGTCCTTTTGACATGAGCACATTGTCTGGTGTTGTACGAGAGAGCAAAATAAGGAAACTGGTGTTCTATGCTTATCTTGTACATTTTCCCCACACTTGGAATCAGCCATTCCTCCAGGGAGTGCAGGTTCACAGTCTGGGCTCTAAGAGAATTATAAGGTCAATGTGGTCATCATCTTTTAGTATTAAGTCAGATATTCTAAATTATTATTTACTTCTTACATTTGGCCCAAGAGTTTAACCAGATATTTTGGGAAAGAGAGAAGGAATTAAATAAATAAATCTCATGGTTAGAACTGAAGTGATAACTATACTTTCACAAGGAAATATAACTTATAACCCATGCGGAATAGAAAATTATTTTTGCTCCTTTAGATTTCTGAAGGAATGAAATGAGCTGTGGGAAGAAACTTTAACTGGAGCATCTTACCAGTATTATTCATGTTTTAACTCTGCTTCAGTAGTTTTTCAGGTTTATTACAAACGTGCAGTAGCCAACTGAATTAATTATCTCTAAACAGGGATTTAGCCAGTGGACTAGGCACACTGAAGCTTTGTGAGAGGGGAAATTGATATTCACATTTTTTCCAGCTTGTTTTGAGCTCGATATATTCTTTTTTTTTTTTTTTTTTCATTGAGACAGACTCTCGCACCGTCACCTGGGCTGGTGTGCAGTGGCACGATCTCTGCTTGCGGCAACCTCTGCCTCCCAGGTTCAAGCAATTCTCCTGCCTCAGCCTCCCGAGTAGCTAGGATTACAGGCGCCCGCCACCACGCCCGGCTGATGTTTTGTATTTTTAGTAGAGACGGGGTTTCGCTTTATTGGCCAGGCTGGTCTTGAACTCCTGACCTCATGATCTGCCTGCCTCAGCCTCCCAAAGTGCTGGGATTACAGGCCTGAGCCACCATGCCCAGCCAATATATTCACATTTTTAATAGGAATAACAGTATACTAAAATCTTTTTTAGTGCATGTTTAAGATTTGAAGATGTAATTTGACTCAGTACTTTCCACTTGCATTTTTTTCTTCCACTTGCATTTCTCCACTATTAGAATAGTGCCTGCTAAGACTATTCTAATACTTTATTATAGTTAACCCCTGCGAAAAGAGCTCCCAGAGCTTACAGTGCATTTGATTGATGTCATATGGACTATTCATTATTTTCTAAATTATTTTGTTTGTATAGAGCAATCTGAAGAGGATGTAAGTCAGTTTGATTCCAAGTTTACACGTCAGACACCTGTCGACAGCCCAGATGACACAACTCTCAGTGAAAGTGCCAATCAGGTGTTTTTGGTAAGTGAAAGAATTTCCATGTAGTCATGGGAAATTTTAAGTATGAGGATGGGCTCTTCGATAAGAAAATTCAGTTTGCTTGCTTTGCAGCTCATGTAGGTAACCTGGCCCACTTTTTTTTTTAAATAAGCCATGCTCTTATAACTTATTGATACCTACAAAATTGATTTTCATAATCCAACATTTTATTTTAGCAATTAGAGTGGGAATGTACAATTCTTTGGAGAGTATGATTCCCTTTTTTGGTTGGGCCACAGACTTAAAATGATGTTTGGCTTAGCATCTCAACCAAAAATTAAGTCATAGCAGTGGGAGAGAAAAACCTCACTAACTACATGTATTTTATTTCTGAAACAGCTATAGATTTTTGGTACCTTTTTTTTTTTTTTTTTTTTTTTGAGACAGGGTCTCACCTTGTAGCCCAGGCTGGGTGTAGGGTGTAGTGGTGTGATCACAGTTCACTACAGCCTTGACCTCCCAGGCTCAAGTGATCCACCCATTTCAGCCTCGTGAGTACCTGGACTACAGGTGTGTGCCCCATCCAGCTAATTTTTTATTTTTTTGTAGAGACAGAGTCTCACTATTTTACTCCTGGACTCAAGCTATCTTCCCACCTCGGCTTCCCAAAGTGCCAAAATTATAGGCATGAGCCATCATTCCTGGCCCTATTTTTGGTACTCTTAACATAAGTAGGGGATTTTTTTTTTTTTTTTTTTTGAGACCGAGTCTCACTCTGTCGTCAGGCTGGGGTGCAGTGGCGCGATCTCAGCTCACTGCAACCTCTGCCTCCTGGGTTCAAGTGATTCTCCTGCCTCAGCCTCCTGAGTAGCTGGGACTACAGGTGCCTGCCACCACGCCCAGTTAATTTTTGTATTTTTAGTAGAGACAGGGCTTCACCATGTTGGCCAGGATGGTCTTGATTTCTTGACCTCATGATCCACCCGCCTTGGCCTCCCAAAGTGCTGGGATTACAGGCATGAGCCACTGCGCCCGGCCAAGTAGGGGATTTTTTAAACCTAATTGTGAATATTTGACATCAAATTATATTGGTTCATATGTAATAGTGAATTCTCGTTGTAGAAATATCCGTATAGATTTATAGCTTGTCTCCTCAGAAAAGTAAAGGTTTTAGATGTTGGCCAACAGAAATGATGGATTTATATCAGATGACCATCAATGCATACATACTATTTTGCTTAAATACCATATATGCTTGTTGATTTTATTACTGTACTTATATGTCACATGAACATCTTTCTCATTTTGTATCCTTTTTTTTCTTTTGTCGTTCCTGTATGGAATACCTCTAGGGAGAATAGAATATGGGGAAAACAATTGTTTGGGAGTGTTTTTTTCCCTCTTTTTGAGTTCACTGGATTTGTCACTAACTTAATTCTATGCTTTTCTTCCCCACACTGCTCACTATATAACACAAGTAGTGTTGTATCTTATGGGATGGGAAATAAGCTCTAAAGTTAGCATGGAGCTGGGACATGGTGGCTCAGGCCTATAACCTTGAGGTCAGGAGTTCGAGACCAGCCTGGCCCACATGGTGAAACCCCATCTCTACCAAAAATACAAAAATTAGCCGGGTGTGGTGGCATGTACCTGTGGTACCAACTACTTGGGAGGCTGAGGTAGGAGAATGACTTGAACCCGAGAGGCAGAGGTTGCAGGAGCCAAGATCGTGCCACTGCACTCCAGCCTGGGCAATAGAGTGAGTGAGACTCTGTATAAAAAAAAAATAATTAAAAAAATAAAGTTAGCATGGAATGCAAAAGTTGTGTATAGTACAGTATGGTTTCAAGTAAACAACACTGAATAGTAATAATCCTATAAATTAGTAATATAGAGCACGTAGGCAAAATATAATCTTACAGTATTAATTACATAAGAGATAAAAGATGAGTGAGTGCATGCATGTTTTTAAATTCAAGTTTGATGTGTGCATGATCAAAGTTACGGCATCTCTGTTAGTAAAATCTTAGGTTCACTCAGGGAAGTGGGCATGAATCACTTTAATTTTGGCTTTTTTTTTCTCTTTCATGTACTACTGATGTGGAATTTATACCTTTGATTTAACATAGAGACCTTTTCATCAATTGAACATTGCAGAATTTCAACTTATGTGACAGTTTCCCCCCACAAAATAGAAGCATTTTATTTAGCTACCAAGAAATCCTAAGTTGTGGTGGTAAATGTGAGCTATTGACGCTTTCATTGCCAGTTAAAAGTATTGTTGAGCTTTTCATAATTACTTAAATTGGCTATAACTGATGAACAGAGCAACTCATTTGTTAGGTTGTAGCCAGAATTCTGTACATAAAGTGGGTCTCTTGAAACATTAGTAAAAACAAAAATAGGCCAGGTGCAGTGGCTCATGCCTGTAATCCCAGCACTTTGGGAGGCTGAAGTGGGTGGATCACAAGGTCAGGAGTTCTAGAACAGCCTGGCCAATATGGTGAAACCCCATCTCTACTAAAAATACAAATATTAGCCAAGTGCGGTGGCACACGCCTGTAATTCCATCTACTCGGGAGGCTGAGGCAGGAGAATCACTTGAAACCAGGAGGTGGCAGTTGCAGTGAGCCAAGATCGTGCCAGTGCATTCCAGCCTGGGCAACAGAGCAAGGCTCTATCTCAAAAAAAAAAAAAAATTCCGCATACATAAGAAGAGAATATGCATTAAAAAAATCAGCAGAGCCTCACATTCCAGGATTTTCTACACAAGAAACCATTCCTAAAATATGTGCTTGGAATTACTAGGGTTTCTCTTGCAAACATTTTAATAACACCTCATTTGTTTTTTTTATTATAATATTTATTTAAGCAAAATTTCTTTTTTTTATTTTATTATTTTATTATTATTACACTTTAAGTTGTAGGGTACATGTGCACAATGTGCAGGTTAGTTACATATGTATACATGTGCCATGCTGGTGTGCTGCACCCATTAACTCGTCATTTAGCATTAGGTATATCTCCTAATGCTATCCCTCCCCCCTCCCCACACCCCGCAACAGTCCCCAGAGTGTGATGTTCCCCTTCCTGTGTCCATGTGTTCTCATTGTTCAATTCCCACCTATGAGTGAGAACATGCAGTAACACCTCATTCTTTAGGGGTGTGGTTATATGTGTCATGTTATTAGATCTTTACAGCAACTCTCCTGGGTAAAGCGGTTATTACTAGGTCATTTTATAGAAGGAAAAATAACCAGTACTTTTTTTTGCTTTACTTCAGTAGCTATTGCCTCCTTCAATTTGACATTTCAATCCTGGCACATAGTGGGGGCTCAACAAATATTTGCTGGAGGAATGCCATTTAAAATACAGTGATTGGATAGGAGAATATTTGAGGGCATTAACAATTTTTAAAAGCCAAAAAAAAATTACAATTGGACTTATGAGATTTTGATTTTTTTGTGTATTTTCTTTTAAAAAATAAGCTTCTCTAAGCTGGGCTTGGTGGCTCATGCCTGTAATCCCAGCACTTTGGGAGGCTGAGGCAGGTGGATCACCTGAGGTCAGGAGTTTGAGACCAGCCTGGCCAACATGGTGAAAACCCGTCTCTACTAAAAATACAAAAATTAGCTGGCCGTGGTGGCACACACCTGTAATCCCAGCTACTAGGGAGGCTGAGGCAGGAGAATCGCTTGAACCCGGGAGGCAGATGTTGCAGTGAGCCAAGATCACACCACTGTACTCCAGCCTGGGTGACAGAGCAAGACTCTGTCTCAAAAATAAATAAATAAAGTATATAAATAAATAAATAAGCTTCTGTTTTGGCTTCCTCCAATGTAGTCTCTTTGAGTAGGAAGAAATTGTTATGATTCAAACTAGTAAATTCTTTTTTTTTTTTTTTTTTTTTTGAGATGGAGTCTTGCTCTTATTGCCCAGGCTGGAGTGCAGTGGCGTGATCTTGGCTCACTGCAACCGGCTCACTTGAACCGGGTTCAAGTGATTCTCCTGCCTCAGCCTCCCAAGTAGGTGGGATTACAGGTGCCTGCCATCACGCCTGGCTAATTTTTGTAGTTTTAGTACAGATGGGGTTTCACCATCTTGGCCAGGCTGGTCTTGAACTCCTGGTCTTGATCTGCTGACCTATATCCGCCCGCCTCGGCCTCCCAAAGTGCTGGGATTACAGGTGTGAGCCATTGCGCCCGGCCGACAGGTAAATTCTTATATCAAAAAACTGAGTTAGACTTGGTCCCTGGAGCTGTTTTCCATCCCTAAAAAGATGATGTCAAGCTATCATGTATAATAAATAACAACTCAATTGACCACATATTTTCCTTTAAGCCTAATGATGAAATAATATTATAATGAAATACTTAGAAGTTTTAAGGGAAAAAATCCTTTAAGTCATTAAATTAAAATTGAAACCAAAACAATAACTTCACTGTTTTAGGATAAAATTGGCATATGAAAGGTTTGATAGTGAACGACAGTAAGATTAACCTACTACAGCATTTGCCTTTAGCTTTTACTGAGTAATACTTGGAGCTATATATTTATAGCATTTGCTATAAATGTGCAAATGAAGACATTATTTATTGTATTACTGCTGAGATTAATATTGTCTTTTTCAGATTTCTAAAACATTACAGCAAATGCGCACATGAGGGCGCTCTAATCAGCTAGATGTGGAGAGGGTAGGCATTTGTTGACTGTTAAGTCAAAACTAGTTCTATACTTTTACAGATGGAAAAATCAAGGTCCACCAAAGAGGTTATGATTCTACACGAGTTATTCTCTAGAGGAAACAAATTGGGTATTAGAATTTTGAAAAGATTAAACAGAAATCCCTGTCAGTGAATTTATGCTGGAGAATTTTGACTTTTATCCTAGCAACTCCTTATTGAAAATCTTTACCCATGCCATGATATAATTTATCTTCAATCTTAAATGGGTTTGGTAATAGTGTTTATAAGATGTAGGAGAGTTAATTAGAATATTTATTTTTATGAACTTTTGCTTTATAAAATTAACAAATGTTAATTGTGCTTCATTTATACTTTTTTTTTTTTTTTGAGACAGAGTCTTACTCTGTCACCCAGGCTGGAGTGCAGTGGCGTGATCTCAGCTCACTGCAACCTCTGCCTCCCAGGTTCAAGCGATTCTCCTGCCTCAGCCTCCCAAGTAGCTGGGACCACAGGCACGTGCCACCACGCCTGGCTAATTTTGGTACTTTTAGTAGAGACGGGGTTTCACCATGTTGGCCAGGGTGGTCTCGAACTCCTGACCTCAAGTGATCTGCCCGTCTTGGCCTCCCAAAGTGCTAGGATTACAGGTGTGAGCCACCAACACCTGGCCCATTTATACTTAAGGCTGATTCTCAACTGATTTGGGTAAGATCCTTAGTCTTTCCCCATCTCTGACGTAATTCCTAGTTTGTCCTTTGGCTTTCCTGTGTATATAAAGCTACCAGGCTGCTTGCAGATTTTTCGGGGAATAAGTCCCATAAACACTCACAAAGATTTTATTAGGGAGAAGCTATGATGCGAATATAGAATGTAGATTTTTTAAATTTCAAAATCAGTATGGGCCGGGCGCGGTGGCTCACGCCTGTAATCCCAGCACCTTGGGAGGTCGAGGCGGGCGGATCACGAGGTCAGCAGAGCGAGACCATCCTGGTTAACACGGTGAAACCCCGTCTCTACTAAAAATACAAAAAATTAGTGGGCGCAGTGGCAGGCGCCTGTAGTCCCAGCTACTCGGGAGGCTGAGGCAGGAGAATGGCGTGAACGCGGGAGGCGGAGCTTGCAGTGAGCGGAGATCGCGCCACTGCACTCCAGCCTGGGCGACAGAGCGAAGACTCCATCTCAAAAAAAAAAAATCAGTATGTAGAGCTGGGCATGGTGGTGTGTGCCTATTAGCCCAGCCACTGGGGAGGCTGAGGCAGGAGAAGCCCTTGAGCCCAAGAGTTCAAGACTAGCCTGGGCAACACAGCGAGACCCTCATCTCGAAAAATAAATAAATAAATAAATAAATAAAGTATTGCAATATTTATTATATAGGCAAATTTTTTTCAACTTAAGTGCTACCCTCATCAGGGGAAGATTTGTTTGATTAGATCCCCACACAGGCTGGCCGCTTCCTCATTTCTACTTTTTCTTTTCTTTTTGAGATGGAGTTTTGCTCTTGTTGCCCAGGCTGGAGTGCAATGGCGCAATCTTGGCTCACTGCAACCTCCGCCTCCCGGGTTCAAGCGATTCTCCTGCCTCAGCCTCCCGAGTAGCTGGGATTACAGGCACCTGCCACCACACCCGGCTAATGTTTGTATTTTTAGTAGAGATGGGGTTTCACCATGTTGGCCAGATTGGTCTCAAACTCTTCAGTTCAAGCGATCTACCTGCCTCGGCCTCACAAAGTGCTGGAATTACAGGTGTGAGCCACTGCGCCCGGCCTCATTTCTACGTTTTCAAAGAAGTCAATTTTCTTTAAAAAATAAACTCTTTTGGCCACGCGGCGGCTCATTCCTGTAACCCTAGCACTTTGAGACTCAGAGGCAGACGGATCGCTTGAACTCAGGAGTTCAAGACCAGCCTGGCCAACACGGTGAAACCCTGTCTCTACAAAAAATTAGCTGGATGCAGCGGCACGTGCCTGTAGTCCCAGCTACTCAGGAGGCTGAGGCAAGAGAGTCACTTGAGTCCAGGAGGCAGAAGTTGCAGTGAACTGAGATCACGCCATTGCACTCCAGCCTGGCTGATGGGAGTGAAACCTTGTCTCAAATAAATAAATAAATAAACTCTTATTTTTAAAAAAAAAAAAGCAAATCATGAAACAAAACAAAACCCAGGGCTCTGAATGAAAAAGATCTCTCCTTTAGGGGGCTAGGTGATGGAAAGGAAAATAGGTCATGAATTTCATGTTCTCATTTGTCTTCGTTAATGACTTGTATGTATATATATTTCCATTGAAGACATAGATATGCATTTGATCACCTACACTTGTTTGTATTTTGAGTCATAAATTAAGGCATTTCCTGTCCAGAAAGCACCTGACAATCTTATGATAAAAAACATGGAATTTTAAAATCACAAATGCAAATAACAAGCCAGGCACAGTGGCTCACGCCTGTAATCTTAGCTCTTTGGGAGACCAAGGTGGGTAGATTGTTTGAGCTCAAGAGTTTGAGACCAGCCTGGGTAACATGGAGAAACCCTGTCTTTACAAAAAATAAAAAATTAGTGGGGCACGGTGGCATGTGCCTGTAGTCCCAGATACTCAGGAGGCTAAGGTGGGAGGAGTACTTGAGCTCAGGAGGTCGAGGCTGCTGTGAGCTGTGGTGGCAACACTGCACTCCAGCCTGGGTGACAGAGTGAGACCCTATCTCAAAAAAAAAAGGAGTGCAAATAACAGATGACCTTACAAACATCAAAAGTTATGTCTTTATAATAAGTTTTGTCTACATTTAATGAAATATATTGGACAAGGAAAAAATGTAGCAGTATGCGTATGGCTTTATCTTGGCCCTGCCCACTACTGTGCCCTCATTTCTTTTCCTTCCCACTGAGTCCTTCCACACTACCACACCACAGCAAACCTGACAAGCTTCTGCCTGAAATAGCACCATTGCACTTCTCTTCCCTTTGCCTGAAACATTCTTTTTTTTCTTTTTTCTTTCTTTCTTTTTTTTTTTTTATGAGATGGAGCCTCACTCTCTCGCCAGACTGGAGTGCAGTGGCACGATCTCAGCTCACTGCAACCTCCACCTCCCTGGTTCAAGCGATTCTCCTGCCTCAGCCTCCCGAGTAGCTGGGATTACAGGTATGCACCACCATGCCCGGCTAATTTTGTATTTTTAGTAGAGACGGGGTTTCTCCATGTTGGTCAGGCTAGTCTCGAACTCCCGACCTCAGGTGATCCGCCCGCCTCGGCCTCTCAAAGTGCTGGGATTACAGGCGTGAGCCCCTGTGCCTGGCCACCACAATCAATTTTAGAATATTTTCATTTCTCTCAAAAAAAAATACCATACCTATGAGCAGTCACTCCCCATTTCCTCCATCCCTCAGTCCTAGGCAACCACTAATTTACTTTCTTTTAGGATAGGATTTGCCTATTTGGACATTTCATATAAATGGAACCATACAATTTGTGATCTTTTGTGACTGGCTTTTTTCAAGTAACCTAATGTTTTCAAGGTTCATTCATGTTATAGCATGTGTCAGTACTTATTTCCTTTTTTTTTATGGCTCAATAATATTCTGTTGTAGGAATATAACACATTTCATTTATCTGTTTATCACTTTTTTTTTTTTTTTTTTGAGATGGAGTCTCAGTCTGTCACTCAGGCTGGAGTACGGTGGTGTGATCTTGGCTCACTGCGGCCTCCGCCTCCTGGATTCAAGCCATTCACCTGCCTCAGCCTCCCAAGTAGCTGGGATTACAGGCACGTATACCATGTCCCGCTGATTTTTGTATTTTCAGTAGAGATCGGATTTCACTCTGTTGGCCAGGCTGGTCTCGAACTCCTGACCTCAAGCAATCCTCCCGCCTTGGCCTCCCAAAGTGTTGGGAGCCACCACACCCAGCTGTCTCCACTTTTTGACTATTATGAATAATGCTGCTATGAACATTCATGTGTAAGTTTTTGTGTGGACATATGTTTTCCTTTCCCTTGGGAATATGATGAAGCCTGGCATTGCCAGGTCATATGATAACTCTATGTTTAAGCTTTGGAGGAACTGCCAGACTATTTCCAAAGCAGTTCCAACTTCATTGCAAAGCATTTTACATTCCCTCCAGCAACATATGAGTGTTTCAATTTTTCCACATTTTCTCCAACACTTGTTATTATGTGTCTGTTTATTATAGCCATTCTTGTGAGTGTGAAGTGGTATCTTAACATGGTTTGGATTTGCACTTCCCTGATGGCTAATGATGTTTCTATGGTTTGAATGTTGGAGTCCTCCAAAATTCATGTTATAACCTAAGACCTAATGTGACGATGTTAAGAAGTGAGGCCTTCAAGGTGGTGATTAGGTCATGAGGGCTCTGCCCTCGTGAATGAAATTAATGCCCTTATAAAAAGGCTTCACATAACATTTCTTCTTCTTTTTTCCTTTCTTCTCCTGCCATGTGAAGATGCCACTGCGAGAACGGGAACAATGGAACAGGCCCTCACCAAATGCCAAATGTGCTATCACCTTGATTTTGGATTTCCCAGCCTCCGGAACTGTGAGGAATAAATTTTTTTACTTATAAATTACTTAGTCTCAGGTATTTTGTTACAGCAGCACAAACAGACTAAGACAGAAATTGAGTGTATTTTCTTGTGCTTATTGGCCATTTATTTTCTTTCTTTTATTTTTATTTACTTATTTATTTTTAGGTGGGGTTTTGCTCTGTTGCCCAGGCTGGAGTGCAGTGGTGCAATCTTAGCTCATTGCAACCTCTGCCTCCCGGGTTCGAGTGATTCTTGTGCCTCATCTGCCTGAGTACCTGGGACTACAGGCATGCGCCACAACGCCTGGCTGATTTTTATATTTTTAGTAGAGATGGGTTTTCGCCATGTTGGCCAGACTGGTCTTGAACTTCTGGCCTCAAGTGATCCACCTGCCTTGGCCTCCCAAAGTGTTGGGATTATAGGCATAAGCCACCACCTGGCCCTTATTGGCCATTTGTATGTCTTCTTTGGAGAAATATCTGTTCAGATCTTTTGTCCATTTTAAAATTGGGTTATATCCTTTTTATTATCAAGTTGTAAGAGTTCTTTATGTATTCTAGATCCAAGTCCATTGTCAGATACTGTAGTCTCCCGTATGCTCTCTGCAGTTTCAGTTACCTGCGGGCAGCTGCAATCCCAAATATTACAGTATTTTGAGACAGAGAAAACTATTCATGTAACTTATGTTAAAGTATATTCTAGCCAGGCACAGTGGCTCACACCTGTAATCCCAGCACTTTGGGAGGCCGAGGTGGGTGGATCACAAGGTCAGGAATTGGAGACCAGCCTGGCCAATATGGTGAAACCCTGCCTCTACTAAAGATACAAAAATTAGCCGGGCGTGGTGGCAGGTGCCTGTAGGCCCAGCTACTCGGGAGGCTGAGGCAGGAGAATCGCTTGAACCTGGGAGGTGGAAGTTGCAGTGAGCCGAGATGGCGCCATGGCACTCCAGCCTGGGTGACAGAGCAAGACTCCATCTCAAAAACAAAAAGTATATTCTAATTGTTCTCTTTTATTATTAGTTATTGTTGTTATTCTATTACAGTGCCTAATTTATAAATTAAACTTCATCATAGGTATGTATGTATGTATAGGAAAAAAACATAGTACATATAGAGTTTGGTACTATCTGCAGTTTCAGGTATACACTGGAGGTCTTGGAACATATTTTGTTACATATATATCTATATATTTATAAATATATATTTATATATAGCTATATATTTATGTATCTATGTATCTATAAATATATGTTTATATATCTATATTAATCTATATCTATATATGAATATATAGGTAGATAGATAAATATATACATATATATATATATATATTTTTTTTTTTTTGAGATAAGGTCTCGGTCTATCGCCCAGGCTGGGATACATTAATGTTATCTTGGCTCACTGCAGCCTCAACCTCCTGGGGTCACGTGATTCTCCCACCTCAACCTCCCAAGTAGCTGGGACCACAGGCACATGTCACCACATCTGGGTAATTTTATTTATTTATTGTAGAGATAGGGTATCCCTATGTTGCCCAGGTTAGTCTTGAGCTCCTGGGCTCAAGTGATCCTCCCACCTCAGCTTTCCAAAGTTCTGGGATTACAGGCATGAGCCACTGTGTCTGGCTACATATTTTCCACAAATAAAGTGAGCCTACTTTGTACATAATTTGCAAGTATTTTCTCCCATTCTGTGGGTTGTCTTTCACTTTTTTTTTCTGGAGTCCTCCAAAATTCATGTTATAACCTAAGACCTAATGTGATGATGTTAAGAAGTGAGGCTTTCAAGGTGGTGATTAGGTCATGAGTGCTCTGCCCTCGTGAATGAAATTAATGTGCTTATAAAAAGGCTTCACATAGCATTTCTTCTCCTTTTTTTGCCTCAGCCTCCTGAGTAGCTGGGATTACAGACGTGTACTACCATGCATGGCTAACTTTTGTATTTTTAGTAGAGACAGGGTTTCACCATGTTGGCCAGGCTGGTCTCGAACTCCTAACCTCAGGTGATCGGCCCGCCTCGGTCTCACAAAGTGCGGGGATTGCGGGCGTGAGCCACCATGCCCGGCACATGCATCAGTTTTTATGCTTCCTTGCTTGGACTGATTAACCAGTCAACTACTGGTTCCAATAAAGTTGGATGAGGTGGCTTATACTCTACTTATTTGCCGCCCCTGCTTCTTCCTTTTTTTTGAGACAGGGCCTTTGACGCGCTGGCTGGAGTGCCGTGGTGTCATCTTGGCTCACTGCAGCCTCAACTTCCTGGGCTCAAGCAGTCTTCCCACCTCAGCCTCTAAGTAGCTGGAACTACAGATGTGTGCCCCTATGCCTGGCTAATTTTTGTATTTTTGTCGAGACGGGCTCTCCCCATGTTGCCCAGGCTGGTCTCCAACTCCTGGGCTCAAGAGATCCGCCCACCTTGGCCTCCCAAAGCCCTGGGATTGCAGACATGAGCCACTCTGCCTGGCAACTTGTAACAGTCCTTTGTATGTTCTTGATACAAGTCAGTTGTCAGATACAGCGGTAGTACATAATTAAACATAATTATATAGAACTATATTTTATATAAGCGCAGCATTATATAAAACAGCAAAAATTTGGAAATAACCAAATGTCCAACAATAGGTAGTTAGCTAAGTAAATTGTGAAACATCCATGTAACGAAAGGTATACAACTATAAAAAATGATCTAGACCTATTTATACTGACATTGACAGATGTCTAACATAAATTACATGAAAATAGGAAGTGACAGAGAAGAGAGTATGGTATAATCTCATTTACATTAAAGTAATCAAAAAAACCAGCTTATATAATAGATACAGGCTGGGCAGGATGGCTCACGCCTGTAATCCCAGCACTTTGGGAGGTCAGGGCAGGAGGATCACTTAAGCCTAGGAGTTCAAGATCAGGCTGGGCAACATACCCAGACCCCATATCTACAAAAAGTTTAAAAATTAGCCAAGTGAGCTACGATCACGCCACTGCACTCCAGGCTTGGGGACAGAGCAAGACTGTCTCTAATAAAATAAAACAAAATAAAATAAAATAGGCTGGGCATGGCAGCTCATGCTGTAAAAGTGCTGTAATCCCGGCACTTTGGGAGGCTGGGGCAGGTGGATCACCTGAGGTCAGGAGTTCAAGACCAGCCTGGCCAACATGGTGAAACCTCGTCTGTACTAAAAATACAAAAATTAGCTAGGCATGGTGGTGCACATCTGTAATCCCAGCCACTCGGGAGGCTGAGGCAGAAGAATTGCTTGAACCTGGGAGGTGGAGGTCACAGTGAGCTGAGACTGCACCATTGCACTCCAGCCTGGGTGACAGAGTGAAACTCTGTCTCAAAAATTAAAATAAAATAAAGTAAAATAAAATATAATAGATATAGCTACATATGTGTGAAAAGGACAATAACATTAAATTATGAGTGTTTTCTGTCCTCCCTTGGGGGACCTTTCTAAATAAATAGGAGTATACTCTAAAATAATGATTAAAGGTTTAGTATAGTAAATGACTACATAAAAAAAGCAGAAAGCAAAAACAAGTAAATGGCTACAATGTCACTAGGCAATAGGAATTTTTCAGCTCTACTATTATCTTATGGGATCACAGTTGTGTATGCAGTCCATCGTTAACCAAAACATCATCATGCAGCACAGGACTGTATAGGTATGTATAACATGGACAGAAACAGACATCTCAGAAAAAGCAAGATACAAAATTGTATGTACATTATGATTAAAACAATACTAAACACTAATTTGATAAAAGAGTAACAGCAAATAATTAACTGTGTTTGGTGATGAGATCATTAGTGAAATTTTCTCCCTTTATCTTCCAATCTCTTAGTAATCTTGTATATTGTTTTTTGTAATATTTAAATAAGTTTTACAAGAGTGCTGTTGGTGGCTGGTAGTTGATATTCCTGTTTGTCTTTGTTTATGAAGCTCCCTCCTTCTCTGTGGATACCACGCTTCTTCTTACCCTGTATATCTATAACCAACTGTGAGAGAGTTTTTAATGTTTTGACAAAAATTTTTAAAGGTCCAACAGAACAATCACAATTTTTTCCACTGATTACTATGATCCCTTTGAATAGTCTTAGCTTGCATGGTCATTTTTACAGTCCCATACTACTATGCAAACTGAGAAATGACTACATATAACATAGATTTACTCTCTATCTTAGTAATTTTAATCTTTATCATTGAGTGCTTAAAGGAACGTCTACAAGGCACCATAAACCATACAGCAGAATGTTAGAATTTTCACTATAAAACCAAACACGTCATATATGCACACCCATGAAGTGTACAAACAATACATACTAAGTTATCTCTTAACACTATTTTTCCTTTTTCTGGTGTTTTGTTGTTGTTTGTTTGTTTTTGAGACAGAGTCTCGCTCTGTCGCCCAGGCTGGAGTGCAGTGGCACGATCTTGGCTCACTGCAACCTCCGCCTCCTGGGTTCAAGTGATTCTCCTGCCTCAGTCTCCCCAAGTAGCTGGGACTACAGGTGCATGCCACCATGCCCAGCTAATTTTTATTGTATTTTTAGTAGAGACGAGGTTTCACCATGTTGGCCAGGGTGGTCTCAAACTCTTGACCTCAGGTGATCTGCCTATCTCAGCCTCCCAAAGTGCTCAGATTACAGGGGTGAGCCACTATGCCCGGCCAAATCTTTAATTTCTAAACTAATTTGGAAAGACAGAAAAATTCGTATCTTCCTATGTATGTAATCAAAAAATAGTAGTCAAAATATTCATTGCATTTTCACTGTCACTCAATCTTTTGCCAATCATAATCTATTTTTTTTTAGTTTTTATTTTTAGAGACGGGGTCTCATTCCTGTCGCCCAGGCTGGAATGCAGTGGCACAATCATGGCTCACTGCAGCCTCAAATTTCTGGACTCAAGAAATCCTCCAGTCTAAGCTTCCCAAGGAGCTGAGATTACAAATGCGAGCCACTGAGCCCAACTATAATCCGATTTTTTATTTGTATATCTAATTATTATATAATTTTATATATAATTGCACAATATATATTTTATGAAAAGTAACGGTTTCTAAGATGAAGAAAATCTAACCCCTTCCATGAGTTCCAGTATCTTATTATAACTACACTAAGCTACAATAATAGCTTAATATTAAACATTAATGTTTCTTCGACCTAAGGAAGCTGATTTTTAAAAATAATAAATATTAATTTTAAACACAGTATTAAAGTATTAATAATCAAACAAAGCCACGCAGTGAAACGACATTTGAATTTTGGGAAATTTTCTTTTTTTTTCCTTTTCTTTTTTTTTTGAGACAGAGTCTCACTCTGTCGCTCAGGCTAGAGTGCAGTGAGGAAATCTTGGCTCATTGCAACCTCCACCTCCCAGATTCAAGCAATTCTCCTGCCTTAGCCTCCCAGGTAGCTGGGATTACAGGTGCCTGCCATCACGCCCAGCTAATTTTTGTATTTTTAGTAGACAGGGTTTCACCATGTTGGCCAGGCTGGTCTCGAACTCCTGACTTCAAGTGATCCGCCCGACTCCACCTCCCAAAGTGCTGGGATTACAGGTTGAGCCACCACACCTGGTAAGAATGTTGGGAAAATTTTTTCATACTAACACATTGGCATATCAGTTATCAGTTGGATAAAAGTTTTCTTCCATATAGGAAGTTATAAAATGCCACTGCCCAGAGACAAAATCTTCTGAAGAGTTATTAGATGAATGGCTGACAACATCGAATAAAAATGCACAAAGAACATTGCCATAATAAACTTTTGATATCCAAAGGGCTACATTTGAGGGGTTATATACCTAAAAGAAACCTCTTTCGGCCAATATTTACATCCCCCTTAAACTCACCTACTACTCTCTCTCTATATATGCCCATTAAGATAGGATATCTTTTGAGAACCTGCCTCCAGAAATAAAGTCTTTAAAAAGTTTGGGCCAGGCACGTGGTTCACGCCTGTAATCCCAGCACTTTGGGAGGCCAAGGCAGGAGGATCTCTTGAGGCCAAGAGTTTGAGAACAGCTTGGGCAACACAGCAAGACCTCATCTCTGCAAAAAATAATAAAAATAATTTTTAAAAGTTTAAAAATATAGCATTTCATTTTAAAAAGTGCCTAGAAAAGCAGAAGATTTTAAAACATATAAATGTCACTTGCATCACTAAATACCCCCTTAACCTTCAAACAGTCTCTACTCCAATAACACACATAACAAATAAACCCTAGGCCCTTACAGCAATTGGGTTAAGAAAGGTTAAATTTCAGAATGCATAAAGATAGGAGGCATTTCTCATTCTTATGGTAGAGACTACATGCTGTCGTCTGTGTACATGCTTACAATAATAAAGGCCAACCTTTTATTAATGTTTGCTAATAAATATCCTCCTGATTTTCCATTCCAGCTAAGATTTGATAATATAATTGACTCTTCTGTGTTTTCATCACAAGCAGCACTGTTACAGATATCATTTCCTCTTAATTTATCCACAGGCTGTGTGAATAATTTAGAAAATTATTTTCGAAGGACTCTATCTAGGGAAGTCTTTTGGGTTTTAGAGTAGGGTTCTTTCTGGTTTTCTGCAGCTGTGGGGTCACTCCATCAGAATTTCATGGTTATATCCTTTGCGCAATCTGTAACATTGTTTAAGTTCAAAACTACATACATTATTTCATCAAAATTAAAAACTTTTGGGCATTAAAAGATCCTATCAAGACCATGAAAGACAATCTACAGATATTAATATATCTGTAACCCACAGAAGTATTTGGGAGAAAATATTTGTAAATCATATATCTGATGTGAGAATAATATCCAGAATGTATAAAGAACTACAGAACTACAACTCAACAACAAAAAAGCGCACATCTCAATTCAAAAATGGGCAAAGGATTGAACAGACATTTCTCCAAAGAAGACATACAAATGACCAATAGCACATAAAAAAATGCTCATTAGCACTAGCCATTAGGAAGCTAAAAATCAAAATGACAATACTATGTCACACCCATTAGGATGGTTATTAATTGAAAGAAAACAGAAAATAACAAGTATTGGGTAGATATGGAGAAAATGGAAGGAGCACTTGTGCATTGCTGGTAGAAATATAAAATGGTACAGAAGCCGTGGAAACCAGGTTAGCTGTTCCTTAAAAGGTTAAATATAGAATTACCATATGACCCAGCAATTCCATTCCTAGGTTTATATCCAAAAGAAGTGAAAGCAGGACTCAGATAGATATTTGCACACCAGTGTTCACAGCAACATTATTCACAATAGCCAAAAGGTGGAAACAACCCAAATATGTCCCATCAACAGATGGATGTATAAACAAGATGTAGTATATACAAATTATTCAGTCAAAAAAAGAAATTAAATTCTGCTATGTACTACAACATGGATAAACCTTGAAAACATTATCCTAAGTGAAATAAGAAAGGTCAAATATTGTTTGATTCTATTTCCATGAAGTGTCTAGAATAGGCAAATTCATAAAAAGAGAAAGTAGAATAGAGGTTACCAGGGGCTGGGGAAGAAAAGGGATAGAGAATTTCTGTTTGGGATGATGAACAAGTTCTGGAAATGGACAGTGGTGATGGTTATACAATATTGTGAATGTACTTCATGCCACTAATTGTACACTTTTTAAAATAGTTCAAATGGTAAATGGTATGTTTTATATATATATATATATAACCACCATAAAAATAAAATAAATTGCCAAAGCCAGGAGAAGGTGGGGGAGAGCTATGTACATACCCGAGTTTGTGAAGATCAGACAAAGATTCACATGAACTATTTTGAAAGTCTTTTACAATAATCCTAGTAAGACATAGCTGAAAACATAATACTGATCATGACTAAGCCATAATCCTATTACAGTGGAAATCATAATTTAGTACAATTTTTTGCTTTCTCAAAGATATGAGAAAAGCTGCATACATGTATTTATATACCAGAAAAATATACCTTTTAGTAAGGGTTTTACAGCAATGCAAATGTCAAAGTAGCACTGGCCTAAATTGAGGCAAATAGTTTTTTAACTAGTAGGCGATAACTGTGAAGGACTTAGTAAATGTGAAAACTTTGAAAAGCTGAAAAATCCACCTCTAGTATTTTGACTTCGCTGACATAGGGAAATGCACAAACATCTACTACATTCCAGATTTAGGGACTCAGGATACTAAGATAAACAGAAAAAGTCTACCCTTTCAAAAGTTTAGCTTATCTCTGCCAGGATCACAAGAGGCACTAGTGAAGAACAGACATTTTGGGGGCATTTTCAAATTCTCAAACTGACACAAATACATGAGATGCGCAAAAGTCTTCTAAATTACAGTGTAACCTACAATTGTCTATCTTCTAATAAATTCTTCTAACACATAGAGAACTTCTGTGTAGTGCAGTTTTCTGAGACCTGTAATTATAAACTTCAGTTACATTGCTATAAACTTCCAAATTGGGAGTTTGAAATATGAGCCACATGTTACTTAACGTTCAGAAGACGTATAAATGAGAGCAAAAGGTTATGGCTTAACAGAAAACTAAATAAGAAATAACTATTGATTGTTAAATAGCAACATATCACAATCATAGACACACCAATGACTGTAACCATATGGTTCTTCTCTCAATCATCAAGCATATGCTAAATTTGTACTTAAAACGGTCCAATGTGACTTTAAAAAAAGGTTACTCTTCAAGCAGCTTTCAATCTAGTTGGGAGAGTAAATTACTACACATAAAACGTGTTATTTATGTACATATATATGTAAAAATACTCAAATACAAAGGATCCAAATGTAAGAATTCAAAGGAGATAAGTTAGTTCAGGAAAGCTCCAAAGAAGGTAAGATTTAGGCAAAGTCCAGAAGGATAGACAGAATTGAATGGAAATGAACCCTTCATAATCTAACTTCATCTTGCCTTTCCAACACATTGTACAATACAAAATTATTAGAATAGATAAAAGCAGTCTATGGCCATACCAACCTGAACATGCTGATCTCATCTGATCTCAGAATAAAAACAAATTAGAAAAGAAGCTGAGTGCAGTGGCTCACGCCTGTAATCCCAACACTTTGGGAGGTTGCGGTGGGTGGATCTCTTGAGCTCAGGAGTTCAAGACCAGCCGGGGCAACATAGCAAAACCCCGTCTCTACAAAAAAACACAAAAATTAGCAGGGCATAGTGGTGCACACCTGTAGTCCTAGCTGCTAGGGAAGCTGAAATAGGAGGATGGCTTGACCCTGGGGAGTTGAGGCTGCAGTGAGCAGTAAATGTGCCACTGCACTCCAGCCTGGGTGGCATAAAAAAGTCGTTCCAGATAAGAGAAATCACAGAAATATGGAATAAGAAGAGCATACTAATTAGCCCACTTAATGCTTATTGTAGAGAAGTGGTTAAATATTTTACATAGGAATACACATGTCAAATTATATAAATCATATGGGAGAAAAAACGCTCCAAAAATTACATGGAATTTTGACATGACTTTCCAATGTACCCTATTCATACCCACTACTCATTTGCTATTTGAGAGAAATGTCTCAGAACCAGTCAGACCAAGGCTCACCTTCAAAACCAGGTGGGCACCCAAATTATAACAAGAATTAGAAATTTGTGTTTGTCCTTGCATATAAGGCTGTGTTTCATTTTTCCTTCATATTTACTACTGATTGCTTCATGAATTCAGATAATTTCAGAGCCAGGAGGCATTATTTATAACCCAAATTTTAAATGTTTATATTCCTGAAACATTTGAATATTTGCATAAATGTCATGAGACAAACAAAATTTACTCTGTAGAAAGCACAATTTACCAGATTATTACTGCTAGTTTTATTCTGTCAGCTCTCTCCTTTAAGGAGAAAGCACAGCACTAGGTAGTCCCATTTATTACATCAACATTTTAATAAGGCCAGGCACTGTAGCCCATACCTGTAATCCCAGCACTTTGAGAGGTTAAGGCCAGAAGATTGCCTGAGTTCAGGAGTTCAAGACCAGCCTGGGAAACAACAGTGAGATTCCCATTACTACAACAAAATAAAAAAATTAGCCAGGTGTGGTCCGCACATCTGGAGTCCCAGATACTTGGGAGGCTGAGATGGAAGGATTGCATGAGCGCAGGAAGTAGAGGCTGCAGTGAGCCATGATCGCAGAAATGCACTCCAGCTAGGGTGACAGAGGGAGACCCTATCTCAAAAAAAAAAAAAAAAGAAAAAGAAAGATCTGTATCTGTCCCTTGGACTATTTGCCTCCTACTCCTCCAATTCGTTCTTTATATTTCCCATAGAATAATCTTTGAAATGCACCTCTAGTCATTTTACTCAGGTGCTCTTCTTCAGTGGAAGGTACGTATGCCCTATGGTTTGAAGTCAGTCATTTCAGCATGGCAAGCCCTAGTAGTTTCTATGATTTGGTCCCTGTCTGAACACTGTGTACCCTTGCAACTGTTGCTTTCTAGATCTTGAAATGTTCTGCTTCTCCACAGGTTCCCCCTCTTATCTCTCCTATTACTTACATAAACTGCACAAATCTTACTATATAGCTTGACTGAATTTTTAGGGATGCATCCAAGGAATTATCCTGCAAAATTAAGATACAGAACATTTCCAGCACCCCAGTAGGCTCTCTTCTGTTCTCTCCCAGTCAACACTGACCCTCAGAGGTCACCACTATTCTGTCACCATAAATTAGTTTTGCCTATTTTGGAACCTCATATATACAGTAATGCAGTATTTACTTTTTTCGTGTGTATGTGTGCATGGTGAACTCATTTTTAAGACCAAATTTTATGCATCTTCTCTGTGAAGCAAAACCCTGTCTGTTCCACACAGACTTAGAGTGGCAGAGGAGTACCTTAACCTATCAAAGGCTATTTTGAGCAAAAGCCACTTTGTGTCATTGAAGCTGTAGAACTGAGCCACAAGAGGGAACTGTTAAAGTCCCAGGGTCAAGGACCAGGTACCTACGTTATCCCCACAGCACAGAAGCACAGCCTGAGTCTCTTCTTTGGCTGAGCCAAGGGCGTGCTGGAGAGGCCTGAGAGAAGGAGCGGCCCTTGTGACCAGTGCCCTTTTGGTTCACAAGGAACGTCTCCTCTTGTTGAAGTGACTTGGCTGAGCTTGCTACTTCTGCTTTCAGAGCCCAATATCAGGATCAAGACTTCAATTATCCCCAATTTACAGATGATGAAACCATATTGGGCAGGAAAGAAAGTCACCCCAGGAGAGCGAGTTGGACCCGGGCACTGGCTGAGGACAAAGGGGAATGATAATTTGGGATGTAGCTTGTTAAGGGGTCTCACAAGTGTTCTTGTGATCCAGGTGGCGAGAGGATAGAGCAGAAAGGTTGCCAGGGAGACGAGGGTAGGGTGCACTGCGAGAGTGGGAGAAATTAAAGAGAACACGCAACAAAGCCTTGGGACACTGGGAGGGGGATGGACCACCCAGTTTTGTGCTATGGGAGAAGAGAGCAAGAAAAGGAATCTGTGTTAAATCCCGACAGCCTGCAGGAGAAGCAAATGCCCTTCATTTTCTTCATCAGCAGCGAGACTGGCATCCCTGTAGCTTTGAGAAACCATGCTAGTGTAGATGCCAGCTCCCTCCAGCGGGCCTGACTGGGAGAACTTGGGCTGGGGTTCTGGTCTGGGGCTCCTAGGCCTGATGGGAAGAGAGTTCAGCCCAGCTTTCCTGTACTTCAGCTCGTATGCAGATGATGGCCATTGTTGAAATGAGAGACTCAAAGGAAGCTGGAACCTGAACTTTTTTGTTGTCTTGTGGACACCTGTGTTCAGTTTCGGGTTCTACCTCTTGCTGTCTGTGTGTTCTTAGGTGACTCACTTAAACCTTTCTGAGTCTCATTGTCTTCATTTATAAAATAAAAGACGTAACATTGATGTCAGATATTGTCCTGAGCATTAAATGGGAGAATAAGCAAGCCTCTTCTGCATTCCCCTGGCATCCAGTGGGTGGAGGCCAGAGAAGCTGCTAAACATCCTGCCAGGTGCAGGACAGCCCCCATCGCAAAGAATTGTCTGGCCCCTGATGTCAGTAATGCAGTATTGAGGATCCTTGGTGTGGGGGAAACAGAATAAACTCAGAAGCTTGGCAGATCTCAATTCAAACCCCGGTTGTACGGCCTCCAGCAGGCCTTGGTCAGGGAATAGTATCTAGCTAAAGTTCATTGACTTCATTTTGTTTTCATTGAATTTATGTTTTGCTGGCTTTCCATTTATGAGAGTGATACAAATTTCCTTTAAACATGAAGTTGTAAATATAAACAGGTAGGCCATTCACAGGAATGTCTAAATTATGTCACAGGAAAGGTGGCACTCTCATATGGCAATAATTATGACAGAGGCCGGCAAATGACCTGCGTGACCCGGAGTGGCCTGAGCACTGACTCCCAAATGCCCTCCATAGGATGTTCTGCATCCCCGAGACCCTTTCCTGGGTCCTCCTGGGCCCTACCACCCCCTAGACCATCCAGACCTCAGGTCATCCCCCTGTCTGTTGACAGAGTAGTCTCCGTTCCTGAATGTGCTGGTCACCAGCAACAGCAGCTGCTCCTCCTCCGGGAAGCTCAGCCTATACTTCTACATGCAGAGAACCTGGACGGCACCCAGGTGGACCTAAGCCTTCAGCTCCCAGTAGACGCTCTGGGTTTCCTACCCTGCCCAGACACTCTGGGCTTCCCCCGACACCTCCCCTCGGCCGGGGCTCCTGTGTGCATCTGTCTCTCCCAGTGCCCAGCACAGGCGTGGAACGGAAGAGGTGAATGGACCGATTTGAACACATCATCCTGGATTCTCCGTTCCCTCTCAAGCCCTGCAGCTAACCCATCGGCAAGCCCTGGAGGCTCTGCCTCCAAAATCCTGCCTATCCCATGTGCAAACGCCTCTCACCATGTCCACTGCTATTTGCAGTTCTGTGTGTGTGGAAATACTTCCACAAATTTGGAATGAACAGGTCACGGCTGTGCCTGGAGGGAATGGCCAGGGAAATGTGCCCTCGCCTTGCTGTTCTATCCAGGCCCACCCAGCTGAGGATGGGGGACCTGCCACCACTCTCCTGGCAGTTCCGGACTCCTGGGAACCGGCAGGTGAGGACCCAAGAGTGTTTTCAGTGACCCGGCTGACCTGGTCATCCGTCAGTCCCACCTTGGCCTAGGCCTCTATACAGCACAGATCACAGCTCATTCCATCCTGGCATTACACTGGCCTGTGCCCTGTCCTCAGGGTCACATCCGTCTCCCAGAAGCCGTGCAACCCTGGAAAACCCAGGTCTAACAGTCAGCTTCCTCCTCCGTGCATTAACAATGGCGTTGACGCCTGCTTTGCGGCACGCTGGGAGGGGAGAGGGAGGTGTATGCTGGAGAGCTCCCCAGGGGCAAGGCCTGGCTCTGCGTCACCCACTGTCAGATCCTGAGAGCCTGGGGCTGGCCCAGCACGTGGCCACCGTTCCCTAAGAGTTGGATTTCATCCCTCAGTGCTGAAGGCAGGGGATAGAGCTTAGACAGACCCCCTGCGTCCTGTCTTCTTTATCTACAGCTTTCTCATCCTTGCCCCTTTCACGTGCACCCGGCAGAGCAGGTGTTCACTGAGCTTGAGCAAAATTCAAGCTAGAGCAGCTGATGGATCTTGAGGCCTAGATTCACTGTCAAAGTGTTTCTCAAACGGTGCTCTCCAGAACACCAAGGAAAACTCATTGACTGTGTAAGTCTGAAAATCCCTGCCCACCGGTCTACCTTTGTGTATGAGCGATCAGCTCTACCATTCAGCCCAGGTGTGTGTTTGCTGGACCATGTGGAGGAAGCTGAAGAGACGTGAGCTGAAGGCAGAGGGTGAGTCCAAGGTGGGATCTTGGGACAGGTACGAGAAGTTAGGCAAAAATGGGATAATTCTAGCCTTCATAACCTTAGATAATAGTTCACATTATTATTTAGTTAATAGAACTGTACCCACATTAAATTTCTTAAATTTTTTTAAGAGATAAAGTCTCACTCTGTCACCCAGGCTGGAGTGCAGTGGTGCAATCATGGCTCACTGCTTCCTGGAACTCGTGGGCTCCAGCAATCCTCCTGCCTCAGCCTCCTGACTAGGTGGGACTATAGGCACACGCCACCATGCCTGGCTAATTTCTTTGACTTTTCTCTAGAGACCGGGTCCACCTAGGTTTCCCAGGCTGGTCTCAGACTTCTAGACTCAAGTGAACCTGAACCTCCCGCCTCGACCTCTCAAATTGCTGGGATTACAGGTGTGAGCCACCACACCCGGCCTAAATTTCTTATGTGCCATGGGACTGCAAAACATCATTATTAGGGGCAGCTGGATGGAAGGTATAGGAGGATACTATAGTGCCTTTTCAATATTTCTGTCTAAAATCTAAAATCATTTCAACAGGAAACATTTATTTCAAAACATGAAGGTGGTTATCCTTCCATGAGTTTGAAGTACAAAGGCAGGCTCACGGTGTCGTCAGAATTCAGAACGATGGTCGTGGGGCTGGGGGTGCTGGGAGGGGCTGGGCATGGTTGGCTTTGTGATCTGGGGTCTGGTGTGTTCCATCTCTGAATCTCTCTCGAGCTGCACTCTTTCTTAATACATTTTCATAAGTTTAACCAAAAATAAAACGAGGATGCGAAGCTTGCTTGGGTTGTTAAGCCTAGGGAAATTATCCAGCCATGAGCCCTGGCCCAGATGCTTCTAGAAGCCTGGAGGGAACTGAGAACTTTCCAAGTGGAGGCCGCAGAGGCAAGGCCCTGAGGTGGGAGCACACTGCTGTTCGTCCCTAGCTCTGAAGGGGGTGCCCTGGTCGGAATCAGTGCTGGGTGCAGCGAAAGCCGATCTCACCCGCTCCGCAGGGTGTTCAGCCTGCCAGCAGGGGGCCAGCTGGTCCTCCTGGGATATGGCACGGACCCAGCAGCTCTGTCTGAAATCATAATGGCGGAACCAAGGGCCCTCTACGTCCAGGTCCGTTGGGAGGCGGGGCATGGAGTTCCACTGCAGGAATCTCCAGGAACCCTGAGGTCCTCCCTGAGCCAGGGCCGGGCTGGGCACACCCTGAGTGCCCACAGGGTAGGTGTCTTCCCGGACAGCCCCACCAGGACAGGGTGTGGAAGAACGAGGTGCCCGTGGCGGGGAAGCTGACCAAATGGGCCGCGGGAACCGGGCTGGTGGGCCTGGAGGGGCCTGCCTGTCCCCCTTGCAGAGGGTCTTCCCGCCACGTGAAGCCGGCACAGGCCTGGATGCCGACGACCCTTGCTCGGGTTTGGCTGAAAGGAAAACAGACGCGGTCAGCATCTCCAGTGAGCCCACGCAGGCCTTTCCGGGCTGGGCCCCACCTGCCTGCGTCTCTGGAGTCCTCGGGGTCTCTGTGTGGCCCCCGTGGCCTGACACCGAGGACACGCCTGTAGTCTGCTGATCCCAGAGGGAGGGGTGCGTGCTGCCTGGCGTGGGGAAGCTGTCGTGGCATGGCGGGTGGCTCCTGGGACTGCCCCCAGGGTTCAGACTGGCTGGGGGCTTCCTGCCACACACCTTCGTCCCAGGGCTGTTGGGCCTGGGATACGGCCCCCAGTCAGAACTCAGGTGGGAGGGGCCTTGGATGTCACCCAGCCCCTTGTCACCTCACGTGGGGACCCGTCTCCGCAGTGGGTGATTGGGCCCGGACGTGGGTCACCCTCTGCCCTCCTGGGCTGCCCAGTCCATGCCAGGACTGACCGTTCCCACTTCTGGCTGAACTCTTGGCTCTGGCTCTGGGCCCGGGGTCCCGCCTGTGCCCTCTCCCTGAATGCTCTGTGGGTCAGGGACACGGATTCCCTTGTCTCCCTGGCTCCAGGCTTCTTGTCCTGGCAACCTTGGAGGAGCGTGCAGGAGTGAGGGGCCTCTGCTGCTCTCTGAGGCTGTGGGTGCTTGCAGGGAGGGGCGGGGTCTCCCACAAATGGGTCTGGGCTCGTCTAGTAACTTGGAGGGCCCTGCGAGGGGGAGAGGGAGACACCGTGGAAAGTGGGAGGGGGCTTGTTGGAGGGTCTTGCCCACATCCCCCTCCTGCGTGCACAGCATGTCCAGTATACACGCACTGAGCGCCTGCCCTGAGGACCGGTGGGCCTCCTGTACTTTCTTAGAGTCCAGGAGGAAGAGGAGGAAGAAAAGGTGAAGAGGAAGGCCCAGGTAGTAGGGTTGCGGGTCCCGGGCACTCCCCTACTACTGACTACCCCAGAGGGTGACATGGGAGGGGACATGGCACTGGAGCCCACCTGGGGGTGGCAGGTCCCCCTTCTTTCTTGTTAGTTTCTTCATAGAGGCCCTAAGATGCTTGAGCACAGTGTCCTCATCCCTGGCCCAGGTATCAACGAACCGGTTGCAAAAACGTGCCCACGGGCCACACCTGGACGTCTTCGTGAGGCGCTCTAGGGACAGGGTGGATATCAGGCCAGGGGAGTTACCTGGGAATGGTCACAGCTCATACCCCGTGGCCACTTCAGTCTCCTACTGGGCGGTGCCGGATCCTTTTGTGGCCACCCCAGGTGTCCAGATACACACAGGAGACTGTGGCTGGGGGGCGATCCGGACAGGGAAGTGCTCACCACACTCTCGACTTTCATCTGGGTCATGTGGGGGATGGGCTCGGTGTCACAGTGTCCTGCCCAGCCCACCTGGCCAGACCTCCCTCTGGGCCAGAACAGAGGATCATGAGGACAGTGTGAGGAAGCTGCCCTCGGGCCAGTCGGGGTCTGACCCCAGGGCTCCCCAGGCCCCGCTGGGCACACGTAGACTTACTCTGCTGAACCTTAAAGGCGATTCTTGTTATCGGCATCAGCGCCTGTTCGCCTTCTACCAGATACACGTCCCACAGGCGCAGGGTGAGCCCGAGAGAGATCTGTGGGGACAGCAGGTGTGAAAGAACCTGGTCCTTCCAGGCTGGGGCTGGTGGCTCGAGCTGCGCACACTGGGGCTTCAGTCTCCAGAGTCAGTGACCTTCCCCATGAGGGTCGCCTGAGCCCTCCAGGACGCTGGGTCAGACAAGGTCTTGAAGCTCCTCATGGGGGGCACTCATTTGAGTGGGGATGTGGCTCCTGGAGAGAGGGGCTTGCCCAGGGCTTGAGGCTTCCCTGAGCCCTCTCAAGTCGGGTCCTGGCCCAGTCTGCCCATGAGGCTGGGCCTGAGCCCCAGCCATGGCCCTGGGATGACCCCCCTTGGGCAGAGGGTTTTGCTTGTGTGTCCTTTGGGGACCCGCCTGAGCCTCCTGTGGGCTGGGAGTGAGCCAGACCCCCGGGCTGGGGAAGCAGGGCACTGCAGGGCAAGGAAGGTCCCTGAGCCAGGGTCTCCCTATGCCTCCTTACCCCGTCAATCAATATCCGGATGAGGCAGCCTAACGGGGAACACTGCCCACATAGATCTTTCTTGTCCTGATGGAAGCAACAGAGGTGCTCAGGCCACTGGGCTGCCCTAAAAACCTCCCTCTTCCAGGGCCTCTGAAGACCCTTCCCCTAGTGCAGAACACTGGGCGGTGTCCAGAGCTCCCCACAACACTGTCACCTTCCCACACTCCCGGTGGACACACTGCCCTTTGCCCTGCTCTGCGGGAGCTGGGCCCCCATCCCTGTGCCTCTGTCTCCTCCAGGGCAGGAAAGGAAACCAACTCCCAGCCCATGGAGAACCCGACGTCCCAGGTCGGGCCCTGGCTGGGACTCAGCCAGTCACCAGCCCCACGAGGGGCTCCAGCCCCCCTGCTCCTACAGCCCCACGGGAGGCAGGGCCTCTGGGAAGAGCTGAGGGGACCATAAACTCACCTGATGCCCCATGGTCTTGGGTTGTGACGTGGCTACCACATGCTCCTGTTGGTCTTGGAGCCCCTGGACGGTCCCGCCATTTGGGCTGTGAAATCCTGAGAAGCCCCCAGCCCATCATGAAATCAGAGCCTTCCCCCAAGATGTGGAGCCATCAGCTGCAAGAGCTGGGCAGCTGGAGAGGCCCCCAAACCCCAAGGCCTCCCACCCTCCCGTCTGGTGACCCCAACATGCGGCCTTTACCCTGGGGAGGTGGGGCGGGAACATTCCCTGGAGCCTGGCTGGAGGTTCCCCTGGAGGCCTCCTGGGCCAGGGTGCAAAAAGGGCAAGCCTGACTTTCAGGCCACGACAGGGTGGCCGGAACTGGGTGGGCGCTGGGCTTCCCGGTCATCTCCTGGTAGTGGGGTCGGGCCGGGGAACAGGGGATGGGGAGATGCTGCCACCTGGGCTTGGTCGGCCCATTCGTGGGCACCGATGGCAGCAGGAGCCCGGGCAGCTGGAGGGCAGGAGGACTCTCAGGGAGGGGAGAGTCAGCTGCACAGAATCAGAGCCGGAGGGCGTGGCTCCAGGACACAGAGGGTGGCCACGGGGAGGATGAGATGCCCTCTGCTGATGGGGATGAGAGGCGTCTGATTTGGGCTTTGGGGGTCAGCCGTGGACTCCTGTGGGACCCTCAGCAGAGACATCCTAAAGTCTCCCAACAAGCTGGCGACACAAGGAGGGTGCCTTGGCTGAAAGCTGTGATCACCTGGCCAGGGTGGCCATCCCCAGGTCTGGCTGCAGGAGGTCCCCGGGGCAGCTGTTCACTAACCCTGCAGGGAGTGCCTCTCACTGGCCAGCAGCTGCACCAGTGCCCAGAATGCATCCTCCTCAGGAAGATAGAGGAGGAACAAGGCGGCGATGTGGCTCAGGTCCCTGCAGTAGCCCACCTCCTGCAAGAGCCAGAGTCACCATGGAAGGACATCACCTGGGAGGGCTGAGGTCACCTGGGAGGACTCATGTCATTGGAGAGGGCAGAGGTGACTGGAGAGGCTTCCTCTGAAGGAGAGGCTTCCTCTGAAAAAGAGGCTTCCTCAGGATGCACATTCATTTCATGACAAGAGCCAAGTCCATCAGGCACTTCAGCACCTTGTCCAAAATGTCTGCTGATAGCACCATCCTGTGTGCGATGCTGCCAAGCTCCTGGGCTTTGGGGCAGCCCCAGGAGGAGGGCGTCATTTCTTGTTCTGAGAAGTGGTGGTCAGGCCCAGGTGACACCAGGAGTCCAGGCCCTGACTCCTTTGTGTCTCAGCTTGACCCCTTGAGACCACCCCCTTCCTTGGAGGTTTATGCCAGCGGTGAGCTGACATCCTACCTCCTATATCCTGGTGGGTCACAAATACTAACTTTAAAAGAAGCAACGACACCCCCACCAGACACCCACTCCTGTCAATATGGAAATATGGCCCGGGAACCTCACTGCCGGGAATACTCACCGGGTTGTACTCCTCATATGCCAGGAGGATGTGGAGTAGTTCCCGCTGCCTAGGAAACAGAGAAAGGGGGCTTTGGTTTGTTTTGTGCAGATGTTGTTAATTTCACTTTGTCTACAAAGCCTAACAGCAAATCCCATTTCAGGTTCAGATGTTTCACCAGATAAGCAGTGAGCTCTTCAGGGCCTGAGACCCTTGAAGAAATGTTTCAGTAAAATCCACATCTGTGACATGCAAATAGCCCAGTTGTACAGTGACTTGCCTGATCCTTTTCACTCTGAATGATTTTTTTTTTTTTTTTTCAGTTTGCACACACGCCAGTTCAGTCTGTGGGTGTACAGTTCCTCCACGGTTCCAAACCAATGTGCAGAGTCTCCCGGCCACCGCTCCAGCCCCTCCTGGGGCGACTCCTTCATCCTCCAAGTCTCCAGGGTGGCCCCTATGCACCCAGCCTCTCCCCGATCCGTCAGCCCCTGGCCACCCAGACTGCTTCTCAGTCCCTGTGGTTTGGCCTTTTCCAGAATGGCCTAGGAATGGGAATCCTACTGTGGTAGCTTATTGGGTCTGGCTTCTGTCCCTCAGCAAAATGCATCTAGGATCCACCCACGTTCGTGCGGGCATCACCGGCTCGTTCCCTTTTCTCACTGGGTCTTCCGTTTGAAGGGAGGACCAGCCTTGCTCTCCCCATCCCCGTGTTGAAGGCCGTCCCCGAAGGCTCCGTGTGTGAGTGACGAGGAGTCAAGCAGTGAACCTGGCATGCTGGTTTCATGTGGATGTCAGTTTGCAAATCAGTGGGTTCAATATCTGTGACACTTTGGGGATGTGTGGTTCAAGTCCATCGAGCTTTGTGAGCCACTGCCCAACGGGCTGCCAACGTGGCTGTGCCATGTCATGTTCCCAGCGGACCTGGATGAGAGTTTCCAGGACCCCTAATTCTCCCAGCATTTGGTGCTGTCACTGTTGCCTGGCGGGGGCTCATGGGCCCTCTATCCTGCCACCCTCCCATGGGTCCTACCATGGGTCCCCATGGGTCAGGGAGAGCACCCTTCACCATTGTGCATGATTTTGTTTGCTGCCTTCCATCTCCTCAGGATCCTCCTGGGTTCTGGCCCCACATGTTCCAGTCTGGCCCAGGGCTTGGAACCAGGGAGGTGCTCGGTTCATGGTGCCGGCTGCTCCCTGGGCCGGGAGAGCTCTTGGCAGCTGTGTCATCCCTCCTGGGTGACCCTGGCTTCTGCTCCGGGGAAGCCCCCATCCCTCTCATTCACCCCATCTCTGCTGGGACCCTGTGGCTCCCGTAGGCTTACTTGGTTCCGTATCGATCCCTGAAGAATATATGCTTCCTTAATGTCCCGCTTACGTCCCGGTCGATGCGCTGGATGTGCTCAGATGACTTCTTGCCCTTCTCCTTCATGATCTGTAGGGCAGGGCCAAGAGGAGGAAGCAGTCTCAGAACAGATGGAAGACTCCCTGCCCCCAGTGGCAGTCAGCCCACAGTCAGCACTTCGGGAAGGAAGGACAGAAGGAAGGTTTCCTTCTGCAGAAAGCTGCATTTTGGCTTGTTACTGAAGCCAGGGAGGGTCACCAGAGCTGAGTTTGTCTGTGGTGACTGTGTCACCATCTGTGCCCAGGGTGTTCATCTGACCTTCACCCCCAGCTCCCCAGGGTGGTCTTGACGTTCCCTCCAGCTGGAGACCTGGGCCCCGACACGGCCTGTCCTGTTTGTTGTGCTCTGGCTGAGCGTACCTGGTATCTTCCGGGGTTTTTCAACTTCATTTCCTCAGTGTTCAGGAGGACTGACCACATCGGGCCCCGGATGTTCATGGGCATTCCCTTGTACGCTTGATCTATGAGCTGTGGGCAGAAAACGATCTGGTGTCACAGGCCACGGGGTGACCCCAGTGAGGACCAGAGCCCGGGGATTCTGGAAATTGTCGGTTTTGGCCCCATGATTCCTCAGTAGAGGTGAGATCAAGCTGGGACAGGGTCTCCCTTCCCAGGACTGAAAGAGTGGATGGACACTCAGAGTCGAAACTCTGATCTGAACCTTTTCCTTCCTTCAGGTCACCAGGGCATCCCTAGCCTTGAGCTCCGGGTAGTCCCAGCCCTAGATTCAGATTCCCTCCCTGCAAGGTGACGCTTGCACGAATAGGCAGGAAATCTGGCGACCAGGCCTGCAGTCCTCTGGGCGAGGACAGTGTGCCGCCCACCCTCTGAGAGGCTGATGGTGCCAGGCCACAGCCATGGGTGCCTGTCCCCTGTCTCTGCAGAGAGTGCTTCCTCCCTCCACACGTTACCTTTCTGCTGCTTTTGTATTTCTCCCAGTCTCCCAGCATATCCACCCACTTGCTCTTTCGGCTGATCTCCCGCCGAATTTGCTGTCAAATGAGGCATGTTGGAGTTAGCGGAGCTGCCAGGCTTCCCAGAGCCGCCCGCGGATGCTGGGTCTTGGGCTCTGGAGCCCTGGTGGGAGCCAGCTGGAAGGAGCCAGGGAAGGGCAGACCTCAAGGGCTGAGAGCCTTTGAGCAAATGAGCACCAGTGGGCTGGCTTTGGGACCCCGGGATGTACCATCCTCAGGCCACAGACACACCAGTCTTAGGTCCCAGCCTCTAGGTGGGGTCCTGACACAAGCGCGCAGCCACCCCCAAGCCAGGACTGTGGTTCTCCTTTTGGAATTTTATCAAACTGCCAAAGTGAACAGCAACCTGGGGTCAGGTCCAGCAGGGACTGCTGCCCCTCCCAGTGACAGCGTGTTGCCCTCACCCGCCACCGCTCAGGCCAGCTGCTTCCTCTGCCTCACTGACCACCCGCCCAGTCCCTACGTCCCTGGACCAGCCCCTCCACGCATCAGGCTCTTACCTTCGCCTCCCGCGCAGTCAGAGGAGGCAGCTCCGTCTCACTGTAAGGCAACCCAGGCAGAGCTGAGGAACTGCACGGGGCCTGGAGCGGCCCCAGCCTGGGTGCCGACCCCCAGAAAGGACTGGCTCTGTCCCTTTCCAGCTCAGGGCTCAGCCCAGGAGAAGGCACAGGGAAGGGAGGACAAGGGCCTTCCTGTGGGGCTGACTCCCAGGAGGGGCAGGACCTGGGAGAAGAAGGAGTGTAGGGACAGCCTGGCCGGGGTTACTGGGGCCCCTGGCGTGGGGGGCGGTCAGGCTGCCCAATGGGGCTGCCCGTCCTGGACTCGAGGTGGTGCTTTCTGCTGGAGCTGAGAAAGGTTAGCCCTGAGATGGGATGGGGGCCGCCCAGGGTGGGCGACCGGGCCCTGACAGGAGTCCCTCAGGGAGTGACCACATCCCCCCGCCAGGGTCAAGGGAGCCTGCCCTGAGACCTGCCCGGTGTACTCTGGCTGCACCAGGGGCCCACCCCACTTGACAGCCCCAAGGCCCTTGCAGGTTCTGACCTCCCAGCATCCACCTGCCTCTCCCTGCACCCGAGCCACACACCCTGCGTTTCAGAAGTGGCACGGCTCGTCAGCTCCCTCCCGCCCTACCTCCCCAGGGATCCTCTGTCTCTCCATCCTGTGATCCCTGAGGGATGGGCTCCTGGCTGGGCTCCTCTTACCCGGCCCCAGATCCCTTCCCAGCACCAGACCCAGGTCTTTAGCCGCGAGCCCTGCTGCCTCCCTGGCCTCACCGTGAGATGCCCAGAACGGGGCCCTGCCCATCTTCTCCCCCGTTCTCCTAGGGCTACAGCCCCCATTGTCACCATGCCTTTTCCCCTCACGGGACAGTGAGGGCTGTAGCTCTAGGGGAATGGGGGAGAACAGGGGCAGGTGGGCCCTCAGAGACCTGCTGGACAACAGCCCTGAGGCTGGGCCAGGCGTCCCCTCACCCTGTGGCCATAACCCTTGCATCTCACCGGGGTTGTCTCCAAGTAGACAGGGCCAGACCCTCAGGCTGCCCCGCTCCTCTTGTGCTCACTTGCCGACAGAACTGCTGAGCGCCCAGGGGCCTGACCTAGCCCAGTCTCCATTCCCACCGGCTCCCTAGATGGGCCCCACACCTCTGGCCTAACAACCTCGGGCTGGACCTGCAGGGGAGTCAGGGAGGAGTTCTGTCCCTGGAAAGGAGGTTGACCCGACCTGGTGAGACATGTCCTGCGTCAGAAAGGCCTTTCTAAAAGCAAACCCATCCCTGAGCTGAGACAGGTGCTTTAGGGGTGAGGGGAGTGCAGAGGACTCACTGTACAATCCCCAAATGATCGACGTTGTTGTTGTAGCTTCGAAAAGGCTTAGGCCCCTTGTCCTCTGGCAGCCCAGCTCGGTGTCCCTGTAGCCCAGAGGGAGCCTTGGTGAGGGGTCCAAGGTAAAGGGTGCAAGGGCCTGGGGGCATTGGCCACCCGTCCCTGCCCTGTGCTCCTAGGGAGCCCAGGACCCTTTGACCAGGGCACACTGGAAGAGGCCTCCCTCCAAGAAGCAGACCGACTTGTACCTTTTCGTATTTCATAATGATGTCCTCTCGCTCTTGTGCCCACCAACTGCCCGCGACCTCTACCACGTCCATCCTGTGAGACAGAATTGTCTAAAGGTCACACCGTACGCGGCGGCTTCGGAGAACACCTGAACCGCTCTCGCCGGGCTCCCAGATGCTGGCTGGCTGCGTAACCCCCATTCCACCGCCGCCCCCAGGGAAAAAGGGGCCAGACCCAGTGGCCCACAGCTGCTCCAGTCTCTGGAGTCTCAAGTCCCAAGCAGGGGTGGGCATCTTCCCAAGGACTTGAGTACAGTGGGACCTAGACAGAGAATCCTGTTGTCCCCCAATGCCATGAAATGGGGACACACCGGCCCCAGCAGGTTGAATGGTTTCCACCTGCCAAGGGTGAAGGGCCCATGATGGGCTATTCCAGGGATGTGGAGGCAGACTGGGGTCAGCGACCAGAGGTCTCTGTGCAATCGGCCTCCTGGGATGCTCAGGGCCTCAGCGATGCCCAGTTTCCTACAGGGAACAAGATCTCTCCCGACTGCTCGGTTCTACTCCGCTCATCACTTTGGCTACCGTGGCTCTTCAGTCTGAACAGTGAAGCCACTTTAGGAATAACGCCTGTTGAGCAGGAGGGTGTTGGGTTTGGGGGATGAGAAAGATCTATTGTACGCATGGAAACCACGTCTCTCGCGGAGGGACTGTGGAGTCCACCATTCTGAGCCGTCCCAACAGGAGGAGGCTTCATTTTCCTGGGTCACTGAGGAAGAACAGTGGGTCCTTGGTCCTGGAGAACAGCTGGATGGACCGTCCCTCCTGGGAATACTCGAGGCAAAAGGAGGGCGAGGCCTCAAGAGGACCACGCAGAGCAAGAAATACCTGGGGAGAACCCTAGTGCCCGGACCCCTTTGAACACAAGGGAAGATAGTCTCCCCTCAGCCAGCCCTCCAGGGCTCCTTCATTTTCCACAGCTGCCCAAGGGCAGCAGGCTCCCCCGGACAAGGGACCATGTGTGTTCAGTGGGGCCCACAGCGACCATCAGGACCCAGCTTAGGGCACAGAGGTGTTCTGAGGACCGTCAGTGGATCTGTACCAGTGGCTCTATACCAGTGGCTCTGCCAGGACCAGGCTCTGCCCCATCGGGATGGGAAACCTGGGCAGATTTGGGATCTAGGGCAGGGAGGTCACAGGGTTCAGGCCTGAATTCCAGCACAGCACACGGCAGGGCTGAGAGCAAAACTCAGGATCATGTCCGGATTCCCAGGCCGGTTACTGCCTCTCTGACCCCAGACGTCTCATCTGTCGAATGGGGACATTTGGGAACAGCACCCACTCTACGAAGCCACCATGGAGACGAAAGAGCCAATCGTCTACACGGGCAGTGTAGAACGGGCGCCTGGTGAGTGCTCAGGGATGACCCTCCTCGGTAGCTGCCCCACAGAGGCCAACACCGCCCGCACCGTAGCCACTGCCCCCAAGTCCGCCTGGAGGGAAGAGAGCAGGTCACGCTCACCTGATTCTGATGAATCAGCTGGCCTGGGTCATGCCTCTCAGGGAGAAAACCTTTGAGTCCACAGAGCTGCTCACAGATACCACTGCCTGTGTGTAACTGCTGTAGACCACTGAGGCAGACCAGAGAGCAGATAGGTGCTAAGCACCAGTGACATTCTGAGGTCATGGCACGAATCACAGTGGGGCCTTGCCCGGGTCAGCAGTGCCCAGAGTCAGGGTCCTCCGCTGCCTGAGGCGTCAACATGCCTGCCTGCAATGTGTTTGTGCACGTGCGTGCACATGTGTATGTGGGTAAACACATCTGTGCACGTTGTGTGCTGCTTCTCTGGCCAGGCCCGGCTGCCCCACTCATGTGTGCACCCAGTTCCTCATCACTGTCACCCCCGAGGCCCAGGGCCAGCATCAGAGCATCCATGGCTGCTCCCTAACCTCAGCCCTCCCTGCCCAGGGTGGTCCTGGGATACACATAGGGGTGGAGGGAAGTGACTGCTGCTGTTGGATCTCAGAATACAAAAGCTAGTACTATTACCTAATGGTCTTTTTAGTGTCTCTAATGGTATCGCTTTTTCATTTCTGATATTTTAACTGGGTATTTCTCTCCATGACCCTTGGATATTCTAGCTAGAGGATCCTGTGGGGAAAGTGCCGGGCACACAGTAGGGGCTCACTCTTCTAGACATGTTATCTAAAACCTGGTTCATCTGTCCTTCCACACAGGGCCTAGGGGATGCCAAATTCCAGGGGCCAGAAAGAGCTTGGGATAAAAAGAAACTTCAAGGGGACGGCTTTGACCTGGGCTGAGTCTGCCTGTGCCATCCAACTGGAGTCTCAAGTCCTGAGGCAGGACGTCCAGATGCCCCAGTGCAGGGTCCTCCTGATCAACACCTGCTCCCCTGTACTCATTAGCAACCTCACCCACCCTACTCTCAAAGCACACTTGGCTCTCGTATCCAGGAGCTCTGCATCTGTAGATTCAGCAACAGCAGATGGAAAATATTCAGAAAATAAATTGGACGGTTATGTTTCTATTGAACATGTGCAGAGTTTGTTCTTGTCATTATTCCCTAAAGAATCCAGTATCACGATCATTTATGTAGCATCTGCATTGTATTACACATCATGAATAATCCAGGGATGGTCTAATGTCTACGGGAGGATGTGCATAGCTGATATGTAAATACTAGGCCATGTTATGTCAGAGACTTGAGGATCCATGGATTTTGGCATCCCCGGGGACCCTAGAACTAATCCATGGATACCAAGGGATGACTGTATAAACTCACTCAGGAAGGCTTCTCATTGGAGGAAGGTCCCAGTTCAGGACACACAGGGACATCTCCCTGGACTACTGTCCATTCATCCATCCATTCATCCATTGTCTCCCCCCACCCCCGCATCTCGGACTGTCCCAGTGACAGCCCTAGCAAGAAGAGACAAGAAACAAGTTCACGTTGTCCAGTTTTGAGGTAATGGAAGAAGTTGCACCAGTATGAGAATAGTGGGTCAGTTTTCTACAGGATGCAGAAAGCATATCGGGCAGCCTCGGGGTGCGGAAAGGAGCCTGGCCTCTCTAGCAGCCACACAGGCCTGCAGTAGGATGGGGCTGTGGCTGGCCATGTGGATCACTTGGGCCTCATGAGGGGAAAGGAAATACCAGGGGGGCAGAAGAGGAGCATGGGGGCAGCTGGTTGCCTAAGGAGAAGGCACCTCAGGGAAGGGGACTGTATTCATTTGTTTTCACACTGATGTAAAGAAATACCTGAGATTGGGTAATTTATAAAGGAAACAGGCTTAATTGACTTGCAGTTCCGGAAACTTACAATCATGGAAGAAGGGGAAGGGGAAGCAGGCACCTTCTTCACAAGACGGCAGGAGGGAGTGAGTGGAGAACCAGTAAGTGCCACACTTTGAAACTATGATCCTCCTACCTCAGCCTCCCAAGTAGCTGGGACTACAGGCACATGCCACCACACCCAGCTAATTTTTGTACTTTTTATAGAGACGAGGTATTGGCATGGTGCCCAGGCTGGTATCAAACTCCTGGACTCAAGCAGTCCACCTGCCCCAGCCTCCCAAAGTGCTCGGATTATAGGCATATCAGCCAGCTGATGGAGCATCTTTAATATCATATTTTTACTGTAACTTTTCTATATTGAGAAATGTTCAGGTATACAAATACTATTGTGTTATAATTGCCTATGGTATTCAGTACAGTAACATGCTGTACAGGTATTTTGTAGCCTAGGAGCAACAGGGTATATACCATGTAGGCTAGGTGTATATAGCCTAGGACATACTGTGTAGGTTTCTGTAAGTACATTCTATGATGTTCACATATTGATGAAATTGCCTGACAACATATTTCTCAGAACATATCCCTGTTGTTAAGCAACACATGACTATTCCCTTGATTTTTTATTTTTTCAGAGACAGGATCTTGTTCTGTTGCCCAGGCTGGAGTGCAGTGGTGCCACGATTGCTCACTGTAACCTCAAACTCCTGGGCTCAAGTGACCCTTCCCACTTCAGCCTCCTGAGTAGCTGGGACTACAGGCACATACCACCACACCCGGCTAATATTTTTGTATTTTTTGTAGAGGTGGGGTCTCGCTATGTTGCAAGCTGGTCTTGAACTCCTGGGCTCAATCAGTCCTCACATCCTGGCCTCCCAAAGTGCTAGGATTACAGGCGTGAGCCACCACACCCGGCCCAGACTCTTTAAGTTGGCAAAATATTCAGTTATGGAAAGCAGAATGCTGGAGGATGACCAAAGGGATAATGAGTCCTGATTCATGTTGACCCTATGACTTACTGCAGGTTGAGTGTCCCTTATCCAAAATGCTTGGGACCAGAAATGTTTTGAATTTCATATTTCTTTTGGATTTTGGAATATTTGCATTATACTTACTAGCTGAGCATCTATAATTGCAATATCCAAAATCTAAAATGTTCCAATGAGCATTTCCTTTGAGCATCACGTTGGCACTCAAAAAGTTTCAGATTTTGGGTGGGAATTGAACAATGAGAACACTTGAACACAGGGCGGGGAACATCAGACACCAGGGCCTGTCATGGGGTAGGGGGCTGGGGGAGGGATAGCATTAGGAGAAATACCTAATGTAAATGACGAGTTAATGGGTGCAGCAAACCAACATGGCACATGTATACTGATGTAACAAACCTGCACATTGTGCACATGCACCCTAGAACTTTAATTAAAAAAAAAGAAAGAAAGAAAAGAAAAAGTTTCAGATTCTGGAGCATTTCAAATTTCAGATTAGAGATATTCAACCTGAACACAGCTTCAAATAAGGCTAATTTATTTATTACATGGATCCTGACCTTGAGTTAAGTATTCAGAACAAAAATAAAATGTCCCAGCCTGGATAGAGTGACAATACTTTCTCTCCATTTCTATCTCAAGCTATTAAAGATTACCTGCGGCAGCATTCTTTTGTTGGAACTTGGTTAAATACATGTTCATTCCTTTCTTAAAGTCCTGAGAAAACACAATTTTTAAAATCCAGGGAAGTCAGATCTCAGAATTTATAGTATATTTGTATATTAGTAATCAAAAACAAATTTACTCAAATACTCAAGTATCAGATACACTGAAACACATATATCCTTCTGATGCCTACTGCCTTTTATTTAATAATGCGTACTCTATGCCTTCTATTCTTGCTCTTAAGTTTTATAACAGCCTCCCATTTCCACTCCCAAACACACCTGCACATCACTCATCTGAGAGACCACAGTAGTCAACTTCAAATAATTGAATTCTCATTCTTTTTGGTCATTAAAAAAAATGACAAGCCAGAAACTATTTGGGAACTTAATCCAAATAAAGTGAGACTTTTTTTCATGCAAAACTCTTATGATTTCACCATGAAAGAATGAAATACTTAAAGTTTTTTTTTTTTACCTTATCCCCAATGTAGTCATGCAGCATTCGGATGACAGATGCACCTTTGCTATATGATATAGCATCAAATATCTCATCAACCTCAGATGGATGGCCCACACTGACCTGGCAGACAGTGTGATTCAGGGTTATGACAGGAAGCAGATAGCCTGTAATACTGAATTACATAAAACGCTTTCTAGGAAAACCCTTCTAACTTACATTTTTCTGCCTTTAACTCACTCATAATGTATAACGATGGTCCTCAAAAAAATGTAGTAACTAATAATAATAAAGTTGAATAGAACATGATTCCTGTCATCCCTTAGAGCTTGGGTTCCAGTCCTGGCTTTGTTCTGCTGGGAAAGAAGCCACTATGGTTCTGTTTATTTTTGGGGTAGTTGCAGAGGAGTGATGAGGAAGACATGGAGGTGAAGAACATTAGATTTCTTGCACTAATTGTAATGAATTACAATTATATGGGAGCCTAATTAAATATGTTGAAGTAGGATTATAACTCTAGTTCTTTAGATACAAAATTTATATATATAAACTGAAGTAGGGATAGGCTAAGTCAAGAGAATTAAAGTATTCACAAAACAGACCCTGACAATAAAATATGTCCAGAATTTTCCTTGACATAAACAATGGAACCATAGTGTTACCCAATAGGTATGACTTCTCCCATACTACTCTTTTTCTTTTTTTTGGCAGAGTTTTTTGCTCTTGTTGCCCAGGCTGGAGTGCAATGGCACGATCTCGGCTCACCGCAACCTCTGCCTCCCAGGTTCAAGTGATTCTCCTGCCTCAGCCTCCCGAGTAGCTGGGATTACAGGCATGCGCCACCGTGCCCAGCTAATTTTGTATTTTTAGTAAAGACGGGGTTTCTCCATGTTGGTCAGGCTGGTCTCAAACTCCCGACCTCAGGTGATCCACCCGCCTCAGCCTCCCAAAATGCTAGGATTACAGGCGTAAGCCACTGCGCCTGGCCAGACCAATTTTTTTTTACTGCCTACCTTTAAAAGAAATGTTTAATTAGAACTTAGACTTACTAGCTTTTCAAGACTAGAAATATGAACCAGTAAAATCACCCATGCTATTTTCTCTTCTTTTCAAAGTCCAAAGTATCTATGTAACAAATTACGTATTTCATTGTAAATGAGAGCAGTCATAGGCTAATGGTTAGAAAGTATGGCTCACTTCAATAGGATGGCTGTTATCTAAGGCGTCAAGCTCCTGGGCACGGGTGTAATCAGCAGAAACAAACTGAGTCCAAATATCATACTCTGGGAAGCAGTGGTCTACACACAGATATTCAATCCAGGATGCAAAACCTTCATTTAACCAAAGATGAGTCCACCATTCCTAAAAACAGAAGATGAAAATACTTAAAGAAATTGAAATGATTGTCATTCTACTAATCTAAAACACTCACATGTCCCTTCCACTATATTCCAAAACTCACAATTTAATGACCTAAAATTCAGTTCAAAACATTTCGCAAAGAACTCACATTTCTGAAAAAGAGAGAAGACTAAAAGAGATGTCAAGAAAGGCCAACTGGTGATATTAGAATTATATCTGAGGGTCATTTTCTTTTCCTTTCTTTTTTTTTTTTTTTTTTTTTTTTTTTGAGACAAAGTCTTGTTTTGTCACCAGGCTGGAGTGTTCACCAGTAGCTGGGATTACAGGCATGTATCACTATGCCTGGCTAATTTTTGTATTTTTAGTAGAGATGGGGTTTTGCCATGTTGGCCAGGCTGGTCTCAAACTTCTGACCTCAAGTGATCCACCTGCCTCGGCCTCCCAAAGTGCTGGGATTACAGGTGTGAGCCACCATGCCTGGGCCAAAGGATATTTTCAAAACATTGTAAATAACTTCTCCCCCAAACCCAGACAGGGTCTCATTCTGTTGCCCAGGCTGGAGTGGCAGGGGCACCATCGTAGCTCACTGCAGCCTTGAACACCGGGGCTCAAGCAATCCTCCCGCCTCAGCCTGCCAAAGTGCTGGGATTACACACGTAAGCCAGTGCACTCAGTCCTAAGTAACTTTTTAAATACCAAAGGTAGAAAAGGAAGAAGAGGGAAAAAAAAAATAAGCCCATATATGGAAAAGGAAAAGACAGCAGATAAATATAGGCAAATAGAGGTGGAAAATATAATCACGTAGAATTTAGTATAGTAAAGGATTATCTCTGAAAAACAAAAACAGAAAACTATCAGAGCCAAATAAAGAAAAATGGAAATGACTGGGGAAAACCACTCACTAATGAGTTGAATGTTCAAGAGAAACTGAGAAAGAGTACTGCTTATATAAAAATTATGTGAAATTAAACAAAAATGTAGTTCAGTAATGAATGGTGTTTAAGCACTTATGGAATATGAAATTATCACCTGTTAAATAAGAATGCATAGTAAATGGAATGGACAAAGAATATGAGTGACAGATAAAATCAGTTTTTAAAAAATTTTAAAGATCTTAATCTAAATTTTATTAAAGTTGATTAAGCCTATTAGTGAAAGAAAGCAGGCCAGGCACAATGGCTTGCTCCTGTAATGCCAATACTCTGGGAGGTCAAGGCAGGAAGATCACTTGAGCCCAGGAGTTTGAGATAAGCCTGGGTAACACAGTGAGACTCCATCTCTAAAAAAATTAAAAAGTAAAAAAAAATTAGCTGGTCATGGTGACACACACCTGTGGTCCCAGCTACTTGGGAGGCTGAGGCAAGAGGATTACATAAGCCCAGGAAGATGAAGCTGCACTGACCCATGATTGTGCCACTGCACTCCGGCTTGGGTAACAAAGTGAGATCCTATTCTCCATCCCCAACCAGTCCCCCCAGAAAAGGCCAGGTGTGGTAGCTCATGCCTGTAATCCCAGCACTTTGGGAGGCTGAGGTGGGAGGATTGCTTGAGCCCAGGAGTTTGAGACCAGTTTAGGCAACAAAGTGAAACCCTGTCTCTACAAAAGGCAATACAGTGAAACCTTGTCTCTACAAAAAGTGCAAAAATAAGCTGGGCATGGTGCCACACACCTGTAATTGCAGCTACTCAGGAGGCAGAGACAGGAGGATTGCTTGAGCCCAGAGGTCAAGACTGTAATGAACCATGATTGTGCCATTGCACTCCAGTTTAACTGACAGAGTGAGACTCTGTCTTAAAAAAAAATTATTTTGATATTAAGTGATAAGTGGCTATTTGCCTAGTAGCTTCCTAAAATAAACTAGCATAAAATGAAACTTATTTTCCAACCTATCCCTAAGCCCTTGGAATTTCAGTTCTAATAACTAGAATAGTTACATAAAACCAGTAAAAAGTTGTTTAATAAGAATGTACACATTTCCCCTACTAAAATTTATTGCTTGTAGTTTCAAAATAAAATCATAAAGTTATCTCAAAGCCAAGCAAAAAAATTATTTGGTACAAAGTAGCAAACTCGCTGCATTAGAAGAAAAGGCCATTTCTTCACATATTTGAATACAGGCACCAACACATAGTTCCACATGAAATTATATTTCTTTTTTTTTTTTTTTTTGAGATGGAGTTTCGCTCTTGTTGCCCAGGCTGGAGTGCAGTGGCGTGATCTCGGCTCACTGCAACCTCTGCCTCCCAGGTTCAAGCGATTCTTCTGCCTCAACCTCCAGAGTAGCTAGGATTACAGGTGCATACCACCACGCCCAGCTAATTTTCTATTTTTTTTTTAGTGGAGATGGAGTTTCGCAACATTGGTCAGGGTGGTCTCAAACACGTGACCTCAAGTGATCCACCCGCCTCGGCCTCCCAAAGTGCTGGGATTACTGGCGTGAGCTACCGTGCCCGGCCTGAAATTATATTTCAAAGAATTTTTTTCACCTGTAAAATTTTAAACATCCAAAATAAAAGGAAAAGATTTATTTTCAAGGGTTGACTTTCTGTAGAAACTCTCTGAGACACGTAACAGTTGATAAATGTCTTACATTCTTATTTATATAACGTATGGACTCAATCTACATTCAAATCAGGTTCTGCTCTTTGGCAGCCTAAAATGTCAGGGAATCTAGCTGGCTCCAGAATATCCAGTTATTTAATTGCAGAGGTACATCTAGTTCACTTATTAAATCCTGTGCTCCCAAGCTCTAACACAGTTGGCATTCATAAATAGTATTTACTTAGAGTAAGAGTGAAAAATCAGGACTGAAGGACAGAGATCATTACTGCAAACATTATAAGGATTTCAACAGAACAGCTGGAATTTTAATACAGCTTTATTCTGCAGTCACTCTGCAGTTTGTTTACTTTTATTTCATTAAATTTCAACTTAACATTTTAGGCAATGAAAAAACTGACTCCTAAAAACATTTCTCTCTAATTAAAGATCAGTCTGTTATTCATCAGGTTACTTTTCAGCTGTGAGTCAGATTAACAAATAAGATTCAAGAAACTACAGTTAGCCTGGAATCTCACTGCATGATTCATTCATCTACACCTAAGAGGAATCTTTTCCTCTCACCCAAATTAGTATCTTGACTTTTCCCATTTGCAGACAAATTTTAGAACAGTTTAGGAAGTGTCTGTTGAATAAAGACTGTCCATATGCCCTTGTTCAATGCAGAGATTCTGATAAGCCCTTTCAAAGTGGACCTTTTAAAATAATACTTTTCTATCACTCAATTATTTTTTGGCACAGTGTTGCAGCCAAACTTGAAATACTATGTAGCCAAAATAATGTGGAGTAGGATGAAGATAAATATATTTGAGCACTTAAAAATATTAAATACCATAGTAACAAGATTTCCAAACCATTGATGGGCAAGTTCATGTCCCACAACCAGAGCAACCCACTGGCGGGATGAAGAACAGGAATTTTTTGGATCAATAAGCAATGCAGTCTCCCTATGTTTAAAAAAAAAAAAAGAGAAACAAATTTAAACAATAAAAGTGGGCATGCATAAGTTGGGAAGATTCAGACAGTAAGTCAGATGGACAAGTTAGGCTTTAGAGATATTAGGAAAATATTTCCTAATATGGAAAGAAAAAGTTTCACGAAGATTAAAGACTACCCCAACAGAATTAATACAACAGAATATCAAAGATGTGACACAAGTTTAATTATCAGTTTGTTGATAGAATAGCTGCCTGAAATTTTGGGAAAACATTGTCTAAGGGATTAGCGATTACTGTGCTAGATGGAGAGAGAAGAAAGTCCTTTCATTAAATGAGGGGAGTGGTGGAGGAAGATGCATTCCATAGTCCCAAAAACAGCACTGAGCCGGCCGTTCAACACTTAGCTCATCTAAGAAGGCAATTGAAAGTAGAAGGCAAAAACTTGTTTACAGACAGACTCTGCTTTTAAAAGTTATTCAACTCACATGTTTATGTTGTGGTGACAGACATGTAAAAACTTGGCTAGAAGATATGAAATTAGGGAAGGTTCTCCAAGCTGGATAAATAGCTGTGAAACTACTGGCAGGAAAGAAAGGCACTGCAATGAGAAACTTAGCCAAGAATATATCTAAAAATGCTACTACCGCCAGATGCTCACTTTAAAATCTTACACCCTCAGACAGTAGCACCAAAGGGAGAGGTGTCCATCTGCATTCTTGAAATGTGCATGGAAGTGGGGGAAGGTAGAAAAATTTACACCATATCGTAAAGCAGAAGCTACTCAACTGTGATTAGGAGGGAAGCCCTTTTGAAATCAGTGATTTGAAAAGATAAGGCAGGGTAATACATCATTAACATACCTATAAGTAACAAGGTCCCAGTTCTCCATGGCACCTTCACAAAATAAATATAAACATTTATTGAGATATATATATATATATATATATACTCTTGCATCAAAAGTCACAAAATTTTAAAAAGTTATTACAATTCAGCAATAAAATGAAATTTACTTTACCAGCTGCAAAGTCTGCAATAGCAATGAGATCAATTTTAGGTAGAGGATAAGGAACATTGAAGTAGTCCTTATAAAAAGGCAAGGTTTTAGCAGCAACCTATAAAAGTATAAACAAAATAACCATCTAATAAATATGTTATTATAATTCATATTGAAACCCACAAAGGAATCCTGTTGCAAGCCAATGTATCTTAAATTACTAGAAATGAATCCCAGGGAGCCCTACCTCCGAAGACTGCCTTAGCTCCAAACTTTGAATACAATGGCCAAACTTTAATCCATTTATAACTTGATATGAAAAATATAACTACATATTTTCCAACCCATTCCCTAGAGAAATTCCACTCTTATATTCTCTTAATTATTATTTTGTAAAATAACGAAACACCAAGGTTGGCATTTCCTAAATTCTATTAAAAATAAACCAAGTAGCACAACTTTCAGATTAAATTATAAATAACTGTACTAATAATTGACCAGAAATGTAAATTCCCCAACCTGGAGTTATGGACTGCTGGAACAATCCTCTTCAAGTACATTTACCTCTAATGCAAATTTTCCTTGTTCTGCTTTGCCAACAGGAGTGTAAACACAGACACACACACCATCTTTTGACCTTGTTTCTACAAAGTCATATTCACCCACAACAAATGCCACCAGATATGTAGATGTAACAGGTGTGCGGGCAAACTTCACTTCCACTAAATTTTCATCATCAGGGTATGGTTTCCGGTCAATTACATTCTTTAAGAAAGAAAAAAAAGAAAAATTTAAATAGGTTTACATTAATACCATAGAGCAAATACCAGCCAAAAACTGTAGGCTTTATTGCATCTCTTTCCCCCTTTCTATTCTAGCATGGCTTATTTCTCTACCCCAATTCATCCAGTGCTTTTATGCTGTCTTTAAGAAGGAAAGTGGTCTGATAAAACACTCATACTAAGAAGCTGGAGGCTGAAGTGTTAAAACTACCAAGGACCTGTGAGAGAAAAGAGGAATGGACTTTTCTCGAATACTTATTATAAGCCAGGCATTGGGATGATTTAAGTAAGGGCTTCATACTTTTCAACTGACATAAGTTTAGGAGAAAATGACTATTAATAAAAATAAAATAGGGGCCAGGCGCGGTGGCTCACGCCTGTAATCCCAGCACTTTGGGAGGCTTAGGCGGGCGAATCACAAGGTCAGGAGATCAAGACCATCCTGGCTAACATGGTGAAACCCCGTCTCTACTAAAAATACAAAACATTAGCCAGGCATGGTGGGGGGTGCCTGTAATCCCAGCTACTTGGGAGGCTGAGGCAGGAGAATGGCGTGAACCAGGGAGGCGGAGCTTGCAGTGAGCTGGGATCACACCACTGCACTCCAGCCTGGGCGACACAGCGAGACTCCTTCTCAAAAATAAATAAAAAAAATATAATATAATTGTAGAATCTCCCATTTCAAAGGATACAAACTTCTAGATCGAGGGCATTCTCTACCAAAGTTGGCTCTAAGCTTATTTGTGAAGAAATTTCAACTTTACCTTTGGAGTCCCTAATTTCCTTTGGTGTTCTCCCTCTTTTTCCTATTCAGGCTCCATTTCCTCAAGCTCTCTCTATTCTTCCTTCCAAGGAAGACTTATTCAAGAACACACTGATAAATTCACTCATACTAAAGTGTGAATGAATATTTCTGCTTAATGTATTAGCCTCCTCTTCTAAGAATATGTGTGAAGAGAATGACATTCTATTTATGGGATGCTCTCCCCCAGTAAATACATAAAAGAGTTATTTTCAGGTGCAGCAGGTTTTTCCAAGTTCCCCACACAAGACAGTCCTAGACAACACACTTCAAGTGGGGAATGCTTACCCTGTTCATGAATGAGATCAATAACACTGGTGAAGAGAATACATTCCAAGAATACAAACAGCCAGAAACCTAAATATACTTCATTATGCAGCTACATCTTTTGAATTTTTTTAACTTTTTAAAAAGATAGAGACAGGGTCTTGCTCTGTTGCAACCTTTTTTTTTTCCCCCCGAGATGGAGTCTTGCTCTGTCACCCAGGCTGGAGCGGAGTGGCGCGATCTCAACTCACTGCAGCCTCCGCCTCCCAGGTTCAAGCAATTCTCCTGCCTCAGCCTCCCAAGTAGCTGGGGTTACAGGTGCCTGCCACCATATCTGGCTAATTTTTGTATTTTTAGTAGAGATGGGGTTTCACCATGTTGGCCAGGCTGGTCTCGAACTCCTGGCCTCAAATGATCCACCTGCCTCAGCCTCCTGAAGTGCTGGGATTACAGGTATGAGCCACCATGCCTGGCCTATTTTTTTTTTTTAAGAGATGGGGTCTTGTTCTGTCACCCAGGCTGGAATACAGTGGCGCAATCATGGCTCCCTGTAGCCTCAAACTCCTAAGTTCGAGAGATCCTCCCACATTAGCCTCCCAAGTAGTTAGGATTACAGACACCTGCCACCATACCTGGCTAACTTTTAAGTTTTAAATCTTTTGTAGAAATGAGGTCTCACTATGTTGCCCAGACTGGTGTCAAACTCCTGGCCTCAAGCAATCCTCCTGCCTTAGCCTCCCAAAGCACTGAGATTACAAGCAAGAGTCACTGTACCTGGCTTTCTTATGACATTTAATAAGTCAAGACCTTTTTCTTTTTTTTTTCTTTTTTTTTCTGAGATAGGGTCTGGCTCTGTCACCCAGGCTGGAGTGCAGTGGTGTGATCTCAGCTCACTACAACCTCCGCTTCCTGGGTTCAAGTGATCCTCCCACCTCAGCCTCCCAAGTAGCTGGGACTACAGGTGTGTGCAACCACACTCAGATAATTTTTGTATTTTTAGTAAGGACAGGATTTCACCATGTTGGCCAGGCTGGTCTTCAACTCCTGACCTCAAGCGATCTGCCTACCTTGACTTCCCAAAGTGCTGGGATGACAGGTGTAAGCCACCATATCCAGCCCAAGACTTTTGCTTTTAGTTACTATAAATCTATTAAACTTGTCAATTTACCTCTCTAAATTAAAAGAAGTAGATAATCTTATAAATGTATTTAACAAGGAATTTGACAAGGAGAAAATCCTCCAAAAATAAAGCTATCAAGAAAAAGAGGTCTTGGCTGGGCATGGTGGCTCATGCCTCTAATCCCAGCACTTTGGGAGGCTGAGGCAGGAAGACAGATTGACCCCAGGAGTTTGAGACCAGCCTGGGCAACATAATGAGACCCCAACTCTACAGAAAAAAAAAAAAAGAAAGAAAAAGAGGCTTATTGAAAATAAAGAAAACTATTATTTATGTTCCTATAATATACCAGCACTGTGGTAGGTGGTTTCATATTATCCCATCTAATCAGCAAACTAAATCTGCTAAAGCCTATTAAAATTTTAGATAAACTTATAAACACATACATACCATGTTTGATAAAGCTACTCTGTCTTTAGGAACAACCAATGAGATATCAAAAGTTGCTTTGATAGCAGGCTCATCCCAGCAAGGAAAAGCCCTTCGGGCATCAGTAGCCTTAAGAAAAGAATATGAAATATAAATACCTTAGAATTAACCTAACAAGTTATTTCATAAAGCAGTCGCCATTTCCCTCTGTCATTCATTCATTCCCTTGTTCAAATATTTACTTTCTCTTCAGTGCCAGGCAACAAGCTAGGCATTAACTAGAAAGAAAAGACAACACTTGCTACCACTGCCATTCCAGCAAATATCCAGGAACAGTGTCTGCTATGGATTTTAACAATATATTATAATTATTTACAACTAAATTTTTGTTTACATTTTAACATTTCAAATTTAATGCAAATGCCTTCAAATCAATAATGTTAACACAACACAGAGCACAGAACAGTAAAGAGTATGCTATAAGAATTCAAAGTTGGGAAAACATGGTAAGTTGCCTCTCTGGCTTTTATTTTTGAATTAAAAATAAAAATATTCTCAATCTTTGATGTGCTTTGTTCTTTATCTGGAATGGCAGCAATGGGAATAAAGACAGATGCTCTATCAATTCAAGACAGGTCATTCATTTAATGGCACTTCCATATGCTACACATAAAACTGTCGCCACTTGACCTACTTGAGTCCTTACTCTTTCATTAAAAATTTAAAAAAGAGCAACCTTATGAAAGCAAAATAAAACTTAGGGGTTCTGCAGGGTATCAGTTATAAAGGAAAGACACTTCAGTAAACAGAATTTTCCATTTATTTAGTAAATAAAATGGAACCAATGACAAGATACTGTATCATAAAAAGAAACAACAGACTGGGTGCAGTGGCTCATGCTTGTAATTCCAGCACTTTGGGAGGCCGAGGTGGGCGGATCACCTGAGGTCAGGAGTTCGAGACCAGCCTGGTCAACATGGTGAAACCCCGTCTCTACTAAAAATACAAAAATAAGCCAGGCATGGTGACACATGCCTGTAATCCCAGCTACTCGGGAGGCTGAGGCAGGAGAATGGCTCGAACCTGGGAAGCGGAGGTTGCAGTGAGCCAAGATTGCACCACTGCACTCCAGCCTGGGCGACAGAGCAAGGCTCCGACTAAAAAACAAACAAACAAACGAACAAACAAACAAACAAACAAACCAAAGAGGTAGAAGAAACTTGGCTGACTACATTCTCAAAAACATTAAATAAATAATGAATTCTATCAATGAATAAAAAAGACATCTGAAAAGAAGGGAGAGTATAAGGAAAGAAATGGCAGCACAGAAGCATTTAAATTAGAAGCAGCAGCAGTAGAGAAATGAATTTATACTAAAGGAAATTAATGACAGATAACAAGATTTAAGTTTGAAAATATCTAAAGGACAAAGTGATAAAAGCAATTAAACATAATTTGAGAGACAGATACTAGAGCTAAACTGAGTATTAACTGAGAAGGGAATGGAATGGATATCACAGTGAAGATATAACAGAAAAACTCTTTCACACTGAAAAATTACCTGAATCTAAAAATCAATAGGGTTCACCAAGTACTATGCAAAAATCAATGAAAAGTGAACACCTGGTTTAAAAAACAGTTTAATTTTCGATATCAAGATATAATTTAACAAGCAAGCAGGAAGAAAATAAAGCAAAACGAAACAACATCTTACCTACAAAGGAAGAAGAAACATTTTAGTCTGTGACCCCTCCTCTTGAAAAAGTGAGATGTAGAAGACTTTGGAAACAATATTCACAGACTTTTGAAAGTGAAAAATTGTAAGCTGATTGTACTACTCTTACAATTGAATGAGCTGGGCCTATTACTCATGGCAAGAGAGAACTCACACCACAGGGAACCACTGGTGTCTCCATAAGAATGTAAGAAAGAACCCACTATACGATTTGGGATTTGGTTTACATGATTTGGAAGAGGGTCTAAGTAAACAGGGATTCACTCTAGATTGAGTGCTGCAAGAAGTCCTATGAGGCAATTCTATGGGTATGTATCTCAATAAATCTTATCTATACGGAGGCCAGACTAGAGCAAATCTAAAACCGTAATTGGTAAAGAAGCAGTAGTCACTCATTTTAACTGAGAGATGGAGATGTTTGATATTTTGCGGGTAGCATAGTGATCCTGTATGTACTGTACCTAGGCAAAATTATGGATCCCTTGTTTTGTCTCACTTTATTATGGTCTCAAGTAGCCTTGTCTAAAGTTGGTATTCTGTAATATTATGTCTAATAGGGAGAATAACACGGGCTAGCTGTGAGTGCCAGACAACCTCTGGATGTCAAAAGTTGCTCTTTTTACCTTTTTTCATCAACAAATCTATATACCCAGTAAATCTGGTCATGTATAAAGGCAAATGAAAGATTTTTCAGAAAAGCAAAGGTTTAGGAATTACATTACCCACATACCTTCTCCTAAAAAAAAAATTGTTTAGAGACATACATCAGCCAACCATTCCAGGATGAAGTGTTCAAAGTGGGTAGAGAAAGGCATTGGAATCATTCAAACACAGAATTAAACCTAAATATCTGTGGCAAATATTATTCTAAACAGAAGGTAACATAAAATTATTGAAAGAGAAGATACATCAGGTAAAACAAATTAGTAGTAAACTGGATAAAAAATTTTAGGTTATCCCAAACAAGCAAACAATATAGGGATATGGGCAGAAACATAAGAATGGATATCATGAATTGTTTCTTTATCCATACTGAAATTTATAGAAATAAATTTAATTAGATTTAACACTTAAAAATACGACTAGCAGATTCAAAACAATTTATATAATTTGCAAATACCTGACAAATAAAAATCATCCTGGCCTACGTAGGACAGCAAATATATATATGTGTGTATATATATATGTATACACACACACACACACACACACACACACACACACACACAGAGAGAGAGAAAAAAAATCAAAGACAGCACAGATACTACAGTAAGATAAACAAAAGATGTCAAAGAAGGAAAGGAATTCTAGAAAACAGCTAATAATACTGTAGGAAAAGCCATAGGTGTCAAATACTAAGAGAATGATTTTAAGAAAGGTACACAGTATATAGGCAATTCAGGTATCAAAATGTGTCGTGTGTTTGAATGTCTGTGTGTATAACTGTATATAATCATTCCCCAACCCATACCCTTAATTCCCTCCTTTCTATAGAGATAATGGCTAAATATAAAATAAAAATTCTAAAATTGTGAATACAATCATGGCCAAGGGCACCTAGCCTCAAATAATCACCCCACATAATAAACACACCTTTGTCAGAATGCCTAATTTAAGAATAATAATATTTTAGAGAAGAATAACCCATACCTCAAACTGTGTTACAGCAGCATAGCGCACCTCTCCAGAAGGGGTAGTATACTTACTTCTATAGAAACCTTTCATTTTGTCATTCAGCTCTCCAACAAAATCTATCTTTAAGGTTCCTGTACCTGTGATTGAAGATAAATAAAAAACACTTTTATGGAGATGTTAAACACAGTTACCAAAAATATGTCCTCAAGACACTATATTCAGTTAGCTATTTACAATGTTCAAATCATTCCTTCCTTTTTCAAATATTCCTCCTGGCAATGGAGAGAATACAGTACTTACTAAAGTAAAAGGCAGACTAATCCTAAAATAACTCTTGAAAGTCATGTTTAGGGTGACTGCCTAAAAAGTTATTAACTTAGTCTCAAACTACCAATATGTGAAAATAAGAACAGGAAAGGAAACAAACATTTATTCTTAAATGCCTGATATGTGCTATTGTGCACAGTGCTTTTAAAATATATATAACTATTTATAAACCTGGAAGTAGATATTGTCCTCATTTTTTCAGATGAGGAAACTGAGGCTGAGAAGCTAAATAACTTGTCCAGTGTCATAAAATTAGTAAGTAGTGAGAATGGGATAAAATGTTAAGTCCAGAATTCATGCTCTCTGCCAATTATACATGTGAATTGGTCCTTTTACACAACTTCATGCATAGAAAGAGAAATGTAGCCAATTACTCTATCAAGATAAGACACTAAATGTTTACTCCAAATGGAACACTGATTGCATAATTTTGTAAGGAGCTATAGGGAAGACCAATGATTTGATCAGCAACAGGGCATAAAACAAATTCTTACAAGTCACCTCAATCATTTGAAATCTGACAAAGAAATACATTTAATTAATAAATTATTAAATGCAAATAAAAATACAACTTAAATATGTATTCTATTGTATAAGAGCAAAAACAATTTAGACAAAAAAGTGAGCTTTTTTGAGTTTATATACTTTCTTTTTTATAACATAAAAAATTATAATTATTATCTAGTAATCATCTGCTAAATACAGATGCATGGCAAAACAGTAATCCCATTCTGTGTTTTACAAATCAAGTCACGAAAAAACGTAGAGGAATGGTGACTTTTTAGTTGACCATTTTAAAGGCCCTACGTATATCAAGATTTAAAGCATGGGAAGTCTAACAAATCAAAGATAGGGCATGACTATAAAGTAATTAACCAATCATACCAAACTTTTATATCCTAATGTTTCAAATTGTCATTTTGGAACGCTAAAGAGCAATGACATTTGACATTGTTCAAAATGTTGTGACTTTCTCTTTCTCTCTTTTTTTTTTTTGAGACAGAGGCTCACTCTGTTGCCCAGGCTGGAGTACAGTGGTGTGATCTCGGCTCACTGCAGCCTCCGCCTCCTGGGTTCAAGCAATTGTGCCTCAGCCTCCTGAGTAGCTGGGACTACAGGCGGGCACCACCACGCCTGGCTAATTTTTGCATTTTTAGTAGAGACAGGGGTTTGCCATGTTGGCCAGCTGGTCTTAAACTCCTGGCCTCAAGTGATCCACCCACCTTGGCCTCCCGAAGTGCTGGGATTACAGGCATGAGCCACTGTGCCCAGCCCCTCTGACACTCTTTTGAATGATCTCAAAGTCAAATCTTCATCTTATAAAATTGAATTTGCTTTTGGAAAGGACCAAAAGTTATGGGGAGTGCGAGTCTACAGAATAAGTGAATGACAAACTACAAACTGTCTCTAGCCTGATGCCTCAAACTGGTTCTGAAAGTAATTTAAGTGAAAATTTCAGACCTTTAGAGCAAAGTCACCACTAATGAAAGTGCTATATTCTTAATCATTCTGAGAAAAAAACAACTCAACTGAAGCTTAATTGAATAGACATTTGTGATGTTTATTTTTTAGAAATCAGATATTTGTAAATATCTAAAGAGGACAATGAATACTTTTTTCTTTAAAGAGAATGACAGGTTACTGGGACAGTATATATGGATATAGTAAAATAATTGATAATTCTAAATGATACTAAAAAATTAAACTATAAAGCAAAATTTAAATTAAAAATTTTTAATTTCTATTTTCTTTAGAAGTTCACTTAATTTTTTTAAAAAAGCAAATGTATTCACATTAATAAAGTTTGCAAAGAACGTCTAACAGATTATAAAAACCTACTACCTTTAATGGAAACTATATGATGGAATTTTATGTTACAATTCCATAAGTGGAATTGCCCAGTCTGTTTCACTAAGTCAGTCAACTGTTAAGATGTTTTTTAAATATAATTCATATTTCATGGTAAATCTACTTGCATTTTTTCCTAGTTGGAACATAAGTGGTTTTAAAACTCATAACTAAATAAGAAAGACTGCTTACACTTTTACTCGGTTTTAAATCTCCAAGGCCATCAAACCATAACAAGATATTGACAGTGACCACTTCCAAAAAGTGGCATACTAAACAAAATACAAAGTATTGGAAAGAGTTATTACCTGAAATTCAAACAAAACACAAGTTAAAGTATTTAAAAATCATTAATAAGTTTAATTAGTGTCACATTATATGATACCAATTACAAAGTATTTACTTACTATTCATATAGTAGAATTTTAGGGCAAGTAGGAGAAAAAATGACTTTTTAATAAATTTCATTTATCAAATTTACACCATATTAATGAACGGATTGCCAAATTGTCTAATTTTATACCTATCAACACACATAATTTACACCACTTCCTCAAATTAGATACCTTATTTCATATCCAATGTATGAAATATTTATGTTTGGGGTTGTAAACCTTTTGAAACATACATCAAGCTCGTTTATAAAGTAAACAACTGAAAAATTGGGACTTCCATCAAAAACCTTAAATGTTTAAAGCTTAGGAGAGTATAACAATTGTAAAACCTGGAGTAAATCTTGAAATACTTTAATAATAAGAAATTTAATGAGTCTACTAAATGCTATAAAAATAAAGAGATTAATTTATACAAAAAGGGAATAAAGATCGTTGCCTTTGTGTCACCACCTCTTTTTTTCTTTGGAAAATGGAGTCTCAGTCTCAGTCTGTCACCCAGGCTAAAGTGCAGTGGTGCAATCTCGGCTCACTGCAACCTTCGGCTCCCGGGTTCAAGCAATTCTCCTGCCTCAGCCTCCTGAGTAGCTGGAACTACAGGCGTGCGCCACCAGGCCTGACTAATTTTTGTTTTTAGTAGAAACAGGGTTTCGCCATGTGTCACCACTTTTTATTATCTTGTTTTTGACTCTTCAAAATGCTGACAACTACCAGTGTTTCTCCATATAAATGCCACCCTCAGGACCCTCAGCCACTAATTCTAAGGTTGTTAGACCTTACAATAATTATGGTAATTTAATCACTATCCCAGAATGGTGCCAATTTCAGAAAAGTAGGTTTTACTTAGCTGTATAATAGCTTGCATTACTGTTAAATTTGATGAGGCTAAACACAAAGGTTATTAATGTCCTCCTAAGATAAGCTCAGTATTTGCTTCATTATCAGATAGATCACTTGTGCAATCTGTCTTGAAAAAGATTAACTTCATTTTTAAAGCAAACCTTGGGAAAATGTGAAAGCCAATGGTTTCAAACAGATATTCAATAATTCAATATTGTCGGCTGGGCGTGATGGCTCACACCTGTAATTCCAGCACTTTGGGAGGCCGAGGCGGGAGGATCACGAGGTCAGGAGATCAAGACCATCCTGGCTAACACAGTGAAACCCCATCTCTACTAAAAATACAAAAACAAAATTAGCCGGGCGTGGTGGCGGGCAGCTGTAGTCCCAGCTACTCGGGAGGCTGAGACAGGAGAATGGCATGAACCCAGGAGGCAGAGCTTGCAGTGAGCTGAGATCGCGCCACTGCACTCCAGCCTGGACGACAGAGCGAGACTCCATCTCAAAAAATAATAATAATAATAATTCAATATTGTCACACCTGCAAGATAATTTTTCTGTTCTAATATTTATATCAGTTGTTATATTAGCTCAAAATTGTTATATTGGCCAAAAATATCAAAAATTATGTTAAATCATACTATACTAATGGTCATAACCTTCTCTAACTTGTTTGTTATTATTTGAAATAGCTTCACCATTTAGCATGTCTGCTGTAAACAGACCTTATCAAGAATGATACATCTCTTATATACTAGTAATAAATGGCCTCCAATATTTACAGTTAAGGGGAAAAGAAGAAAGGTGCAGAACATTATGTATGGCATGGTGATTTCTGTGTTCTTAAAAAGTATATATATAAATGCTTACAAAAGCAGGGTATAGTTTTGAAAGGAAAATTTCATTTCATTCTGTTGAGGAATGGAGCTGAGAAAGAAGACAGGGTAGACTGGCAAACAAAATTTCATTGCATAGCATTTGAATTTCAAATTATGTAAATGTACTATGTTTTTGAAATATTTAATTTGAAAAATAAAGATAGCACAATGTGGTGGTTAAAAGTGCAGACTTTTGAGTTAAACTGCTTGGGTTTAAATCCCAGCTATGTTACTTACTAGCTATGTTACCTTGGACAAATTATTTAAGTTACTGAAATCATTTTTCTGCCTTAGTTTATCTACAAAATAGAAGTAACAGAATCTGGCTGGCGTAGTGGCTCATGCCTGTAATCTCAACATTTGGGAGGATGGCAAGATCCTCTCTCTGAGGTAGGAGGATCACCTGAGGCCAGGCATTTGAGACCAGCCTAGGCAACATAACGAGACCCTGTCTCTACAAAAAAATTTAAAAATTAACCAGATGCACTGTCATGTGTAGGCAGTCCTAGCTACATGGGAGGCTGAAGTGGGAGAATCACTTAAACCCAGGAGTTTGAGGCTGCAGTGAGCCGTGACTGCACCACTATACTCCAGCCTGGGTGACAGAGAGACTTTGTCACAAAACAAATCTACCTCAAAAGGTTGTTGAAAGGACTAAATAAATTAATATTTTTGAGGCACTTAAAACAGTACTTGGCACAGATTATGTCGTGTGTGTGTGTGTGTGTGTGTGTGTGTGTGTAATACATATCTTCTATCATGTTAGAAGTTTCTGTCTACTCTTCCCTGGTGAATTCTAGCAAATAAACTGATTCCTTTTGATAAATATAGAATGTTTAACTTTTTAAATTTAATGAAAAATGGTTACCATATTTCCTAATGCTGAACAACAATTCAATCTACGCTTTTATTTTCTATACTGGCTAGGTTTATATATCTTTTGGGACTATTTTTAAATATCAGTTTTTTAATATTTCTGCCCCTCACTTCACTTATTTCATTTGTTTCTGCTCTTAAAACTTTCTTCTACTTTCTCCAAGTTACCTTTTGTTTTTATGAGTTTAATGCTTAGCTAATTAATTTTCAGTCTTTCTTCTTAACTAAATATTCTAATATTTTATCTGCATATGAAACATGTTTATCCCTAATGTTTCATATGTGGTAATTTCATTATTCAGTTCTAAATATTTTCTAATTTCCATAACAAGTCTTCTTTGACTCAATTATTCAGAGGTATAATTTTTTCAAATATATAAAAAGGGATTTTTTTCATTTCTCTTTTTCTATTGACTTCTAATTTTTTCACAGTGTAAACACAGAATATATATAGTCTGTAATGATATAGATTTAAAACTCTAAAATTTTTTAAATTTCTATCAAAGTAATAGTTCACAGTTTAAAATACGTAAGCTCCAGGCCCTGCTCAACACTAGGCCCTACTCCCCACACCCTGCCCCTAGAAGCAATCAATTTCAAACTCTGTGACTTCTAAATGTCTTGCTTACACAGCTATTTTTTCTTTTCCTTTCTTTGAGACAGTCTTGCTCTGTCGCCCAGGCTCGAGGGCAGTGGTACAATCACGGCTCACTGCAGCCTTCAATTCCTGGGCAAGCAATCCTCCCACCTCAGCCTCCCAAAGTGTTGGGATTACAGGCATGAGCCACGACCACGGCCTATTTCTTCATTTTTCAACTTTAGACATTTTCTCTTCACTGTAGAAAGTCATGCTTTAGCTAATCCATCCCCCACTCCAATATCTTTTACAAAGAATCAAATTTTCTATGACCTTGCAAATCTGAAAATATTTTTACTCCGAAATTCAAAGTTGGGCTAAGCATGCAATCTTAGGTTGAAAATCAGATTCACTTTGTATTTTGAATGAACAGCTTCATTAGAGTCTAAGTTTCCACTGTTCCTAATGGTAAGTCTAGGACTATTCTGATTCCTAAATTTTAAAGGTAGTATGCCACCTGCCTTCCCTCCTATTGCCCCCTATCCCAGACAGGAACTTTCTGGGAGTTTTACTTTATCGCAGAAGTTCTAAAATTTCAGTCAGTGTGGCAATTTTTACATTTTTTAAGCTAGTCTCTCTCAATGGTGTACCTTTGCAAACTGAAGGCTCCTGCTCTATCAGTTCAAGGAAATGTTCCTGTCTTTTTGAGTTTCTCTTCTGGCCGGGCACAGTGGCACACGCCTGTAATCCCTAGCACTTTGAGAGGCCGAAGTGGGCACATCACCTAAGGTCCGGAGTTCGAGACCAGCCTGGCCAACATGGTGAAACCCCAACTCTACTAAAAATACAAAAATCAGCTGGGCGTGGTGGTGTGTGCCTGTAATCTCAGCTACCCAGGAGGCTGAGGCAGGAGAATCACTGGAACCCACGAGGTGGAGGCTGTGGTGAGCCGAGATTGCACCACTGCACTCCAGCCTGGGTGACAGAGCAAGATTCTGTTGCAAAAATGAAAATTAAAAAATCCTCTTCCCATTTCCTCTGCTTTCTGTTTTACTAGATGGATGTTGGTTCTGCTGGACTGGTTCTCAAATCTATTTTTCTGTTTTCTATCTGTTTTTTCTACTGCTTGGAAGTTTCCTCAACTTCATCTTTAACACTTTTACTGGGTTTTTTATACCTATCATAATTTCCAAGTTTTCCTGCTGTAATTCTTCCTATCTGATGGCATTCTGTCCTGTCCTTGTTTAATGCACGCAATGCTTTCTCTTAACTCTCTAAGGATAGTAATTAGCTATGGGTTTGTTTTTTTTTTAACTTTCTTTAGATTTGTCTTTGCTTTTTCCAACTTCCTTTATTTCTATTATACTTATAATTTTGCTTTTTGCCCTATCTTTCATTAGAAACTTTTCGCAAATGTCTGTTAAATGCTACCCCAGTGACTTTGGGCTTGGTCATGCTACTTGCTTTGGTCAATGAAATGTGAGTAGACATCAAGTATACCACCATCACACAGAAATTTTATTTTTTATTTTATTTTTTATAGAGACAGGGTCTCACTACATTGCCTAGGCTGGTCTCGAACTCCTGGGCTCAAGCAATCCTCCTGCCTCAGCCTCCAAAAATGCTGGGATTACAGGTGTGAGTCACCACGCCTGGCCATGCAGAAGTTTTAAATGTGTCTTTGTGGTCTAGCTTTCTCCCCATCCCTGAGCCTCTGCCCTCTGCCATGCATGATACAGAGAGTGGCTGCTCGCTGACTACTAGTCCTGGAAAGACAGTTGGGAGCCAAGTGGAGCCAGCAGAGTTGGTGATATGGCTGCATATGATCAGCAGTCCTCATGGCCCATGTGTAAAAAAGAAAGAAATCTCAGTGGTTATAAGCCACTGAGATTTGTGATCCTATCTGTGGGTTAAATTATATACATAAATTTATATATACATAGGAATATTTCTAGACAGATTCACCAGACAATGGAAGTAGAAGAAATCAGCGAAAGAATCTCCTTCCTTTTCAAATTATATTCTTCAATAGCTTTTAATACATGTTCATGGCAAAGCATTTTTTGTTTTGTTTTGTTTTGTTTTTTGGGACGGAGTCTCACTCTGCCACCCAGGCTGGAGTGCAGTGGTGCGATCTCGGCTCACTGCAAGCTCCACCTCCCGGGTTCACGCCATTCTCCTGCCTCAGCCTCCCGAGTAGCTGGGACTACAGGCACCTGCCACCATTCCCAGCTAATTTTTTGTATTTTTAGTAGAGACAGGGTTTCACCGTGTTAGTCAGGATGGTCTCGATCTCCTGACCTCGTGATCCGCCCGCCTCGGCCTCCCAAAGTGCTGGGATTACAGGCGTGAGCCACTACGCCCGGCCCATTTATTTTTATAATAATTACACATAAAGGGCCTCCAAGAGCACTGAAATAAAAGACTAAACATCTCCAATTTAAATTTTTTCTAAAAATAATTTTATATTAATTCAATAGATTCTCAGTAGGAAAATTGTGAAAATCAGACAAAAGATATAAATAAGAATAAAAATCACCAATTATGTCAACACCCAGACATAATTATCATTTTATTTGTGCCATTTAGAGACATGATTCACCACCTTAAATATGTAATTTTATATTCTTCTTTTCAATTTTACATTATAATAAGCACTTTACAGGGTTAAGAATTCGCAAACCTCACTTTTAATTGCTAAGTATATTTCACTATATAGATATATCATTCCTGGCTTGATCATTTCCTTAGTGTTGAACAAATATATTAATTATAATTTTTTACTACCGTAAGTAATATCTCAGACACTTCTGGGCATAAAGTATTTTCTGTATTTATGACTTTTCCTTGGGATATATTCCTATTAGCAGAATTGCTGGGTCAAAGGACATGAACATATTTAGGCTCTTGATATACTGCCAGAATGCTTTACAAAAAAATTACATGGATTTATACTCCCCCCAGCGATATCAAGGCAGCCATATCATTGGGAATTTTTAAAATTTCAGCTCACATGAGAAGCAAAAATTTCTCATTACTAGGAGGCTCAATATCTTTTCACATGTTTATTAGTCATTTACATTTTCTTCCTTTTGAATTATCTGTTCCTTTTCATTTGTTCATTCATCAAAGTCTTAGTACTTCACCAATTGATTGGTATATAATTTCTTCCACATATACTAAGCTCAGAAAGTCTATTTCTTTGTGCTTTTATACCTAACAATAGTAACATATCAACGTATCTTTCTTTCTGTGCCCTCAATAACACAATACCTATTTGATCTCTGGTTGTATATCAAAATCATCTGTGACCATTCACTTCAGGGATTTGGATTGAATTAATAGAAGATGGAGCTAGGTAAAAGTATTTTGTTCGTTTGTTTTAGACAGAGTCCCACTCTATCACCCAGGCTGGAGTGCAGTGGCATGATCTCGGTTCACTGCAACCTCCACTTCCTGACTTCTGGCGATTTTCTTGCCTCAGCCTTCTGAGTAGCTGGGATTATAGGGATGAGCCACCACACTGGGTAATTTTTGTATTTTTTGGTAGAGATGGGGTTTTGCCATGTTGGCCAGGCTGGTCCCTAACTCCTGGCTTCAAGTGATCAGCCCGCCTTGGCCTCCCAAAGCGCTAGGATTGCAGGTGTGAGCCACCACGCCTGGCCTAGGTAAAGGTATTTTTAAAAAGGTAAAACTGGAAAACAATACATTACATTCTAGGATAGAATGATCTTTAGTTTTTGTCCTGTTTTTCTTGGCTTGTTTGTTTAAAGAGAATATAGAGTGACAGGAGGTGGAAACCCTGCTTTTCGTAGCCCAACTTCCGCAGAAGGAAATGCTGGTGGCCCAAAAGTTGCAACAAACCTCTTTAAAAAGCTCTTAATACAGCTGGGCGCGGTGGCTCCTGCCTGTAATCCTACCACTTTGGGAGGCCAGGGCGGGCAGATCGCTTGAGATCAGGAGTTCAAGACCAGCCTGACCAGCCTGGCCAACATGGCGAAACCTTGTCTCTACTAAAAATACAAAAAAATTAGCCGGTGTGGTGGTAGGCACCTGTAATCCCAGCTACTCGGGAGGCCGAGGCAGGAGAATCACTCGAACCTGGAAGGTGGAGGTTGTAGTGAGCCAAGATCATGCCACTACTCTCCAGCCTGGGCAATAGAGTAAGACTCCGTCTCAAAGTAAAAAAAAAAAAAAAGCTCTTAATACTTAATCTGCTAATAACAACGAGGGAAAAAATGGCATACAATAAATTTCTCTGGAGGAAGTCAGATGTCACTATATTCATCACGAGATTTTACAAAAGCTATGTCTCTTACCTGTTTGCAGAGTACTAGGGAAAGACAAGGTGACTTTTTCATCTTCATTCTGATAGTTAAATCCTGTAGCATGTATTTCTGGAATGAGAAAAAAAAATACTTCACAATTCTGACTGGACTGACAAGACGAAATCAAGACTGCAACATTTTCAAGAGCAAAATCTCTACAAAAACTAAATATTCTTAATTTGGTGAATTAAGTTCCTATTAGCAAGAGTTTCATTTCAAATGAGCCTATTCTAGGTTACATTAACTACATTAAATATGCTCCTTAAAAATAATTACAAATTCTTTAAAATTCACAAAATGTCAGTGATGTACAGGAAAGAAGGCTTTATAAATGTGATGCTTTTCTATCAGATTCCTGTGTGACTATGATATTGTGATATTGCAGTCTTACTCATGAACATTTGAGACTTGGCAACTTGCCAAGATTTCAGTGTTAAAGATACATCAAGGAAAGGTCTGTTCCCCAAAGGTAAGTAGCAATTCAAACTAAGATATAAATCATACCCACTTCTGGTAAAATTCTTTGTTGTGGCCAGGCGTGGTGGCTCACGCCTGTAATCCCAGCACTTTGGGAGGCCGAGGCAGGCGGGTCACCTGGGGTCAGGAGTTCAAGACCAGCCTGACCAACACGGAGAAACCCCGTCTCTACTAAAAATACAAAACTAGCCGGCTGTGGTGGTGCATGCCTATAATCTCAGCTACTTGGGAGGCTAAGGCAGGAGAATCGCTTGAACCCGGGAGGCAGAGGTTGCAGTGAGCCAAGATCGCATCATTGCACTCCAGCCTAAACAACAACAGAGAAACTCTGTCTCAAAAAAAAAAAAATTATTTGTTGTTACATGAAAACAGGTATGCAAATTGAATTAAGGCTTTGACTTACTCTCTGCCAGGAATGAGAAGAGACTGCTTATTTGACTGATACTTTAGGATGCTTGGACATGTTAGGGAAATAACCAAAGACACCAACTTCCAACTATGTCCTATCCCCATTCCAAATGAAAAGCTGGCCAATCAGGCCGGACATGGTGGCTCACACCTATAATCCCAGCATTTTGGGAGGACGAGGCGTGTGGATCACCTGAGGTCAAGAGTTCGAGAACAGCCTGGCCAACATGGCGAAACCCCATTTTTACTAAAAATATAAAACTTAGCCAGGCATGGTGGCAAACGCCTCTAACCCCAGCTATGCGGGAGGCTGAGGCATGATAATTTAGAATTGCTTGAACTCAGGAGGCGGAGGTTGCAGTGAGCCGAGATTGTGCCACTGTACTCCAGCCTGGGCGACAGAGCGAGACTCTGTCTCAAAAAAAGAAAAAAAAAAAAAAAGTATAAGGTAGGATGTAGAGAAACTGGAGCATATATTGATAGTGGGAATGTAAATGGTGCAGCCACTTTTGGAAAACAGTTTGGCAATTCCTCAAAAGGTTAAATACAGAGGTATCATGTGATACAGCAATCCCATTCCTAAGTATATGTCCAAGAGAAATGAAAACACATGTCCACATAATGTTTGTATACAAATGTTCATAGTAGCATTATTTATAATAATCCCAAAATGAAAACAACTCAAATGTCCATCAACTGATGGAATAGATAAAATGTGGTATATCCATACAACTGAATGTTATTTGACAATAAAAAGAAATGAAATAGCTGACACATGCTACAATGTAAATAACCTTGAAAACATTATACTAAGAAACCAGCCACATATTTGTCCATAACAGGGCAATCTATGGAGGCTGAAAGTAGATTCATAGTTGCCTAGGGCTAGGTGATAGAGGGGAAATAGGCAGGGTACTTTCTTTCTGGAGTTCAGAAAGTGTTCTAAAATTGATTGTGATGATGGCTGTACAACTCTGTAAATAGACTAAAAACCGCTGAATTGTATGCTTTAAATATTAATAGATGACATGTATGGTATGTGAATTATACATCAATAAAGCTATTATTGAGGTGGGGAGAAAGGAAAGTACTACAGAAAGACAAGGGAGGAGAGGTGGCCATGAGTACCTTTATCAGTCACAGGATGCTGTGGGTAACAATGATTCAGATTACATAACATTTTACAGGCAAGATGCCCATAATTCTTCCTTTCTTTTATGAATCACCCAAATATAGGATTTCAAATGTTTCTGCTGTCACTATGGTTCACACATTTTTATAAAGCCAAAATCTCTACAAAACCAATTAAGAAACTGTAATTTCAGATTTTAAAAGAACTTTAATAAATCCTCTAATCAAATCTTCCTCATTTTACAGATGAAGAAAATGAGACATATAAAGTTAATGGTTTGTCACATGTTAACTAGCTAGACTACAACTCAGTTCCTTCACTTCTATTGCCAAAATTATTTCTACAATCACAAGCTAGCTCCTACATTTGTTTGGTTTTGTTTTGTTTTTTGAGACAGGGTCTCACTTTGTTGCCCAGGCTGGAGTACAGTGGCACTATCTCAACTCACTGCTACCTTTCCCATCAGGTTCGGGAGATTCTCCCACCTCAGCCTCCGGGGTAGCTGGGGACTACAGGCGTGAGGTGCCACTAGGCCCATCTAATCTTTTGTATTTTTAGTAGAGACAGGGGTTTCCCCAGGTTGTCCAGCCTGGTCTCAAACTCCTGGATTCAGGCAATCTACCCACCTCAGCCTCCCGAAGTGCTGGGATTACAGGGCTGAGCCACCGTGCCTGGCCCAGCTCCTAAATTTGAATAGAAATCAAATTTGACAAGAATCACTTCAATGCTTAAGAATGTTCCTTTCTGGGCTGGGCGCAGTGGCTCACGCCTGTAATCCCAGCACTTTGGGAGGCCGAGGTGGGTGGACCATGCGTGGTGGTGCATGCCTGTTATCTCAGCTACTTGGGAGGCTGAGGCAGGAGAATCACTTGAACCTGGGAACGGAGGTTGCAGTGAGCCAAGATGTGCCACTGCACTACAGCCTGGAGACAGAGTGAGACTCTGTATCAAAAAAAAAAAAACAAAAAACCTACAGCTGTTGAATAAAAAGGTAAACAACCCAATTTAAAAATGGCAAGACTTAAACTTCACAAAGGAAAATTTATAAATGGCAAAAAAAAAAAAGCACATAAAAAAGTGTTCAGCATCATTAGCCATTAAGGAAAGGCAAATTAAAATCACAATGACATATCACTACACATCCATTAGACTAGGCTATTAAATGACTGACAATAAAAATGTTGCCCAGGGCCAGGCATGGTGGCTCTTGCCTGGAATCCCAGCACTTTGGGAGGCCAAGGCAGGAGGATCACCTGAACCCAGGAGTTCAAAACCAACCTGGGCAACACAGGAAAAATAAAAAAAAATTAGTCATACGTGGTGACACAAACCTGTGGTCCCAGCTACTCCAAAGGCTGAGGCAAGAGCATTGCTGAAGCCTAGGAGGTTGAAGCTGGAGTGAGCCATGAACATGCCACTGCACTCCCATCTAGGTGACAGAGTGAGACCCTGTCTCGAAAAAGAAAAAAAAATGTGCAGGGTGTAGCACAATAACTAGAAGTCATGCTGGTGGTGCCTCTTTTACTATTCAGACTGTAAGCATTTTCCAACCCCAGGGTTTCTGCATCTGCTTGCAAAGTCTCCAGATATCTAAACACTTTATGTCATTCAGGCCTCTGCTCAAATCACTTTTTTTTTTTTTTTTTTGAGACAGGGTCTCACTCTGTTGCCCAACCTGGAGTACAGTGCTGCCATCTTGGCTCACTGCAACCTTGACCTCTCAGGTTCAAGTGTTCCTCCCACCTCAGCCTCCCAAATAGCTGGGACTACAGGCGCCCACCATCACACCCGACTAATTTTTGTATTTTTTATAGACATGGGGTTTCACCATGTTGCCCAGGCTGGCCTCAAACTCCCGAGCTCAAGCGATCCTCCTGCCTCAGCCTCCCAAAGTGCAGGGATTACAGGCATGAACCACCACACGAAGCCTCGAATCATCTTTTTTTTTTTTTGAGATGGAGTCTTGCTCTGTCGCCCAGGCTGGCATGCAGTGGCATGATCTTGGCTCACTGCAACCTCCGCCTCCCGGGTTCAAGCACTTCTGCCTCAGCCTCCCGAGTAGCTGGGACTACAGGCACGCACCACCACGCCTGGCTAATTTTTGTATTTTTAGTAGAGACGGAGTTTCAGCACGTTGGCCAGGATGGTCTCAGTCTCTTGACCTCATGATCCACCCGCCTCGGCCTCCCAAAGTGTTGGGATTACAGGTGTAAGCCACCACGCCCAGCCTCAAATCACTTCTTTAAAGATCTGTTCTATCAACTTGAAGAACAATCCTCATTCTATACCCTCTTGTGATTTTACAGCACTTATCACTACTTTACATCACATATTTGCTTGTTGCCTGTCTTCTCAAATATCAGAAATGTTGATGCTTGATTTTGTTCACAGCTCTACTTCCAATGCTAGCAGTTTCTGGCACATAGTGTGTGTTCAGTAAGTATCTGTAGAATGAATGAATCACTTCAAAAGCAACAGACTAAGTAATTATGTCATGGAGATCATTAATGCTACTCATATGAAATATATTAATGAAAAATCACATTTACTAATGTTATGTGAATAGAGACATGGCTAGGGATAAAATTTCCAGTCACAACATAATATACTGATTCAAATAAGGATCTATCTCAAACCTCTTAGAAGATAATATTTGCTCTGGAACTGTTAGATTGTTTAAAGGGTAGAAACCCATAAATACTGAAGATGCATATGAGAAGTCTGAGGAGGCTTCACTGGAGAAAAAAGTATTTCTAAATTAATGTTTACATTAATACTAATATATAATTAGTATATTTATATATTATAGTAATATATAATACTGATATGATAAATGAATAATTCATTCACTAATACAGTTTGCAATATATTCATAATTGGAAATGTATATATATGTAAATTAAGCATTGTACATAGACACTTCACTATATATCGTGTATCAATACAACTTAAACTTGATCGAAAACTTTTAAAAATGGAGTATGAGAGAATCTTATAAGGTATATATGATTATTCAATTCTCTAAGCCTCCGTTTCCACACCTATAAAATTAAAATCATATCATTACCTAATTCTTTCTTTTTAAAATTGAGATAAGGGTCTCACTATGTTGTTCAGGCTGGTCTCAAACTCCCGGGCTCAAGCACTGGCAATCCTCCCACCTCAGCCTCCTGAGTAGCTGAGATTATAGGAGTATACCATTGTGCCTGGCACCTGCTTCTTAATTAAAGATTGGGGGCCAGGCACGGTGGCTCACACCTGTAATCCCAGCACTTTGGGAGACCGAGGTGGGAGGATCACTTGAGGTCAGGAGTTTGAGTCCAGCCTGGCCAACATGGTAAAACTAAACATACAAAAATTAGCAGGGCATGGTGGCGTGCGCCTGTAATCCCAACTACTTGGGAGGCTGAGGCAGGAGAATCGCTTGAACCTGGGAGGTAGAGGCTGCAGTGAGCTGAGATCGCACCACTGCACTCAGTCTGGGCAACAGAGTGAGACTCCATCTCAAAGAAAAAAAAAATTATATAATATACTCTTATATAAAACACACAGCACAGTTCCTAGTTATTGTTAAGAAACACTTTTCAGGGCCGGGAGCAGTGGCTCACGCCTGTAATACCAGCACTTCTGGAGGCCAAGGAGGGCGGATCACGAGGTCAAGAGATCGAGACCATCCTGGCCAACATGGTGAAACCCCGTCTCTACTAAAAATACAAAAAATTAGCTGGGTGTGGTGGCACGTGCCTGTAGTCCCAGCTACCCAGGAGGCTGAGGCAGGAAAATGGCGTGAACTCGGGAGGCGGAGCTTGCAGTGAGCCGAGATCGTGCCACTGCACTCCAGCATGGGCAACAGAGCAAGACTCCATCTCAAAAAAAAAAAAGAATCACTTTTCTAGATCATAACACACCTTACAGTTCTTTATTGATCCAACTGCAATTGGTCCATTATATACATATATATAACAGCTTTTGCTGAAACTCCTTATTAGGCCTTTTAAATATAATTAGCATTTTAAAATCTATAAACATATATATTTGGGTATAAGCATCTATGTGTAAGTGTGTTAGTCATCTATTAAATAGAAGTAAAATTTGATTATAAACATAGCATGTATAAAACCATGACCAGGCTGGGCATGGTGGCTCATGCCTGTAATCCCAGGACTTTGGGAGGTCAAGATGGGCAGATCACCTGAGGTCAGGAGTCTGAGACCAGCCTGTCCAACATGGTGAAACTCCATTACTACTAAACATACAAAAATTAGCCAGGCGTGGTGGTGCACGCCTGTAATCCCAGCTACTCGGGAGGCTGAGGCAGGAGAATCGCTTGAAACGGGGAGGTGGAGGTTGCAGTGAGCTGAGATCACGCCACTGCACTCCAGCCTGGCTGAGAGAGCGAGACTCCGTCTCAAAAAAAAAAAAAAAAAAACAAACAACAAAAAAAACCATGGCATTATAAAATGACCATAAGCAAAATCAAAAGAGAAGTATATATTGGGGAAAAAATGCTCCAACTCATGATGGAAGGTTAATTTCACTCAAATATAAAGACCACGTTTTAAAAAATCAATAACAAGAATAAGAATAACACTGAAATTTAAAATGGACAAATATGAATAAATTACAGAAAAAGGAAACACAAATGGTTTTTAAAATATAATGAAGAGATTCTTTTTTTTTTTACAATTAACTAAACTTTTTTTAAAATTAACTAAAGTTGGTATTTCACTAGGACGATTTAGCAGATGAAATGGGTTTTAAGTTTAGAACACCATTTCTTCTTCCTTATTACATTTCCCTTTTTAATGTTAGCCCTCTACAAACACACACGTATATACACACACACACACACACACACTCTGCATCAAAAAAGCCTTCCTACATTAATACTTGAGCATGATAACCTTACAATGAAAGGTAAATCATTAGTTGAATCATGAAACATTTTCTTCCCCTTGTGGAGAAAAATCAAATTGCTTTTCCTCTGCTCTTACACCACAATCATCAACACAGTAGACTTCTGTGACCAAATGTGTGGGGATTTCTCCCCACCAACAAGAAGCAATCAGTTCTGCAGAAGATACCACCAGCTGAGCACCTTCTAATCCAATTCAATTCTCATGCTATCTACCTGGAGATAGCATTAGATCCCACAGGCTGAGAGAGGGCTCAGTCTCACAAGACTGCCCCCACTTCAGACACTAGTTGTAAGGCCAGGCCTCATCCAGAACTTCTGGCCAACCAGCTTCAAGTCAGTGTTCCCATGACCCCCTTCTTAGGTTTGATTAATTTGCTAAAGCTGTGCCCAGAACTCAGGAAAACACGTGTACTGGTTTATTATAAAGAATAGCACAAAGAATGCAGATGAAGAGGTGCACAGAACAAGGCATGTGGGAAGGGGTGCAGAGCTCTCATACCCTCCCTGGGTGCACCACCCTCCAGGACCCTCCACGTGTTCAGCTATCTGGAAGCTCTCTGTACCCGGTCCAGGACTTCACTGGACCGTCACGACTGAAGCATGGACAACCGGGTAGAAATATGATTGGACAAAGTAGGACCTAATGCTAACAGACTGAGTGGGGAAACCTAGCAAGGCCTCTCTGTTCAGAGTCTTCTTGGCCTCTCTGTGCAACTTCTTTCCTCCCAAGTACAGGGCAGGATGCCTTCTGAAATGGGGGTCTTATGACCTCCAATCAGACAAGGTAGGTCAGATAATTTCTTTGCTGTCAGCTCCAAGACAGAATGTTGGGGGATGATCAGAGTATATTTTTAGTTTCTATTGCCTGCTTGGGGAGAAAAAGGAGCAGGTAAAAGCAAGGCAAGAAAAGGTCAGAGAGCGATTCTGTTTTCTGAAGCCTGCTTCTGAGGTTTAAAGTGCCCCAACGTTATTACAAAAGACCATCTTTCACTTTTATTGATCTGAAGCTGTACTGAAGCCACTTCAAAAACCAAGAATAAAAGGCCAAATATTTCAATAAAATATATGTATATTGTTTTAGTCACTTAGGAAATAACAGGGACTATGGGTGTTCTATGACAGAAACTGTGGATGAAAACCAACATATGTATCATAATATCATAGCACCCTCCCCAACCTTTTTTTTTTTTTTTTTTTTTTTTGTTTGAGACAGGGTCTCACTGCATTGCGTAGGCTTGTCTTGAACTCCTGGGCTCAAGCAATCCTTGTGCCTTGGCCTCCCAAAATGCTGGGATTGCAGGCATGAGCCACTGTGCCAGGCCCCCTTTATGTCTATACATAATAAAACTTAATCACATAAAAGGAGGTATAGGGAAAATGAGAAGTACAAGATGGTATTTCAAGAGGCAACATTAAAAAAAGATTGAAATTTTTTAAAATAGCTGAAATCATTATTGCTTATACCATCTATACAAGCATCTAGTGGATTCTGCCTAGGCATTACATTGAGATACAGAAATAAAATCTTCTAAAATTTCAATATCAGAAGTGCCAAGTCAACTGTACTTCAAATTTTCCTTTACAAATTATCTATTTGAAACTCAGAATGTATTTTCCTCCAAGCCACTGCTATACTTAAACAAGTAATCTAAACCACATAATTCTATATAGCCCACATATACCAGTGTAGCTCAGTACTAGATCAAACACATTGTGAGGTTTTATTTTGTTTTTTTATTCAGATAGCAACTTCCCTATCATATTGTTTATGTGGTTTTAGAAAGCAGTTCAGGTGCAAAAAAATAAAGTTCACAGTTCAAAGAAGGCCTACAGTGACTACCTGCTACTTGGAACATACTTTGTTTCTCCACAAAGCTGAAAATAATGTTGCAATGGGAAAGAAAACACATCATTCTGGAGGATATCCAAGGGGGATTCAAGTGAAAAATGGAACCAAGAACTTACTTTGCAAAGCTTCAAGGTGACCTCCTTCTCACCGTAGGGCATAAAAGCCAATCAGATATATGCATAGTTACAGTTCAAGCAGTACCTATACTGACAGGTCCCATATTTTCAAATGGATTTCACATTTATATAACATAGTGATGGTTCTATCCTATTAGGCTATCTAAAAAGTCTAAAAAGAATGAGCATGTGCCAAATATAAATCTGGTTCAACAGAATCAAAAAATTCCTTCTAGGGTGCCCCTGCTCTTAATAAATGACTGTGAACTATTTCATTAAAATCACTCAGGATTCTGGACCAGGATTTCCATTGATTATGTGGTCTTACACGGTTACTTAATTTGTCTAGGTCTCAGTTTATCTTTTTTTTTTTTAAAGGATTTTATATTTGGGTAATAGAGGAGTATATAATTCAAACTAATTATCTCTCTCCTACTTGACACCCACAAAACTAAAAAAGCTGGAAGGAAGGGAAAACTTCTCCTTAAAAGAATCATAGAACAAGATAAGGTGATCAAGATGAAGAAGAGGATGAAATTCCATAAAGAGGAAGCTTTGCATTCTAGGCCACTTTTGCTCTGGGGTCATTTGCTGATCTAGCAGAGATGTAGCAGATTTGGAAGCTGAGGCTATAGGCCCCAGGGACAAAAGTGGAAATCCAGGGCCCATCAACACTGGGGGCTTTGTGGCTGGGTGGGCACTGTGTCTGTAATCCCAGCATTTTGGGAGGCGAGGTGGAAGGACTGCTTAAGCCCAGGAGTTTAAGTAACATAGTCTATCTAGGTAGCACAGTGAGACTCTATCTCTATTAGAAGAGACAAGACAAGACAAGACAAGACAAGAAGCTTGAGTAAATGACCCCCTCCTTTGGGCTTGAAACCAAAAAAGTGATATCCTACCAGGAAAGATGAACAAGAAGAAAAGCAGTCCACAAGTGGAATGTGATTAAACTTCTGAACATCTGAAGCCCAGACACTGGAAAAAGATGAACCTTAAGTATTAGTAACCAACGGGGAACAAAACAAAGCTCCCCTAGATACTAGCAAACTATTCATATACCTGCTTACTATGTTCAAAAATATAAAATCCCAATCCTGAAAAATTTGGCAAGTAACGCGAAGTTACTTTAAAAAAACAAACAAACAAACAAAACCCCCAAAAAAACCCAAAACCAAGCAAAACAAAGAAAACAAGCAAATCTGGAAAAATTAATTCTAGAACAAAAATATGTAATAAGAAAAAACAGGCCAGGCACGGTGTCTCATGCCTGTAATCCCAACACTTTGGGAGGCTGAGGTGAGAGAATCCCTTGAAGCCAGGAGTTCGAGACCAGCCTAGGCAACAAAGCAAGACCCCATCTCTACTAAAAAAAATTAGCCAGGCACCATGGTAGCGTATATCTGTAGTTCCAGCTACTCAGGAGGCTGAGGTGGGAAGATCACTTGAGTTCAGGAGTTTGAGGTTGCAGTAAGCTGCGATCCTGTCACTGCACTCTGGCCTGGGTGACAGAGCAAGACCCTGTCTTTTTTTTTTTTCCCTCTTTTTTGAGATGGAGTCTCGCTCTGTTGTCCAGGCTGGAATGCAATGGCGCAATCTCGGTTCACTGCAACCTCCGTCCGCCTCCCGGGTTCAAGCAATTCTCCTGCCTCAGCCTCTCAGGTAGGGGGGACTACAGGCATGCGCCACCACGCCCGGCTAATTTTTTGTATTTTTAGTAGAGACAGGGTTTCACCATGTTAGCCAGGATGGTCTCGATCTCCTGACCTTGTGATCCACCCACCTCGGCCTCCCAAAGTGCTGGGATTACAAGCGTCAGCCACCACACCCAACCGCAAGACCCTATCTTAACAAAAAAAGAGGCCGGGCATGGTGGCTCACGCCTAGAATACCAGCACTTCGGGAGGCCAAAGCAGGCAGATCACCTGAGGACAGGAGTTCAAGACCAGCCTGGCCAACATGGTGAAACCCCGTCTCTACAAAAACACAAAAATTAGCCAGGCGTGGTGGCAGGCGCATGTAATCCCAGCTACTTGGGAGGCTGAAACAGGAGAATTGCTTGAACCCAGGAGGCAAAGACTGCAGTGAACCGAGATCTAGCCACTGCACTCCAGCATGGGTGACAGAGCGAGACTCCGTCTCAAAAAAAAAAGTGGGGGGTGGGCCAGGTGTGGTGGCTCATGCCTGTAATCCCAGCACTTTGGAGGCTGAGGCATGTGGATCACTTGAGGTCAGGAGCTCAAGACCAGCCTGGCCAACATGGTGAAACCCCATCTCTACTAAAAATAGAAAAAATTAGCCAGGAATGGTGGCACAAGCCTGTAATCCCAGCTATTTGGGAGGCTGAGGCAGGAGAACTGCTTGAACCTGGGAGGCAGAGGTTGCAGTGAGCCGAGATCACACCACTACACCCCAGCCTGGGCAGCAGAGCGAGACTCCATCTCTAAATAAATAAATAAAAATTAATTAATTAATACAAATAAAAACCCACAAAAATGAGCCAGGTGTGGTGGCGTACACCTGAAGTCCCAGCTACTCGGGAGGCTGAGGCACAAGAATTGCTTTAAGCCGGGAGGTGGAGGTAGCAGTAAGTTGAGATAGAGCCACTGTACCCCAGCCTGGGTGACAGAGACTCTGTACAAAAAAAAAATAACACGGAATCAAATCATAATTGCCTGGGGAAGGAGCAAGGAAAAGGGGAGAAAAGGATTATAAAGGGGCATGAGGAAATGTTCTAGGGTGATGAATATGCTCATTACCTGGTTACATTCATGAGAAAACTTATCAAATTACATATTTTAAGATGTACCCTTTATAGTATGTCAACATTACAGGTACTCTCACAAAGCTATCAACAAAAATAGGAAAGAAGCAGCAGCAAGCAACAACAGCCATAACTACTGCCTGGAGAATTTCCCCCAAAACAAACAAACCAAAAAAAGTGTGGGCTGCAGCTAAAAGCAGTACATTTTTAGGATTAAAATTTATATTTAAATGAATATAATAGAAAGAAGGACTGAAAAGTAATAAGCCAAACATCCATCTCAAGACTTCTGTTTGTTTTTTGTTTTTTTTTAAGGGCAGTCAAGTGAAGCAGTGGGAGTGAAGGAGGAATAAAGAAATCTGTAACTGGCTATGATTGATGAGTTATAAACACCACTGCACTGGGACCAGCCTAAAGAAGTTTTTTTAAATCTGCAAAGTAGACCGGGCACGGTAGCGGTGGCTCACACCTGTAATCCCAGCACTTTGGGAGGCCAAGGCGAACCGATCACTTGAGGTCAGGAGTTTGAGACCAGCCTGACCAACATGGTAAAACTCCGCCTCTACTAAAAATACAAAAATTAGCTGGGTGTGGTGGCACATGCCTTTAATCCTAGCTATCAGGAGGCTGAGGCATAAGAATCACTTGAAACCAGAAGGCAGGGATTGCAGTGAGCCAAGATCACGCCACTGCACTCCAGCCTGCGTGACAGAGTAAGACTCCGTCTCAAAAATAAAAAAAAAAAAACCTTGCAAAGTAAACCCAAAGGAAGCAGAAGTTAATAAGGAAATAATAGTTAACTGAGGTCTACAAAGCAATGGTTAGTTCTTTGAGAAAAAAAGCAAGAAAACTGAAAAAGATCTGGGATCAAGAAAAAAGTAAAACAGGCTGGGTGCGGTGGCTCATGCCTGTAATCCCAGCACTTTGGGAGACCACGGCAGGTGGATCACAAGGTCAGGAGTTCGAGACCAGCCTGGCCAACATGGGAAACCCCATCTCTACTAAAAATACAAAAATTAGCCGGGCGTGGTGGCCTGCGTCTGTAGTCCCAGCTACTTGGGAGGCAGAGGCAAGAGAACTGCTTGAACCCGGGAGGCAGAGGTTGTAGTGAGCCGAGGTCACGCCAGCACAAGACTCCATTTCAAAAAAAAAAAAAAAGTAAAACAGAAGGCACAAATAAATAAAATGAGCCCTGACTACTACCTAACTTCCCTTCTAATTCTATTAACTTGAAACTATAGCAGAGCTTCCCTAACTGTGGCAGATCCAAACATGTATTACAGGTTTATCAAGATAATAATTCCCTTGGCCCTTGGACCAGCCTGGTAGGCCTAGAGCAATGAAAGATCTCTGATACCCTCCAGTTGTGAGCCTCCTCTTCCTTATGTACCAGGAAAACATCAGTTTCTACTAATGCCTTGAAAAAAAGTAAGGAAGCATTGATTTGGAGAACAACTAACTCTTCCAGCTTCACACTTAAGAACAGCATACACGGCCGGGCGCGGCGGCTTGTGCCTGTAATCCCAGCACTGCGGGAGGCTGAGGCAGGCGGATCACCTGTGGTCGGAGGTTCGAGACCAGCCTGACCAACATGGATAAACTCCATCTCTACTAAAAATACAAAATTAGCCGGCTGTGGTGGTGCATGCCTGTAATCCCAGCTACTCAGGAGGCTGAGGCAGGAGAATCACTTGAACCCGGGAGGCTGAGGTTACGGCGAGCCGAAATCATGCCATTGCACTCCAGCCTGGGCAATAAGAGCGAAACTCCATCTCAAAAAAAAAAAAAAAAAGAACAGCATACACTACAATGTTACTAACATTATGCAATCAGTGTTTTCTCTACATTTAATGCAAAAACTACATAATTTACAGCAGTTTTTTATGCTCTCCATTTTCTTAATATTTAAAATACTGTAAAGAATCTTTACAATTAGTAAGTATCTTGATGGTAGTCCTCAAAGGGAAGTAAAATACAAGTTAAAGCTGGTAACAAAATAATCTCAAATACGAAATAATTTTGTTACCCATAAAGTTACTAGGATAGAGCACATGAAGAAATGCAGACCTGACAAGTCCCCCTTATCTGCAGTTTCACTTTCCACAGTTTCAATTGCCTAGAGTCAACTACAGTCTGAAAATATTAAATGGAAAATTCCAGAAACAAACAATTCATAAGTTTTAAACTGTACTGTTCTGAATAGTGTGATGAAATCTTGTGCCCTCCCATTCCATTCTGCCCAGAACATGAATCATCCCTTTCTCCGACCTATCCATGCTGTATATATATGCCACCCAGCCCATTAGTCACATAGTAGCCATCTCAGTTATCAGATTGACTGTCAATGTATCACAAGGCTTGTGTTTAAGTAACCTTTATTGTACTTAATAATGGCCTCAAAGCACAAGAGTAGTGATGCTAGCAGTTTGGAAATGTCAAAGAAGAAGAGTGAGTATAATACAATAAGATACTATAAGAGAGGCTGGGCACAGTGGCTCATGCCTGTAATCCTGGCACTTTGGGAGGCTGAGGCAGGAGGATCGCTTGAAGCCAGGAGTTCAAGACCAACTTCAGCAATAAAGCCAGACCTGACTCACAAAAAATTTTTACAAATTTGCTGGGTGTGTTGGTGCATACCTATAGTCCTAGCTAACTGGGAGGCTGAAGCAGGAGGATCACTTGAGCCCAGCAGTTTGAGGCTGCAGTGAGATATGATGGCACCACTGCACTCCAACCTGGGCAACAGAGACTCTGCCTCTAAAAATAAATAAATGAAATAATTTTTTTTAAAAAGAAGATATTGGCTGGGCGCGGTGGCTCATGCCTGTAATCCCAACACTTTACGAGGCTGAGGGGGGAAGATCACCTGAGGTCAGGAGTTTGAGACCAGGCTGACCAACATGGAGAAACCCTGTCCCTACTAAAAATACAAAATTAGCCAGGCGTGGTGGCGCATGCCTGTAATCCCAGCTACTTGGGAGGCTGAGGCAGGAGACTTGCTTAAACCCGGGAGGCAGTGGTTGCAGTGAGCCGAGATCACACCATCGCACTCCAGCCTGGGCAACAAGAGTGAAACTGCATCTCAAAAAAAAAAAAAGATATTGTGGCTCACACCTGTAATCCCAGCACTTTGGGAGGCCGAGGCGGGCAGATCACGAGGTCAGAAGATGGAGACCATTCTGGCTAACACGGTGAAACCCCGTCTCTACTAAAAACACAAAAAATTAGCCGGGTGTGGTGGCATGCGCCTGTAGTCCCAGCTACTCAGGAGGCTGAGGCAGGAGAATCGCTTGAACCTGGGAGGCAGAGATTGCAGTGAGCTGAGATCGCACCATTGCACTCCAGCCTGGGCGACAGAGCAAAGTCTCAAAAAAAAGAAAAGAGAGAGAGATGCACACAACATTCATGTAACTTTTATTACAGTATATTGTTATAATGGTTCTATTTTTTATTAGCTTTTGTTAATTTCTTACTATTTCTAATGTAAAAATTAAACTTTATCATAGTACATATGTATAGGGAAAAACATAGCATATATAAGTTTTGCTACTATCTGTGGTTTCAGGCGTACCATTGGGGGTCTTAGAACACATCTGCCATAGATAAGGAGGAACTACTGTATGACAGACTTACTCCATTTATCTAGATTTTCTTCGTTTCATTCAATGTATATTTATTAAATCCCTACTATATGTCAGATACCAGGGAAAACCACAAATGAAAAAGAATGAATCATAATTACTGGATCTTTTTTTTTTTTTTTTTGAGTAGAAGTCTCTTGTCCCCCAGGCTGGAGTGCAATGGCGTGATCTTGGCTCACTGCAACCTCTGCCTCCCAGGTTCAAGCAATTCTCCCACCTCAGCCTCCCGAGTAGCTAGGATTACAGGCGCCTACCACCACACCCAGCTAATTTTTGTACTTTTTTTTTTAGTAGAGACGAGGTTTCACCATGTTGGCCAGGCTGGTCTTGAACTCCTGACCCTAGGTGAGCCGCCCGCCTCGGCCTCCCAAAGTGCTGGGATTACAGCCATGAGCTACCATGCCCGGCCCCTCAAGGATCTTAAGATTCCATTGAAAAGTAGTACAGACATGACACAAACAAATAATTGCAATATGGTGTGGTTACATTAATGACAAGCAATAGAGTGGCAAGTACATGGACCCTAGATCCAAACCGCCTGGGTTTGAATCCTGGCTCTAACATTTATCAGTTTTATTACCTAAAGTAGATACCCTCTCTGTGCCTACGGTTGTTCTCTATATGAACAGGTAATGCACTTAGTGCCTGGTATAGAGTAAACACTAAACTCATCATTATTTTTATAATTATCACTATTAAACATTATATTACGAAAAATGTTTCACTTGGTTAGGCACCTAACCTGAACTGGAGGTTAAAAAGAAGATAAAACGTTCCCTCTATAGTCAGCAATAAGCCAACTAAATTCCTAAAACAGCAGTCACTAAAGCAATCCATATCACCTTAAGGCTATTTAAATAACGTTTTAAAACTTACCAAGTATAACTAAGACAAAATTTAAAACTATTCTACGCTCATATACTTTGTATATAGCCATATGGAAACCTACACAGGTTCTTTATCAGACAGCCCCTCAATATTATTCAAAACCAACAAATGTAAAAATGAAAGAATGCAAATACACTGCAAACTTCATGTTCTTTATCTCTGATTTGCACTAAAAAGGAATAAAGGGGCTGGCTAACTATCACTTGCTCCTTCTAATGCTGACATTTATTTGGCTCCAGTTTGAACTAATGATACTTAAGGGTTGTTTATTTGAGAATGGATCTATCCTGCATAGAAACCAGAATATACTTCACAGATAAGCATAGAAATCCAAACAAGGGCCAGGCACAGTGGCTCATATCTGTAATCCCAGCACTTTGGGAAGCTGAGGTAGGAGGACTGCTTGAGTCTTGGAGTCTGAGACCAGCCTGGGGAACATTGCAAAACCCCATCTCTACAAAAATTAAAAAATTAGCCAGGTGTGGTGGCACATGCCTGCCATCCCAGCTCTCCGGGAGGCTGTGGTGGGAGAGTAACTTGAGCCCAGGAGGCTGCAGTAAGCCATGACTGTGCCACTGCATTCCAGCCTGGATGACAGAGAAAGACCTGTCTCAAAAAAAAAAAAAAAAAAAAAGAAATCCCAACAAACAAGATCAGAAATTAGAAACTTAAGACTTTTGTCTTAATGTTAACACTATATAAACTCTTCCTCTTTGAAAAATATGCCCTCTGTTTGTCACTATTGTCTTGGCAATTCGTTATACTTTCTCACAAGCAAAGAAACCTATTTCAGACTTGCGTTCACACTTATCAAACTATCACTTAAACAGAGTATTTAAGGTCTGGTGCAGTGGTTCACACCTGTAATCCCAGCACTTTGGGAGGCCAAGGTGGGCGTCAACAGTTTGAGAGCAGCCTGGCCAAAATGGGGAAACCCCATCTCTACAAAAATTTAAAAATTAGCCAGGTTTGGTGGCACACACCTGTAATCCCAGCGACTTGGGAGGCTGAGGCACAAGAATCGCTTCAACCCAGGAGACGGAGGCTGTAGTGAGCCGAGATAGTGCCACTGCACTCCAGCCTGGGCAATAAGAGTGAGACTCTATCTCAAATAATAATAATAATATTTAATAAAAACTCTTTGAATGACACAAATTACCACTTAGGCAAAAAGAACCTTGGTATTTACAGGGGTAAAAAGTTCAAATAAATAATAAACTTCATTTATTATTATATATAAGCCAAGGGAATTTATTATATGCAAGGGAATCACTGTTCAGACAATGAGCTGAGGGGCCAGAATTTGTGAGACAGAAGGGGTCCTTTTCACACAATATTTACTTGAAGTTTCACAATAATCAAAGGTATCTGCTTTTAGCCCAGTTATTCATGTATACACATCAACAAGATTTAAATTAACCAAAATGTTAAATGTTTATTAAGCAGCCACCATATAATGTAGGTTTTGGAACTAGTATTTAAATGGAAGAGTATATCTTCAGAGTAAAGTTCCATTGAGAAATAGAAAAGTCTGTAAAACCAGGTCTCGTCTTATAACAAGAAACTGATACTGACTTCTGTAACAAAGCTAAATAGTCTCTTGATGTGTAGTTGGCACAATTCCAGAAATCTAAACTACTAGCAAATTTGCTTATATCTGGTATAACTGGGCCGGGCGTGGTGGCTCATGCCTGTAATCCCAGCACTTTGGGAGGCCGAGGTAGGTGGATCACCTGAGGTCTCGAGTTCGAGACCAGGCTGGCCAACATGGTGAAACCCTGTCTCTACTAAAAATACAAAAATTAGCTGGGCGTGGTGGTGCACACCTGTGATCCCAGCTACTCGGGAGGCTGAGGCAGGAGAATTGCTTGAACCTGGGAGGCAGAGGTTGCAGTGAGCAAGATCATGCCATTGCACTCCAGCCTGGGCAACAAGAGTGAAACTCTGTCTCAAAAAAAAAAAACAAAAAAACATATATATATATATATCTGGTATAACTGTTACTATATCTAAAGAAAGGGATGAGAAACAAACCTTTAATTTCTACTTGAAATGATTTTTCATTTTTGCAAAGAGAAAAGGGTACATAACTAATATCCAAACAGAGTTAATAAAAGCCTATTAAGGATTATTTTAAAACAAGTTCTTTAAAAAAAAAAAAAAAAAGTTCTACTAGTTGCAGTGAGCCGATACTGCGCCACTGTACTCCAGCCTGGGCAATACAGCAAGACTCCATCTCAAAAAAAAAAAAAAAAAAAAAAACAGACACATGCCCATAGGTCTTTTAGGATGACTGCACATATCACAAAAAAATGGCCTTTTTCTTCAAATAAAAACTTACACAAAGAAGCAACAATTGGCCAGGCACGGTGGCTCACACCTTTAATCCCAGCACTTTGGGAGGCCGAGGCGGGCGGAGCACAAGGTCAGGAGATCGAGACCATCCTGGCTAATACGGTAAAATCCCGTCTCTACTAAAAATACAAAAATTAGCTGGGCGTGGCGGCGTGCGCCTGTAGCCCCAGCTGCTGGGGAGGCTGAGGCAGGAGAATGGCGTGAACCCGGGAGGCAGAGCTTGCAGTGAGCCGAGACTGCGCCACTGCACTCCAGCCTGGGCGACAGAGTGAAGACTCCATCTCAAAAAGAAAAAAAAAAAAAAATTAAAAGAAGCAACAATTTCATGCCTTAAAAGTAATTTTCTGATTTTACTTTTATCTTCTTTTTTTATTACATATATATATACACACACACACACACACACACACACACACATACATACATGTGGAAGCCCAAATCTATCCCTGTTCCCAATCCAAACTATTTTTTTTTTTTTTTTGAGACAGAGTCTTGCTCTGTCGCCCAGGCTGGCGTGCAGTGGCACAATCTCCGCTCACTGCAACTTCCACCTCCCGGGTTCAGGCGATTCTCCTGCCTTCAGCATCCCAAGTAGCTGGAATTACAGGTGCCTGCCACCACGCCCAGCTAATTTTTGTGTTTTTAGTAGAGACGGTGTTTCACCATGTTGGCCAGGCTGTTCTCAAACTCCTGACCACAGGTGATCCGCCCACCTAGCCCTCCCAAAATGCTAGGATTATAGGTGTGAGCCACCACACCTGGCTGCCCCCAATTCAAACTTTAACAACTCATACAACTTCCCATTCTCTTAAACTCTAAAATTACATGGGCTTACACATGACTTCAGGTTTTTTCCTGTTGCTGTGGTAGAAAAGTGTTGAGAAATGTACCTTAGCTAGTTCTGAAGGAAAATATTTTTTTTTTGAGACAGAGTCTCTGTCACCCAGGCTGGCGTGCAGTGGCACGATCCTGGCTCACTGCAACCTCTGCCTCCTGGGTTCAAGCAATTCTCTGCCTCAGCCTCCTGAGTAGCTGGGATTACAGGCACCCGCCACCACACCCAGCTAATTTTTTTATTTTTAGTAGAGATGGGGTTTCACCATCTTCGCCAGGCTGGTCTTGAACTTCTGACGTCATGATCCACCCACCACAGCCTCCCAAAGTACTGGGATTACAGGCGTGAGCCACTGCACCCAGCACTGAATATATATTATGTATCTAAAATAATTTAATGTTTTATCAGAATCTCTCTTCAAATCTTCTTTTCCATTAAGTTTTCATTTCTCTCCTGACTCTCTTAGTAAGAACACTAACTGGGCTTCCGTGAGATACAGATCATTATGAGCTTAGCAACATTCGGTTACACATATTCAAAACTTTTCAGTCAGGTCGGGCGCGGTGGCTCACGCCTGTAATCCCAACACTTTGGGAGGCTGAGGAGGGTGGATCACGAGGCCAGGAGTTCAAGACCAGCCTAACAAACATGGTGAAACCCCATCTCTACTAAAAATACAAAAATTAGCCGGGTGTGGTGGCACACGCCTGTAATCCCAGCTACTCAGGAGGCTGAGGCAGAAGAATTGCTTGAACCCCAGAGGTGGAGGTTGCAGCAAGCTGAGATCGTTGGGCGACAGAGCTAGACTCCATCTCAAAAAAAAAAAAAAAGAACTTTTCAGTCACCTGAATTCTATCCCGACATTTTTAGTACAGGAAGATAAAAAACAAACTTGAGCTGAAACCATGCCAGCTGGAAGGTACACATTTATATTACTAGATCTACCTATCTACATACCACTTTAAAACCACACATCGAATTTAAACATTCTCTACCTGCAACAAAGAAAGCCTTGTTGCTTTGATATACCTGGCTAAAGTACTTCTATTTTTCTCCACAGTTAAAGAAATTAAATAATCACTCTTTCATTTACCAGACAATTTTTTAAAAGTGGCACTCATTCAAGTCCATTTGAAGAATCTGTTCTTCCAGCAGTTTGATCTAATTTACAATCAATTGAACTTAAGTACTTCTTCGGAACAGTATGTTCAACTGCTACTACTTTGACTTCCTATAGACAAAATAGTTTAAGAAAAAATCATAAATGTTATGAGGCCTTAAAATGAAACTTCTTTTCAGTATAATGTAAAGGAGAGAGGAAATCAAAATATAAAATGTAAGTTAAAAGATCAAATGTGTAAATTATTTTATTTTATTTATTTATTTTTTTTTTTTTTTGAGACGGAGTCTCGCTCTGTCGCCCAGGCTGGAGTGCGGTGGCGCGATCTCGGCTCACTGCAAGCTCCGCCTCCCGGGTTCACGCCATTCTCCTGCCTCAACCTCCCGAGTAGCTGGGACCACAGGCGCCCGCCACCACGCCAGGCTAATTTTTTGTATTTTTAGTAGAGACAGGGTTTCGCCGAGTTAGCCAGGATGGTCTCTATCTCCTGACCTTGTGATCCGCCCACCTGGGCCTCCCAAAGTGCTGGGATTACAGGCGTGAGCCACTGCGCCCGGCCTTAAATTATTTTTTATTAAAGAAGTCTCAGAGTAACCAATAACCATTTTGACAAGGAATGTCTAGGTGAAATCAAAAGTAAAAAGGCAACCAGGTGTGGTGGCTCTTGCCTGTAATCCCAGCAACCTGCGAGGCCGAAGAGGTCGGATCCCTTGAGCCCAGGAGTTCAAGACCAGCCTGGGCAATATAGGAAGACCCCCCCCATATCTATAAAAAAATACAAATACGAATATTAGCCAGGCATGGTGGTACACGCCTGTAATATCAGCTACTTGGGAGGGTGAGGTGGGAGGATGGCTTGAGACCAGGAGACAGAGGTTGTGGTAGTTGAGATCATGCCACTGCCCCCCAGCCTGGGTGACAGAGCGAGACTCTCTCAAAAAAAAAAAAGTAAAAAGCAATCCAGCTCCAATACTGATGTACTTGTAAGAGTTTATGCCAAACTTGGTATCTATTTAAAAATCAGCTCATACGGGAATAAGATTTCCAGTCAAAACGGACTACTTTCATACTAAAATTATAAGGTCTAAAACAGTTCTCGGCCGGGCGCGGTGGCTCACGCCTGTAATCCCAGCACTTTGGGAGGCCGAAGCGGGTGGATCACGAGGTCAGGAGATCAAGACCATCCTGGCTAACACGGTGAAACCCCGTCTCTACTAAAAATACAAAAAAATTAGCCAGGCGTGGTGGCGGGAGCCTGTAGTCCCAGCTACTCCGGAGGGTGACGCAGGAGAATGGCGTGAACCCGGGAGGCGGAGCTTGCAGTGAGCCGAGATCGCGCCACTGCACTCCAGGCTGGGGGACAGAGCGAGACCCCGTCTCAAAAAAAAATAAAAAATAAAATAAAATAAAATAAAATAAAACAGTTCTCATTTTATAGACACTAATCGAGTTCCACATTCTATACCATGTTTCTTTTTAGCATGTTCTTCCCCTGTAACTAACTCCATTATTTAGCTTCTAATCTTCATATTGTCTCATAAAGCAAATGTTTTTCTCTGAATTAGGAGTATGACTTATCTCAATTTTAAACTATAGTACAAAAAGAAAAAAAAACTTTAAGAAAAACATAAAAACGAAGCCTCTTTGAGGAGCCTTTCATGTTCAAAGTACTTAATTTTTCAAATAACTCATCAGCTTTATTATGCGTATTATATTCATTTTATACTTATGAAAATATGATTTCCCTAGTACCACAAAATAAGTTAATCTTGGAAGTGGAATTTTAATTGTGACATTTGCCCGGGTGTGGTGGCTCACATCTGTAATCCCAGCACTTTGGGAGGCATGCAGATCACCTGAGATCAGGAGTTCAAGACCAGCCTGGCCAACATAGCAAAACCCTGTCTCTACTAAAAATACAAAAATTAGCTAGGTATGATGGTGGACACCTGTAATCTCAGCCACTCAGGAGGCTGAGGCAGGGAGAACTGCTTGAACTCACGAGGCAGAGATAGCAGTGAGCTTAGATGATGCCACTGCACTCCAGCCTGGGCATCAGAGCAAGACTCTGTCTCAAAAAAAATAAAAATAAAAATAAATTTAAAAGTAAAATAAATTGTGACATTTATTTCACAATACTGTTAGGTTATACTATTCAATATTTCCCATAAACATTTTACCCTTTTTCTTTTTCTTTTTTTGAGTCAGGGTCTCACTCTGTCGCACAGGCTGGAGTGCAGCGGCGCAGTCATGGCTCACTGCAGCCTCGGCCACCTGGGCTCAATAGATCCTCCCACCTCAGCCTCCCAAATAGCTGGGACTACAGGCACGCACCACTATGCCTAGCTAATATTTTTGTTTGTTTGTTTGTTTTTGTTTCGCCATGTGGCCCAGGCTGGTCTCAAACTCATGGGCTCAGGGATCTGCTCGCCTCAGCCTCCCAAAGTGCTGGGATTATAGGCGTGAGCCACTTCACCCAGCTGAATTTACCCATTTCTAAAGTAACAAACACTGAAGTCTTAACCTGAAAATGTCTCTCTCTCTCTCTCTCACACACACACACACACACACACCCCCCACATATGCACATGCAGACAGCAAATTAAAATGGAAAACAGCTCTTACCTTCATCTCCTTCTGGTGCATATGAAGCTGTAATAATATCAATATCAGCACAATTCATCACAATCTGATTAGTCGCCTGCCTCACCTAAGGGGAAAAGGAAAATCAACAGTGTCAGAAATAGCCTAGATTAATAGTATATACAACTTGGCCAGGTGTGTTGGCACACACCTGTAATCCCAGCACTTTGGGAGGCTAAGCAAAGAGGATCGCTTGAGCCCAGGAGTTTGAGACCAGCCTGGAAAACATGGCGAAACCCCATCTCTACAAAAAATACAAAAATTGGCCAGGAGTTGTGATGTGTGCCTATAGTCCCAGCTACTCGGGAGGTTGAAGTGGGAGGACTGCTTGAGCCCAGGAGGTTGAGGCTGCAATAAACTGTGATTGTGCAGCTGCACTCCATCCTGGGCAACTGAGCAAGACTCTGTGTCTCTCAAATAATAATAATAATGATGTTCGTAAGACTTGAACTAATATCACAGTCAATTTTTTAAAATCCAGACTTCGCTAAAACCTAGACTGAGAATTTATGCATCAATGGTACAAATAAATGAAGTTGTAATAATCCAAAGCAACTCATATTTTCCAAATTATATTAAAAACAATAATGGATGTTTAAGTATTTCACATCACTTACATCTAACCAATGAGCCAAATAAAATAATGTTTTCTACTTAAACTTTGATTTTAAACTATTAAAGGGCTGGGCACAGTGGCTCATGCCTGTAATCCCAACACTTTGGGAGGCTGAGGCAGGAGGATTACTTGAGGTCAAAAATTCAAGACCAGCTTGGGCAACACAGTGAGACAAAAAAAAATTTTAAATTAGGAGGTTGTGATGGTACCCACCTATAGTCCTAACTACAGGAGAGGCTGAAGGAGGAGGATCCCTTAAGCCCAGGAGGTCAAGCAAGGCTGCAGTGAGCTATGATTACATCACTGACCTCCGGCCTGAACAACAGAGTGAGACTCTGTCTCAAAAAATAAAAATAGGCTGGGGGCATCGGCTCACACCTGTAATCTTGGCACCTTGGGAGGCCGAGGCAGGCGGATCACTTGAGGTCAGGAGTTTGAGATCAGCCTGGCCAACATGGTGTAACCCCATCTCTACTAAAAATTAGCCAGGTCTGGTGGCACACACCTGTAATCCCAGCTACTCACGATGCAGGGGCAGGAGAATCACTTGAACCCAGGAGGTGAGCTTGCAATGGGCCGAGATCGCACCATTGCACTGCAGCCTGGGCGACAGAGTGAGCCTACGTCTCAAAAAAAAAAAAAAGAATACAAAAATCAGCCAGGCAAGGTGGCATAGGCCTGTAATTCCAGCTACTCAGGGGGCTGAGGCACGACAATTGCTTAAACCCGGGAGGCAGAGATTGCAGTGGGCTGAAATCCTGCCACTACACTCCAGCCTGGTAACAGAGTGAAACTCTATCTCAAAATAAATAAATAAATACGTTTAATTTCATAAAAATCTTAATTAGGAAACATTTCTTACAACATATTGCAATAATTATATATTTTAACCTGCACATCAAACTCACCATGAGGCCTTCTGTGAGGATAGAGGAAGAAGGCTGATACTATAAATTATGTCAAAACTTTATACAATAACTCTTACCACCGAGTGTGGTGGCTCACACCTGTAATCCTAGCACTTTTGGAGGGTCAGGCAGGCAGATCACTTGAGGCCAGGAATTCAAGACCAGCCTGGCTGACATAGAGAGTAGAGAGACCCCATCTCCACTAAAAATACAAAAATTAAGGCCGGGCACGGTGGCTCACGCCTGTAATCCCAGCACTTTGGGAGGCCGAGGCAGGCGGATCATGAGGTCAGGAGATCGAGACCATCCTGGCTAACATGGTGAAACCCCGTCTCTGCTAAAAATACAAAAAATTAGCCGGGCATGGTGGCAGGTGCCTGTAGTCCCAGCTACTCGGGAGGCTGAGGCAGGAGAATGATGTGAACCTGGGAGACGGAGCTTGCAGTGAGCGGAGATTGTGCCACCGCGCTCCAGCCTGAGCAACAGAGCAAGACTCTGTCTCAAAAATAAATAAATAAATAAATAAACAAACAAACTAGCATCTTGGTCCATGTTTTCCTGTGCACACATGAGAGAATTTTTCCATGGAAAGGAACCTAATAGTGGACTTTCTGGATTGTTGGACATAAATCTTCAACTTTACCAAGAACTGCCAAATTATCCTCTAGAGTGGTGTCAACTGACATTCCCATGAGCAAAGAATGAAGAAATCCCACTTTCAGCATGTTCTGAAAAACTTTAGTATTTTTGACAATCTAATGGGTATTAAATGATAGTCCTGGCCAGGCACAGTGGCTCACGCCTGTAATCCCAGCACTTTGGGAGGCTGAGGTGGGTGGATCACTTGAGGTCAGGAGTTCAACACCAGCCTGACCAACATGGTGAAACCCCATTTCTACTAAAAAAAAAAAAAAAAAAAAAAAAAAAAAAAAATTAGCCAGGCCTGTGGTGCGTGCCTGTAATCCCAGCTACTTGGAAGGCTGAAGCAGGAGAATCACTTGAACCCAGGTAGTGGAGGTTGCAGTGAGCTAGATTGAGCCATTGCACTCCAGCCTGGGCAACAAGAGCAAAACTTTGTCTCAAAAATTAAAAAAAAAAATTTTTGTACTGATAGTCCATTGGTTTAATCAGAATTTCCCTGATTACTAATAACATTGGTTACTATGCATCTTTTCTCGTGTGTGTGTGTGTGTGTGTGCACGCGCCATTAAGTTTTTCCACTGTGAACTGCTTGTTTAACACTCTTGTGCATTTTTCTTTTTTTTTTTTTTTTTTGAGATGGAGTCTCGCTCTCTCACCCAGGCTGGAGTGCAATGATGCGATCTTGGCTCACTGCAACCTCCATCTCCTAGGTTCAAGTGATTCTCCTGCCTCAGCCTCCTGAGTAGCTGGGATTACAGGTGTGCAACACCACACCCATCTAATTTTTGTATTTTTAGTAGAGATGGGGTTTCACCTTGTTGGTCAGGCTGGTCTCAAACTCCTGACCTCGTGATTCGCCCGTCTCAGCCTCCCAAAGTGCTGAGATTACAGACGTCAGCCACCACGCCTGGCCTCTTGTGCATTTTTCAATTTAGTCATAACCTTGCTTAAAACAAAACTTCAAATTCATTTCCAGACATTTGAATGTTCTAAATCTAAAATAACAAAAACACAGATGCCCTAAATCACAAAGAAATGCTTCCTGAGGCAGGTAAGTGTAGCAAGCCATGTGGAAGCTGTGCACAACCCCTTAAAAGAAGGAGGTGGTAGCCATTTCTTGGAGCCAAAGAATTATCGCTATGGTGACTGGCAGGTTTAGTGCTGACAGATCTTCCAATTTTTTTTTTTTTTTTTGAGACGGAGTTTTGCTCTTGTTGCCCAGGCTGGAGTGCAATGGCGTGATCTCGGCTCACCGCAACCTCCGCCTCCCAGGTTCAAGCGATTTTCCTGCCTCAGCCTCCCTAGTAGCTGGGATTACAGGCATGTGCCACCACGCCCGGTAAATTTTGTATTTCTAGTACAGACGGGGTTTCTCCATGTTGGTCAGGCTGGTCTCGAACTCCCGACCTCAGGTGATCTGACCGCCTCGGCCTCCCAAAGTGCTGGGATTACAGGCATGAGCCACCGCACCTGGCCTGATCTTCCAATTTTTTTTTTTAAAAGCTACAAATTCAGATTTCATGTGCAGTCTCTCTATTTTTTATTAATGGTAACTAATTCAAGTTTTCAGAAACACTGTATAGACCAAACAAAATCTGTGTGCAGATCAACAATGCTCTTAGACAACTGAACATACCACAAAACTAGGTAAGAACATCAGAGTAGTACGATATCTGCATGAAAGACCTGTATACGGGTAATCATTTATTAATAACCAATACATATTTAAACATGATTAGCTGGCAACTAAAATTACCTGCCTAAATGAGAGACAGTAAATTACAAAGTCTATAATGAGCTATTCAAAATCTGTAACACATAAAGTGAAACTACTTTGGCTTACAAAAAAAATGCTTCTCATAAGTCTTCATGTTTCAAAACAAAGACGTCATTTAATGAATGGCTTATCTTTTAAGCAGCAATATTCCTTCACACTATTTCACCAAAACATACCTAAATAGCACTAAAACCTTTGTGTCCAACTGGCGATTTATAGCACTAAAGTTGAACAAAAAAACAAAAAGAATTCTTTGCCTATTCAGAAGTTGACTTAAAAATTCAGAAACATGGCTGGGCACGGCAGCTCATGCCTGTAATCCCAGAACTTTGGGAGGCCAAGGTGGGTGGATCACGAGGTCAGGGGTTCGAGACCAGCCTGGCTAACATGGTGAAACCCCATCTCTACTAAAAATACAAAGATTAGCTGGGCGTGGTGGCAGGCACCTGTAATCCCAGCTACTCGGGAGGCTGAGGCAGGAGAATCGCTTGAACCCAGGAGGTGGAGGTTGCAGTGAGCCGAAATCGCGCCATTGCACTCCAACCTGGGCGACAAAAGCAAGACTCCATCTTAAAAAAAAAAAAAATCAGAAACACAAAGAAATGAAGCACTTACTGGGGTATGCTCCAATGGGTAAAATGAATAAAAACCTTTCTGAGTTTGAAGTTTATGCCAGCAAAATAATAACTGTGGTTTAGTTACTGGTCTTAATCATTACCTAGGCAACCACACTTTCATCCATCAACATCTACAGTGAATTTCACAGTAGCCAAGCAGTTAATCCACCAATGTCAAGATACCTGTACAACATTATACATGCCAAATCACACAGCACATTACTACTGCAACCATTTGAGAGAAAGTATTTGTGCATTTTGGAAAGGCACCATGCACAACATCCAATTTCAAGTACCTTCCAACTCCTCCTGTGTTTAGGGGAAACTCATCTATTTATACTAATGAATTAAGCTGTTTCTTGAATTGCTACTAATTTTTTTTTTCCAGGATACTACCATTTCTGGAAGGGTGGGAGGGAGGAACCAAAGGAACAAAGGTACTTATCTTAAAAATAGAAATCCATTCACATTTTAAAAATTGGTCAGCATCTTGTCTTATATTAGAGATGCACTTATTTAAAAAGTTGACCAATAATGGGATAATCTATGTAAAGTCTCTGTTTTAGCACTTAGTGCCTCATATGTAGTCATCACTTAATAGATGTTAAGACATACATATACACACACACAGGTTAAATTGTGCTCTCATATCATCTAACAGCATTCACCTAACAGTTTATAAAGCTTCTGATCAGAATGATATGAAGTTTAAAAACTATGTATTGTATTATATGGCACTTTGGATATCAGCATATGTGTACTACCCCAAGAAGGTAATTTAAAATATCTGTCTGGACATAAGTGTATGTGCTGACTACAACGCAGTGTAACACTGCTCTTTGTGATGCTGCTCTTCCAAACAGTAGTGCTGACCTGATGGTGTAGTACATGATTTCTCACCTTTGACACCTTCATATTAGTAAATATTAGCTGTGTGTTCCACTATCAAAAAAACAGGTAATAATTCAAAGAAATTTCAGCATTAAAATCTTCAGTTTCCCAGTTTAAAACACAAGTGAAACAAGGTTGGCATATAAAAGTGCACTGATAACAAGCTCATTTTCAATTTTTCTACTTGATGTTATTAAAGGATAGAATGTTAGTGTATCCTTGCTTTGTTTCAAACCCAGGATTAAGTCTTCTTGGCCTCCTATATAGACTGCACTTCAACTGAGCCAAATACTAAGTAAGGGCTGTACCAAAGAGGCAGCTTGACGCCTGGTAACAACTTTACAATGGAAGTTTCCTATGAGCTAGGGAGGCAGAAATCGGAGATAACATTTTCCTGAATGAGTCTTTACTATAGTCACTCAGGAACATATCTTACATGTACGATAGTAAGACTCAAGAGGGTTTTTTTCTGATTGTCAATGTCCTGAGACTTCAGTAAAAGAAAATCTCCAGTGTGACAATTCCAAATGCCAGTCTGAAGCCTGAGTCAATTTGCCTAATAAAACTGATTTCACCATTAAAATAGCAATAATTGTTGCCTTGGTGGAACAGTTCTATAATAGCTAAAGACAAGAAGAAGCAGATAATTAGTAAACTCAAGTTGAGCCAAGTTTTCTAACAAGAAACACTGAAAAGAGCCATTTGCAGAAGGTCAAAAATAATTACCATTAATGTAAAAATGCAAAAGGCACAGAATATTGGTATGTGATGTTTGTGGCTACTAATATGCAATTAAAGTTTTAAACTATACGTAGGAATAAAAAGGAATAATACGCACCTACCTGAAGAAAGAAGTTACTTCTAGAGGCAGGGTGGGACGAGATGGAAACGGGCTTTAGTGGTATCTGTGACATTTTATTCCCCCCCAAAAAAAGCATGCACAGTCTGATGAAAATGGGGCAAAATGTTAACATCTGTTTAATCTCATAGTGTGTGACTTTCTTGTATTTCTAAAATACTTCCTAATTTAAAATAAAATTTTAAAGAGATTACAAGTGACCAAATAAACCAAGAACCACATACTTGTATGGTGTTCAAAACAAAATCACTAAAATCTAGAGAACTAATCTCAGTTAACAACAAAAGCCATCCGAAGGCTCAGTTATTTCCCACTGACTCACATACAGATTAGAGTAAGATTTACTTCACAACAAGAGCAGGCTCATTTATGTGGCAAAGTTCGGAGAAGCTTCACAGATAATTTACTACTCAAGACCACATTTACCCAGGTTGTATCAGAGTATCAGTTGTATCTAGAACCAGGAAGCTAAAAAGAAAGAAAAAAAAAAAAGGCCTGGATGAAAAGCCAAAATAGGTGATACAAAGTCCGTACAATAAAACACATACCCTTTACTCAGAAGAGAATCCAACAAACTCTCACACAGCAATTGATTTTTTAGCCCAAACAAGCTTGTTTATCTGGCTACTAAGGCTTCTTCAGATGAAGTTCAGTAAAATACAAGAGGGAAGAAATTGCACAACAGGCAGCAACAAGGCACAATAAGCAGCAAGAAGAATCTGAGAGTAAGGAAAACAAAACAATTTTAAAGAACAGACACAGGCTAGCCGGGTGCGGTGGCTCAGGCCTGTAATCCCAGCACTTTGGGAGGCCGAGGCGGGTGGATCACAAGGTCACGAGTTCGAGACCAGCCTGGCCAATATGGTGAAACCCCTTCTCTACTAAAAATTCAAAAATTAGCCTGGCATGATGGCAGGTGCCTGTAGTCCCAGCTACTTGGATGAGGCAGGAGAATCGCTTAAACCCGGGAGGCGGAGGTTGCAGTGAGCTGAGATCACGCCACTGCACTCCGGCCTTGGCGACAGAGCAAGACTCTGTCTCAAAAAAAAAAAAAAAAAAAAAAAAGAACAGATATGGACTAGGCGCGGTGGGTCATGCCTGTAATCCCAGCACTTTGGGAGGCAGAGGCGGGCGGATCACCTGAGGTCGGGTGTTTGAGACCAGCCTAGCTAACATGGTGAAACCTGGTCTCTACAGAAATACAAAAATTAGCCAGGTGTGGTGGCATGCACCTGTAATCCCAGCTACTAGGGAGGCTGAGGCAGGAGAATCCCTTGAACTAGGGAAGTGGAGGTTGCAGTGAGCCGAGATCGCACCACTGCACACTCCAGCCTGGCCTAGGCAACAGAGTGAGACTCTGTCTCAAAAAAAAAAAAAAAAAAAAAGAACAGATATGGCTTGGCGCGGTGGCTCACACTTGTAATCCCAGCACTTTGGCAGGCGGAGGCAGGCAGATCACCTGATGTCAGGAGTTCAAGACCAGCCTGGCCAACATGGTGAAACCCTGTCTCTACTAAAAATACAAAATTAGCCAGGCGTGGTGGTGCATGCCTGTAATCCCAGCTACTAGGGAGGCTGAGGCAGGAGAACTGCCTGAACCCGGGAGGCAGAGGTTGCAGTGAGCCGAGATTGTGCCACTGCACAATCTCCCTCCTGCCATCTTGTGAAGAAGGTGCCTGCTTCCCCTTCCCCTTCTGCCATGATTGTAAGTTTCCGGAACTGCAAGTCAATTAAGCCTGTTTCCTTTATAAATTACCCAATCTCAGGTATTTCTTTACATCAGTGTGAAAACAAATGAATACAGTCCCCTTCCCTGAGGTGCCTTCTCCTTAGGCAACCAGCTGCCCCCATGCTCCTCTTCTGCCCCCCTGGTATTTCCTTTCCCCTCATGAGGCCCAAGTGATCCACATGGCCAGCCACAGCCCCATCCTACTGCAGGCCTGTGTGGCTGCTAGAGAGGCCAGGCTCCTTTCCGCACCCCGAGGCTGCCCGATATGCTTTCTGCATCCTGTAGAAAACTGACCCACTATTCTCATACTGGTGCAACTTCTTCCATTACCTCAAAACTGGACAACGTGAACTTGTTTCTTGTCTCTTCTTGCTAGGGCTGTCACTGGGACAGTCCGAGATGGGGGGGTGGGGGGAGACAATGGATGAATGGATGGATGAATGGACAGTAGTCCAGGGAGATGTCCCTGTGTGTCCTGAACTGGGACCTTCCTCCAATGAGAAGCCTTCCTGAGTGAGTTTATACAGTCATCCCTTGGTATCCATGGATTAGTTCTAGGGTCCCCGGGGATGCCAAAATCCATGGATCCTCAAGTCTCTGACATAACATGGCCTAGTATTTACATATCAGCTATGCACATCCTCCCGTAGACATTAGACCATCTCTGGATTATTCATGATGTGTAATACAATGCAGATGCTACATAAATGGTCGTGATACTGGATTCTTTAGGGAATAATGACAAGAACAAACTCTGCACATGTTCAATAGAAACATAACCGTCCAATTTATTTTCTGAATATTTTCCATCTGCTGTTGCTGAATCTACAGATGCAGAGCTCCTGGATACGAGAGCCAAGTGTGCTTTGAGAGTAGGGTGGGTGAGGTTGCTAATGAGTACAGGGGAGCAGGTGTTGATCAGGAGGACCCTGCACTGGGGCATCTGGACGTCCTGCCTCAGGACTTGAGACTCCAGTTGGATGGCACAGGCAGACTCAGCCCAGGTCAAAGCCGTCCCCTTGAAGTTTCTTTTTATCCCAAGCTCTTTCTGGCCCCTGGAATTTGGCATCCCCTAGGCCCTGTGTGGAAGGACAGATGAACCAGGTTTTAGATAACATGTCTAGAAGAGTGAGCCCCTACTGTGTGCCCGGCACTTTCCCCACAGGATCCTCTAGCTAGAATATCCAAGGGTCATGGAGAGAAATACCCAGTTAAAATATCAGAAATGAAAAAGCGATACCATTAGAGACACTAAAAAGACCATTAGGTAATAGTACTAGCTTTTGTATTCTGAGATCCAACAGCAGCAGTCACTTCCCTCCACCGCTATGTGTATCCCAGGACCACCCTGGGCGGGGAGGGCTGAGGTTAGGGAGCAGCCATGGATGCTCTGATGCTGGCCCTGGGCCTCGGGGGTGACAGTGATGAGGAACTGGGTGCACACATGAGTGGGGCAGCCGGGCCTGGCCAGAGAAGCAGCACACACGTGCACAGATGTGTTTACCCACATACACATGTGCACGCACGTGCACAAACACATTGCAGGCAGGCATGTTGACGCCTCAGGCAGCGGAGGACCCTGACTCTGGGCGCTGCTGACCCGGGCAAGGCCCCACTGTGATTCGTGCCATGACCTCAGAATGTCACTGGTGCTTAGCACCTATCTGCTCTCTGGTCTGCCTCAGTGGTCTACAGCAGTTACACACAGGCAGTGGTATCTGTGAGCAGCTCTGTGGACTCAAAGGTTTTCTCCCTGAGAGGCACGACCCAGGCCAGCTGATTCATCAGAATCAGGTGAGCGTGACCTGCTCTCTTCCCTCCAGGCGGACTTGGGGGCAGTGGCTACGGTGCGGGCGGTGTTGGCCTCTGTGGGGCAGCTACCGAGGAGGGTCATCCCTGAGCACTCACCAGGCGCCCGTTCTACACTGCCCGTGTAGACGATTGGCTCTTTCGTCTCCATGGTGGCTTCGTAGAGTGGGTGCTGTTCCCAAATGTCCCCATTCGACAGATGAGACGTCTGGGGTCAGAGAGGCAGTAACCGGCCTGGGAATCCGGACATGACCCTGAGTTTTGCTCTCAGCCCTGCCGTGTGCTGTGCTGGAATTCAGGCCTGAACCCTGTGACCTCCCTGCCCTAGATCCCAAATCTGCCCAGGTTTCCCATCCCGATGGGGCAGAGCCTGGTCCTGGCAGAGCCACTGGTATAGAGCCACTGGTACAGATCCACTGACGGTCCTCAGAACACCTCTGTGCCCTAAGCTGGGTCCTGATGGTCGCTGTGGGCCCCACTGAACACACATGGTCCCTTGTCCGGGGGAGCCTGCTGCCCTTGGGCAGCTGTGGAAAATGAAGGAGCCCTGGAGGGCTGGCTGAGGGGAGACTATCTTCCCTTGTGTTCAAAGGGGTCCGGGCACTAGGGTTCTCCCCAGGTATTTCTTGCTCTGCGTGGTCCTCTTGAGGCCTCGCCCTCCTTTTGCCTCGAGTATTCCCAGGAGGGACGGTCCATCCAGCTGTTCTCCAGGACCAAGGACCCACTGTTCTTCCTCAGTGACCCAGGAAAATGAAGCCTCCTCCTGTTGGGACGGCTCAGAATGGTGGACTCCACAGTCCCTCCGCGAGAGACGTGGTTTCCATGCGTACAATAGATCTTTCTCATCCCCCAAACCCAACACCCTCCTGCTCAACAGGCGTTATTCCTAAAGTGGCTTCACTGTTCAGACTGAAGAGCCACGGTAGCCAAAGTGATGAGCGGAGTAGAACCGAGCAGTCGGGAGAGATCTTGTTCCCTGTAGGAAACTGGGCATCGCTGAGGCCCTGAGCATCCCAGGAGGCCGATTGCACAGAGACCTCTGGTCGCTGACCCCAGTCTGCCTCCACATCCCTGGAATAGCCCATCATGGGCCCTTCACCCTTGGCAGGTGGAAACCATTCAACCTGCTGGGGCCGGTGTGTCCCCATTTCATGGCATTGGGGGACAACAGGATTCTCTGTCTAGGTCCCACTGTACTCAAGTCCTTGGGAAGATGCCCACCCCTGCTTGGGACTTGAGACTCCAGAGACTGGAGCAGCTGTGGGCCACTGGGTCTGGCCCCTTTTTCCCTGGGGGCGGCGGTGGAATGGGGGTTACGCAGCCAGCCAGCATCTGGGAGCCCGGCGAGAGCGGTTCAGGTGTTCTCCGAAGCCGCCGCGTACGGTGTGACCTTTAGACAATTCTGTCTCACAGGATGGACGTGGTAGAGGTCGCGGGCAGTTGGTGGGCACAAGAGCGAGAGGACATCATTATGAAATACGAAAAGGTACAAGTCGGTCTGCTTCTTGGAGGGAGGCCTCTTCCAGTGTGCCCTGGTCAAAGGGTCCTGGGCTCCCTAGGAGCACAGGGCAGGGACGGGTGGCCAATGCCCCCAGGCCCTTGCACCCTTTACCTTGGACCCCTCACCAAGGCTCCCTCTGGGCTACAGGGACACCGAGCTGGGCTGCCAGAGGACAAGGGGCCTAAGCCTTTTCGAAGCTACAACAACAACGTCGATCATTTGGGGATTGTACAGTGAGTCCTCTGCACTCCCCTCACCCCTAAAGCACCTGTCTCAGCTCAGGGATGGGTTTGCTTTTAGAAAGGCCTTTCTGACGCAGGACATGTCTCACCAGGTCGGGTCAACCTCCTTTCCAGGGACAGAACTCCTCCCTGACTCCCCTGCAGGTCCAGCCCGAGGTTGTTAGGCCAGAGGTGTGGGGCCCATCTAGGGAGCCGGTGGGAATGGAGACTGGGCTAGGTCAGGCCCCTGGGCGCTCAGCAGTTCTGTCGGCAAGTGAGCACAAGAGGAGCGGGGCAGCCTGAGGGTCTGGCCCTGTCTACTTGGAGACAACCCCGGTGAGATGCAAGGGTTATGGCCACAGGGTGAGGAGACGCCTGGCCCAGCCTCAGGGCTGTTGTCCAGCAGGTCTCTGAGGGCCCACCTGCCCCTGTTCTCCCCCATTCCCCTAGAGCTACAGCCCTCACTGTCCCGTGAGGGGAAAAGGCATGGTGACAATGGGGGCTGTAGCCCTAGGAGAACGGGGGAGAAGATGGGCAGGGCCCCGTTCTGGGCATCTCACGGTGAGGCCAGGGAGGCAGCAGGGCTCGCGGCTAAAGACCTGGGTCTGGTGCTGGGAAGGGATCTGGGGCCGGGTAAGAGGAGCCCAGCCAGGAGCCCATCCCTCAGGGATCACAGGATGGAGAGACAGAGGATCCCTGGGGAGGTAGGGCGGGAGGGAGCTGACGAGCCGTGCCACTTCTGAAACGCAGGGTGTGTGGCTCGGGTGCAGGGAGAGGCAGGTGGATGCTGGGAGGTCAGAACCTGCAAGGGCCTTGGGGCTGTCAAGTGGGGTGGGCCCCTGGTGCAGCCAGAGTACACCGGGCAGGTCTCAGGGCAGGCTCCCTTGACCCTGGCGGGGGGATGTGGTCACTCCCTGAGGGACTCCTGTCAGGGCCCGGTCGCCCACCCTGGGCGGCCCCCATCCCATCTCAGGGCTAACCTTTCTCAGCTCCAGCAGAAAGCACCACCTCGAGTCCAGGACGGGCAGCCCCATTGGGCAGCCTGACCGCCCCCCACGCCAGGGGCCCCAGTAACCCCGGCCAGGCTGTCCCTACACTCCTTCTTCTCCCAGGTCCTGCCCCTCCTGGGAGTCAGCCCCACAGGAAGGCCCTTGTCCTCCCTTCCCTGTGCCTTCTCCTGGGCTGAGCCCTGAGCTGGAAAGGGACAGAGCCAGTCCTTTCTGGGGGTCGGCACCCAGGCTGGGGCCGCTCCAGGCCCCGTGCAGTTCCTCAGCTCTGCCTGGGTTGCCTTACAGTGAGACGGAGCTGCCTCCTCTGACTGCGCGGGAGGCGAAGGTAAGAGCCTGATGCGTGGAGGGGCTGGTCCAGGGACGTAGGGACTGGGCGGGTGGTCAGTGAGGCAGAGGAAGCAGCTGGCCTGAGCGGTGGCGGGTGAGGGCAACACGCTGTCACTGGGAGGGGCAGCAGTCCCTGCTGGACCTGACCCCAGGTTGCTGTTCACTTTGGCAGTTTGATAAAATTCCAAAAGGAGAACCACAGTCCTGGCTTGGGGGTGGCTGCGCGCTTGTGTCAGGACCCCACCTAGAGGCTGGGACCTAAGACTGGTGTGTCTGTGGCCTGAGGATGGTACATCCCGGGGTCCCAAAGCCAGCCCACTGGTGCTCATTTGCTCAAAGGCTCTCAGCCCTTGAGGTCTGCCCTTCCCTGGCTCCTTCCAGCTGGCTCCCACCAGGGCTCCAGAGCCCAAGACCCAGCATCCGCGGGCGGCTCTGGGAAGCCTGGCAGCTCCGCTAACTCCAACATGCCTCATTTGACAGCAAATTCGGCGGGAGATCAGCCGAAAGAGCAAGTGGGTGGATATGCTGGGAGACTGGGAGAAATACAAAAGCAGCAGAAAGGTAACGTGTGGAGGGAGGAAGCACTCTCTGCAGAGACAGGGGACAGGCACCCATGGCTGTGGCCTGGCACCATCAGCCTCTCAGAGGGTGGGCGGCACACTGTCCTCGCCCAGAGGACTGCAGGCCTGGTCGCCAGATTTCCTGCCTATTCGTGCAAGCGTCACCTTGCAGGGAGGGAATCTGAATCTAGGGCTGGGACTACCCGGAGCTCAAGGCTAGGGATGCCCTGGTGACCTGAAGGAAGGAAAAGGTTCAGATCAGAGTTTCGACTCTGAGTGTCCATCCACTCTTTCAGTCCTGGGAAGGGAGACCCTGTCCCAGCTTGATCTCACCTCTACTGAGGAATCATGGGGCCAAAACCGACAATTTCCAGAATCCCCGGGCTCTGGTCCTCACTGGGGTCACCCCGTGGCCTGTGACACCAGATCGTTTTCTGCCCACAGCTCATAGATCGAGCGTACAAGGGAATGCCCATGAACATCCGGGGCCCGATGTGGTCAGTCCTCCTGAACACTGAGGAAATGAAGTTGAAAAACCCCGGAAGATACCAGGTACGCTCAGCCAGAGCACAACAAACAGGACAGGCCGTGTCGGGGCCCAGGTCTCCAGCTGGAGGGAACGTCAAGACCACCCTGGGGAGCTGGGGGTGAAGGTCAGATGAACACCCTGGGCACAGATGGTGACACAGTCACCACAGACAAACTCAGCTCTGGTGACCCTCCCTGGCTTCAGTAACAAGCCAAAATGCAGCTTTCTGCAGAAGGAAACCTTCCTTCTGTCCTTCCTTCCCGAAGTGCTGACTGTGGGCTGACTGCCACTGGGGGCAGGGAGTCTTCCATCTGTTCTGAGACTGCTTCCTCCTCTTGGCCCTGCCCTACAGATCATGAAGGAGAAGGGCAAGAGGTCATCTGAGCACATCCAGCGCATCGACCGGGACGTAAGCGGGACATTAAGGAAGCATATATTCTTCAGGGATCGATACGGAACCAAGTAAGCCTACGGGAGCCACAGGGTCCCAGCAGAGATGGGGTGAATGAGAGGGATGGGGGCTTCCCCGGAGCAGAAGCCAGGGTCACCCAGGAGGGATGACACAGCTGCCAAGAGCTCTCCCGGCCCAGGGAGCAGCCGGCACCATGAACCGAGCACCTCCCTGGTTCCAAGCCCTGGGCCAGACTGGAACATGTGGGGCCAGAACCCAGGAGGATCCTGAGGAGATGGAAGGCAGCAAACAACATCATGCACAATGGTGAAGGGTGCTCTCCCTGACCCATGGGGACCCATGGTAGGACCCACGGGAGGGTGGCAGGATAGAGGGCCCATGAGCCCCCCCCAGGCAACAGTGACAGCACCAAATGCTGGGAGAATTAGGGGTCCTGGAAACTCTCATCCAGGTCCGCTGGGAACATGACATGGCACAGCCACGTTGGCAGCCCGTTGGGCAGTGGCTCACAAAGCTCGATGGACTTGAACCACACATCCCCAAAGTGTCACAGATATTGAACCCACTGATTTGCAAACTGACATCCACATGAAACCAGCATGCCAGGTTCACTGCTTGACTCCTCGTCACTCACACACGGAGCCTTCGGGGACGGCCTTCAACACGGGGATGGGGAGAGCAAGGCTGGTCCTCCCTTCAAACGGAAGACCCAGTGAGAAAAGGGAACGAGCCGGTGATGCCCGCACGAACGTGGGTGGATCCTAGATGCATTTTGCTGAGGGACAGAAGCCAGACCCAATAAGCTACCACAGTAGGATTCCCATTCCTAGGCCATTCTGGAAAAGGCCAAACCACAGGGACTGAGAAGCAGTCTGGGTGGCCAGGGGCTGACGGATCGGGGAGAGGCTGGGTGCATAGGGGCCACCCTGGAGACTTGGAGGATGAAGGAGTCGCCCCAGGAGGGGCTGGAGCGGTGGCCGGGAGACTCTGCACATCGGTTTGGAACCGTGGAGGAACTGTACACCCACAGACTGAACTGGCGTGTGTGCAAACTGAAAAAAAAAAAAAAAAATCATTCAGAGTGAAAAGGATCAGGCAAGTCACTGTACAACTGGGCTATTTGCATGTCACAGATGTGGATTTTACTGAAACATTTCTTCAAGAGTCTCAGGCCCTGAAGAGCTCACTGCTTATCTGGTGAAACATCTGAACCTGAAATGGGATTTGCTGTTAGGCTTTGTAGACAAAGTGAAATTAACAACATCTGCACAAAACAAACCAAAGCCCCCTTTCTCTGTTTCCTAGGCAGCGGGAACTACTCCACATCCTCCTGGCATATGAGGAGTACAACCCGGTGAGTATTCCCGGCAGTGAGGTTCCCGGGCCATATTTCCATATTGACAGGAGTGGGTGTCTGGTGGGGGTGTCGTTGCTTCTTTTAAAGTTAGTATTTGTGACCCACCAGGATATAGGAGGTAGGATGTCAGCTCACCGCTGGCATAAACCTCCAAGGAAGGGGGTGGTCTCAAGGGGTCAAGCTGAGACACAAAGGAGTCAGGGCCTGGACTCCTGGTGTCACCTGGGCCTGACCACCACTTCTCAGAACAAGAAATGACGCCCTCCTCCTGGGGCTGCCCCAAAGCCCAGGAGCTTGGCAGCATCGCACACAGGATGGTGCTATCAGCAGACATTTTGGACAAGGTGCTGAAGTGCCTGATGGACTTGGCTCTTGTCATGAAATGAATGTGCATCCTGAGGAAGCCTCTTTTTCAGAGGAAGCCTCTCCTTCAGAGGAAGCCTCTCCAGTCACCTCTGCCCTCTCCAATGACATGAGTCCTCCCAGGTGACCTCAGCCCTCCCAGGTGATGTCCTTCCATGGTGACTCTGGCTCTTGCAGGAGGTGGGCTACTGCAGGGACCTGAGCCACATCGCCGCCTTGTTCCTCCTCTATCTTCCTGAGGAGGATGCATTCTGGGCACTGGTGCAGCTGCTGGCCAGTGAGAGGCACTCCCTGCAGGGTAAGTGAACAGCTGCCCCGGGGACCTCCTGCAGCCAGACCTGGGGATGGCCACCCTGGCCAGGTGATCACAGCTTTCAGCCAAGGCACCCTCCTTGTGTCGCCAGCTTGTTGGGAGACTTTAGGATGTCTCTGCTGAGGGTCCCACAGGAGTCCACGGCTGACCCCCAAAGCCCAAATCAGACGCCTCTCATCCCCATCAGCAGAGGGCATCTCATCCTCCCCGTGGCCACCCTCTGTGTCCTGGAGCCACGCCCTCCGGCTCTGATTCTGTGCAGCTGACTCTCCCCTCCCTGAGAGTCCTCCTGCCCTCCAGCTGCCCGGGCTCCTGCTGCCATCGGTGCCCACGAATGGGCCGACCAAGCCCAGGTGGCAGCATCTCCCCATCCCCTGTTCCCTGGCCCGACCCCACTACCAGGAGATGACCGGGAAGCCCAGCGCCCACCCAGTTCCGGCCACCCTGTCGTGGCCTGAAAGTCAGGCTTGCCCTTTTTGCACCCTGGCCCAGGAGGCCTCCAGGGGAACCTCCAGCCAGGCTCCAGGGAATGTTCCCGCCCCACCTCCCCAGGGTAAAGGCCGCATGTTGGGGTCACCAGACGGGAGGGTGGGAGGCCTTGGGGTTTGGGGGCCTCTCCAGCTGCCCAGCTCTTGCAGCTGATGGCTCCACATCTTGGGGGAAGGCTCTGATTTCATGATGGGCTGGGGGCTTCTCAGGATTTCACAGCCCAAATGGCGGGACCGTCCAGGGGCTCCAAGACCAACAGGAGCATGTGGTAGCCACGTCACAACCCAAGACCATGGGGCATCAGGTGAGTTTATGGTCCCCTCAGCTCTTCCCAGAGGCCCTGCCTCCCGTGGGGCTGTAGGAGCAGGGGGGCTGGAGCCCCTCGTGGGGCTGGTGACTGGCTGAGTCCCAGCCAGGGCCTGACCTGGGACGTCGGGTTCTCCATGGGCTGGGAGTTGGTTTCCTTTCCTGCCCTGGAGGAGACAGAGGCACAGGGATGGGGGGCCCAGCTCCCGCAGAGCAGGGCAAAGGGCAGTGTGTCCACCGGGAGTGTGGGAAGGTGACAGTGTTGTGGGGAGCTCTGGACACCGCCCAGTGTTCTGCACTAGGGGAAGGGTCTTCAGAGGCCCTGGAAGAGGGAGGTTTTTAGGGCAGCCCAGTGGCCTGAGCACCTCTGTTGCTTCCATCAGGACAAGAAAGATCTATGTGGGCAGTGTTCCCCGTTAGGCTGCCTCATCCGGATATTGATTGACGGGGTAAGGAGGCATAGGGAGACCCTGGCTCAGGGACCTTCCTTGCCCTGCAGTGCCCTGCTTCCCCAGCCCGGGGGTCTGGCTCACTCCCAGCCCACAGGAGGCTCAGGCGGGTCCCCAAAGGACACACGAGCAAAACCCTCTGCCCAAGGGGGGTCATCCCAGGGCCATGGCTGGGGCTCAGGCCCAGCCTCATGGGCAGACTGGGCCAGGACCCGACTTGAGAGGGCTCAGGGAAGCCTCAAGCCCTGGGCAAGCCCCTCTCTCCAGGAGCCACATCCCCACTCAAATGAGTGCCCCCCATGAGGAGCTTCAAGACCTTGTCTGACCCAGCGTCCTGGAGGGCTCAGGCGACCCTCATGGGGAAGGTCACTGACTCTGGAGACTGAAGCCCCAGTGTGCGCAGCTCGAGCCACCAGCCCCAGCCTGGAAGGACCAGGTTCTTTCACACCTGCTGTCCCCACAGATCTCTCTCGGGCTCACCCTGCGCCTGTGGGACGTGTATCTGGTAGAAGGCGAACAGGCGTTGATGCCGATAACAAGAATCGCCTTTAAGGTTCAGCAGAGTAAGTCTACGTGTGCCCAGCGGGGCCTGGGGAGCCCTGGGGTCAGACCCCGACTGGCCCGAGGGCAGCTTCCTCACACTGTCCTCATGATCCTCTGTTCTGGCCCAGAGGGAGGTCTGGCCAGGTGGGCTGGGCAGGACACTGTGACACCGAGCCCATCCCCCACATGACCCAGATGAAAGTCGAGAGTGTGGTGAGCACTTCCCTGTCCGGATCGCCCCCCAGCCACAGTCTCCTGTGTGTATCTGGACACCTGGGGTGGCCACAAAAGGATCCGGCACCGCCCAGTAGGAGACTGAAGTGGCCACGGGGTATGAGCTGTGACCATTCCCAGGTAACTCCCCTGGCCTGATATCCACCCTGTCCCTAGAGCGCCTCACGAAGACGTCCAGGTGTGGCCCGTGGGCACGTTTTTGCAACCGGTTCGTTGATACCTGGGCCAGGGATGAGGACACTGTGCTCAAGCATCTTAGGGCCTCTATGAAGAAACTAACAAGAAAGAAGGGGGACCTGCCACCCCCAGGTGGGCTCCAGTGCCATGTCCCCTCCCATGTCACCCTCTGGGGTAGTCAGTAGTAGGGGAGTGCCCGGGACCCGCAACCCTACTACCTGGGCCTTCCTCTTCACCTTTTCTTCCTCCTCTTCCTCCTGGACTCTAAGAAAGTACAGGAGGCCCACCGGTCCTCAGGGCAGGCGCTCAGTGCGTGTATACTGGACATGCTGTGCACGCAGGAGGGGGATGTGGGCAAGACCCTCCAACAAGCCCCCTCCCACTTTCCACGGTGTCTCCCTCTCCCCCTCGCAGGGCCCTCCAAGTTACTAGACGAGCCCAGACCCATTTGTGGGAGACCCCGCCCCTCCCTGCAAGCACCCACAGCCTCAGAGAGCAGCAGAGGCCCCTCACTCCTGCACGCTCCTCCAAGGTTGCCAGGACAAGAAGCCTGGAGCCAGGGAGACAAGGGAATCCGTGTCCCTGACCCACAGAGCATTCAGGGAGAGGGCACAGGCGGGACCCCGGGCCCAGAGCCAGAGCCAAGAGTTCAGCCAGAAGTGGGAACGGTCAGTCCTGGCATGGACTGGGCAGCCCAGGAGGGCAGAGGGTGACCCACGTCCGGGCCCAATCACCCACTGCGGAGACGGGTCCCCACGTGAGGTGACAAGGGGCTGGGTGACATCCAAGGCCCCTCCCACCTGAGTTCTGACTGGGGGCCGTATCCCAGGCCCAACAGCCCTGGGACGAAGGTGTGTGGCAGGAAGCCCCCAGCCAGTCTGAACCCTGGGGGCAGTCCCAGGAGCCACCCGCCATGCCACGACAGCTTCCCCACGCCAGGCAGCACGCACCCCTCCCTCTGGGATCAGCAGACTACAGGCGTGTCCTCGGTGTCAGGCCACGGGGGCCACACAGAGACCCCGAGGACTCCAGAGACGCAGGCAGGTGGGGCCCAGCCCGGAAAGGCCTGCGTGGGCTCACTGGAGATGCTGACCGCGTCTGTTTTCCTTTCAGCCAAACCCGAGCAAGGGTCGTCGGCATCCAGGCCTGTGCCGGCTTCACGTGGCGGGAAGACCCTCTGCAAGGGGGACAGGCAGGCCCCTCCAGGCCCACCAGCCCGGTTCCCGCGGCCCATTTGGTCAGCTTCCCCGCCACGGGCACCTCGTTCTTCCACACCCTGTCCTGGTGGGGCTGTCCGGGAAGACACCTACCCTGTGGGCACTCAGGGTGTGCCCAGCCCGGCCCTGGCTCAGGGAGGACCTCAGGGTTCCTGGAGATTCCTGCAGTGGAACTCCATGCCCCGCCTCCCAACGGACCTGGACGTAGAGGGCCCTTGGTTCCGCCATTATGATTTCAGACAGAGCTGCTGGGTCCGTGCCATATCCCAGGAGGACCAGCTGGCCCCCTGCTGGCAGGCTGAACACCCTGCGGAGCGGGTGAGATCGGCTTTCGCTGCACCCAGCACTGATTCCGACCAGGGCACCCCCTTCAGAGCTAGGGACGAACAGCAGTGTGCTCCCACCTCAGGGCCTTGCCTCTGCGGCCTCCACTTGGAAAGTTCTCAGTTCCCTCCAGGCTTCTAGAAGCATCTGGGCCAGGGCTCATGGCTGGATAATTTCCCTAGGCTTAACAACCCAAGCAAGCTTCGCATCCTCGTTTTATTTTTGGTTAAACTTATGAAAATGTATTAAGAAAGAGTGCAGCTCGAGAGAGATTCAGAGATGGAACACACCAGACCCCAGATCACAAAGCCAACCATGCCCAGCCCCTCCCAGCACCCCCAGCCCCACGACCATCGTTCTGAATTCTGACGACACCGTGAGCCTACCTTTGTACTTCAAACTCATGGAAGGATAACCACCTTCATGTTTTGAAATAAATGTTTCCTGTTGAAATGATTTTAGATTTTAGACAGAAATATTGAAAAGGCACTATAGTATCCTCCTATACCTTCCATCCAGCTGCCCCTAATAATGATGTTTTGCAGTCCCATGGCACATAAGAAATTTAGGCCGGGTGTGGTGGCTCACACCTGTAATCCCAGCAATTTGAGAGGTCGAGGCGGGAGGTTCAGGTTCACTTGAGTCTAGAAGTCTGAGACCAGCCTGGGAAACCTAGGTGGACCCGGTCTCTAGAGAAAAGTCAAAGAAATTAGCCAGGCATGGTGGCGTGTGCCTATAGTCCCACCTAGTCAGGAGGCTGAGGCAGGAGGATTGCTGGAGCCCACGAGTTCCAGGAAGCAGTGAGCCATGATTGCACCACTGCACTCCAGCCTGGGTGACAGAGTGAGACTTTATCTCTTAAAAAAATTTAAGAAATTTAATGTGGGTACAGTTCTATTAACTAAATAATAATGTGAACTATTATCTAAGGTTATGAAGGCTAGAATTATCCCATTTTTGCCTAACTTCTCGTACCTGTCCCAAGATCCCACCTTGGACTCACCCTCTGCCTTCAGCTCACGTCTCTTCAGCTTCCTCCACATGGTCCAGCAAACACACACCTGGGCTGAATGGTAGAGCTGATCGCTCATACACAAAGGTAGACCGGTGGGCAGGGATTTTCAGACTTACACAGTCAATGAGTTTTCCTTGGTGTTCTGGAGAGCACCGTTTGAGAAACACTTTGACAGTGAATCTAGGCCTCAAGATCCATCAGCTGCTCTAGCTTGAATTTTGCTCAAGCTCAGTGAACACCTGCTCTGCCGGGTGCACGTGAAAGGGGCAAGGATGAGAAAGCTGTAGATAAAGAAGACAGGACGCAGGGGGTCTGTCTAAGCTCTATCCCCTGCCTTCAGCACTGAGGGATGAAATCCAACTCTTAGGGAACGGTGGCCACGTGCTGGGCCAGCCCCAGGCTCTCAGGATCTGACAGTGGGTGACGCAGAGCCAGGCCTTGCCCCTGGGGAGCTCTCCAGCATACACCTCCCTCTCCCCTCCCAGCGTGCCGCAAAGCAGGCGTCAACGCCATTGTTAATGCACGGAGGAGGAACCTGACTGTTAGACCTGGGTTTTCCAGGGTTGCACGGCTTCTGGGAGACGGATGTGACCCTGAGGACAGGGCACAGGCCAGTGTAATGCCAGGATGGAATGAGCTGTGATCTGTGCTGTATAGAGGCCTAGGCCAAGGTGGGACTGACGGATGACCAGGTCAGCCGGGTCACTGAAAACACTCTTGGGTCCTCACCTGCCGGTTCCCAGGAGTCCGGAACTGCCAGGAGAGTGGTGGCAGGTCCCCCATCCTCAGCTGGGTGGGCCTGGATAGAACAGCAAGGCGAGGGCACATTTCCCTGGCCATTCCCTCCAGGCACAGCCGTGACCTGTTCATTCCAAATTTGTGGAAGTATTTCCACACACACAGAACTGCAAATAGCAGTGGACGTGGTGAGAGGCGTTTGCACATGGGATAGGCAGGATTTTGGAGGCAGAGCCTCCAGGGCTTGCCGATGGGTTAGCTGCAGGGCTTGAGAGGGAACGGAGAATCCAGGATGATGTGTTCAAATCGGTCCATTCACCTCTTCCGTTCCACGCCTGTGCTGGGCACTGGGAGAGACAGATGCACACAGGAGCCCCGGCCGAGGGGAGGTGTGGGGGGAAGCCCAGAGTGTCTGGGCAGGGTAGGAAACCCAGAGCGTCTACTGGGAGCTGAAGGCTTAGGTCCACCTGGGTGCCGTCCAGGTTCTCTGCGTGTAGAAGTATAGGCTGAGCTTCCCGGAGGAGGAGCAGCTGCTGTTGCTGGTGACCAGCACATTCAGGAACGGAGACTACTCTGTCAACAGACAGGGGGATGACCTGAGGTCTGGATGGTCTAGGGGGTGGTAGGGCCCAGGAGGACCCAGGAAAGGGTCTCGGGGATGCAGAACATCCTATGGAGGGCATTTGGGAGTCAGTGCTCAGGTCACTCCGGGTCACGCAGGTCATTTGCCGGCCCCTGTCATAATTATTGCCATATGAGAGTGCCACCCGTCCTATGACATATTTTATATATTTCTGTGAATGGCCTACTTGTTTGTATTTATGAATTTATGTTTAAAGGATGGGCAGGGGTGCTCGAGAGGTCCCCAGGAGTTTCCCTCTGGGGAGAGAGGGGCCCACCCCTTCCCAGCAGCCCTCTGAGCCCCCCGATCGCTTGGCCACAGCCTCTGCCTGGAGAAAGCATCCCCCTCGGAGATATATGGACATCAGAAGAAACCTTTCTCTGTCACCAGGACAAATCCTGTTCTTATTTGAACCAAGGCCAGTTTTCCTAATGAATGCAGGGAGGACAGCACAGATCAATGAAACCAGCAGATAATCCACAAGACTGTTTCCCAGAGCTGGGAGATTTCCTTCCCTGCCAACACTTTTCCTGAAAGGTCTTAAGAATGAGGCAAACAGTTTAAGTCTCTCTTGCACTGTTCTTTTAGTGAAAGAGTTCAATGAGGAAGGAGAGGAAGTGGAGCATATGCTTAGTTTCCAAGCTGGAAAAGTGGCCCATGGTTAACCAAGACTAGATGTAAAAGCACAGGTGGCCGCGGGTCCAGGTGAGTCGGTCCTACGATGGCACGGCTGCTAATGCCAGCAGATGCTCCTGTCCTCTCCTTTCAAGACTGACTTCTTCTGGTCTTTCATTCGTTAAAATAAAATTGACAGGGCATCATCCAAGAAGCTCTACACTTTCCCTTACTTGGATTTCAGACTCTAGATTCTGCTGAGATTTGAGCTTCATGGTGAACACATTCTTGTTGTGCTTGCTGCTGAGGGGTGTGGAGGACAGAGAGATGGTGAAATGGCAAAGTGGCTCTTGAGCATGGGTGGGGGAAGCCCCCACATATCTGAGTCAGTGCCACCTGGACACTACCCTTGGAGCATCCTGCTGAGGTGGCCATTCAGGTTTTCTTTCCTTTCCTTTTATTCCACTGTTTCTGAATCACAAATAAAGATCCAAGGCAAACAGCACATTCAGATCCCCAAGCTCTCCACCTCCAATGTGACCAGGGACGTGCACCACTTCAGGCTCATGCAGGACCCACAGCCTTTGGACCTCAGCTAAGGGACCTGCTTCTCTTCAGCACACGGGGCTTGTTTGTGTTGGGGTCTGAGCCCTGAGCGCATGGTCAAGGAGACCCCCAGGTCTTTCTGAACAGAGACAGCTGGCCTGGCGGCCTCCCTCTCACTGCATGCAAGAGTCTGTTAGGGCGGCTGTCTTGCTTCTGTGTGTTGGGAAATTCAATTTAGGTACCTAAAAATGAAAAGTCCCAGGACATCTCCATGGCTTGGGATCCACAGGAGAGCATCATTGATGCTGGGGACAATTTAAACATATAGAAACCCACAGGGCTACCTTAGACAGGGCACAGGGCACAGCACCCGGGGATGCAGAGTGGAAAGTTCACCACTACAGCCTGGAATTGCCTCTGTGATGCCTTCTTCATGACACTTGGCTGCCTTCGTGGCTGGAAGGCTGAGGCCCAGATCCCAACATGGCCACAGGCTAGCAGCTTGCTTCACCTTCCTGAACTGCAATTTCTCCATCTGAGCCTCTCTCCTAAGAGGAGTGTGCAGGGTCACTTAGCCCATATGGGCCAGAAACCCCACACGGTGCCAGGCACACAGTAGGGCCTCGGCAGATGCTGCCCCCTTCTGTCTCCACCACCCTCCTGGGGCTCCCTCCTGAAACAGCCTCCCTCAGCGCCTTGAGTCTTGCACCCTAACAGCCTCTTGCACGCAGTGAGAGGGAGGCCCCCAGGCCAGCTGTCTCTGTTCAGAAAGACCTGGGGGTCTCCTTGACCATGGGCTCAGGGCTCAGACCCCAACACAAACAAGCCCCGTGTGCTGAAGAGAAGCAAGTCCTTTAGCTGAGGTCCAAAGGCTGTGAGTCCTGCATGAGCCTGAAGTGGTGCAGGTGCCTGGTCACACTGGAGGTGTAGAGCTTGGGGATCTGAATGTGCTGTTTGCCTCGGACATGAAACATCTCACAGACTGCCTGGAAGAAGGTGGAGCAGACTGGGGTTAATGGTCAGCAGCAGCAGCATCCCCACCACTGGGGCTATCCCTTTTTAGGCCCTTACCATGGGCCAAACACTGAGCCGTGTGCTTCGTGTAACTTCTAAGCACGCTTACCTGATAGGGTGACAGCAAAGACTCGAAGAGGTGCCTGGGCTTGGCACATAGTAGCTATTGCTACTATTATGAATGTTGTTTTGTCTTTGTTTTTGTTTTGAGACAGGGCCTCACTCTGTTGCCCAGGTTGGAGTACAGCAGTGCCATCATAGCTCACTGAAGCCTCAACCTCCCTGGGTTTGAGCAATCCTCCCACCTCAGCCTCCCAAGTAGCTGAGACTACAGGTGTGCGCCACCAAGCCCAGCCAATTTTTTGTATTTTCAGTAGAGACTGGTTTTGCCAAGTCGCCCAGGCTGGTTTCGAACTCTGGGGTTCAAGCAATCTGCCCACCTCAGCCTCCCAAAGTGCTGGCATTACAGGCATGTGCCACTGCGCCCAGCCATTATGAACGTCAATATTGACATGATCTTGTATCCTTATGCCCACACTGGGAGAGGTCTGATTGTCCCCATGTTCCTGGTGTGGAACCACATGGAAGAGGCCTATGTTATCCCAACAGTGCAGAAGCACAGCCTGAGTCTCTTCTTTGGCTGAGCCAAGGGCGTGCTGGAGAGGCCTGACAGAAGAAGGAGCGGCCCTTGTGACCAGTGCCCTTTTGGTTCACAAGGAACTTCTCCTCTTGTTGAAGTGACTTGGCTGAGCTTGCTACTTCTGCTTTGAGAGTCAAATATCAGGATCAAGACTTTAATTATCCCCAATTTACAGATGATGAAACCATATTGGGCAGGAAAGAAAGTCACCCCAGGAGAGCAAGTTGGACCTGAGCACTGGCTGAGGACAAAGGGGAATGATAATTTGGGATGTAACTTGTTAAGGGGTCTCACAAGTGTTCTTGTGATCCAGGTGTCGAGAGGATACAGCAGAAAGGTTGCCAGGGAGATGAGGGTAGGGTGCACCACAAGAGTGGGAGAAATTAAAGAGAACACGCAACAAAGCCTTGGGACACTGGGAGGGGGATGGACCACCCAGTTTTGTGCTATGGGAGAAGAGAGCAAGAAAAGGAATCTGTGTTAAATCCCGACAGCCTGCATGAGAAGCAAATGCCCTTCATTTTCTTCATCAGCGGCGAGACTGGCATCCCTGCAGCTTTGGGAGACCATGCTAGTGTAGATGCCAGCTCACGCCAGCGGGCCTGACTGGGAGACCTTGGGCTGGGGTTCTGGTCTGGGGCTCCTAGGCCTGATGGGAGGAGAGTTCAGCCCCAGGTTTCCTGTACTTCAGCTCATATCCACACAATGGTAATTATTGAAATGAGAGACTCAAAAGAAGATGGAACGTGAACTTTTTTGTTGTCCCATGTGGACACCTGTGTTCGGTTTCCAGTTCTACCTTTGCTGTCTGTGTGTTCTTAAGTAACTCACTTAAACCTTTCTGAGTCTCATTTTCTTCATTTATAAAATAAAAGACGTAACATTTATGTCAGATATTGTCCTGAGGATTAAATGGGAGAATGAACAAGCCTCTTCTGCATTCCCCTGGCATCCAGTGGGTGGAGGCCAGAGAAGCTGCTAAACATCCTGCCAGGTGCAGGACAGCCCCCATCACAAAGAATTGACCGGATCCTGATGTCAGTAAGGCAGAATTGAGGATCCTTGGTGTGGGGGAAAAAGAATAAACTCAGAAGCTTGGCAGATCTCAGTTCAAACCCTGGTTGTATCACCTCTAGCTGAGTGACCTTAGGCAGGTCTGTGAACTCTCTGAGACTCGGCCTCCTCATCGGTAGAATGAGGTAGATAAAAATGCCAAGCTCGGCCGGGCGCGGTGGCTCACGCCTGTAATCCCAGCACTTTGGGAGGCCGAGGCGGGTGGATCATGAGGTCAGGAGATCGAGACCATCCTGGCTAACAAGGTGAAACCCCGTCTCTACTAAAAATACAAAAAATTAGCCGGGCGCGGTGGCGGGCGCCTGTGGTCCCAGCTACTCGGGAGGCTGAGGCAGGAGAATGGCGTGAACCCGGGAAGCGGAGCTTGCAGTGAGCCGAGATTGCGCCACTGCAGTCCGCAGTCCGGCCTGGGCGACAGAGCGAGACTCTGTCTCAAAAAAAAAAAAAAAAAAAAAAAAATGCCAAGCTCACCCAGAAATAACCCCGTGCATATATGGTCAACAGATCTTTGACAAGGCCATCAAGGATATACAATGTAGATTCTTTTATTCCTTTACTTTCTTAATAGACTTGCTTTCACTGTACTGTAAAAAAAAAAAAAGGCACAATGTAGAAAGGAAACTCTCTTCAATGAATGGTGTTGGGGAAAGTGCATGAAAAAGAATGAAATTGCATACTTGTTTTACATCATATACAGAAAATTAGCTCAAAGTGGATTAAAGATTTAAATGTAATATCTGAAACCATGTAAATCCTGGAAGTAAACATAGGGAAAAATCTCCTCGACATTGGTCATAATTGGCAATATTTTTTTTGATGTAACACCAAAGCACAGGCAACAAAAGTGAAAATAAATAAATGGGACTACATCAATCTTAAAAGGTTTTACACAGCAAAGGAAACCATGACAAAATGAAAAGGCAACCTACGGGATGGAAGAAAATATTTGCGACCCATATATTTGATAAGGGGTTATTTGAAAAAATATAAGGAATTCACACAATTCAATAGCAAAAATTAATAAATACATGAATAATGCAATTAAAAATAGGCAAAGGACCCCAATGGACTTTTTTCCCCAAGGAAGATATACAAATGGCCAGCCAGCATATGAAAAGGTGCTCAACACCACTAATCATCAGAGAAATGCAAATCAAAACCACAGTGAGATATTGCCTCATAGGATAGGATGGCTCTTATAAAAAAACGACAAGAGATAACAAGTGTTGGCGAAAGCATAGAGGAAAGAGAACCCTTGTACACTGTTGGTTGGAATGTAAAGTGGTATAACCTTTACAGAAAACAGTATGGAGGTTCCTCAAAAAATTAGAAGCAGAACTACCATACGATTCAGCAATCAGGTTAGAACCTTGAAGAGAGATCTGCGCCCCATGTTTATTACAACACTATTCACAATACCCAAGATATGGAAACAGCCTAAGTGTCCAGCAACAGATGAATGGATAAATAAAATACATATAAACAATGGACTATTAGCCATTCAAAAGAAGAAACTCCTGTCCTGGATAAACCTGGAGGACATTACGCTAAGTGAAATAAGCCAGACACAGAAAGACAAGTTTTGTATGATCTCACTTATATGTGGGATCTAAGAGAGTCAAACTCATAAAAACAGATAGTAGAATGGTGGTTGCCAAGGGCTGGAGGTGGGGAAAATGGGAAGCTATTAATCAAAGGGTGTAAACTTTCAGTTATAAGATGAACAAATTCTGGAGATTTAATGTACAGCATAGGTGGTAATGGATGTAATAAATTTGATTGTGATAATTAGTACACAATATATACATATATGAAATCATCACATTGTATGCATTAAATATACACAATCCTTGTCAACTCAATATTTTTAAAAAAATGTTTAAAATGCCTAGGTCATAAGAATTCTGAGAATGAAATACAACAACATACATGAATGGACCTGCTACACAGAAGGTGCTAAATAGGTTTGTTTTGTTTTATTTTATTTCAACTCTGGCAGATGTAGACCTATTGGGAAAGAATATAGAATGCACTTGTGCACAAGGATTATCTATACGATGGTTAAATATCCTGCATACATGCCATATCATTTCTACTCCTCAGTCAATGGATAATAAAAGCAGAACCAGCCTTCTGGTGGTCACAAAACATTTTGACATGAGAAAGGCTGATCATGAGCAATCTGGCAATGTACATCCCAGAGCGTGCATGCCCTTTGACCCACAGCTACCATGATGTCATGTCTAGCAATTAGTCCTAAGGAGATGATCAGAGATGTGTAAAGAGATTTCATTCTAACAGCATCCTCTGTAGTGGTATATGTCAGGGGCTGGTAAGCCATGTCCAGAGGAGCAGGCTGCATCTAGTCCACCACCTGTTTTTGTAAAGTTTATCAGAACACAGTCATGCCCATTCATTTACAAATTGTGTATGGCTTCTTTCCCTGCAACAGCAGAGTTGAGTGTTGCAACAGAAACCTATGGCCTGCAGAGTTTAAAATATCTACCCTTTGGCCTTTTATAAAAAAAGTTTACTGATTCCTGGTGAGTATATTAAAAAGTTAGGAAAACCTAAATCTTCCAGAGTGGAGAATTAGAAAGTAAGACGTGTTGTATATAAGACAGACAGTTTGTGTGTGCGTTTATTTATAAATATATTATTCTGAAATAATGTTGTCGACATATGTTGCAGGTCTTAAAAATTGGTCAATATATAGTGTTAATCAAAAAATGGCAAATTGTAAAATGTAGACAGAATGTGATTGTGTATTTTGTGCATACACCAACAGAAAAGGGTGCTAGGAAACCTGTGGACCAACATACTAAGTGTGGCTCTTTTGATGGTGGTATCATGGATTTTTAAAAATCTTCTTGGTTTTCTGTAGATTCTGACTTTCCTGTCATGAGTATGAATAAGTATGTATTTCTTGAGAAATGTGAAAATAACTTTATCTTCCCAGATTTCTCATAATTGAAAATGTTGGAATAAATGGTCCTGGGACAGATCTTTCCATTGAGAAGGGCAGAAGGGAAACCCTGGGGATTCAGCTGGGTTTCTGTTGCATTTCTGGTAACACACAGTTGTGAAAAGCCAGTGTTGGCCGTTCCCCAGGACAGTCTGGGGTAGAGGAGGTCAGGATTTAACTACTTGAGGGTCCGGGGAACAGATGTGGCCACAGTCCTTCCTGACTCACTGTTTTCCCTTCCACAGTCCCCGTCTTCTCTTCACTGATGCACATAGATGCCTGACCAGAGGAGAGATTTAGTTTTCGTCCAAGGATTATCTGTTATGTTGCAGTTCTGAAATTCCCATAACGTTTAGGCTAGAACACAAGTGATTTCATTATCTCCAATGTGTATGGCTTGATAGAAATAGATTCCATTATGTAGCACCTTAAATCCAGATAAAACATAAGGAATTTCTATTCCATGTTTGTATGATCAATGTTAATAATCTAAGAATATCTAAAAAGAAGCTACTTCCTCTATTACAGTATGAAATAAATATGCTGAATGATTTGTTTTGGGGGGTGGAATGGAAAGGTATAAGACTGAGGAGGGTGCCTGTGGGAACAGTGATAGGAATCCTTTCTTAAGGGTTGGGTTTTACATACGTCTTTTAAAATAGATGATATCATTAATAAATTATCTGTGGGCATCATGAAAAAAGTGTATAACGTACAACTTTATGAGCTTGACAGTTGGTGAAAACTTTTCTGTTTAAAATTTTATTTGGCCCTCCCCAAAAGAAATGTTTATTTATGAGTATTAGGATAGTTCCAGCAGTAATGCCTCAAAAGAACCAGGAGGTATAGTGTTGTCTAAAATGTGGACTCAGGAGCCAGACTGCCTGGCTGTGCAACTAGCCTTGTCACTTCCTAGATATGTGGCAAGTTAATTAACTTCTCAGTGTTCTTATCTGTAGAATGGGGATAATCCTAATATACATCTCAGGGTTATATTACAAATTAAAAAAGTTAATTTTGTAAAGGACTTAGAATGATATCTGGCAAATAAAAGTGTTCATAAAAGTAAACCCTATAAAAGTGTTTACTCATTAAATACAATAATCTGAAACCATTAGTAATTTAAACATTTGTGGCTGACTTGGTAATATTTATGAAAATAAATACTGTATTTATAATCTTTGACCTTATTTGACTCCTAGGAATTTATTGTCCAGCAAACATTTTCACAGGCAGACAAAAATATTACTATAAAATCACGTTTATTACACCAATCTGTGCAAAAGGAAAAAATAGACAATTAAAATGGCCATCAAAAGGAGTATTGATTAAGTGAATGATAGTAAATCCATTCAATAGTAATCATATTATCCAAAAAGAATGAGGCATAGTCATGTGATGTGGGAAGATCCACGGCTAATGTTAAACGGTAAATGATACAAACTGTTATGCCCAATAAAATACTTTCTGTGAGAGAATATATGTTAATTTATGCGAGTGGCGCCAATGTGGAGGGTTTATGCTAATTTCATTATACCTCACAGACAGACCTGGGCTCTCCCACTCATTTTCTATGTGGCCTGGGGTAAGTCATTTAACTGCTGGAAGCCTCAGCTTCTTCATCTGTCAGGCAGTGATACCCTGACTACTCTGCAGGGTAACTCTGAGATTTCAACGTGATCATCTCAGAATATGCCTGGCAAACAGTAGGAGCTCAGAACTTGATGTTTTTTTCCTACAGCAACTGCTGTAGGGGATAGCAGCTAATGCAAGAGGTTGGTAAATCCTTATATATATCAAATATTGTAGAAACATAACTACATGCTACTATTTTTTCAAACCCTCCCCTCACCCTTTTTTTTCCCCTGAGACAGAGTCTCACTCTGCTGCCCAGGCTGGAGTGCAGTGGCGCCATCTCGGCTTGGCTCACTGCAACCTCTGACTCCCGGGTTCAAGCGATTCTTGTGCCTCAGTCTCCCAAGTAGCTGGGATTACAGGCATGTGCCACCATGCCCAGCTAATTTTTTTGGTATTTTTAATAGAGATGGGGTTTCTCCATGTTGGCCAGGCAGGTCTCCAGCTCCTGGCCTCAAGTGATCTGCCTGTCTCGGCCCCCCAAAATGCCGGGTCAAACCTCTTATATCCAGTAAAACAGCCTCACTGGGTCAATGGATATCATGTGGCTGCCTAACATTTTTACTTTATAAAAGGTCTTCCTGAGGCCATTTGAAAGTATGGATCAAAACACTTTATGAACAGGGCCACAGGTTTGCATGAGGCTTGTCAGTGGACCTCCAGGATGAAGACCAAAGTGACTGTGCAATTTCTAGTGGAATAATTTACACTTAAGATCTTATTTATTTATCAAAAGACTGCTGTGAGGTAGGAATTCTTAACCCCCATTTGCAGAAACAGACTTTGCCTGACACCACAGAGCTAGGAAAAAGTGGGCATAAGATCCTCATCAAGTCTGACTTCCAAAAGAAGATTCAAAAAGAAACCTCCTTGCTACCCGCCAAATCTCTGTAGAGCCAGCCATGTTCACACATGAAACAGGACAATGACAATAGCACCAGGAATAGCTACTCCTGGTCAGATGCCCTCATGAGGTCAACTCCGCGGGATGGGGACACCGGGCCCTGCTTAGGGGAAAGGAAGGGGGTTTGTAGAGGAAGCCCAGCCAGCCAAGCAACCAGAGATGGGAAAAACCTATTGGGAAGAACTTGCTTGCTCTAGCTGGGCTTTGCAAAGAACAGGAAAAGATGAGTCTGCACAGACAGAAATGGTCTAGAATGGCTGAATGTTTCATGTAGAAATTTTATTTTATGATTAATACACTCGTGCCATTTCTTGGAACCACTTGCTTGTTTAATTCTAGTCTATCAAGTGATAATTTTGTTGATATTTAGAGGCTCCTCAGTTAATTTCTGTGGGATTTTTGGTTATATTTAATAAGGAAAATAATATGAAATGTCTAAGAAAAAAAGAAACAAAGTCAATTATTCCTGAGAATGTTTAAATTTATTGAAGTACACTTGTTAATTGTTAGTATAGAACCTACATTTCATGATAGAAAACCTTGGACTTGCCAGTTGTAGCTGCTGGAATGAGGTGTTTGTCCAGTACATCCAGAACGTCGCCACAGATTAACTTTAGCTCAGTCTCAACCTGAAAAAATAAAAATAAATTAAAAAAATCAGATCGTTGAAGTCTAGAAATTCTGTAAATTATTACACATTCTATCTACCTCTGGTTTTGAGGAAGAGAGCTTAGTGTTACAGAGAATTCATTTCCCTCTCCAAACTCCCTTCCTCCCTTTTGACACAAAAGCAGAGAAAAGCTGCCTGTCGGTTATCAAAAGTATCTTTTCCTTCCTGCCTGCAATTAAGTGCTACACACACACCACCCCCCACCCCAATACCCCCTCACAGTCCAACTGCAGAATCACCAATGACTGAAACTAAACACTGATGCTACTTGGTAAATGCTGGTCAATTACATGAATCTTTCACAAAGTAGCAACTATTGTGTCCATTTACTGGGGAAAACAGAAGTTAAGACATTTGCTCAAAGGTCATCCCCTTAAAAGAACGTAATAAGCAGAGCTAGGATTTGAAACCAGGCAGGGTGCAAGGGACAGAACAAAATTCAAACCCAGGCAGTTTGCCTTCAGTACTTACATTCCTAACAAGGTTCAACAGGCAATGCCTTTAGTGGAAGAGACCAAAAACTAGTTAAGATACCAAAAATCTGTGCACCAAAGTAACAATTGCCACTCATTTATATTCATTTATAATGCTAAAAATGTGCACCACCTCTAAAGGCACATACCCAGTTTACGTCTTTTTTTTTTTTTTTTTTTTTTTTTTTTGAGAGGGAGTCTGGCTTTGTCACGCAGGCTGGAGTGCAGTGGCGTAATCTCAGCTCACTGCAACCTCCACCTCCCGGGTTCATGTCATTCTCCTGCCTCAGCCTCTGGAGGAGCTGGGACCACAGGCGCCTGCCACCACGCCCAGCTAATTTTTTGTATTTTTAGTAGAGACAGGGTTTCACCGTGTTAGCCAGGATGGTCTCGATCTCCTGACCTCGTGATCCGCCTGCCTCGGCCTCCCAAAGTGCTGGGATTACAGGCATGAGCCACCACGCCAGGCCTATTTTTTGTTTTTTTAGACAGAGTCTTCCCCTGTCACTCAGGCTGAAGTGCAGTGGCCCTATCTCAGCTCACTGCAGCCTCTGCCTTCCAGGTTCAAGCAGTTCTCATGCCTCAGGCCCCTGAGTAGCTGGGATTACAGGGGTGCGCCACTGTCTCGGGTTAATTTTTGTATTTTTAGTAGAGATGGGGTTTCACCATGTTGGCTAGGCTGGTCTTGAATTCCTGGCCTCAAGAGGTCCACCTACCTCGGCCTCCCAAACTGCTGGATTATAGATGTGGGCCACGCGTGGCCCAACTCTACTATTTCAGTGCAGCTCCTGTACCCTAGGTCATCACTGACTTCCCAGTTGCTGAATCCAGTTGTCTTTACTGAGTTGGTCCTTAATTTAACTTTCTTTTGCATTGAAGCTACTGACTGACCACAGCATTTTGAAACTCTGTTCCTCTTATTACTGTGATTCTACTTTCCTTATTTTTCATCTTATCTCTTAAGTCTGTGGCTTCTCAGACTTCCTCACAATTGATTGCTTATTTTAAAAATTCAAAAATTTAAACCTCCCGAGCAGTTCAAAAACAATATACCTTTGAAATTTTTTAAACTTTTGAGAGTTGCAAGAATAGTTCAGTGATCACCAGGTGTTACCATTTTGCCATATTTTCTTTGTCTCTGTGTCCCTCCCTTTCTACCTGCCCCCACATATATGTGTATCTATGAATATTGACTTTTTTTAACATTAATAAATTTTCTTTCTGTACAATTTGAGAGTTAACTGCAGATTTCATAGCACTTCACCCCTAATTTCTTCTATACATCTCCTAAGAATAAGGGCATTTTTTTTTTTTTTTTTTGAGAAGGAGTCTCACTCTGTCACCCAGGCTGGGGTGCAGTGGTGCAATCTTGGCTGACTGCAACCTCCACCTCCTGGGTTCAAGCGATTCTCCTGCCTCAGCCCCCCAAGTAGCTGGGATTACAGGTGCCTGCTACCATGCCTGCCTAAGTTTTGTAATTATAGTAGAGATGGGGTTTTGCCATGTTGGCCAGTCTGGTCTCAAACTCCTTACCTAAGGTGATCCGCCCTCCTTGGCCTCCCAAAGTGTTGGGATTACAGACGTGAGACTCCATTCTCAGCCTCTTTTTCCTTTTGTAATTAACAAGTGATCTATGGCATGATAGAAACAGTGTGAATATTCTGTCCCATAATAATCTTTACTTAATGGTTTCATCTGGATTGCTTCTTGCCCAAATCAAATATTACTATAGTGATTAGAAATTGGAGACTTTTCTATTTTTTCTGTATTTTTTCTATATTGTCATTCTTCTGTAAAGATTTTTTTAAACTCTTTTTTTTTTTTTTTTTTTTTTGAGACGAAGTCTCGCTTTGTCACCAGGCCGGAGTGCAGTGGTATGGTCTCAGCTCACTGCAACTTCTGCCTCCCAGGTTCAGGCGATCCTCCTGTCTCAGCCTCCAGAGTAGCTGGGACTACAGTCATTTGCCACTGTGTCCAGCTAATTTTTTGTATTTTTAGTAGAGATGGGGTCTCACCATGTTGGCCAGGATGGTCTTGATCTCTTGACCCCGTGATCCAGCCACCTCAGCCTCCCAAAGTGCTGGGATTACAGGCGTGAGCCACCGTGGCTGGCCCTATACTCCCTTTTTAAATTTTTTTTTTTTTTTTTTTGAGATGGAGGTTCACTCTGTTGCCCAGGCTGGAGTGCAATGATGTGGTCTTGGCTCACTGCAACCTCCGCCTCCCAGGTTCGAGCAATTCTTCTGCCTCAACCTCCTGAGTAGCTGGGATTACAGGTACATGCCACCACACTCGGCTGATTTTTGTATTTTTAGTAGGGATGGGGTTTCACTATGTTGGCCAGGCTGGTCTTCAACTCCTGACCTCATGATCTGCCCGCCTCAGCCTCCTAAAATGCTGGGATTGCAGGTGTGAGCCACTGCACCTGGCCCTTTTTTTTTTTTTTTTTTTTTTGAGACAGGGACTTCCTCTGTTGCCCAGACTTGAGTGCAGTGGTATGATCATGGCTCACCACAGCTTGGACACCAGGCTGCCTCAGCTCACTGCAACCTCTGCTTCCCGGGTTCCAGTGATTCTCGTGCCTCAGCCTCTGGAGTAACTGGGAGTACAGGTGCTCACCACCATACCTGGCTAATTCTTGTATTTTTAGTAAAGATGAGGTTTCACCATGTTGGCCAGGCTGGTCTCAAACTCCTGGCCGACATGGTGATCCACCTGCCTTGGCTTCCCAAAGTGCTTCATATTGTTAGCCCTAATTCTAGTCAAATTCCATAGCGTTCTTCCTCTTTATTTTTATTTTTTTATTTTTGAGACGGAGTCTTGATCTGTCCCCCAGGCTGGAGTGCAGTGGTGTGATCTCGGATCACTGCAGCCTCCACCTCCTGGGTTCAAGCAAATCTCTGCCTCTGCCTCCTGAGTAGCTGGGATTACAGACACCTGCCACCATGCCCAGCAAATTTTTGTATTTTTAGTAGACACAGGATTTCATCATCTTGGCCGGGCTGGTCTTGAACTCCTGACCTTGTGATCCACCCACCTCGGCCTCCCAAAGTGCTGGGATTACAGGCGTGAGCCACCGCGCCCGGCCTGTATTAGATATTTTTAAGTCAGTTTCCTAAGACAATTAAATATTTCAGGTAGTTGGGACTTTTCTTTTTTTGGTTTGTTTTATTTTGCTTAATTTAACCATTTTAAATATGATTCTCTGGGAATTTTTTCTTCAAAATATAGAATATGTGTGCATTAGTTTGCTAGGCTTGCTGCAACAAAGTACCACAAACTGGGTGGCTTAGACAACAGAAATTTATTATCTCATAGATCTGGAGACTAGAAGTTCTAGATCACGTTGTTAGAGTTGGTTTCTTCGACAACTGTGAGAAACCTTATGTTCCATGCCTCTCCCCTGGCTTCTGGTGGTTTGCTGCTCATCTTTGGCATACTTTGGCTTGTAGGTGCATCACCTGGATCTCTGCCTTCATGTTCACATGGTGTTCTACCTGTGTGCATATCTGTGGACAAATTTCCCCTTTTTATAAGGATACCAGGCATATTGGATTAGGGTTCCTCTCTACTCCAGTAGGACCTCATCTTCACTAATTACATCTGCAATAACCCTTTCCAAATAAGGTCACATTCTGAGGAACTAGAGGTTAGAGTTTCAACATACGAAATTTTCTGGGGGGTGGGTAAGGGACACGATTCAATCCATAACAATATGTTTATGAGTAAATGAGTTAGTGTGTTATTGTCTTTCTGCCACCTCAGAATCTGAGAAAACAGTTTCTTTTTCCATTCCTTGGGCTGTAGGTGGAGAAGGAGGAGGATGATGATGGTGATTATTTTTTGGTCATGCCCCATAATGTGACCCACTTTAAAAAACAACAAACAATTGTAAGGAGGAGAACTGTCATACACCTACTGCCCAGCTTAAAAATAATTAGATCATCTTCTTTAAACATAACTGTCATCCCATCATCACACCTAAGAAGTTGACAGTTTCCCCAGTTTTTTTTTTCTCTTTTTTTTTTGAGATAGGGTCTTTCTCTGTTGCCCAGGCTGGAGTGCAGCGGCATGATAGTGGCTCATGGCAGCCTCATCTTCCCAGGCTCAAGGGATCCTCCCATATAGCTGGGACCACAGGGGTGCATCACCACATCCAATTTTTTGAATTTTTCTAGAGATGAGGTCTCCCTGTGTTGCCCCACCTAATTTTTTTGTTGTTGTTGTTCCATTCTTTTTTTTTTTTTCTCCTGTTTGTAAGGATTTAATCAAGGTCTGTATGTAGTTTGGTTACTATGTCTCTTAGGTCTCTTTTCGTTTATAGATTCCCCTCGTGATTTACTGAAGAAACGGGGTCATTTGTCCTGTAGAATTCTCAAATTTTGATTTTGCTGATATTATCCCCAGAGTGTCATTGACCATGTTCATCTGTTCCCCAAATTTCCAAAAACTGGTAGTTAAATTTAGGTGGTTGATCTGATTCAGATTACACTCTCAGTATCGCATATGCTTTGATCAGGAGGCATAATGTGTACTTGTGTGTGCATATGTGTGTTTTTTTAGTGATGTTAGTGGTCACTGCCTGTGTCAGCATTTCACTACCAGGGTAATTTGGCAATGTCTGGAGACACACTGATTGTCACAGCTTGGGAGAGGGAATGCTATAGGTACCTTCAGGGGTAAGAGTCAGCACAGCACAGCACAGCCCCCTAACGCAAAGTATTAATAGGCCTAAAATGTCAGTAGCCCTGAGGTTGAGAAACTCTGGCCTACTTTTGTAGTTTCATCAGGTGTTTGTGAAATGGTTTTATTCTAACTGTTATTTCTTCTTTCTTTGTTAGCTGGAATTCTTTCATAAAGAGAAACTCTTTGATCAGTTAGTTACCCAAGGTACAGTTCATACAGAAAAGGCAGGATGTATGTTTGATTCTTTCCTAGTTTTCAAAATAATGAATTAGTTCCCTAGCATCTTCCAAAATTGACCAATGAACTTTGTGTGTGTTTTTTTCTTTTTTAGTATATTATGAACTTACACGTTTTAACATATTTGTGTTTCCTTTCATCGCAGTTATTTTTATTTTATTTTTATTTATTCATTTATTGTTTTGAGGCAGGGTCTTAACTCTGTCACCCAAGCTGTAGTGCAGTGGTATGATCGCTGCCCACTGCAGGCTTGACGTCCCGACCTCCAGCAATCCTCCCACCTCACCCTCTTGAGTAGCTGGGACCACAGGTACACCATCATGCCCAGCTAATTTTTGTGTTTCTGGTAGAGACGGGGTTTTGCCGTGTTCACCAGGCTGGTCTTCAAATCCTGAGCTCAAAAGCAATCCACCTGCCTCTGCCTCCCAAAGTGTTGGGATGATAGGCGTGAGCCACCGCACCTAGCAGTTATTTTTATTGGTGCTCGTTTTTTCCCTTCGTTGAATGCTGGGTGCAGTGAATGCTGGGTGCATCTTCATGTTGGGTTCTGAGTCCTTTTGACATGAGCACATTGTCTGGTGTTGTACGAGAGAGCAAAATAAGGAAACTGGTGTTCTATGCTTATCTTGTACATTTTCCCCACACTTGGAATCAGCCATTCCTCCAGGGAGTGCAGGTTCACAGTCTGGGCTCTAAGAGAATTATAAGGTCAATGTGGTCATCATCTTTTAGTATTAAGTCAGATATTCTAAATTATTATTTACTTCTTACATTTGGCCCAAGAGTTTAACCAGATATTTTGGGAAAGAGAGAAGGAATTAAATAAATAAATCTCATGGTTAGAACTGAAGTGATAACTATACTTTCACAAGGAAATATAACTTATAACCCATGCGGAATAGAAAATTATTTTTGCTCCTTTAGATTTCTGAAGGAATGAAATGAGCTGTGGGAAGAAACTTTAACTGGAGCATCTTACCAGTATTATTCATGTTTTAACTCTGCTTCAGTAGTTTTTCAGGTTTATTACAAACCTGCAGTAGCCAACTGAATTAATTATCTCTAAACAGGGATTTAGCCAGTGGACTAGGCACACTGAAGCTTTGTGAGAGGGGAAATTGATATTCACATTTTTTCCAGCTTGTTTTGAGCTCGATATATTCTTTTTTTTTTTTTTTTTTCATTGAGACAGACTCTCGCACCGTCACCTGGGCTGGTGTGCAGTGGCACGATCTCTGCTTGCGGCAACCTCTGCCTCCCAGGTTCAAGCAATTCTCCTGCCTCAGCCTCCCGAGTAGCTAGGATTACAGGCGCCCGCCACCACGCCCGGCTGATGTTTTGTATTTTTAGTAGAGACGGGGTTTCGCTTTATTGGCCAGGCTGGTCTTGAACTCCTGACCTCATGATCTGCCTGCCTCAGCCTCCCAAAGTGCTGGGATTACAGGCCTGAGCCACCATGCCCAGCCAATATATTCACATTTTTAATAGGAATAACAGTATACTAAAATCTTTTTTAGTGCATGTTTAAGATTTGAAGATGTAATTTGACTCAGTACTTTCCACTTGCATTTTTTTCTTCCACTTGCATTTCTCCACTATTAGAATAGTGCCTGCTAAGACTATTCTAATACTTTATTATAGTTCACCCCTGCGAAAAGAGCTCCCAGAGCTTACAGTGCATTTGATTGATGTCATATGGACTATTCATTATTTTCTAAATTATTTTGTTTGTGTAGAGCAATCTGAAGAGGATGTAAGTCAGTTTGATTCCAAGTTTACACGTCAGACACCTGTCGACAGCCCAGATGACACAACTCTCAGTGAAAGTGCCAATCAGGTGTTTTTGGTAAGTGAAAGAATTTCCATGTAGTCATGGGAAATTTTAAGTATGAGGATGGGCTCTTCGATAAGAAAATTCAGTTTGCTTGCTTTGCAGCTCATGTAGGTAACCTGGCCCACTTTTTTTTTTAAATAAGCCATGCTCTTATAACTTATTGATACCTACAAAATTGATTTTCATAATCCAACATTTTATTTTAGCAATTAGAGTGGGAATGTACAATTCTTTGGAGAGTATGATTCCCTTTTTTGGTTGGGCCACAGACTTAAAATGATGTTTGGCTTAGCATCTCAACCAAAAATTAAGTCATAGCAGTGGGAGAGAAAAACCTCACTAACTACATGTATTTTATTTCTGAAACAGCTATAGATTTTTGGTACCTTTTTTTTTTTTTTTTTTTTTGAGACAGGGTCTCACCTTGTAGCCCAGGCTGGGTGTAGGGTGTAGTGGTGTGATCACAGTTCACTACAGCCTTGACCTCCCAGGCTCAAGTGATCCACCCATTTCAGCCTCGTGAGTACCTGGACTACAGGTGTGTGCCCCATCCAGCTAATTTTTTATTTTTTTGTAGAGACAGAGTCTCACTATTTTACTCCTGGACTCAAGCTATCTTCCCACCTCGGCTTCCCAAAGTGCCAAAATTATAGGCATGAGCCATCATTCCTGGCCCTATTTTTGGTACTCTTAACATAAGTAGGGGATTTTTTTTTTTTTTTTTTTGAGACTGAGTCTCACTCTGTCGTCAGGCTGGGGTGCAGTGGCGCGATCTCAGCTCACTGCAACCTCTGCCTCCTGGGTTCAAGTGATTCTCCTGCCTCAGCCTCCTGAGTAGCTGGGACTACAGGCGCCTGCCACCACGCCCAGTTAATTTTTGTATTTTTAGTAGAGACAGGGCTTCACCATGTTGGCCAGGATGGTCTTGATTTCTTGACCTCATGATCCACCCGCCTTGGCCTCCCAAAGTGCTGGGATTACAGGCATGAGCCACTGCGCCCGGCCAAGTAGGGGATTTTTTAAACCTAATTGTGAATATTTGACATCAAATTATATTGGTTCATATGTAATAGTGAATTCTCGTTGTAGAAATATCCGTATAGATTTATAGCTTGTCTCCTCAGAAAAGTAAAGGTTTTAGATGTTGGCCAACAGAAATGATGGATTTATATCAGATGACCATCAATGCATACATACTATTTTGCTTAAATACCATATATGCTTGTTGATTTTATTACTGTACTTATATGTCACATGAACATCTTTCTCATTTTGTATCCTTTTTTTTCTTTTTTCGTTCCTGTATGGAATACCTCTAGGGAGAATAGAATATGGGGAAAACAATTGTTTGGGAGTGTTTTTTTCCCTCTTTTTGAGTTCACTGGATTTGTCACTAACTTAATTCTATGCTTTTCTTCCCCACACTGCTCACTATATAACACAAGTAGTGTTGTATCTTATGGGATGGGAAATAAGCTCTAAAGTTAGCATGGAGCTGGGACATGGTGGCTCAGGCCTATAACCTTGAGGTCAGGAGTTCGAGACCAGCCTGGCCCACATGGTGAAACCCCATCTCTACCAAAAATACAAAAATTAGCCGGGTGTGGTGGCATGTACCTGTGGTACCAACTACTTGGGAGGCTGAGGTAGGAGAATGACTTGAACCCGAGAGGCAGAGGTTGCAGGAGCCAAGATCGTGCCACTGCACTCCAGCCTGGGCAATAGAGTGAGTGAGACTCTGTATAAAAAAAAAATAATTAAAAAAATAAAGTTAGCATGGAATGCAAAAGTTGTGTATAGTACAGTATGGTTTCAAGTAAACAACACTGAATAGTAATAATCCTATAAATTAGTAATATAGAGCACGTAGGCAAAATATAATCTTACAGTATTAATTACATAAGAGATAAAAGATGAGTGAGTGCATGCATGTTTTTAAATTCAAGTTGGATGTGTGCATGATCAAAGTTACGGCATCTCTGTTAGTAAAATCTTAGGTTCACTCAGGGAAGTGGGCATGAATCACTTTAATTTTGGCTTTTTTTTTCTCTTTCATGTACTACTGATGTGGAATTTATACCTTTGATTTAACATAGAGACCTTTTCATCAATTGAACATTGCAGAATTTCAACTTATGTGACAGTTTCCCCCCACAAAATAGAAGCATTTTATTTAGCTACCAAGAAATCCTAAGTTGTGGTGGTAAATGTGAGCTATTGACGCTTTCATTGCCAGTTAAAAGTATTGTTGAGCTTTTCATAATTACTTAAATTGGCTATAACTGATGAACAGAGCAACTCATTTGTTAGGTTGTAGCCAGAATTCTGTACATAAAGTGGGTCTCTTGAAACATTAGTAAAAACAAAAATAGGCCAGGTGCAGTGGCTCATGCCTGTAATCCCAGCACTTTGGGAGGCTGAAGTGGGTGGATCACAAGGTCAGGAGTTCTAGAACAGCCTGGCCAATATGGTGAAACCCCATCTCTACTAAAAATACAAATATTAGCCAAGTGCGGTGGCACACGCCTGTAATTCCATCTACTCGGGAGGCTGAGGCAGGAGAATCACTTGAAACCAGGAGGTGGCAGTTGCAGTGAGCCAAGATCGTGCCAGTGCATTCCAGCCTGGGCAACAGAGCAAGGCTCTATCTCAAAAAAAAAAAAAATTCCGCATACATAAGAAGAGAATATGCATTAAAAAAATCAGCAGAGCCTCACATTCCAGGATTTTCTACACAAGAAACCATTCCTAAAATATGTGTTTGGAATTACTAGGGTTTCTCTTGCAAACATTTTAATAACACCTCATTTGTTTTTTTTATTATAATATTTATTTAAGCAAAATTTCTTTTTTTTATTTTATTATTTTATTATTATTACACTTTAAGTTGTAGGGTACATGTGCACAATGTGCAGGTTAGTTACATATGTATACATGTGCCATGCTGGTGTGCTGCACCCATTAACTCGTCATTTAGCATTAGGTATATCTCCTAATGCTATCCCTCCCCCCTCCCCACACCCCGCAACAGTCCCCAGAGTGTGATGTTCCCCTTCCTGTGTCCATGTGTTCTCATTGTTCAATTCCCACCTATGAGTGAGAACATGCAGTAACACCTCATTCTTTAGGGGTGTGGTTATATGTGTCATGTTATTAGATCTTTACAGCAACTCTCCTGGGTAAAGCGGTTATTACTAGGTCATTTTATAGAAGGAAAAATAACCAGTACTTTTTTTTGCTTTACTTCAGTAGCTATTGCCTCCTTCAATTTGACATTTCAATCCTGGCACATAGTGGGGGCTCAACAAATATTTGCTGGAGGAATGCCATTTAAAATACAGTGATTGGATAGGAGAATATTTGAGGGCATTAACAATTTTTAAAAGCCAAAAAAAAATTACAATTGGACTTATGAGATTTTGATTTTTTTGTGTATTTTCTTTTAAAAAATAAGCTTCTCTAAGCTGGGCTTGGTGGCTCATGCCTGTAATCCCAGCACTTTGGGAGGCTGAGGCAGGTGGATCACCTGAGGTCAGGAGTTTGAGACCAGCCTGGCCAACATGGTGAAAACCCGTCTCTACTAAAAATACAAAAATTAGCTGGCCGTGGTGGCACACACCTGTAATCCCAGCTACTAGGGAGGCTGAGGCAGGAGAATCGCTTGAACCCGGGAGGCAGATGTTGCAGTGAGCCAAGATCACACCACTGTACTCCAGCCTGGGTGACAGAGCAAGACTCTGTCTCAAAAATAAATAAATAAAGTATATAAATAAATAAATAAGCTTCTGTTTTGGCTTCCTCCAATGTAGTCTCTTTGAGTAGGAAGAAATTGTTATGATTCAAACTAGTAAATTCTTTTTTTTTTTTTTTTTTTGAGATGGAGTCTTGCTCTTATTGCCCAGGCTGGAGTGCAGTGGCGTGATCTTGGCTCACTGCAGCCGGCTCACTTGAACCGGGTTCAAGTGATTCTCCTGCCTCAGCCTCCCAAGTAGGTGGGATTACAGGTGCCTGCCATCACGCCTGGCTAATTTTTGTAGTTTTAGTACAGATGGGGTTTCACCATCTTGGCCAGGCTGGTCTTGAACTCCTGGTCTTGATCTGCTGACCTATATCCGCCCGCCTCGGCCTCCCAAAGTGCTGGGATTACAGGTGTGAGCCATTGCGCCCGGCCGACAGGTAAATTCTTATATCAAAAAACTGAGTTAGACTTGGTCCCTGGAGCTGTTTTCCATCCCTAAAAAGATGATGTCAAGCTATCATGTATAATAAATAACAACTCAATTGACCACATATTTTCCTTTAAGCCTAATGATGAAATAATATTATAATGAAATACTTAGAAGTTTTAAGGGAAAAAATCCTTTAAGTCATTAAATTAAAATTGAAACCAAAACAATAACTTCACTGTTTTAGGATAAAATTGGCATATGAAAGGTTTGATAGTGAACGACAGTAAGATTAACCTACTACAGCATTTGCCTTTAGCTTTTACTGAGTAATACTTGGAGCTATATATTTATAGCATTTGCTATAAATGTGCAAATGAAGACATTATTTATTGTATTACTGCTGAGATTAATATTGTCTTTTTCAGATTTCTAAAACATTACAGCAAATGCGCACATGAGGGCGCTCTAATCAGCTAGATGTGGAGAGGGTAGGCATTTGTTGACTGTTAAGTCAAAACTAGTTCTATACTTTTACAGATGGAAAAATCAAGGTCCACCAAAGAGGTTATGATGTTACACGAGTTATTCTCTAGAGGAAACAAATTGGGTATTAGAATTTTGAAAAGATTAAACAGAAATCCCTGTCAGTGAATTTATGCTGGAGAATTTTGACTTTTATCCTAGCAACTCCTTATTGAAAATCTTTACCCATGCCATGATATAATTTATCTTCAATCTTAAATGGGTTTGGTAATAGTGTTTATAAGATGTAGGAGAGTTAATTAGAATATTTATTTTTATGAACTTTTGCTTTATAAAATTAACAAATGTTAATTGTGCTTCATTTATACTTTTTTTTTTTTTTTTGAGACGGAGTCTTACTCTGTCACCCAGGCTGGAGTGCAGTGGCGTGATCTCAGCTCACTGCAACCTCTGCCTCCCAGGTTCAAGCGATTCTCCTGCCTCAGCCTCCCAAGTAGCTGGGACCACAGGCACGTGCCACCACGCCTGGCTAATTTTGGTACTTTTAGTAGAGACGGGGTTTCACCATGTTGGCCAGGGTGGTCTCGAACTCCTGACCTCAAGTGATCTGCCCGCCTTGGCCTCCCAAAGTGCTAGGATTACAGGTGTGAGCCACCAACACCTGGCCCATTTATACTTAAGGCTGATTCTCAACTGATTTGGGTAAGATCCTTAGTCTTTCCCCATCTCTGAGGTAATTCCTAGTTTGTCCTTTGGCTTTCCTGTGTATATAAAGCTACCAGGCTGCTTGCAGATTTTTCGGGGAATAAGTCCCATAAACACTCACAAAGATTTTATTAGGGAGAAGCTATGATGCGAATATAGAATGTAGATTTTTTAAATTTCAAAATCAGTATGGGCCGGGCGCGGTGGCTCACGCCTGTAATCCCAGCACCTTGGGAGGTCGAGGCGGGCGGATCACGAGGTCAGCAGAGCGAGACCATCCTGGTTAACACGGTGAAACCCCGTCTCTACTAAAAATACAAAAAATTAGTGGGCGCAGTGGCAGGCGCCTGTAGTCCCAGCTACTCGGGAGGCTGAGGCAGGAGAATGGCGTGAACGCGGGAGGCGGAGCTTGCAGTGAGCGGAGATCGCGCCACTGCACTCCAGCCTGGGCGACAGAGCGAAGACTCCATCTCAAAAAAAAAAAATCAGTATGTAGAGCTGGGCATGGTGGTGTGTGCCTATTAGCCCAGCCACTGGGGAGGCTGAGGCAGGAGAAGCCCTTGAGCCCAAGAGTTCAAGACTAGCCTGGGCAACACAGCGAGACCCTCATCTCGAAAAATAAATAAATAAATAAATAAATAAAGTATTGCAATATTTATTATATAGGCAAATTTTTTTCAACTTAAGTGCTACCCTCATCAGGGGAAGATTTGTTTGATTAGATCCCCACACAGGCTGGCCGCTTCCTCATTTCTACTTTTTCTTTTCTTTTTGAGATGGAGTTTTGCTCTTGTTGCCCAGGCTGGAGTGCAATGGCGCAATCTTGGCTCACTGCAACCTCCGCCTCCCGGGTTCAAGCGATTCTCCTGCCTCAGCCTCCCGAGTAGCTGGGATTACAGGCACCTGCCACCACACCCGGCTAATGTTTGTATTTTTAGTAGAGATGGGGTTTCACCATGTTGGCCAGATTGGTCTCAAACTCTTCAGTTCAAGCGATCTACCTGCCTCGGCCTCACAAAGTGCTGGAATTACAGGTGTGAGCCACTGCGCCCGGCCTCATTTCTACGTTTTCAAAGAAGTCAATTTTCTTTAAAAAATAAACTCTTTTGGCCACGCGGCGGCTCATTCCTGTAACCCTAGCACTTTGAGACTCAGAGGCAGACGGATCGCTTGAACTCAGGAGTTCAAGACCAGCCTGGCCAACACGGTGAAACCCTGTCTCTACAAAAAATTAGCTGGATGCAGCGGCACGTGCCTGTAGTCCCAGCTACTCAGGAGGCTGAGGCAAGAGAGTCACTTGAGTCCAGGAGGCAGAAGTTGCAGTGAACTGAGATCACGCCATTGCACTCCAGCCTGGCTGATGGGAGTGAAACCTTGTCTCAAATAAATAAATAAATAAACTCTTATTTTTAAAAAAAAAAAAGCAAATCATGAAACAAAACAAAACCCAGGGCTCTGAATGAAAAAGATCTCTCCTTTAGGGGGCTAGGTGATGGAAAGGAAAATAGGTCATGAATTTCATGTTCTCATTTGTCTTCGTTAATGACTTGTATGTATATATATTTCCATTGAAGACATAGATATGCATTTGATCACCTACACTTGTTTGTATTTTGAGTCATAAATTAAGGCATTTCCTGTCCAGAAAGCACCTGACAATCTTATGATAAAAAACATGGAATTTTAAAATCACAAATGCAAATAACAAGCCAGGCACAGTGGCTCACGCCTGTAATCTTAGCTCTTTGGGAGACCAAGGTGGGTAGATTGTTTGAGCTCAAGAGTTTGAGACCAGCCTGGGTAACATGGAGAAACCCTGTCTTTACAAAAAATAAAAAATTAGTGGGGCACGGTGGCATGTGCCTGTAGTCCCAGATACTCAGGAGGCTAAGGTGGGAGGAGTGCTTGAGCCCAGGAGGTCGAGGCTGCTGTGAGCTGTGGTGGCAACACTGCACTCCAGCCTGGGTGACAGAGTGAGACCCTATCTCAAAAAAAAAAGGAGTGCAAATAACAGATGACCTTACAAACATCAAAAGTTATGTCTTTATAATAAGTTTTGTCTACATTTAATGAAATATATTGGACAAGGAAAAAATGTAGCAGTATGCGTATGGCTTTATCTTGGCCCTGCCCACTACTGTGCCCTCATTTCTTTTCCTTCCCACTGAGTCCTTCCACACTACCACACCACAGCAAACCTGACAAGCTTCTGCCTGAAATAGCACCATTGCACTTCTCTTCCCTTTGCCTGAAACATTCTTTTTTTTCTTTTTTCTTTCTTTCTTTTTTTTTTTTTTTTTATGAGATGGAGCCTCACTCTCTCGCCAGACTGGAGTGCAGTGGCACGATCTCAGCTCACTGCAACCTCCACCTCCCTGGTTCAAGCGATTCTCCTGCCTCAGCCTCCCGAGTAGCTGGGATTACAGGTATGCACCACCATGCCCGGCTAATTTTGTATTTTTAGTAGAGACGGGGTTTCTCCATGTTGGTCAGGCTAGTCTCGAACTCCCGACCTCAGGTGATCCGCCCGCCTCGGCCTCTCAAAGTGCTGGGATTACAGGCGTGAGCCCCTGTGCCTGGCCACCACAATCAATTTTAGAATATTTTCATTTCTCTCAAAAAAAAATACCATACCTATGAGCAGTCACTCCCCATTTCCTCCAGCCCTCAGTCCTAGGCAACCACTAATTTACTTTCTTTTAGGATAGGATTTGCCTATTTGGACATTTCATATAAATGGAACCATACAATTTGTGATCTTTTGTGACTGGCTTTTTTCAAGTAACCTAATGTTTTCAAGGTTCATTCATGTTATAGCATGTGTCAGTACTTATTTCCTTTTTTTTTATGGCTCAATAATATTCTGTTGTAGGAATATAACACATTTCATTTATCTGTTTATCACTTTTTTTTTTTTTTTTTTTGAGATGGAGTCTCAGTCTGTCACTCAGGCTGGAGTACGGTGGTGTGATCTTGGCTCACTGCGGCCTCCGCCTCCTGGATTCAAGCCATTCACCTGCCTCAGCCTCCCAAGTAGCTGGGATTACAGGCACGTATACCATGTCCCGCTGATTTTTGTATTTTCAGTAGAGATCGGATTTCACTCTGTTGGCCAGGCTGGTCTCGAACTCCTGACCTCAAGCAATCCTCCCGCCTTGGCCTCCCAAAGTGTTGGGAGACACCACACCCAGCTGTCTCCACTTTTTGACTATTATGAATAATGCTGCTATGAACATTCATGTGTAAGTTTTTGTGTGGACATATGTTTTCCTTTCCCTTGGGAATATGATGAAGCCTGGCATTGCCAGGTCATATGATAACTCTATGTTTAAGCTTTGGAGGAACTGCCAGACTATTTCCAAAGCAGTTCCAACTTCATTGCAAAGCATTTTACATTCCCTCCAGCAACATGTGAGTGTTTCAATTTTTCCACATTTTCTCCAACACTTGTTATTATGTGTCTGTTTATTATAGCCATTCTTGTGAGTGTGAAGTGGTATCTTAACATGGTTTGGATTTGCACTTCCCCGATGGCTAATGATGTTTCTATGGTTTGAATGTTGGAGTCCTCCAAAATTCATGTTATAACCTAAGACCTAATGTGACGATGTTAAGAAGTGAGGCCTTCAAGGTGGTGATTAGGTCATGAGGGCTCTGCCCTCGTGAATGAAATTAATGCCCTTATAAAAAGGCTTCACATAACATTTCTTCTTCTTTTTTCCTTTCTTCTCCTGCCATGTGAAGATGCCACTGCGAGAACGGGAACAATGGAACAGGCCCTCACCAAATGCCAAATGTGCTATCACCTTGATTTTGGATTTCCCAGCCTCCGGAACCGTGAGGAATAAATTTTTTTACTTATAAATTACTTAGTCTCAGGTATTTTGTTACAGCGGCACAAACAGACTAAGACAGAAATTGAGTGTATTTTCTTGTGCTTATTGGCCATTTATTTTCTTTCTTTTATTTTTATTTATTTATTTATTTTTAGGTGGGGTTTTGCTCTGTTGCCCAGGCTGGAGTGCAGTGGTGCAATCTTAGCTCATTGCAACCTCTGCCTCCCGGGTTCGAGTGATTCTTGTGCCTCATCTGCCTGAGTACCTGGGACTACAGGCATGCGCCACAACGCCTGGCTGATTTTTATATTTTTAGTAGAGATGGGTTTTCGCCATGTTGGCCAGACTGGTCTTGAACTTCTGGCCTCAAGTGATCCACCTGCCTTGGCCTCCCAAAGTGTTGGGATTATAGGCATAAGCCACCACCTGGCCCTTATTGGCCATTTGTATGTCTTCTTTGGAGAAATATCTGTTCAGATCTTTTGTCCATTTTAAAATTGGGTTATATCCTTTTTATTATCAAGTTGTAAGAGTTCTTTATGTATTCTAGATCCAAGTCCATTGTCAGATACTGTAGTCTCCCGTATGCTCTCTGCAGTTTCAGTTACCTGCGGGCAGCTGCAATCCCAAATATTACAGTATTTTGAGACAGAGAAAACTATTCATGTAACTTATGTTAAAGTATATTCTAGCCAGGCACAGTGGCTCACACCTGTAATCCCAGCACTTTGGGAGGCCGAGGTGGGTGGATCACAAGGTCAGGAATTGGAGACCAGCCTGGCCAATATGGTGAAACCCTGCCTCTACTAAAGATACAAAAATTAGCCGGGCGTGGTGGCAGGTGCCTGTAGGCCCAGCTACTCGGGAGGCTGAGGCAGGAGAATCGCTTGAACCTGGGAGGTGGAAGTTGCAGTGAGCCGAGATGGCGCCATGGCACTCCAGCCTGGGTGACAGAGCAAGACTCCATCTCAAAAACAAAAAGTATATTCTAATTGTTCTCTTTTATTATTAGTTATTGTTGTTATTCTATTACAGTGCCTAATTTATAAATTAAACTTCATCATAGGTATGTATGTATGTATAGGAAAAAAACATAGTACATATAGAGTTTGGTACTATCTGCAGTTTCAGGTATACACTGGAGGTCTTGGAACATATTTTGTTACATATATATCTATATATTTATAAATATATATTTATATATAGCTATATATTTATGTGTCTATATATCTATAAATATATGTTTATATATCTATATTAATCTATATCTATATATGAATATATAGGTAGATAGATAAATATATACATATATATATATATATATATTTTTTTTTTTTTTTTGAGATAAGGTCTCGGTCTATCGCCCAGGCTGGGATACATTAATGTTATCTTGGCTCACTGCAGCCTCAACCTCCTGGGGTCACGTGATTCTCCCACCTCAACCTCCCAAGTAGCTGGGACCACAGGCACATGTCACCACATCTGGGTAATTTTATTTATTTATTGTAGAGATAGGGTATCCCTATGTTGCCCAGGTTAGTCTTGAGCTCCTGGGCTCAAGTGATCCTCCCACCTCAGCTTTCCAAAGTTCTGGGATTACAGGCATGAGCCACTGTGTCTGGCTACATATTTTCCACAAATAAAGTGAGCCTACTTTGTACATAATTTGCAAGTATTTTCTCCCATTCTGTGGGTTGTCTTTCACTTTTTTTTTCTGGAGTCCTCCAAAATTCATGTTATAACCTAAGACCTAATGTGATGATGTTAAGAAGTGAGGCTTTCAAGGTGGTGATTAGGTCATGAGTGCTCTGCCCTCGTGAATGAAATTAATGTGCTTATAAAAAGGCTTCACATAGCATTTCTTCTCCTTTTTTTGCCTCAGCCTCCTGAGTAGCTGGGATTACAGACGTGTACTACCATGCATGGCTAACTTTTGTATTTTTAGTAGAGACAGGGTTTCACCATGTTGGCCAGGCTGGTCTCGAACTCCTAACCTCAGGTGATCGGCCCGCCTCGGTCTCACAAAGTGCGGGGATTGCGGGCGTGAGCCACCATGCCCGGCACATGCATCAGTTTTTATGCTTCCTTGCTTGGACTGATTAACCAGTCAACTACTGGTTCCAATAAAGTTGGATGAGGTGGCTTATACTCTACTTATTTGCCGCCCCTGCTTCTTCCTTTTTTTTGAGACAGGGCCTTTGACGCGCTGGCTGGAGTGCCGTGGTGTCATCTTGGCTCACTGCAGCCTCAACTTCCTGGGCTCAAGCAGTCTTCCCACCTCAGCCTCTAAGTAGCTGGAACTACAGATGTGTGCCCCTATGCCTGGCTAATTTTTGTATTTTTGTCGAGACGGGGTCTGGTCTCCAACTCCTGGGCTCAAGAGATCCGCCCACCTTGGCCTCCCAAAGCCCTGGGATTGCAGACATGAGCCACTCTGCCTGGCAACTTGTAACAGTTCTTTGTATGTTCTTGATACAAGTCAGTTGTCAGATACAGCGGTAGTACATAATTAAACATAATTATATAGAACTATATTTTATATAAGCGCAGCATTATATAAAACAGCAAAAATTTGGAAATAACCAAATGTCCAACAATAGGTAGTTAGCTAAGTAAATTGTGAAACATCCATGTAACGAAAGGTATACAACTATAAAAAATGATCTAGACCTATTTATACTGACATTGACAGATGTCTAACATAAATTACATGAAAATAGGAAGTGACAGAGAAGAGAGTATGGTATAATCTCATTTACATTAAAGTAATCAAAAAAACCAGCTTATATAATAGATACAGGCTGGGCAGGATGGCTCACGCCTGTAATCCCAGCACTTTGGGAGGTCAGGGCAGGAGGATCACTTAAGCCTAGGAGTTCAAGATCAGGCTGGGCAACATACCCAGACCCCATATCTACAAAAAGTTTAAAAATTAGCCAAGTGAGCTACGATCACGCCACTGCACTCCAGGCTTGGGGACAGAGCAAGACTGTCTCTAATAAAATAAAACAAAATAAAATAAAATAGGCTGGGCATGGCAGCTCATGCTGTAAAAGTGCTGTAATCCCGGCACTTTGGGAGGCTGGGGCAGGTGGATCACCTGAGGTCAGGAGTTCAAGACCAGCCTGGCCAACATGGTGAAACCTCGTCTGTACTAAAAATACAAAAATTAGCTAGGCATGGTGGTGCACATCTGTAATCCCAGCTACTCGGGAGGCTGAGGCAGAAGAATTGCTTGAACCTGGGAGGTGGAGGTCACAGTGAGCTGAGACTGCACCATTGCACTCCAGCCTGGGTGACAGAGTGAAACTCTGTCTCAAAAATTAAAATAAAATAAAGTAAAATAAAATATAATAGATATAGCTACATATGTGTGAAAAGGACAATAACATTAAATTATGAGTGTTTTCTGTCCTCCCTTGGGGGACCTTTCTAAATAAATAGGAGTATACTCTAAAATAATGATTAAAGGTTTAGTATAGTAAATGACTACATAAAAAAAGCAGAAAGCAAAAACAAGTAAATGGCTACAATGTCACTAGGCAATAGGAATTTTTCAGCTCTACTATTATCTTATGGGATCACAGTTGTGTATGCAGTCCATCGTTAACCAAAACATCATCATGCAGCACAGGACTGTATAGGTATGTATAACATGGACAGAAACAGACATCTCAGAAAAAGCAAGATACAAAATTGTATGTACATTATGATTAAAACAATACTAAACACTAATTTGATAAAAGAGTAACAGCAAATAATTAACTGTGTTTGGTGATGAGATCATTAGTGAAATTTTCTCCCTTTATCTTCCAATCTCTTAGTAATCTTGTATATTGTTTTTTGTAATATTTAAATAAGTTTTACAAGAGTGCTGTTGGTGGCTGGTAGTTGATATTCCTGTTTGTCTTTGTTTATGAAGCTCCCTCCTTCTCTGTGGATACCACGCTTCTTCTTACCCTGTATATCTATAACCAACTGTGAGAGAGTTTTTAATGTTTTGACAAAAATTTTTAAAGGTCCAACAGAACAATCACAATTTTTTCCACTGATTACTATGATCCCTTTGAATAGTCTTAGCTTGCATGGTCATTTTTACAGTCCCATACTACTATGCAAACTGAGAAATGACTACATATAACATAGATTTACTCTCTATCTTAGTAATTTTAATCTTTATCATTGAGTGCTTAAAGGAACGTCTACAAGGCACCATAAACCATACAGCAGAATGTTAGAATTTTCACTATAAAACCAAACACGTCATATATGCACACCCATGAAGTGTACAAACAGTACATACTAAGTTATCTCTTAACACTATTTTTCCTTTTTCTGGTGTTTTGTTGTTGTTTGTTTGTTTTTGAGACAGAGTCTCGCTCTGTCGCCCAGGCTGGAGTGCAGTGGCACGATCTTGGCTCACTGCAACCTCCGCCTCCTGAGTTCAAGTGATTCTCCTGCCTCAGTCTCCCCAAGTAGCTGGGACTACAGGTGCATGCCACCATGCCCAGCTAATTTTTATTGTATTTTTAGTAGAGACGAGGTTTCACCATGTTGGCCAGGGTGGTCTCAAACTCTTGACCTCAGGTGATCTGCCTATCTCAGCCTCCCAAAGTGCTCAGATTACAGGGGTGAGCCACTATGCCCGGCCAAATCTTTAATTTCTAAACTAATTTGGAAAGACAGAAAAATTCGTATCTTCCTATGTATGTAATCAAAAAATAGTAGTCAAAATATTCATTGCATTTTCACTGTCACTCAATCTTTTGCCAATCATAATCTATTTTTTTTTAGTTTTTATTTTTAGAGACGGGGTCTCATTCCTGTCGCCCAGGCTGGAATGCAGTGGCACAATCATGGCTCACTGCAGCCTCAAATTTCTGGACTCAAGAAATCCTCCAGTCTAAGCTTCCCAAGGAGCTGAGATTACAAATGCGAGCCACTGAGCCCAACTATAATCCGATTTTTTATTTGTATATCTAATTATTATATAATTTTATATATAATTGCACAATATATATTTTATGAAAAGTAACGGTTTCTAAGATGAAGAAAATCTAACCCCTTCCATGAGTTCCAGTATCTTATTATAACTACACTAAGCTACAATAATAGCTTAATATTAAACATTAATGTTTCTTCGACCTAAGGAAGCTGATTTTTAAAAATAATAAATATTAATTTTAAACACAGTATTAAAGTATTAATAATCAAACAAAGCCACGCAGTGAAACGACATTTGAATTTTGGGAAATTTTCTTTTTTTTTCCTTTTCTTTTTTTTTTGAGACAGAGTCTCACTCTGTCGCTCAGGCTAGAGTGCAGTGAGGAAATCTTGGCTCATTGCAACCTCCACCTCCCAGATTCAAGCAATTCTCCTGCCTTAGCCTCCCAGGTAGCTGGGATTACAGGTGCCTGCCATCACGCCCAGCTAATTTTTGTATTTTTAGTAGACAGGGTTTCACCATGTTGGCCAGGCTGGTCTCGAACTCCTGACTTCAAGTGATCCGCCCGACTCCACCTCCCAAAGTGCTGGGATTACAGGTTGAGCCACCACACCTGGTAAGAATGTTGGGAAAATTTTTTCATACTAACACATTGGCATATCAGTTATCAGTTGGATAAAAGTTTTCTTCCATATAGGAAGTTATAAAATGCCACTGCCCAGAGACAAAATCTTCTGAAGAGTTATTAGATGAATGGCTGACAACATCGAATAAAAATGCACAAAGAACATTGCCATAATAAACTTTTGATATCCAAAGGGCTACATTTGAGGGGTTATATACCTAAAAGAAACCTCTTTCGGCCAATATTTACATCCCCCTTAAACTCACCTACTACTCTCTCTCTATATATGCCCATTAAGATAGGATATCTTTTGAGAACCTGCCTCCAGAAATAAAGTCTTTAAAAAGTTTGGGCCAGGCACGTGGTTCACGCCTGTAATCCCAGCACTTTGGGAGGCCAAGGCAGGAGGATCTCTTGAGGCCAAGAGTTTGAGAACAGCTTGGGCAACACAGCAAGACCTCATCTCTGCAAAAAATAATAAAAATAATTTTTAAAAGTTTAAAAATATAGCATTTCATTTTAAAAAGTGCCTAGAAAAGCAGAAGATTTTAAAACATATAAATGTCACTTGCATCACTAAATACCCCCTTAACCTTCAAACAGTCTCTACTCCAATAACACACATAACAAATAAACCCTAGGCCCTTACAGCAATTGGGTTAAGAAAGGTTAAATTTCAGAATGCATAAAGATAGGAGGCATTTCTCATTCTTATGGTAGAGACTACATGCTGTCGTCTGTGTACATGCTTACAATAATAAAGGCCAACCTTTTATTAATGTTTGCTAATAAATATCCTCCTGATTTTCCATTCCAGCTAAGATTTGATAATATAATTGACTCTTCTGTGTTTTCATCACAAGCAGCACTGTTACAGATATCATTTCCTCTTAATTTATCCACAGGCTGTGTGAATAATTTAGAAAATTATTTTCGAAGGACTCTATCTAGGGAAGTCTTTTGGGTTTTAGAGTAGGGTTCTTTCTGGTTTTCTGCAGCTGTGGGGTCACTCCATCAGAATTTCATGGTTATATCCTTTGCGCAATCTGTAACATTGTTTAAGTTCAAAACTACATACATTATTTCATCAAAATTAGAAACTTTTGGGCATTAAAAGATCCTATCAAGACCATGAAAGACAATCTACAGATATTAATATATCTGTAACCCACAGAAGTATTTGGGAGAAAATATTTGTAAATCATATATCTGATGTGAGAATAATATCCAGAATGTATAAAGAACTACAGAACTACAACTCAACAACAAAAAAGCGCACATCTCAATTCAAAAATGGGCAAAGGATTGAACAGACATTTCTCCAAAGAAGACATACAAATGACCAATAGCACATAAAAAAATGCTCATTAGCACTAGCCATTAGGAAGCTAAAAATCAAAATGACAATACTATGTCACACCCATTAGGATGGTTATTAATTGAAAGAAAACAGAAAATAACAAGTATTGGGTAGATATGGAGAAAATGGAAGGAGCACTTGTGCATTGCTGGTAGAAATATAAAATGGTACAGAAGCCGTGGAAACCAGGTTAGCTGTTCCTTAAAAGGTTAAATACAGAATTACCATATGACCCAGCAATTCCATTCCTAGGTTTATATCCAAAAGAAGTGAAAGCAGGACTCAGATAGATATTTGCACACCAGTGTTCACAGCAACATTATTCACAATAGCCAAAAGGTGGAAACAACCCAAATATGTCCCATCAACAGATGGATGTATAAACAAGATGTAGTATATACAAATTATTCAGTCAAAAAAAGAAATTAAATTCTGCTATGTACTACAACATGGATAAACCTTGAAAACATTATCCTAAGTGAAATAAGAAAGGTCAAATATTGTTTGATTCTATTTCCATGAAGTGTCTAGAATAGGCAAATTCATAAAAAGAGAAAGTAGAATAGAGGTTACCAGGGGCTGGGGAAGAAAAGGGATAGAGAATTTCTGTTTGGGATGATGAACAAGTTCTGGAAATGGACAGTGGTGATGGTTATACAATATTGTGAATGTACTTCATGCCACTAATTGTACACTTTTTAAAATAGTTCAAATGGTAAATGGTATGTTTTATATATATATATATATAACCACCATAAAAATAAAATAAATTGCCAAAGCCAGGAGAAGGTGGGGGAGAGCTATGTACATACCCGAGTTTGTGAAGATCAGACAAAGATTCACATGAACTATTTTGAAAGTCTTTTACAATAATCCTAGTAAGACATAGCTGAAAACATAATACTGATCATGACTAAGCCATAATCCTATTACAGTGGAAATCATAATTTAGTACAATTTTTTGCTTTCTCAAAGATATGAGAAAAGCTGCATACATGTATTTATATACCAGAAAAATATACCTTTTAGTAAGGGTTTTACAGCAATGCAAATGTCAAAGTAGCACTGGCCTAAATTGAGGCAAATAGTTTTTTAACTAGTAGGCGATAACTGTGAAGGACTTAGTAAATGTGAAAACTTTGAAAAGCTGAAAAATCCACCTCTAGTATTTTGACTTCACTGACATAGGGAAATGCACAAACATCTACTACATTCCAGATTTAGGGACTCAGGATACTAAGATAAACAGAAAAAGTCTACCCTTTCAAAAGTTTAGCTTATCTCTGCCAGGATCACAAGAGGCACTAGTGAAGAACAGACATTTTGGGGGCATTTTCAAATTCTCAAACTGACACAAATACATGAGATGCGCAAAAGTCTTCTAAATTACAGTGTAACCTACAATTGTCTATCTTCTAATAAATTCTTCTAACACATAGAGAACTTCTGTGTAGTGCAGTTTTCTGAGACCTGTAATTATAAACTTCAGTTACATTGCTATAAACTTCCAAATTGGGAGTTTGAAATATGAGCCACATGTTACTTAACGTTCAGAAGACGTATAAATGAGAGCAAAAGGTTATGGCTTAACAGAAAACTAAATAAGAAATAACTATTGATTTTTAAATAGCAACATATCACAATCATAGACACACCAATGACTGTAACCATATGGTTCTTCTCTCAATCATCAAGCATATGCTAAATTTGTACTTAAAACGGTCCAATGTGACTTTAAAAAAAGGTTACTCTTCAAGCAGCTTTCAATCTAGTTGGGAGAGTAAATTACTACACATAAAACGTGTTATTTATGTACATATATATGTAAAAATACTCAAATACAAAGGATCCAAATGTAAGAATTCAAAGGAGATAAGTTAGTTCAGGAAAGCTCCAAAGAAGGTAAGATTTAGGCAAAGTCCAGAAGGATAGACAGAATTGAATGGAAATGAACCCTTCATAATCTAACTTCATCTTGCCTTTCCAACACATTGTACAATACAAAATTATTAGAATAGATAAAAGCAGTCTATGGCCATACCAACCTGAACATGCCGATCTCATCTGATCTCAGAATAAAAACAAATTAGAAAAGAAGCTGAGTGCAGTGGCTCACGCCTGTAATCCCAACACTTTGGGAGGTTGCGGTGGGTGGATCTCTTGAGCTCAGGAGTTCAAGACCAGCCGGGGCAACATAGCAAAACCCCGTCTCTACAAAAAAACACAAAAATTAGCAGGGCATAGTGGTGCACACCTGTAGTCCTAGCTGCTAGGGAAGCTGAAATAGGAGGATGGCTTGACCCTGGGGAGTTGAGGCTGCAGTGAGCAGTAAATGTGCCACTGCACTCCAGCCTGGGTGGCATAAAAAAGTCGTTCCAGATAAGAGAAATCACAGAAATATGGAATAAGAAGAGCATACTAATTAGCCCACTTAATGCTTATTGTAGAGAAGTGGTTAAATATTTTACATAGGAATACACATGTCAAATTATATAAATCATATGGGAGAAAAAACGCTCCAAAAATTACATGGAATTTTGACATGACTTTCCAATGTACCCTATTCATACCCACTACTCATTTGCTATTTGAGAGAAATGTCTCAGAACCAGTCAGACCAAGGCTCACCTTCAAAACCAGGTGGGCACCCAAATTATAACAAGAATTAGAAATTTGTGTTTGTCCTTGCATATAAGGCTGTGTTTCATTTTTCCTTCATATTTACTACTGATTGCTTCATGAATTCAGATAATTTCAGAGCCAGGAGGCATTATTTATAACCCAAATTTTAAATGTTTATATTCCTGAAACATTTGAATATTTGCATAAATGTCATGAGACAAACAAAATTTACTCTGTAGAAAGCACAATTTACCAGATTATTACTGCTAGTTTTATTCTGTCAGCTCTCTCCTTTAAGGAGAAAGCACAGCACTAGGTAGTCCCATTTATTACATCAACATTTTAATAAGGCCAGGCACTGTAGCCCATACCTGTAATCCCAGCACTTTGAGAGGTTAAGGCCAGAAGATTGCCTGAGTTCAGGAGTTCAAGACCAGCCTGGGAAACAACAGTGAGATTCCCATTACTACAACAAAATAAAAAAATTAGCCAGGTGTGGTCCGCACATCTGGAGTCCCAGATACTTGGGAGGCTGAGATGGAAGGATTGCATGAGCGCAGGAAGTAGAGGCTGCAGTGAGCCATGATCGCAGAAATGCACTCCAGCTAGGGTGACAGAGGGAGACCCTATCTCAAAAAAAAAAAAAAAAAAAGAAAAAGAAAGATCTGTATCTGTCCCTTGGACTATTTGCCTCCTACTCCTCCAATTCGTTCTTTATATTTCCCATAGAATAATCTTTGAAATGCACCTCTAGTCATTTTACTCAGGTGCTCTTCTTCAGTGGAAGGTACGTATGCCCTATGGTTTGAAGTCAGTCATTTCAGCATGGCAAGCCCTAGTAGTTTCTATGATTTGGTCCCTGTCTGAACACTGTGTACCCTTGCAACTGTTGCTTTCTAGATCTTGAAATGTTCTGCTTCTCCACAGGTTCCCCCTCTTATCTCTCCTATTACTTACATAAACTGCACAAATCTTACTATATAGCTTGACTGAATTTTTAGGGATGCATCCAAGGAATTATCCTGCAAAATTAAGATACAGAACATTTCCAGCACCCCAGTAGGCTCTCTTCTGTTCTCTCCCAGTCAACACTGACCCTCAGAGGTCACCACTATTCTGTCACCATAAATTAGTTTTGCCTATTTTGGAACCTCATATATACAGTAATGCAGTATTTACTTTTTTCGTGTGTATGTGTGCATGGTGAACTCATTTTTAAGACCAAATTTTATGCATCTTCTCTGTGAAGCAAAACCCTGTCTGTTCCACACAGACTTAGAGTGGCAGAGGAGTACCTTAACCTATCAAAGGCTATTTTGAGCAAAAGCCACTTTGTGTCATTGAAGCTGTAGAACTGAGCCACAAGAGGGAACTGTTAAAGTCCCAGGGTCAAGGACCAGGTACCTACGTTATCCCCACAGCACAGAAGCACAGCCTGAGTCTCTTCTTTGGCTGAGCCAAGGGCGTGCTGGAGAGGCCTGAGAGAAGGAGCGGCCCTTGTGACCAGTGCCCTTTTGGTTCACAAGGAACGTCTCCTCTTGTTGAAGTGACTTGGCTGAGCTTGCTACTTCTGCTTTCAGAGCCCAATATCAGGATCAAGACTTCAATTATCCCCAATTTACAGATGATGAAACCATATTGGGCAGGAAAGAAAGTCACCCCAGGAGAGCGAGTTGGACCCGGGCACTGGCTGAGGACAAAGGGGAATGATAATTTGGGATGTAGCTTGTTAAGGGGTCTCACAAGTGTTCTTGTGATCCAGGTGGCGAGAGGATAGAGCAGAAAGGTTGCCAGGGAGACGAGGGTAGGGTGCACTGCGAGAGTGGGAGAAATTAAAGAGAACACGCAACAAAGCCTTGGGACACTGGGAGGGGGATGGACCACCCAGTTTTGTGCTATGGGAGAAGAGAGCAAGAAAAGGAATCTGTGTTAAATCCCGAGAGCCTGCAGGAGAAGCAAATGCCCTTCATTTCCTTCATCAGCGGCGAGACTGGCATCCCTGCAGCTTTGGGAAACCATGCTAGTGTAGATGCCAGCTCACGCCAGCGGGCCTGACTGGGAGAACTTGGGCTGGGGTTCTGGTCTGGGGCTCCTAGGCCTGATGGGAAGAGAGTTCAGCCCAGCTTTCCTGTACTTCAGCTCGTATGCAGACGATGGCCATTGTTGAAATGAGAGACTCAAAGGAAGCTGGAACCTGAACTTTTTTGTTGTCTCGTGGACACCTGTGTTCAGTTTCGGGTTCTACCTCTTGCTGTCTGTGTGTTCTTAGGTGACTCACTTAAACCTTTCTGAGTCTCATTGTCTTCATTTATAAAATAAAAGACGTAACATTGATGTCAGATATTGTCCTGAGCATTAAATGGGAGAATAAGCAAGCCTCTTCTGCATTCCCCTGGCTTCCAGTGGGTGGAGGCCAGAGAAGCTGCTAAACATCCTGCCAGGTGCAGGACAGCCCCCATCGCAAAGAATTGTCTGGCCCCTGATGTCAGTAATGCAGTATTGAGGATCCTTGGTGTGGGGGAAACAGAATAAACTCAGAAGCTTGGCAGATCTCAATTCAAACCCCGGTTGTACGGCCTCCAGCAGGCCTTGGTCAGGGAATAGTATCTAGCTAAAGTTCATTGACTTCATTTTGTTTTCATTGAATTTATGTTTTGCTGGCTTTCCATTTATGAGAGTGATACAAATTTCCTTTAAACATGAAGTTGTAAATATAAACAGGTAGGCCATTCACAGGAATGTCTAAATTATGTCACAGGAAAGGTGGCACTCTCATATGGCAATAATTATGACAGGGGCCGGCAAATGACCTGCGTGACCCGGAGTGACCTGAGCACTGACTCCCAAACGCCCTCCATAGGATGTTCTGCATCCCCGAGACCCTTTCCTGGGTCCTCCTGGGCCCTACCACCCCCTAGACCATCCAGACCTCAGGTCATCCCCCTGTCTGTTGACAGAGTAGTCTCCGTTCCTGAATGTGCTGGTCACCAGCAACAGCAGCTGCTCCTCCTCCGGGAAGCTCAGCCTATACTTCTACATGCAGAGAACCTGGACGGCACCCAGGTGGACCTAAGCCTTCAGCTCCCAGTAGACGCTCTGGGTTTCCTACCCTGCCCAGACACTCTGGGCTTCCCCCCACACCTCCCCTCGGCCGGGGCTCCTGTGTGCATCTGTCTCTCCCAGTGCCCAGCACAGGCGTGGAACGGAAGAGGTGAATGGACCGATTTGAACACATCATCCTGGATTCTCCGTTCCCTCTCAAGCCCTGCAGCTAACCCATCGGCAAGCCCTGGAGGCTCTGCCTCCAAAATCCTGCCTATCCCATGTGCAAACGCCTCTCACCACGTCCACTGCTATTTGCAGTTCTGTGTGTGTGGAAATACTTCCACAAATTTGGAATGAACAGGTCACGGCTGTGCCTGGAGGGAATGGCCAGGGAAATGTGCCCTCGCCTTGCTGTTCTATCCAGGCCCACCCAGCTGAGGATGGGGGACCTGCCACCACTCTCCTGGCAGTTCCGGACTCCTGGGAACCGGCAGGTGAGGACCCAAGAGTGTTTTCAGTGACCCGGCTGACCTGGTCATCCGTCAGTCCCACCTTGGCCTAGGCCTCTATACAGCACAGATCACAGCTCATTCCATCCTGGCATTACACTGGCCTGTGCCCTGTCCTCAGGGTCACATCCGTCTCCCAGAAGCCGTGCAACCCTGGAAAACCCAGGTCTAACAGTCAGGTTCCTCCTCCGTGCATTAACAATGGCGTTGACGCCTGCTTTGCGGCACGCTGGGAGGGGAGAGGGAGGTGTATGCTGGAGAGCTCCCCAGGGGCAAGGCCTGGCTCTGCGTCACCCACTGTCAGATCCTGAGAGCCTGGGGCTGGCCCAGCACGTGGCCACCGTTCCCTAAGAGTTGGATTTCATCCCTCAGTGCTGAAGGCAGGGGATAGAGCTTAGACAGACCCCCTGCGTCCTGTCTTCTTTATCTACAGCTTTCTCATCCTTGCCCCTTTCACGTGCACCCGGCAGAGCAGGTGTTCACTGAGCTTGAGCAAAATTCAAGCTAGAGCAGCTGATGGATCTTGAGGCCTAGATTCACTGTCAAAGTGTTTCTCAAACGGTGCTCTCCAGAACACCAAGGAAAACTCATTGACTGTGTAAGTCTGAAAATCCCTGCCCACCGGTCTACCTTTGTGTATGAGCGATCAGCTCTACCATTCAGCCCAGGTGTGTGTTTGCTGGACCATGTGGAGGAAGCTGAAGAGACGTGAGCTGAAGGCAGAGGGTGAGTCCAAGGTGGGATCTTGGGACAGGTACGAGAAGTTAGGCAAAAATGGGATAATTCTAGCCTTCATAACCTTAGATAATAGTTCACATTATTATTTAGTTAATAGAACTGTACCCACATTAAATTTCTTAAATTTTTTTAAGAGATAAAGTCTCACTCTGTCACCCAGGCTGGAGTGCAGTGGTGCAATCATGGCTCACTGCTTCCTGGAACTCGTGGGCTCCAGCAATCCTCCTGCCTCAGCCTCCTGACTAGGTGGGACTATAGGCACACGCCACCATGCCTGGCTAATTTCTTTGACTTTTCTCTAGAGACCGGGTCCACCTAGGTTTCCCAGGCTGGTCTCAGACTTCTAGACTCAAGTGAACCTGAACCTCCCGCCTCGACCTCTCAAATTGCTGGGATTACAGGTGTGAGCCACCACACCCGGCCTAAATTTCTTATGTGCCATGGGACTGCAAAACATCATTATTAGGGGCAGCTGGATGGAAGGTATAGGAGGATACTATAGTGCCTTTTCAATATTTCTGTCTAAAATCTAAAATCATTTCAACAGGAAACATTTATTTCAAAACATGAAGGTGGTTATCCTTCCATGAGTTTGAAGTACAAAGGCAGGCTCACGGTGTCGTCAGAATTCAGAACGATGGTCGTGGGGCTGGGGGTGCTGGGAGGGGCCGGGCATGGTTGGCTTTGTGATCTGGGGTCTGGTGTGTTCCATCTCTGAATCTCTCTCGAGCTGCACTCTTTCTTAATACATTTTCATAAGTTTAACCAAAAATAAAACGAGGATGCGAAGCTTGCTTGGGTTGTTAAGCCTAGGGAAATTATCCAGCCATGAGCCCTGGCCCAGATGCTTCTAGAAGCCTGGAGGGAACTGAGAACTTTCCAAGTGGAGGCCGCAGAGGCAAGGCCCTGAGGTGGGAGCACACTGCTGTTCGTCCCTAGCTCTGAAGGGGGTGCCCTGGTCGGAATCAGTGCTGGGTGCAGCGAAAGCCGATCTCACCCGCTCCGCAGGGTGTTCAGCCTGCCAGCAGGGGGCCAGCTGGTCCTCCTGGGATATGGCACGGACCCAGCAGCTCTGTCTGAAATCATAATGGCGGAACCAAGGGCCCTCTACGTCCAGGTCCGTTGGGAGGCGGGGCATGGAGTTCCACTGCAGGAATCTCCAGGAACCCTGAGGTCCTCCCTGAGCCAGGGCCGGGCTGGGCACACCCTGAGTGCCCACAGGGTAGGTGTCTTCCCGGACAGCCCCACCAGGACAGGGTGTGGAAGAACGAGGTGCCCGTGGCGGGGAAGCTGACCAAATGGGCCGCGGGAACCGGGCTGGTGGGCCTGGAGGGGCCTGCCTGTCCCCCTTGCAGAGGGTCTTCCCGCCACGTGAAGCCGGCACAGGCCTGGATGCCGACGACCCTTGCTCGGGTTTGGCTGAAAGGAAAACAGACGCGGTCAGCATCTCCAGTGAGCCCACGCAGGCCTTTCCGGGCTGGGCCCCACCTGCCTGCGTCTCTGGAGTCCTCGGGGTCTCTGTGTGGCCCCCGTGGCCTGACACCGAGGACACGCCTGTAGTCTGCTGATCCCAGAGGGAGGGGTGCGTGCTGCCTGGCGTGGGGAAGCTGTCGTGGCATGGCGGGTGGCTCCTGGGACTGCCCCCAGGGTTCAGACTGGCTGGGGGCTTCCTGCCACACACCTTCGTCCCAGGGCTGTTGGGCCTGGGATACGGCCCCCAGTCAGAACTCAGGTGGGAGGGGCCTTGGATGTCACCCAGCCCCTTGTCACCTCACGTGGGGACCCGTCTCCGCAGTGGGTGATTGGGCCCGGACGTGGGTCACCCTCTGCCCTCCTGGGCTGCCCAGTCCATGCCAGGACTGACCGTTCCCACTTCTGGCTGAACTCTTGGCTCTGGCTCTGGGCCCTCTCCCTGAATGCTCTGTGGGTCAGGGACACGGATTCCCTTGTCTCCCTGGCTCCAGGCTTCTTGTCCTGGCAACCTTGGAGGAGCGTGCAGGAGTGAGGGGCCTCTGCTGCTCTCTGAGGCTGTGGGTGCTTGCAGGGAGGGGCGGGGTCTCCCACAAATGGGTCTGGGCTCGTCTAGTAACTTGGAGGGCCCTGCGAGGGGGAGAGGGAGACACCGTGGAAAGTGGGAGGGGGCTTGTTGGAGGGTCTTGCCCACATCCCCCTCCTGCGTGCACAGCATGTCCAGTATACACGCACTGAGCGCCTGCCCTGAGGACCGGTGGGCCTCCTGTACTTTCTTAGAGTCCAGGAGGAAGAGGAGGAAGAAAAGGTGAAGAGGAAGGCCCAGGTAGTAGGGTTGCGGGTCCCGGGCACTCCCCTACTACTGACTACCCCAGAGGGTGACATGGGAGGGGACATGGCACTGGAGCCCACCTGGGGGTGGCAGGTCCCCCTGCTTTCTTGTTAGTTTCTTCATAGAGGCCCTAAGATGCTTGAGCACAGTGTCCTCATCCCTGGCCCAGGTATCAACGAACCGGTTGCAAAAACGTGCCCACGGGCCACACCTGGACGTCTTCGTGAGGCGCTCTAGGGACAGGGTGGATATCAGGCCAGGGGAGTTACCTGGGAATGGTCACAGCTCATACCCCGTGGCCACTTCAGTCTCCTACTGGGCGGTGCCGGATCCTTTTGTGGCCACCCCAGGTGTCCAGATACACACAGGAGACTGTGGCTGGGGGGCGATCCGGACAGGGAAGTGCTCACCACACTCTCGACTTTCATCTGGGTCATGTGGGGGATGGGCTCGGTGTCACAGTGTCCTGCCCAGCCCACCTGGCCAGACCTCCCTCTGGGCCAGAACAGAGGATCATGAGGACAGTGTGAGGAAGCTGCCCTCGGGCCAGTCGGGGTCTGACCCCAGGGCTCCCCAGGCCCCGCTGGGCACACGTAGACTTACTCTGCTGAACCTTAAAGGCGATTCTTGTTATCGGCATCAACGCCTGTTCGCCTTCTACCAGATACACGTCCCACAGGCGCAGGGTGAGCCCGAGAGAGATCTGTGGGGACAGCAGGTGTGAAAGAACCTGGTCCTTCCAGGCTGGGGCTGGTGGCTCGAGCTGCGCACACTGGGGCTTCAGTCTCCAGAGTCAGTGACCTTCCCCATGAGGGTCGCCTGAGCCCTCCAGGACGCTGGGTCAGACAAGGTCTTGAAGCTCCTCATGGGGGGCACTCATTTGAGTGGGGATGTGGCTCCTGGAGAGAGGGGCTTGCCCAGGGCTTGAGGCTTCCCTGAGCCCTCTCAAGTCGGGTCCTGGCCCAGTCTGCCCATGAGGCTGGGCCTGAGCCCCAGCCATGGCCCTGGGATGACCCCCCTTGGGCAGAGGGTTTTGCTTGTGTGTCCTTTGGGGACCCGCCTGAGCCTCCTGTGGGCTGGGAGTGAGCCAGACCCCCGGGCTGGGGAAGCAGGGCACTGCAGGGCAAGGAAGGTCCCTGAGCCAGGGTCTCCCTATGCCTCCTTACCCCGTCAATCAATATCCGGATGAGGCAGCCTAACGGGGAACACTGCCCACATAGATCTTTCTTGTCCTGATGGAAGCAACAGAGGTGCTCAGGCCACTGGGCTGCCCTAAAAACCTCCCTCTTCCAGGGCCTCTGAAGACCCTTCCCCTAGTGCAGAACACTGGGCGGTGTCCAGAGCTCCCCACAACACTGTCACCTTCCCACACTCCCGGTGGACACACTGCCCTTTGCCCTGCTCTGCGGGAGCTGGGCCCCCATCCCTGTGCCTCTGTCTCCTCCAGGGCAGGAAAGGAAACCAACTCCCAGCCCATGGAGAACCCGACGTCCCAGGTCAGGCCCTGGCTGGGACTCAGCCAGTCACCAGCCCCACGAGGGGCTCCAGCCCCCCTGCTCCTACAGCCCCACGGGAGGCAGGGCCTCTGGGAAGAGCTGAGGGGACCATAAACTCACCTGATGCCCCATGGTCTTGGGTTGTGACGTGGCTACCACATGCTCCTGTTGGTCTTGGAGCCCCTGGACGGTCCCGCCATTTGGGCTGTGAAATCCTGAGAAGCCCCCAGCCCATCATGAAATCAGAGCCTTCCCCCAAGATGTGGAGCCATCAGCTGCAAGAGCTGGGCAGCTGGAGAGGCCCCCAAACCCCAAGGCCTCCCACCCTCCCATCTGGTGACCCCAACATGCGGCCTTTACCCTGGGGAGGTGGGGCGGGAACATTCCCTGGAGCCTGGCTGGAGGTTCCCCTGGAGGCCTCCTGGGCCAGGGTGCAAAAAGGGCAAGCCTGACTTTCAGGCCACGACAGGGTGGCCGGAACTGGGTGGGCGCTGGGCTTCCCGGTCATCTCCTGGTAGTGGGGTCGGGCCAGGGAACAGGGGATGGGGAGATGCTGCCACCTGGGCTTGGTCGGCCCATTCGTGGGCACCGATGGCAGCAGGAGCCCGGGCAGCTGGAGGGCAGGAGGACTCTCAGGGAGGGGAGAGTCAGCTGCACAGAATCAGAGCCGGAGGGCGTGGCTCCAGGACACAGAGGGTGGCCACGGGGAGGATGAGATGCCCTCTGCTGATGGGGATGAGAGGCGTCTGATTTGGGCTTTGGGGGTCAGCCGTGGACTCCTGTGGGACCCTCAGCAGAGACATCCTAAAGTCTCCCAACAAGCTGGCGACACAAGGAGGGTGCCTTGGCTGAAAGCTGTGATCACCTGGCCAGGGTGGCCATCCCCAGGTCTGGCTGCAGGAGGTCCCCGGGGCAGCTGTTCACTTACCCTGCAGGGAGTGCCTCTCACTGGCCAGCAGCTGCACCAGTGCCCAGAATGCATCCTCCTCAGGAAGATAGAGGAGGAACAAGGCGGCGATGTGGCTCAGGTCCCTGCAGTAGCCCACCTCCTGCAAGAGCCAGAGTCACCATGGAAGGACATCACCTGGGAGGGCTGAGGTCACCTGGGAGGACTCATGTCATTGGAGAGGGCAGAGGTGACTGGAGAGGCTTCCTCTGAAGGAGAGGCTTCCTCTGAAAAAGAGGCTTCCTCAGGATGCACATTCATTTCATGACAAGAGCCAAGTCCATCAGGCACTTCAGCACCTTGTCCAAAATGTCTGCTGATAGCACCATCCTGTGTGCGATGCTGCCAAGCTCCTGGGCTTTGGGGCAGCCCCAGGAGGAGGGCGTCATTTCTTGTTCTGAGAAGTGGTGGTCAGGCCCAGGTGACACCAGGAGTCCAGGCCCTGACTCCTTTGTGTCTCAGCTTGACCCCTTGAGACCACCCCCTTCCTTGGAGGTTTATGCCAGCGGTGAGCTGACATCCTACCTCCTATATCCTGGTGGGTCACAAATACTAACTGTAAAAGAAGCAACGACACCCCCACCAGACACCCACTCCTGTCAATATGGAAATATGGCCCGGGAACCTCACTGCCGGGAATACTCACCGGGTTATACTCCTCATATGCCAGGAGGATGTGGAGTAGTTCCCGCTGCCTAGGAAACAGAGAAAGGGGGCTTTGGTTTGTTTTGTGCAGATGTTGTTAATTTCACTTTGTCTACAAAGCCTAACAGCAAATCCCATTTCAGGTTCAGATGTTTCACCAGATAAGCAGTGAGCTCTTCAGGGCCTGAGACTCTTGAAGAAATGTTTCAGTAAAATCCACATCTGTGACATGCAAATAGCCCAGTTGTACAGTGACTTGCCTGATCCTTTTCACTCTGAATGATTTTTTTTTTCAGTTTGCACACACGCCAGTTCAGTCTGTGGGTGTACAGTTCCTCCACGGTTCCAAACCGATGTGCAGAGTCTCCCGGCCACCGCTCCAGCCCCTCCTGGGGCGACTCCTTCATCCTCCAAGTCTCCAGGGTGGCCCCTATGCACCCAGCCTCTCCCCGATCCGTCAGCCCCTGGCCACCCAGACTGCTTCTCAGTCCCTGTGGTTTGGCCTTTTCCAGAATGGCCTAGGAATGGGAATCCTACTGTGGTAGCTTATTGGGTCTGGCTTCTGTCCCTCAGCAAAATGCATCTAGGATCCACCCACGTTCGTGCGGGCATCACCGGCTCGTTCCCTTTTCTCACTGGGTCTTCCGTTTGAAGGGAGGACCAGCCTTGCTCTCCCCATCCCCGTGTTGAAGGCCGTCCCCGAAGGCTCCGTGTGTGAGTGACGAGGAGTCAAGCAGTGAACCTGGCATGCTGGTTTCATGTGGATGTCAGTTTGCAAATCAGTGGGTTCAATATCTGTGACACTTTGGGGATGTGTGGTTCAAGTCCATCGAGCTTTGTGAGCCACTGCCCAACGGGCTGCCAACGTGGCTGTGCCATGTCATGTTCCCAGCGGACCTGGATGAGAGTTTCCAGGACCCCTAATTCTCCCAGCATTTGGTGCTGTCACTGTTGCCTGGGGGTGGCTCATGGGCCCTCTATCCTGCCACCCTCCCGTGGGTCCTACCATGGGTCCCCATGGGTCAGGGAGAGCACCCTTCACCATTGTGCATGATTTTGTTTGCTGCCTTCCATCTCCTCAGGATCCTCCTGGGTTCTGGCCCCACATGTTCCAGTCTGGCCCAGGGCTTGGAACCAGGGAGGTGCTCGGTTCATGGTGCCGGCTGCTCCCTGGGCCGGGAGAGCTCTTGGCAGCTGTGTCATCCCTCCTGGGTGACCCTGGCTTCTGCTCCGGGGAAGCCCCCATCCCTCTCATTCACCCCATCTCTGCTGGGACCCTGTGGCTCCCGTAGGCTTACTTGGTTCCGTATCGATCCCTGAAGAATATATGCTTCCTTAATGTCCCGCTTACGTCCCGGTCGATGCGCTGGATGTGCTCAGATGACCTCTTGCCCTTCTCCTTCATGATCTGTAGGGCAGGGCCAAGAGGAGGAAGCAGTCTCAGAACAGATGGAAGACTCCCTGCCCCCAGTGGCAGTCAGCCCACAGTCAGCACTTCGGGAAGGAAGGACAGAAGGAAGGTTTCCTTCTGCAGAAAGCTGCATTTTGGCTTGTTACTGAAGCCAGGGAGGGTCACCAGAGCTGAGTTTGTCTGTGGTGACTGTGTCACCATCTGTGCCCAGGGTGTTCATCTGACCTTCACCCCCAGCTCCCCAGGGTGGTCTTGACGTTCCCTCCAGCTGGAGACCTGGGCCCCGACACGGCCTGTCCTGTTTGTTGTGCTCTGGCTGAGCGTACCTGGTATCTTCCGGGGTTTTTCAACTTCATTTCCTCAGTGTTCAGGAGGACTGACCACATCGGGCCCCGGATGTTCATGGGCATTCCCTTGTACGCTCGATCTATGAGCTGTGGGCAGAAAACGATCTGGTGTCACAGGCCACGGGGTGACCCCAGTGAGGACCAGAGCCCGGGGATTCTGGAAATTGTCGGTTTTGGCCCCATGATTCCTCAGTAGAGGTGAGATCAAGCTGGGACAGGGTCTCCCTTCCCAGGACTGAAAGAGTGGATGGACACTCAGAGTCGAAACTCTGATCTGAACCTTTTCCTTCCTTCAGGTCACCAGGGCATCCCTAGCCTTGAGCTCCGGGTAGTCCCAGCCCTAGATTCAGATTCCCTCCCTGCAAGGTGACGCTTGCACGAATAGGCAGGAAATCTGGCGACCAGGCCTGCAGTCCTCTGGGCGAGGACAGTGTGCCGCCCACCCTCTGAGAGGCTGATGGTGCCAGGCCACAGCCATGGGTGCCTGTCCCCTGTCTCTGCAGAGAGTGCTTCCTCCCTCCACACGTTACCTTTCTGCTGCTTTTGTATTTCTCCCAGTCTCCCAGCATATCCACCCACTTGCTCTTTCGGCTGATCTCCCGCCGAATTTGCTGTCAAATGAGGCATGTTGGAGTTAGCGGAGCTGCCAGGCTTCCCAGAGCCGCCCGCGGATGCTGGGTCTTGGGCTCTGGAGCCCTGGTGGGAGCCAGCTGGAAGGAGCCAGGGAAGGGCAGACCTCAAGGGCTGAGAGCCTTTGAGCAAATGAGCACCAGTGGGCTGGCTTTGGGACCCCGGGATGTACCATCCTCAGGCCACAGACACACCAGTCTTAGGTCCCAGCCTCTAGGTGGGGTCCTGACACAAGCGCGCAGCCACCCCCAAGCCAGGACTGTGGTTCTCCTTTTGGAATTTTATCAAACTGCCAAAGTGAACAGCAACCTGGGGTCAGGTCCAGCAGGGACTGCTGCCCCTCCCAGTGACAGCGTGTTGCCCTCACCCGCCACCGCTCAGGCCAGCTGCTTCCTCTGCCTCACTGACCACCCGCCCAGTCCCTACGTCCCTGGACCAGCCCCTCCACGCATCAGGCTCTTACCTTCGCCTCCCGCGCAGTCAGAGGAGGCAGCTCCGTCTCACTGTAAGGCAACCCAGGCAGAGCTGAGGAACTGCACGGGGCCTGGAGCGGCCCCAGCCTGGGTGCCGACCCCCAGAAAGGACTGGCTCTGTCCCTTTCCAGCTCAGGGCTCAGCCCAGGAGAAGGCACAGGGAAGGGAGGACAAGGGCCTTCCTGTGGGGCTGACTCCCAGGAGGGGCAGGACCTGGGAGAAGAAGGAGTGTAGGGACAGCCTGGCCGGGGTTACTGGGGCCCCTGGCGTGGGGGGCGGTCAGGCTGCCCAATGGGGCTGCCCGTCCTGGACTCGAGGTGGTGCTTTCTGCTGGAGCTGAGAAAGGTTAGCCCTGAGATGGGATGGGGGCCGCCCAGGGTGGGCGACCGGGCCCTGACAGGAGTCCCTCAGGGAGTGACCACATCCCCCCGCCAGGGTCAAGGGAGCCTGCCCTGAGACCTGCCCGGTGTACTCTGGCTGCACCAGGGGCCCACCCCACTTGACAGCCCCAAGGCCCTTGCAGGTTCTGACCTCCCAGCATCCACCTGCCTCTCCCTGCACCCGAGCCACACACCCTGCGTTTCAGAAGTGGCACGGCTCGTCAGCTCCCTCCCGCCCTACCTCCCCAGGGATCCTCTGTCTCTCCATCCTGTGATCCCTGAGGGATGGGCTCCTGGCTGGGCTCCTCTTACCCGGCCCCAGATCCCTTCCCAGCACCAGACCCAGGTCTTTAGCCGCGAGCCCTGCTGCCTCCCTGGCCTCACCGTGAGATGCCCAGAACGGGGCCCTGCCCATCTTCTCCCCCGTTCTCCTAGGGCTACAGCCCCCATTGTCACCATGCCTTTTCCCCTCACGGGACAGTGAGGGCTGTAGCTCTAGGGGAATGGGGGAGAACAGGGGCAGGTGGGCCCTCAGAGACCTGCTGGACAACAGCCCTGAGGCTGGGCCAGGCGTCTCCTCACCCTGTGGCCATAACCCTTGCATCTCACCGGGGTTGTCTCCAAGTAGACAGGGCCAGACCCTCAGGCTGCCCCGCTCCTCTTGTGCTCACTTGCCGACAGAACTGCTGAGCGCCCAGGGGCCTGACCTAGCCCAGTCTCCATTCCCACCGGCTCCCTAGATGGGCCCCACACCTCTGGCCTAACAACCTCGGGCTGGACCTGCAGGGGAGTCAGGGAGGAGTTCTGTCCCTGGAAAGGAGGTTGACCCGACCTGGTGAGACATGTCCTGCGTCAGAAAGGCCTTTCTAAAAGCAAACCCATCCCTGAGCTGAGACAGGTGCTTTAGGGGTGAGGGGAGTGCAGAGGACTCACTGTACAATCCCCAAATGATCGACGTTGTTGTTGTAGCTTCGAAAAGGCTTAGGCCCCTTGTCCTCTGGCAGCCCAGCTCGGTGTCCCTGTAGCCCAGAGGGAGCCTTGGTGAGGGGTCCAAGGTAAAGGGTGCAAGGGCCTGGGGGCATTGGCCACCCGTCCCTGCCCTGTGCTCCTAGGGAGCCCAGGACCCTTTGACCAGGGCACACTGGAAGAGGCCTCCCTCCAAGAAGCAGACCGACTTGTACCTTTTCGTATTTCATAATGATGTCCTCTCGCTCTTGTGCCCACCAACTGCCCGCGACCTCTACCACGTCCATCCTGTGAGACAGAATTGTCTAAAGGTCACACCGTACGCGGCGGCTTCGGAGAACACCTGAACCGCTCTCGCCGGGCTCCCAGATGCTGGCTGGCTGCGTAACCCCCATTCCACCGCCGCCCCCAGGGAAAAAGGGGCCAGACCCAGTGGCCCACAGCTGCTCCAGTCTCTGGAGTCTCAAGTCCCAAGCAGGGGTGGGCATCTTCCCAAGGACTTGAGTACAGTGGGACCTAGACAGAGAATCCTGTTGTCCCCCAATGCCATGAAATGGGGACACACCGGCCCCAGCAGGTTGAATGGTTTCCACCTGCCAAGGGTGAAGGGCCCATGATGGGCTATTCCAGGGATGTGGAGGCAGACTGGGGTCAGCGACCAGAGGTCTCTGTGCAATCGGCCTCCTGGGATGCTCAGGGCCTCAGCGATGCCCAGTTTCCTACAGGGAACAAGATCTCTCCCGACTGCTCGGTTCTACTCCGCTCATCACTTTGGCTACCGTGGCTCTTCAGTCTGAACAGTGAAGCCACTTTAGGAATAACGCCTGTTGAGCAGGAGGGTGTTGGGTTTGGGGGATGAGAAAGATCTATTGTACGCATGGAAACCACGTCTCTCGCGGAGGGACTGTGGAGTCCACCATTCTGAGCCGTCCCAACAGGAGGAGGCTTCATTTTCCTGGGTCACTGAGGAAGAACAGTGGGTCCTTGGTCCTGGAGAACAGCTGGATGGACCGTCCCTCCTGGGAATACTCGAGGCAAAAGGAGGGCGAGGCCTCAAGAGGACCACGCAGAGCAAGAAATACCTGGGGAGAACCCTAGTGCCCGGACCCCTTTGAACACAAGGGAAGATAGTCTCCCCTCAGCCAGCCCTCCAGGGCTCCTTCATTTTCCACAGCTGCCCAAGGGCAGCAGGCTCCCCCGGACAAGGGACCATGTGTGTTCAGTGGGGCCCACAGCGACCATCAGGACCCAGCTTAGGGCACAGAGGTGTTCTGAGGACCGTCAGTGGATCTGTACCAGTGGCTCTATACCAGTGGCTCTGCCAGGACCAGGCTCTGCCCCATCGGGATGGGAAACCTGGGCAGATTTGGGATCTAGGGCAGGGAGGTCACAGGGTTCAGGCCTGAATTCCAGCACAGCACACGGCAGGGCTGAGAGCAAAACTCAGGGTCATGTCCGGATTCCCAGGCCGGTTACTGCCTCTCTGACCCCAGACGTCTCATCTGTCGAATGGGGACATTTGGGAACAGCACCCACTCTACGAAGCCACCATGGAGACGAAAGAGCCAATCGTCTACACGGGCAGTGTAGAACGGGCGCCTGGTGAGTGCTCAGGGATGACCCTCCTCGGTAGCTGCCCCACAGAGGCCAACACCGCCCGCACCGTAGCCACTGCCCCCAAGTCCGCCTGGAGGGAAGAGAGCAGGTCACGCTCACCTGATTCTGATGAATCAGCTGGCCTGGGTCGTGCCTCTCAGGGAGAAAACCTTTGAGTCCACAGAGCTGCTCACAGATACCACTGCCTGTGTGTAACTGCTGTAGACCACTGAGGCAGACCAGAGAGCAGATAGGTGCTAAGCACCAGTGACATTCTGAGGTCATGGCACGAATCACAGTGGGGCCTTGCCCGGGTCAGCAGCGCCCAGAGTCAGGGTCCTCCGCTGCCTGAGGCGTCAACATGCCTGCCTGCAATGTGTTTGTGCACGTGCGTGCACATGTGTATGTGGGTAAACACATCTGTGCACGTGTGTGCTGCTTCTCTGGCCAGGCCCGGCTGCCCCACTCATGTGTGCACCCAGTTCCTCATCACTGTCACCCCCGAGGCCCAGGGCCAGCATCAGAGCATCCATGGCTGCTCCCTAACCTCAGCCCTCCCCGCCCAGGGTGGTCCTGGGATACACATAGCGGTGGAGGGAAGTGACTGCTGCTGTTGGATCTCAGAATACAAAAGCTAGTACTATTACCTAATGGTCTTTTTAGTGTCTCTAATGGTATCGCTTTTTCATTTCTGATATTTTAACTGGGTATTTCTCTCCATGACCCTTGGATATTCTAGCTAGAGGATCCTGTGGGGAAAGTGCCGGGCACACAGTTAGGGGCTCACTCTTCTAGACATGTTATCTAAAACCTGGTTCATCTGTCCTTCCACACAGGGCCTAGGGGATGCCAAATTCCAGGGGCCAGAAAGAGCTTGGGATAAAAAGAAACTTCAAGGGGACGGCTTTGACCTGGGCTGAGTCTGCCTGTGCCATCCAACTGGAGTCTCAAGTCCTGAGGCAGGACGTCCAGATGCCCCAGTGCAGGGTCCTCCTGATCAACACCTGCTCCCCTGTACTCATTAGCAACCTCACCCACCCTACTCTCAAAGCACACTTGGCTCTCGTATCCAGGAGCTCTGCATCTGTAGATTCAGCAACAGCAGATGGAAAATATTCAGAAAATAAATTGGACGGTTATGTTTCTATTGAACATGTGCAGAGTTTGTTCTTGTCATTATTCCCTAAAGAATCCAGTATCACGACCATTTATGTAGCATCTGCATTGTATTACACATCATGAATAATCCAGAGATGGTCTAATGTCTACGGGAGGATGTGCATAGCTGATATGTAAATACTAGGCCATGTTATGTCAGAGACTTGAGGATCCATGGATTTTGGCATCCCCGGGGACCCTAGAACTAATCCATGGATACCAAGGGATGACTGTATAAACTCACTCAGGAAGGCTTCTCATTGGAGGAAGGTCCCAGTTCAGGACACACAGGGACATCTCCCTGGACTACTGTCCATTCATCCATCCATTCATCCATTGTCTCCCCCCACCCCCCCATCTCGGACTGTCCCAGTGACAGCCCTAGCAAGAAGAGACAAGAAACAAGTTCACGTTGTCCAGTTTTGAGGTAATGGAAGAAGTTGCACCAGTATGAGAATAGTGGGTCAGTTTTCTACAGGATGCAGAAAGCATATCGGGCAGCCTCGGGGTGCGGAAAGGAGCCTGGCCTCTCTAGCAGCCACACAGGCCTGCAGTAGGATGGGGCTGTGGCTGGCCATGTGGATCACTTGGGCCTCATGAGGGGAAAGGAAATACCAGGGGGGCAGAAGAGGAGCATGGGGGCAGCTGGTTGCCTAAGGAGAAGGCACCTCAGGGAAGGGGACTGTATTCATTTGTTTTCACACTGATGTAAAGAAATACCTGAGATTGGGTAATTTATAAAGGAAACAGGCTTAATTGACTTGCAGTTCCGGAAACTTACAATCATGGCAGAAGGGGAAGGGGAAGCAGGCACCTTCTTCACAAGATGGCAGGAGGGAGATTGTGCAGTGGCACAATCTCGGCTCACTGCAACCTCTGCCTCCCGGGTTCAGGCAGTTCTCCTGCCTCAGCCTCCCTAGTAGCTGGGATTACAGGCATGCACCACCACGCCTGGCTAATTTTGTATTTTTAGTAGAGACAGGGTTTCACCATGTTGGCCAGGCTGGTCTTGAACTCCTGACATCAGGTGATCTGCCTGCCTCCGCCTGCCAAAGTGCTGGGATTACAAGTGTGAGCCACCGCGCCAAGCCATATCTGTTCTTTTTTTTTTTTTTTTTTTTTGAGACAGAGTCTCACTCTGTTGCCTAGGCCAGGCTGGAGTGTGCAGTGGTGCGATCTCGGCTCACTGCAACCTCCACTTCCCTAGTTCAAGGGATTCTCCTGCCTCAGCCTCCCTAGTAGCTGGGATTACAGGTGCATGCCACCACACCTGGCTAATTTTTGTATTTCTGTAGAGACCAGGTTTCACCATGTTAGCTAGGCTGGTCTCAAACACCCGACCTCAGGTGATCCGCCCGCCTCTGCCTCCCAAAGTGCTGGGATTACAGGCATGACCCACCGCGCCTAGTCCATATCTGTTCTTTTTTTTTTTTTTTTTTTTTTTGAGACAGAGTCTTGCTCTGTCGCCAAGGCCGGAGTGCAGTGGCGTGATCTCAGCTCACTGCAACCTCCGCCTCCCGGGTTTAAGCGATTCTCCTGCCTCATCCAAGTAGCTGGGACTACAGGCACCTGCCATCATGCCAGGCTAATTTTTGAATTTTTAGTAGAGAAGGGGTTTCACCATATTGGCCAGGCTGGTCTCGAACTCGTGACCTTGTGATCCACCCGCCTCGGCCTCCCAAAGTGCTGGGATTACAGGCCTGAGCCACCGCACCTGGCTAGCCTGTGTCTGTTCTTTAAAATTGTTTTGTTTTCCTTACTCTCAGATTCTTCTTGCTGCTTATTGTGCCTTGTTGCTGCCTGTTGTGCAATTTCTTCCCTCTTGTATTTTACTGAACTTCATCTGAAGAAGCCTTAGTAGCCAGATAAACAAGCTTGTTTGGGCTAAAAAATCAATTGCTGTGTGAGAGTTTGTTGGATTCTCTTCTGAGTAAAGGGTATGTGTTTTATTGTACGGACTTTGTATCACCTATTTTGGCTTTTCATCCAGGCCTTTTTTTTTTTTCTTTCTTTTTAGCTTCCTGGTTCTAGATACAACTGATACTCTGATACAACCTGGGTAAATGTGGTCTTGAGTAGTAAATTATCTGTGAAGCTTCTCCGAACTTTGCCACATAAATGAGCCTGCTCTTGTTGTGAAGTAAATCTTACTCTAATCTGTATGTGAGTCAGTGGGAAATAACTGAGCCTTCGGATGGCTTTTGTTGTTAACTGAGATTAGTTCTCTAGATTTTAGTGATTTTGTTTTGAACACCATACAAGTATGTGGTTCTTGGTTTATTTGGTCACTTGTAATCTCTTTAAAATTTTATTTTAAATTAGGAAGTATTTTAGAAATACAAGAAAGTCACACACTATGAGATTAAACAGATGTTAACATTTTGCCCCATTTTCATCAGACTGTGCATGCTTTTTTTGGGGGGGAATAAAATGTCACAGATACCACTAAAGCCCGTTTCCATCTCGTCCCACCCTGCCTCTAGAAGTAACTTCTTTCTTCAGGTAGGTGCGTATTATTCCTTTTTATTCCTACGTATAGTTTAAAACTTTAATTGCATATTAGTAGCCACAAACATCACATACCAATATTCTGTGCCTTTTGCATTTTTACATTAATGGTAATTATTTTTGACCTTCTGCAAATGGCTCTTTTCAGTGTTTCTTGTTAGAAAACTTGGCTCAACTTGAGTTTACTAATTATCTGCTTCTTCTTGTCTTTAGCTATTATAGAACTGTTCCACCAAGGCAACAATTATTGCTATTTTAATGGTGAAATCAGTTTTATTAGGCAAATTGACTCAGGCTTCAGACTGGCATTTGGAATTGTCACACTGGAGATTTTCTTTTACTGAAGTCTCAGGACATTGACAATCAGAAAAAAACCCTCTTGAGTCTTACTATCGTACATGTAAGATATGTTCCTGAGTGACTATAGTAAAGACTCATTCAGGAAAATGTTATCTCCGATTTCTGCCTCCCTAGCTCATAGGAAACTTCCATTGTAAAGTTGTTACCAGGCGTCAAGCTGCCTCTTTGGTACAGCCCTTACTTAGTATTTGGCTCAGTTGAAGTGCAGTCTATATAGGAGGCCAAGAAGACTTAATCCTGGGTTTGAAACAAAGCAAGGATACACTAACATTCTATCCTTTAATAACATCAAGTAGAAAAATTGAAAATGAGCTTGTTATCAGTGCACTTTTATATGCCAACCTTGTTTCACTTGTGTTTTAAACTGGGAAACTGAAGATTTTAATGCTGAAATTTCTTTGAATTATTACCTGTTTTTTTGATAGTGGAACACACAGCTAATATTTACTAATATGAAGGTGTCAAAGGTGAGAAATCATGTACTACACCATCAGGTCAGCACTACTGTTTGGAAGAGCAGCATCACAAAGAGCAGTGTTATACTGCGTTGTAGTCAGCACATACACTTATGTCCAGACAGATATTTTAAATTACCTTCTTGGGGTAGTACACATATGCTGATATCCAAAGTGCCATATAATACAATACATAGTTTTTAAACTTCATATCATTCTGATCAGAAGCTTTATAAACTGTTAGGTGAATGCTGTTAGATGATATGAGAGCACAATTTAACCTGTGTGTGTGTATATGTATGTCTTAACATCTATTAAGTGATGACTACATATGAGGCACTAAGTGCTAAAACAGAGACTTTACATAGATTATCCCATTATTGGTCAACTTTTTAAATAAGTGCATCTCTAATATAAGACAAGATGCTGACCAATTTTTAAAATGTGAATGGATTTCTATTTTTAAGATAAGTACCTTTGTTCCTTTGGTTCCTCCCTCCCACCCTTCCAGAAATGGTAGTATCCTGGAAAAAAAAAATTAGTAGCAATTCAAGAAACAGCTTAATTCATTAGTATAAATAGATGAGTTTCCCCTAAACACAGGAGGAGTTGGAAGGTACTTGAAATTGGATGTTGTGCATGGTGCCTTTCCAAAATGCACAAATACTTTCTCTCAAATGGTTGCAGTAGTAATGTGCTGTGTGATTTGGCATGTATAATGTTGTACAGGTATCTTGACATTGGTGGATTAACTGCTTGGCTACTGTGAAATTCACTGTAGATGTTGATGGATGAAAGTGTGGTTGCCTAGGTAATGATTAAGACCAGTAACTAAACCACAGTTATTATTTTGCTGGCATAAACTTCAAACTCAGAAAGGTTTTTATTCATTTTACCCATTGGAGCATACCCCAGTAAGTGCTTCATTTCTTTGTGTTTCTGATTTTTTTTTTTTTTAAGATGGAGTCTTGCTTTTGTCGCCCAGGTTGGAGTGCAATGGCGCGATTTCGGCTCACTGCAACCTCCACCTCCTGGGTTCAAGCGATTCTCCTGCCTCAGCCTCCCGAGTAGCTGGGATTACAGGTGCCTGCCACCACGCCCAGCTAATCTTTGTATTTTTAGTAGAGATGGGGTTTCACCATGTTAGCCAGGCTGGTCTCGAACCCCTGACCTCGTGATCCACCCACCTTGGCCTCCCAAAGTTCTGGGATTACAGGCATGAGCTGCCGTGCCCAGCCATGTTTCTGAATTTTTAAGTCAACTTCTGAATAGGCAAAGAATTCTTTTTGTTTTTTTGTTCAACTTTAGTGCTATAAATCGCCAGTTGGACACAAAGGTTTTAGTGCTATTTAGGTATGTTTTGGTGAAATAGTGTGAAGGAATATTGCTGCTTAAAAGATAAGCCATTCATTAAATGACGTCTTTGTTTTGAAACATGAAGACTTATGAGAAGCATTTTTTTTGTAAGCCAAAGTAGTTTCACTTTATGTGTTACAGATTTTGAATAGCTCATTATAGACTTTGTAATTTACTGTCTCTCATTTAGGCAGGTAATTTTAGTTGCCAGCTAATCATGTTTAAATATGTATTGGTTATTAATAAATGATTACCCGTATACAGGTCTTTCATGCAGATAGCGTACTACTCTGATGTTCTTACCTAGTTTTGTGGTATGTTCAGTTGTCTAAGAGCATTGTTGATCTGCACACAGATTTTGTTTGGTCTATACAGTGTTTCTGAAAACTTGAATTAGTTACCATTAATAAAAAATAGAGAGACTGCACATGAAATCTGAATTTGTAGCTTTTAAAAAAAAAAATTGGAAGATCAGGCCAGGTGCGGTGGCTCATGCCTGTAATCCCAGCACTTTGGGAGGCCGAGGCGGTCAGATCACCTGAGGTCGGGAGTTCGAGACCAGCCTGACCAACATGGAGAAACCCCGTCTGTACTAGAAATACAAAATTTACCGGGCGTGGTGGCACATGCCTGTAATCCCAGCTACTAGGGAGGCTGAGGCAGGAAAATCGCTTGAACCTGGGAGGCGGAGGTTGCGGTGAGCCGAGATCACGCCATTGCACTCCAGCCTGGGCAACAAGAGCAAAACTCCGTCTCAAAAAAAAAAAAAAAAATTGGAAGATCTGTCAGCACTAAACCTGCCAGTCACCATAGCGATAATTCTTTGGCTCCAAGAAATGGCTACCACCTCCTTCTTTTAAGGGGTTGTGCACAGCTTCCACATGGCTTGCTACACTTACCTGCCTCAGGAAGCATTTCTTTGTGATTTAGGGCATCTGTGTTTTTGTTATTTTAGATTTAGAACATTCAAATGTCTGGAAATGAATTTGAAGTTTTGTTTTAAGCAAGGTTATGACTAAATTGAAAAATGCACAAGAGGCCAGGCGTGGTGGCTGACGTCTGTAATCTCAGCACTTTGGGAGGCTGAGACGGGCGAATCACGAGGTCAGGAGTTTGAGACCAGCCTGACCAACAAGGTGAAACCCCATCTCTACTAAAAATACAAAAATTAGATGGGTGTGGTGTTGCACACCTGTAATCCCAGCTACTCAGGAGGCTGAGGCAGGAGAATCACTTGAACCTAGGAGATGGAGGTTGCAGTGAGCCAAGATCGCATCATTGCACTCCAGCCTGGGTGAGAGAGCGAGACTCCATCTCAAAAAAAAAAAAAAAAAAGAAAAATGCACAAGAGTGTTAAACAAGCAGTTCACAGTGGAAAAACTTAATGGCGCGTGCACACACACACACACACACACGAGAAAAGATGCATAGTAACCAATGTTATTAGTAATCAGGGAAATTCTGATTAAACCAATGGACTATCAGTACAAAAATTTTTTTTTTTAATTTTTGAGACAAAGTTTTGCTCTTGTTGCCCAGGCTGGAGTGCAATGGCTCAATCTAGCTCACTGCAACCTCCACTACCTGGGTTCAAGTGATTCTCCTGCTTCAGCCTTCCAAGTAGCTGGGATTACAGGCACGCACCACAGGCCTGGCTAATTTTTTTTTTTTTTTTTTTTTTTTTTTTTTTTAGTAGAAATGGGGTTTCACCATGTTGGTCAGGCTGGTGTTGAACTCCTGACCTCAAGTGATCCACCCACCTCAGCCTCCCAAAGTGCTGGGATTACAGGCGTGAGCCACTGTGCCTGGCCAGGACTATCATTTAATACCCATTAGATTGTCAAAAATACTAAAGTTTTTCAGAACATGCTGAAAGTGGGATTTCTTCATTCTTTGCTCATGGGAATGTCAGTTGACACCACTCTAGAGGATAATTTGGCAGTTCTTGGTAAAGTTGAAGATTTATGTCCAACAATCCAGAAAGTCCACTATTAGGTTCCTTTCCATGGAAAAATTCTCTCATGTGTGCACAGGAAAACATGGACCAAGATGCTAGTTTGTTTGTTTATTTATTTATTTATTTATTTTTGAGACAGAGTCTTGCTCTGTTGCTCAGGCTGGAGCGCGGTGGCACAATCTCCGCTCACTGCAAGCTCCGTCTCCCAGGTTCACATCATTCTCCTGCCTCAGCCTCCCGAGTAGCTGGGACTACAGGCACCTGCCACCATGCCCGGCTAATTTTTTGTATTTTTAGCAGAGACGGGGTTTCACCATGTTAGCCAGGATGGTCTCGATCTCCTGACCTCATGATCCGCCTGCCTCGGCCTCCCAAAGTGCTGGGATTACAGGCGTGAGCCACCGTGCCCGGCCTTAATTTTTGTATTTTTAGTGGAGATGGGGTCTCTCTACTCTCTATGTCAGCCAGGCTGGTCTTGAATTCCTGGCCTCAAGTGATCTGCCTGCCTGACCCTCCAAAAGTGCTAGGATTACAGGTGTGAGCCACCACACTCGGTGGTGATTCTCCTGCCTCAGCCTCCTGAGTAGCTGGGATTACAGGTGTGCAACACCACACCCATCTAATTTTTGTATTTTTAGTAGAGATGGGGTTTCACCTTGTTGGTCAGGCTGGTCTCAAACTCCTGACCTCGTGATTCGCCCGTCTCAGCCTCCCAAAGTGCTGAGATTACAGACGTCAGCCACCACGCCTGGCCTCTTGTGCATTTTTCAATTTAGTCATAACCTTGCTTAAAACAAAACTTCAAATTCATTTCCAGACATTTGAATGTTCTAAATCTAAAATAACAAAAACACAGATGCCCTAAATCACAAAGAAATGCTTCCTGAGGCAGGTAAGTGTAGCAAGCCATGTGGAAGCTGTGCACAACCCCTTAAAAGAAGGAGGTGGTAGCCATTTCTTGGAGCCAAAGAATTATCGCTATGGTGACTGGCAGGTTTAGTGCTGACAGATCTTCCAATTTTTTTTTTTTTTTTTGAGACGGAGTTTTGCTCTTGTTGCCCAGGCTGGAGTGCAATGGCGTGATCTCGGCTCACCGCAACCTCCGCCTCCCAGGTTCAAGCGATTTTCCTGCCTCAGCCTCCCTAGTAGCTGGGATTACAGGCATGTGCCACCACGCCCGGTAAATTTTGTATTTCTAGTACAGACGGGGTTTCTCCATGTTGGTCAGGCTGGTCTCGAACTCCCGACCTCAGGTGATCTGACCGCCTCGGCCTCCCAAAGTGCTGGGATTACAGGCATGAGCCACCGCACCTGGCCTGATCTTCCAATTTTTTTTTTTAAAAGCTACAAATTCAGATTTCATGTGCAGTCTCTCTATTTTTTATTAATGGTAACTAATTCAAGTTTTCAGAAACACTGTATAGACCAAACAAAATCTGTGTGCAGATCAACAATGCTCTTAGACAACTGAACATACCACAAAACTAGGTAAGAACATCAGAGTAGTACGCTATCTGCATGAAAGACCTGTATACGGGTAATCATTTATTAATAACCAATACATATTTAAACATGATTAGCTGGCAACTAAAATTACCTGCCTAAATGAGAGACAGTAAATTACAAAGTCTATAATGAGCTATTCAAAATCTGTAACACATAAAGTGAAACTACTTTGGCTTACAAAAAAAATGCTTCTCATAAGTCTTCATGTTTCAAAACAAAGACGTCATTTAATGAATGGCTTATCTTTTAAGCAGCAATATTCCTTCACACTATTTCACCAAAACATACCTAAATAGCACTAAAACCTTTGTGTCCAACTGGCGATTTATAGCACTAAAGTTGAACAAAAAAACAAAAAGAATTCTTTGCCTATTCAGAAGTTGACTTAAAAATTCAGAAACATGGCTGGGCACGGCAGCTCATGCCTGTAATCCCAGAACTTTGGGAGGCCAAGGTGGGTGGATCACGAGGTCAGGGGTTCGAGACCAGCCTGGCTAACATGGTGAAACCCCATCTCTACTAAAAATACAAAGATTAGCTGGGCGTGGTGGCAGGCACCTGTAATCCCAGCTACTCGGGAGGCTGAGGCAGGAGAATCGCTTGAACCCAGGAGGTGGAGGTTGCAGTGAGCCGAAATCGCGCCATTGCACTCCAACCTGGGCGACAAAAGCAAGACTCCATCTTAAAAAAAAAAAAAATCAGAAACACAAAGAAATGAAGCACTTACTGGGGTATGCTCCAATGGGTAAAATGAATAAAAACCTTTCTGAGTTTGAAGTTTATGCCAGCAAAATAATAACTGTGGTTTAGTTACTGGTCTTAATCATTACCTAGGCAACCACACTTTCATCCATCAACATCTACAGTGAATTTCACAGTAGCCAAGCAGTTAATCCACCAATGTCAAGATACCTGTACAACATTATACATGCCAAATCACACAGCACATTACTACTGCAACCATTTGAGAGAAAGTATTTGTGCATTTTGGAAAGGCACCATGCACAACATCCAATTTCAAGTACCTTCCAACTCCTCCTGTGTTTAGGGGAAACTCATCTATTTATACTAATGAATTAAGCTGTTTCTTGAATTGCTACTAATTTTTTTTTTCCAGGATACTACCATTTCTGGAAGGGTGGGAGGGAGGAACCAAAGGAACAAAGGTACTTATCTTAAAAATAGAAATCCATTCACATTTTAAAAATTGGTCAGCATCTTGTCTTATATTAGAGATGCACTTATTTAAAAAGTTGACCAATAATGGGATAATCTATGTAAAGTCTCTGTTTTAGCACTTAGTGCCTCATATGTAGTCATCACTTAATAGATGTTAAGACATACATATACACACACACAGGTTAAATTGTGCTCTCATATCATCTAACAGCATTCACCTAACAGTTTATAAAGCTTCTGATCAGAATGATATGAAGTTTAAAAACTATGTATTGTATTATATGGCACTTTGGATATCAGCATATGTGTACTACCCCAAGAAGGTAATTTAAAATATCTGTCTGGACATAAGTGTATGTGCTGACTACAACGCAGTATAACACTGCTCTTTGTGATGCTGCTCTTCCAAACAGTAGTGCTGACCTGATGGTGTAGTACATGATTTCTCACCTTTGACACCTTCATATTAGTAAATATTAGCTGTGTGTTCCACTATCAAAAAAACAGGTAATAATTCAAAGAAATTTCAGCATTAAAATCTTCAGTTTCCCAGTTTAAAACACAAGTGAAACAAGGTTGGCATATAAAAGTGCACTGATAACAAGCTCATTTTCAATTTTTCTACTTGATGTTATTAAAGGATAGAATGTTAGTGTATCCTTGCTTTGTTTCAAACCCAGGATTAAGTCTTCTTGGCCTCCTATATAGACTGCACTTCAACTGAGCCAAATACTAAGTAAGGGCTGTACCAAAGAGGCAGCTTGACGCCTGGTAACAACTTTACAATGGAAGTTTCCTATGAGCTAGGGAGGCAGAAATCGGAGATAACATTTTCCTGAATGAGTCTTTACTATAGTCACTCAGGAACATATCTTACATGTACGATAGTAAGACTCAAGAGGGTTTTTTTCTGATTGTCAATGTCCTGAGACTTCAGTAAAAGAAAATCTCCAGTGTGACAATTCCAAATGCCAGTCTGAAGCCTGAGTCAATTTGCCTAATAAAACTGATTTCACCATTAAAATAGCAATAATTGTTGCCTTGGTGGAACAGTTCTATAATAGCTAAAGACAAGAAGAAGCAGATAATTAGTAAACTCAAGTTGAGCCAAGTTTTCTAACAAGAAACACTGAAAAGAGCCATTTGCAGAAGGTCAAAAATAATTACCATTAATGTAAAAATGCAAAAGGCACAGAATATTGGTATGTGATGTTTGTGGCTACTAATATGCAATTAAAGTTTTAAACTATACGTAGGAATAAAAAGGAATAATACGCACCTACCTGAAGAAAGAAGTTACTTCTAGAGGCAGGGTGGGACGAGATGGAAACGGGCTTTAGTGGTATCTGTGACATTTTATTCCCCCCCAAAAAAAGCATGCACAGTCTGATGAAAATGGGGCAAAATGTTAACATCTGTTTAATCTCATAGTGTGTGACTTTCTTGTATTTCTAAAATACTTCCTAATTTAAAATAAAATTTTAAAGAGATTACAAGTGACCAAATAAACCAAGAACCACATACTTGTATGGTGTTCAAAACAAAATCACTAAAATCTAGAGAACTAATCTCAGTTAACAACAAAAGCCATCCGAAGGCTCAGTTATTTCCCACTGACTCACATACAGATTAGAGTAAGATTTACTTCACAACAAGAGCAGGCTCATTTATGTGGCAAAGTTCGGAGAAGCTTCACAGATAATTTACTACTCAAGACCACATTTACCCAGGTTGTATCAGAGTATCAGTTGTATCTAGAACCAGGAAGCTAAAAAGAAAGAAAAAAAAAAAAGGCCTGGATGAAAAGCCAAAATAGGTGATACAAAGTCCGTACAATAAAACACATACCCTTTACTCAGAAGAGAATCCAACAAACTCTCACACAGCAATTGATTTTTTAGCCCAAACAAGCTTGTTTATCTGGCTACTAAGGCTTCTTCAGATGAAGTTCAGTAAAATACAAGAGGGAAGAAATTGCACAACAGGCAGCAACAAGGCACAATAAGCAGCAAGAAGAATCTGAGAGTAAGGAAAACAAAACAATTTTAAAGAACAGACACAGGCTAGCCAGGTGCGGTGGCTCAGGCCTGTAATCCCAGCACTTTGGGAGGCCGAGGCGGGTGGATCACAAGGTCACGAGTTCGAGACCAGCCTGGCCAATATGGTGAAACCCCTTCTCTACTAAAAATTCAAAAATTAGCCTGGCATGATGGCAGGTGCCTGTAGTCCCAGCTACTTGGATGAGGCAGGAGAATCGCTTAAACCCGGGAGGCGGAGGTTGCAGTGAGCTGAGATCACGCCACTGCACTCCGGCCTTGGCGACAGAGCAAGACTCTGTCTCAAAAAAAAAAAAAAAAAAAAAAAGAACAGATATGGACTAGGCGCGGTGGGTCATGCCTGTAATCCCAGCACTTTGGGAGGCAGAGGCGGGCGGATCACCTGAGGTCGGGTGTTTGAGACCAGCCTAGCTAACATGGTGAAACCTGGTCTCTACAGAAATACAAAAATTAGCCAGGTGTGGTGGCATGCACCTGTAATCCCAGCTACTAGGGAGGCTGAGGCAGGAGAATCCCTTGAACTAGGGAAGTGGAGGTTGCAGTGAGCCGAGATCGCACCACTGCACACTCCAGCCTGGCCTAGGCAACAGAGTGAGACTCTGTCTCAAAAAAAAAAAAAAAAAAAAAGAACAGATATGGCTTGGCGCGGTGGCTCACACTTGTAATCCCAGCACTTTGGCAGGCGGAGGCAGGCAGATCACCTGATGTCAGGAGTTCAAGACCAGCCTGGCCAACATGGTGAAACCCTGTCTCTACTAAAAATACAAAATTAGCCAGGCGTGGTGGTGCATGCCTGTAATCCCAGCTACTAGGGAGGCTGAGGCAGGAGAACTGCCTGAACCCGGGAGGCAGAGGTTGCAGTGAGCCGAGATTGTGCCACTGCACAATCTCCCTCCTGCCATCTTGTGAAGAAGGTGCCTGCTTCCCCTTCCCCTTCTGCCATGATTGTAAGTTTCCGGAACTGCAAGTCAATTAAGCCTGTTTCCTTTATAAATTACCCAATCTCAGGTATTTCTTTACATCAGTGTGAAAACAAATGAATACAGTCCCCTTCCCTGAGGTGCCTTCTCCTTAGGCAACCAGCTGCCCCCATGCTCCTCTTCTGCCCCCCTGGTATTTCCTTTCCCCTCATGAGGCCCAAGTGATCCACATGGCCAGCCACAGCCCCATCCTACTGCAGGCCTGTGTGGCTGCTAGAGAGGCCAGGCTCCTTTCCGCACCCCGAGGCTGCCCGATATGCTTTCTGCATCCTGTAGAAAACTGACCCACTATTCTCATACTGGTGCAACTTCTTCCATTACCTCAAAACTGGACAACGTGAACTTGTTTCTTGTCTCTTCTTGCTAGGGCTGTCACTGGGACAGTCCGAGATGGGGGGGTGGGGGGAGACAATGGATGAATGGATGGATGAATGGACAGTAGTCCAGGGAGATGTCCCTGTGTGTCCTGAACTGGGACCTTCCTCCAATGAGAAGCCTTCCTGAGTGAGTTTATACAGTCATCCCTTGGTATCCATGGATTAGTTCTAGGGTCCCCGGGGATGCCAAAATCCATGGATCCTCAAGTCTCTGACATAACATGGCCTAGTATTTACATATCAGCTATGCACATCCTCCCGTAGACATTAGACCATCTCTGGATTATTCATGATGTGTAATACAATGCAGATGCTACATAAATGGTCGTGATACTGGATTCTTTAGGGAATAATGACAAGAACAAACTCTGCACATGTTCAATAGAAACATAACCGTCCAATTTATTTTCTGAATATTTTCCATCTGCTGTTGCTGAATCTACAGATGCAGAGCTCCTGGATACGAGAGCCAAGTGTGCTTTGAGAGTAGGGTGGGTGAGGTTGCTAATGAGTACAGGGGAGCAGGTGTTGATCAGGAGGACCCTGCACTGGGGCATCTGGACGTCCTGCCTCAGGACTTGAGACTCCAGTTGGATGGCACAGGCAGACTCAGCCCAGGTCAAAGCCGTCCCCTTGAAGTTTCTTTTTATCCCAAGCTCTTTCTGGCCCCTGGAATTTGGCATCCCCTAGGCCCTGTGTGGAAGGACAGATGAACCAGGTTTTAGATAACATGTCTAGAAGAGTGAGCCCCTAACTGTGTGCCCGGCACTTTCCCCACAGGATCCTCTAGCTAGAATATCCAAGGGTCATGGAGAGAAATACCCAGTTAAAATATCAGAAATGAAAAAGCGATACCATTAGAGACACTAAAAAGACCATTAGGTAATAGTACTAGCTTTTGTATTCTGAGATCCAACAGCAGCAGTCACTTCCCTCCACCGCTATGTGTATCCCAGGACCACCCTGGGCGGGGAGGGCTGAGGTTAGGGAGCAGCCATGGATGCTCTGATGCTGGCCCTGGGCCTCGGGGGTGACAGTGATGAGGAACTGGGTGCACACATGAGTGGGGCAGCCGGGCCTGGCCAGAGAAGCAGCACACACGTGCACAGATGTGTTTACCCACATACACATGTGCACGCACGTGCACAAACACATTGCAGGCAGGCATGTTGACGCCTCAGGCAGCGGAGGACCCTGACTCTGGGCGCTGCTGACCCGGGCAAGGCCCCACTGTGATTCGTGCCATGACCTCAGAATGTCACTGGTGCTTAGCACCTATCTGCTCTCTGGTCTGCCTCAGTGGTCTACAGCAGTTACACACAGGCAGTGGTATCTGTGAGCAGCTCTGTGGACTCAAAGGTTTTCTCCCTGAGAGGCACGACCCAGGCCAGCTGATTCATCAGAATCAGGTGAGCGTGACCTGCTCTCTTCCCTCCAGGCGGACTTGGGGGCAGTGGCTACGGTGCGGGCGGTGTTGGCCTCTGTGGGGCAGCTACCGAGGAGGGTCATCCCTGAGCACTCACCAGGCGCCCGTTCTACACTGCCCGTGTAGACGATTGGCTCTTTCGTCTCCATGGTGGCTTCGTAGAGTGGGTGCTGTTCCCAAATGTCCCCATTCGACAGATGAGACGTCTGGGGTCAGAGAGGCAGTAACCGGCCTGGGAATCCGGACATGACCCTGAGTTTTGCTCTCAGCCCTGCCGTGTGCTGTGCTGGAATTCAGGCCTGAACCCTGTGACCTCCCTGCCCTAGATCCCAAATCTGCCCAGGTTTCCCATCCCGATGGGGCAGAGCCTGGTCCTGGCAGAGCCACTGGTATAGAGCCACTGGTACAGATCCACTGACGGTCCTCAGAACACCTCTGTGCCCTAAGCTGGGTCCTGATGGTCGCTGTGGGCCCCACTGAACACACATGGTCCCTTGTCCGGGGGAGCCTGCTGCCCTTGGGCAGCTGTGGAAAATGAAGGAGCCCTGGAGGGCTGGCTGAGGGGAGACTATCTTCCCTTGTGTTCAAAGGGGTCCGGGCACTAGGGTTCTCCCCAGGTATTTCTTGCTCTGCGTGGTCCTCTTGAGGCCTCGCCCTCCTTTTGCCTCGAGTATTCCCAGGAGGGACGGTCCATCCAGCTGTTCTCCAGGACCAAGGACCCACTGTTCTTCCTCAGTGACCCAGGAAAATGAAGCCTCCTCCTGTTGGGACGGCTCAGAATGGTGGACTCCACAGTCCCTCCGCGAGAGACGTGGTTTCCATGCGTACAATAGATCTTTCTCATCCCCCAAACCCAACACCCTCCTGCTCAACAGGCGTTATTCCTAAAGTGGCTTCACTGTTCAGACTGAAGAGCCACGGTAGCCAAAGTGATGAGCGGAGTAGAACCGAGCAGTCGGGAGAGATCTTGTTCCCTGTAGGAAACTGGGCATCGCTGAGGCCCTGAGCATCCCAGGAGGCCGATTGCACAGAGACCTCTGGTCGCTGACCCCAGTCTGCCTCCACATCCCTGGAATAGCCCATCATGGGCCCTTCACCCTTGGCAGGTGGAAACCATTCAACCTGCTGGGGCCGGTGTGTCCCCATTTCATGGCATTGGGGGACAACAGGATTCTCTGTCTAGGTCCCACTGTACTCAAGTCCTTGGGAAGATGCCCACCCCTGCTTGGGACTTGAGACTCCAGAGACTGGAGCAGCTGTGGGCCACTGGGTCTGGCCCCTTTTTCCCTGGGGGCGGCGGTGGAATGGGGGTTACGCAGCCAGCCAGCATCTGGGAGCCCGGCGAGAGCGGTTCAGGTGTTCTCCGAAGCCGCCGCGTACGGTGTGACCTTTAGACAATTCTGTCTCACAGGATGGACGTGGTAGAGGTCGCGGGCAGTTGGTGGGCACAAGAGCGAGAGGACATCATTATGAAATACGAAAAGGTACAAGTCGGTCTGCTTCTTGGAGGGAGGCCTCTTCCAGTGTGCCCTGGTCAAAGGGTCCTGGGCTCCCTAGGAGCACAGGGCAGGGACGGGTGGCCAATGCCCCCAGGCCCTTGCACCCTTTACCTTGGACCCCTCACCAAGGCTCCCTCTGGGCTACAGGGACACCGAGCTGGGCTGCCAGAGGACAAGGGGCCTAAGCCTTTTCGAAGCTACAACAACAACGTCGATCATTTGGGGATTGTACAGTGAGTCCTCTGCACTCCCCTCACCCCTAAAGCACCTGTCTCAGCTCAGGGATGGGTTTGCTTTTAGAAAGGCCTTTCTGACGCAGGACATGTCTCACCAGGTCGGGTCAACCTCCTTTCCAGGGACAGAACTCCTCCCTGACTCCCCTGCAGGTCCAGCCCGAGGTTGTTAGGCCAGAGGTGTGGGGCCCATCTAGGGAGCCGGTGGGAATGGAGACTGGGCTAGGTCAGGCCCCTGGGCGCTCAGCAGTTCTGTCGGCAAGTGAGCACAAGAGGAGCGGGGCAGCCTGAGGGTCTGGCCCTGTCTACTTGGAGACAACCCCGGTGAGATGCAAGGGTTATGGCCACAGGGTGAGGAGACGCCTGGCCCAGCCTCAGGGCTGTTGTCCAGCAGGTCTCTGAGGGCCCACCTGCCCCTGTTCTCCCCCATTCCCCTAGAGCTACAGCCCTCACTGTCCCGTGAGGGGAAAAGGCATGGTGACAATGGGGGCTGTAGCCCTAGGAGAACGGGGGAGAAGATGGGCAGGGCCCCGTTCTGGGCATCTCACGGTGAGGCCAGGGAGGCAGCAGGGCTCGCGGCTAAAGACCTGGGTCTGGTGCTGGGAAGGGATCTGGGGCCGGGTAAGAGGAGCCCAGCCAGGAGCCCATCCCTCAGGGATCACAGGATGGAGAGACAGAGGATCCCTGGGGAGGTAGGGCGGGAGGGAGCTGACGAGCCGTGCCACTTCTGAAACGCAGGGTGTGTGGCTCGGGTGCAGGGAGAGGCAGGTGGATGCTGGGAGGTCAGAACCTGCAAGGGCCTTGGGGCTGTCAAGTGGGGTGGGCCCCTGGTGCAGCCAGAGTACACCGGGCAGGTCTCAGGGCAGGCTCCCTTGACCCTGGCGGGGGGATGTGGTCACTCCCTGAGGGACTCCTGTCAGGGCCCGGTCGCCCACCCTGGGCGGCCCCCATCCCATCTCAGGGCTAACCTTTCTCAGCTCCAGCAGAAAGCACCACCTCGAGTCCAGGACGGGCAGCCCCATTGGGCAGCCTGACCGCCCCCCACGCCAGGGGCCCCAGTAACCCCGGCCAGGCTGTCCCTACACTCCTTCTTCTCCCAGGTCCTGCCCCTCCTGGGAGTCAGCCCCACAGGAAGGCCCTTGTCCTCCCTTCCCTGTGCCTTCTCCTGGGCTGAGCCCTGAGCTGGAAAGGGACAGAGCCAGTCCTTTCTGGGGGTCGGCACCCAGGCTGGGGCCGCTCCAGGCCCCGTGCAGTTCCTCAGCTCTGCCTGGGTTGCCTTACAGTGAGACGGAGCTGCCTCCTCTGACTGCGCGGGAGGCGAAGGTAAGAGCCTGATGCGTGGAGGGGCTGGTCCAGGGACGTAGGGACTGGGCGGGTGGTCAGTGAGGCAGAGGAAGCAGCTGGCCTGAGCGGTGGCGGGTGAGGGCAACACGCTGTCACTGGGAGGGGCAGCAGTCCCTGCTGGACCTGACCCCAGGTTGCTGTTCACTTTGGCAGTTTGATAAAATTCCAAAAGGAGAACCACAGTCCTGGCTTGGGGGTGGCTGCGCGCTTGTGTCAGGACCCCACCTAGAGGCTGGGACCTAAGACTGGTGTGTCTGTGGCCTGAGGATGGTACATCCCGGGGTCCCAAAGCCAGCCCACTGGTGCTCATTTGCTCAAAGGCTCTCAGCCCTTGAGGTCTGCCCTTCCCTGGCTCCTTCCAGCTGGCTCCCACCAGGGCTCCAGAGCCCAAGACCCAGCATCCGCGGGCGGCTCTGGGAAGCCTGGCAGCTCCGCTAACTCCAACATGCCTCATTTGACAGCAAATTCGGCGGGAGATCAGCCGAAAGAGCAAGTGGGTGGATATGCTGGGAGACTGGGAGAAATACAAAAGCAGCAGAAAGGTAACGTGTGGAGGGAGGAAGCACTCTCTGCAGAGACAGGGGACAGGCACCCATGGCTGTGGCCTGGCACCATCAGCCTCTCAGAGGGTGGGCGGCACACTGTCCTCGCCCAGAGGACTGCAGGCCTGGTCGCCAGATTTCCTGCCTATTCGTGCAAGCGTCACCTTGCAGGGAGGGAATCTGAATCTAGGGCTGGGACTACCCGGAGCTCAAGGCTAGGGATGCCCTGGTGACCTGAAGGAAGGAAAAGGTTCAGATCAGAGTTTCGACTCTGAGTGTCCATCCACTCTTTCAGTCCTGGGAAGGGAGACCCTGTCCCAGCTTGATCTCACCTCTACTGAGGAATCATGGGGCCAAAACCGACAATTTCCAGAATCCCCGGGCTCTGGTCCTCACTGGGGTCACCCCGTGGCCTGTGACACCAGATCGTTTTCTGCCCACAGCTCATAGATCGAGCGTACAAGGGAATGCCCATGAACATCCGGGGCCCGATGTGGTCAGTCCTCCTGAACACTGAGGAAATGAAGTTGAAAAACCCCGGAAGATACCAGGTACGCTCAGCCAGAGCACAACAAACAGGACAGGCCGTGTCGGGGCCCAGGTCTCCAGCTGGAGGGAACGTCAAGACCACCCTGGGGAGCTGGGGGTGAAGGTCAGATGAACACCCTGGGCACAGATGGTGACACAGTCACCACAGACAAACTCAGCTCTGGTGACCCTCCCTGGCTTCAGTAACAAGCCAAAATGCAGCTTTCTGCAGAAGGAAACCTTCCTTCTGTCCTTCCTTCCCGAAGTGCTGACTGTGGGCTGACTGCCACTGGGGGCAGGGAGTCTTCCATCTGTTCTGAGACTGCTTCCTCCTCTTGGCCCTGCCCTACAGATCATGAAGGAGAAGGGCAAGAGGTCATCTGAGCACATCCAGCGCATCGACCGGGACGTAAGCGGGACATTAAGGAAGCATATATTCTTCAGGGATCGATACGGAACCAAGTAAGCCTACGGGAGCCACAGGGTCCCAGCAGAGATGGGGTGAATGAGAGGGATGGGGGCTTCCCCGGAGCAGAAGCCAGGGTCACCCAGGAGGGATGACACAGCTGCCAAGAGCTCTCCCGGCCCAGGGAGCAGCCGGCACCATGAACCGAGCACCTCCCTGGTTCCAAGCCCTGGGCCAGACTGGAACATGTGGGGCCAGAACCCAGGAGGATCCTGAGGAGATGGAAGGCAGCAAACAAAATCATGCACAATGGTGAAGGGTGCTCTCCCTGACCCATGGGGACCCATGGTAGGACCCACGGGAGGGTGGCAGGATAGAGGGCCCATGAGCCACCCCCAGGCAACAGTGACAGCACCAAATGCTGGGAGAATTAGGGGTCCTGGAAACTCTCATCCAGGTCCGCTGGGAACATGACATGGCACAGCCACGTTGGCAGCCCGTTGGGCAGTGGCTCACAAAGCTCGATGGACTTGAACCACACATCCCCAAAGTGTCACAGATATTGAACCCACTGATTTGCAAACTGACATCCACATGAAACCAGCATGCCAGGTTCACTGCTTGACTCCTCGTCACTCACACACGGAGCCTTCGGGGACGGCCTTCAACACGGGGATGGGGAGAGCAAGGCTGGTCCTCCCTTCAAACGGAAGACCCAGTGAGAAAAGGGAACGAGCCGGTGATGCCCGCACGAACGTGGGTGGATCCTAGATGCATTTTGCTGAGGGACAGAAGCCAGACCCAATAAGCTACCACAGTAGGATTCCCATTCCTAGGCCATTCTGGAAAAGGCCAAACCACAGGGACTGAGAAGCAGTCTGGGTGGCCAGGGGCTGACGGATCGGGGAGAGGCTGGGTGCATAGGGGCCACCCTGGAGACTTGGAGGATGAAGGAGTCGCCCCAGGAGGGGCTGGAGCGGTGGCCGGGAGACTCTGCACATCGGTTTGGAACCGTGGAGGAACTGTACACCCACAGACTGAACTGGCGTGTGTGCAAACTGAAAAAAAAAATCATTCAGAGTGAAAAGGATCAGGCAAGTCACTGTACAACTGGGCTATTTGCATGTCACAGATGTGGATTTTACTGAAACATTTCTTCAAGAGTCTCAGGCCCTGAAGAGCTCACTGCTTATCTGGTGAAACATCTGAACCTGAAATGGGATTTGCTGTTAGGCTTTGTAGACAAAGTGAAATTAACAACATCTGCACAAAACAAACCAAAGCCCCCTTTCTCTGTTTCCTAGGCAGCGGGAACTACTCCACATCCTCCTGGCATATGAGGAGTATAACCCGGTGAGTATTCCCGGCAGTGAGGTTCCCGGGCCATATTTCCATATTGACAGGAGTGGGTGTCTGGTGGGGGTGTCGTTGCTTCTTTTACAGTTAGTATTTGTGACCCACCAGGATATAGGAGGTAGGATGTCAGCTCACCGCTGGCATAAACCTCCAAGGAAGGGGGTGGTCTCAAGGGGTCAAGCTGAGACACAAAGGAGTCAGGGCCTGGACTCCTGGTGTCACCTGGGCCTGACCACCACTTCTCAGAACAAGAAATGACGCCCTCCTCCTGGGGCTGCCCCAAAGCCCAGGAGCTTGGCAGCATCGCACACAGGATGGTGCTATCAGCAGACATTTTGGACAAGGTGCTGAAGTGCCTGATGGACTTGGCTCTTGTCATGAAATGAATGTGCATCCTGAGGAAGCCTCTTTTTCAGAGGAAGCCTCTCCTTCAGAGGAAGCCTCTCCAGTCACCTCTGCCCTCTCCAATGACATGAGTCCTCCCAGGTGACCTCAGCCCTCCCAGGTGATGTCCTTCCATGGTGACTCTGGCTCTTGCAGGAGGTGGGCTACTGCAGGGACCTGAGCCACATCGCCGCCTTGTTCCTCCTCTATCTTCCTGAGGAGGATGCATTCTGGGCACTGGTGCAGCTGCTGGCCAGTGAGAGGCACTCCCTGCAGGGTAAGTGAACAGCTGCCCCGGGGACCTCCTGCAGCCAGACCTGGGGATGGCCACCCTGGCCAGGTGATCACAGCTTTCAGCCAAGGCACCCTCCTTGTGTCGCCAGCTTGTTGGGAGACTTTAGGATGTCTCTGCTGAGGGTCCCACAGGAGTCCACGGCTGACCCCCAAAGCCCAAATCAGACGCCTCTCATCCCCATCAGCAGAGGGCATCTCATCCTCCCCGTGGCCACCCTCTGTGTCCTGGAGCCACGCCCTCCGGCTCTGATTCTGTGCAGCTGACTCTCCCCTCCCTGAGAGTCCTCCTGCCCTCCAGCTGCCCGGGCTCCTGCTGCCATCGGTGCCCACGAACGGGCCGACCAAGCCCAGGTGGCAGCATCTCCCCATCCCCTGTTCCCTGGCCCGACCCCACTACCAGGAGATGACCGGGAAGCCCAGCGCCCACCCAGTTCCGGCCACCCTGTCGTGGCCTGAAAGTCAGGCTTGCCCTTTTTGCACCCTGGCCCAGGAGGCCTCCAGGGGAACCTCCAGCCAGGCTCCAGGGAATGTTCCCGCCCCACCTCCCCAGGGTAAAGGCCGCATGTTGGGGTCACCAGATGGGAGGGTGGGAGGCCTTGGGGTTTGGGGGCCTCTCCAGCTGCCCAGCTCTTGCAGCTGATGGCTCCACATCTTGGGGGAAGGCTCTGATTTCATGATGGGCTGGGGGCTTCTCAGGATTTCACAGCCCAAATGGCGGGACCGTCCAGGGGCTCCAAGACCAACAGGAGCATGTGGTAGCCACGTCACAACCCAAGACCATGGGGCATCAGGTGAGTTTATGGTCCCCTCAGCTCTTCCCAGAGGCCCTGCCTCCCGTGGGGCTGTAGGAGCAGGGGGGCTGGAGCCCCTCGTGGGGCTGGTGACTGGCTGAGTCCCAGCCAGGGCCTGACCTGGGACGTCGGGTTCTCCATGGGCTGGGAGTTGGTTTCCTTTCCTGCCCTGGAGGAGACAGAGGCACAGGGATGGGGGCCCAGCTCCCGCAGAGCAGGGCAAAGGGCAGTGTGTCCACCGGGAGTGTGGGAAGGTGACAGTGTTGTGGGGAGCTCTGGACACCGCCCAGTGTTCTGCACTAGGGGAAGGGTCTTCAGAGGCCCTGGAAGAGGGAGGTTTTTAGGGCAGCCCAGTGGCCTGAGCACCTCTGTTGCTTCCATCAGGACAAGAAAGATCTATGTGGGCAGTGTTCCCCGTTAGGCTGCCTCATCCGGATATTGATTGACGGGGTAAGGAGGCATAGGGAGACCCTGGCTCAGGGACCTTCCTTGCCCTGCAGTGCCCTGCTTCCCCAGCCCGGGGGTCTGGCTCACTCCCAGCCCACAGGAGGCTCAGGCGGGTCCCCAAAGGACACACAAGCAAAACCCTCTGCCCAAGGGGGGTCATCCCAGGGCCATGGCTGGGGCTCAGGCCCAGCCTCATGGGCAGACTGGGCCAGGACCCGACTTGAGAGGGCTCAGGGAAGCCTCAAGCCCTGGGCAAGCCCCTCTCTCCAGGAGCCACATCCCCACTCAAATGAGTGCCCCCCATGAGGAGCTTCAAGACCTTGTCTGACCCAGCGTCCTGGAGGGCTCAGGCGACCCTCATGGGGAAGGTCACTGACTCTGGAGACTGAAGCCCCAGTGTGCGCAGCTCGAGCCACCAGCCCCAGCCTGGAAGGACCAGGTTCTTTCACACCTGCTGTCCCCACAGATCTCTCTCGGGCTCACCCTGCGCCTGTGGGACGTGTATCTGGTAGAAGGCGAACAGGCGTTGATGCCGATAACAAGAATCGCCTTTAAGGTTCAGCAGAGTAAGTCTACGTGTGCCCAGCGGGGCCTGGGGAGCCCTGGGGTCAGACCCCGACTGGCCCGAGGGCAGCTTCCTCACACTGTCCTCATGATCCTCTGTTCTGGCCCAGAGGGAGGTCTGGCCAGGTGGGCTGGGCAGGACACTGTGACACCGAGCCCATCCCCCACATGACCCAGATGAAAGTCGAGAGTGTGGTGAGCACTTCCCTGTCCGGATCGCCCCCCAGCCACAGTCTCCTGTGTGTATCTGGACACCTGGGGTGGCCACAAAAGGATCCGGCACCGCCCAGTAGGAGACTGAAGTGGCCACGGGGTATGAGCTGTGACCATTCCCAGGTAACTCCCCTGGCCTGATATCCACCCTGTCCCTAGAGCGCCTCACGAAGACGTCCAGGTGTGGCCCGTGGGCACGTTTTTGCAACCGGTTCGTTGATACCTGGGCCAGGGATGAGGACACTGTGCTCAAGCATCTTAGGGCCTCTATGAAGAAACTAACAAGAAAGCAGGGGGACCTGCAACCCCCAGGTGGGCTCCAGTGCCATGTCCCCTCCCATGTCACCCTCTGGGGTAGTCAGTAGTAGGGGAGTGCCCGGGACCCGCAACCCTACTACCTGGGCCTTCCTCTTCACCTTTTCTTCCTCCTCTTCCTCCTGGACTCTAAGAAAGTACAGGAGGCCCACCGGTCCTCAGGGCAGGCGCTCAGTGCGTGTATACTGGACATGCTGTGCACGCAGGAGGGGGATGTGGGCAAGACCCTCCAACAAGCCCCCTCCCACTTTCCACGGTGTCTCCCTCTCCCCCTCGCAGGGCCCTCCAAGTTACTAGACGAGCCCAGACCCATTTGTGGGAGACCCCGCCCCTCCCTGCAAGCACCCACAGCCTCAGAGAGCAGCAGAGGCCCCTCACTCCTGCACGCTCCTCCAAGGTTGCCAGGACAAGAAGCCTGGAGCCAGGGAGACAAGGGAATCCGTGTCCCTGACCCACAGAGCATTCAGGGAGAGGGCACAGGCGGGACCCCGGGCCCAGAGCCAGAGCCAAGAGTTCAGCCAGAAGTGGGAACGGTCAGTCCTGGCATGGACTGGGCAGCCCAGGAGGGCAGAGGGTGACCCACGTCCGGGCCCAATCACCCACTGCGGAGACGGGTCCCCACGTGAGGTGACAAGGGGCTGGGTGACATCCAAGGCCCCTCCCACCTGAGTTCTGACTGGGGGCCGTATCCCAGGCCCAACAGCCCTGGGACGAAGGTGTGTGGCAGGAAGCCCCCAGCCAGTCTGAACCCTGGGGGCAGTCCCAGGAGCCACCCGCCATGCCACGACAGCTTCCCCACGCCAGGCAGCACGCACCCCTCCCTCTGGGATCAGCAGACTACAGGCGTGTCCTCGGTGTCAGGCCACGGGGGCCACACAGAGACCCCGAGGACTCCAGAGACGCAGGCAGGTGGGGCCCAGCCCGGAAAGGCCTGCGTGGGCTCACTGGAGATGCTGACCGCGTCTGTTTTCCTTTCAGCCAAACCCGAGCAAGGGTCGTCGGCATCCAGGCCTGTGCCGGCTTCACGTGGCGGGAAGACCCTCTGCAAGGGGGACAGGCAGGCCCCTCCAGGCCCACCAGCCCGGTTCCCGCGGCCCATTTGGTCAGCTTCCCCGCCACGGGCACCTCGTTCTTCCACACCCTGTCCTGGTGGGGCTGTCCGGGAAGACACCTACCCTGTGGGCACTCAGGGTGTGCCCAGCCCGGCCCTGGCTCAGGGAGGACCTCAGGGTTCCTGGAGATTCCTGCAGTGGAACTCCATGCCCCGCCTCCCAACGGACCTGGACGTAGAGGGCCCTTGGTTCCGCCATTATGATTTCAGACAGAGCTGCTGGGTCCGTGCCATATCCCAGGAGGACCAGCTGGCCCCCTGCTGGCAGGCTGAACACCCTGCGGAGCGGGTGAGATCGGCTTTCGCTGCACCCAGCACTGATTCCGACCAGGGCACCCCCTTCAGAGCTAGGGACGAACAGCCGTGTGCTCCCACCTCAGGGCCTTGCCTCTGCGGCCTCCACTTGGAAAGTTCTCAGTTCCCTCCAGGCTTCTAGAAGCATCTGGGCCAGGGCTCATGGCTGGATAATTTCCCTAGGCTTAACAACCCAAGCAAGCTTCGCATCCTCGTTTTATTTTTGGTTAAACTTATGAAAATGTATTAAGAAAGAGTGCAGCTCGAGAGAGATTCAGAGATGGAACACACCAGACCCCAGATCACAAAGCCAACCATGCCCAGCCCCTCCCAGCACCCCCAGCCCCACGACCATCGTTCTGAATTCTGACGACACCGTGAGCCTGCCTTTGTACTTCAAACTCATGGAAGGATAACCACCTTCATGTTTTGAAATAAATGTTTCCTGTTGAAATGATTTTAGATTTTAGACAGAAATATTGAAAAGGCACTATAGTATCCTCCTATACCTTCCATCCAGCTGCCCCTAATAATGATGTTTTGCAGTCCCATGGCACATAAGAAATTTAGGCCGGGTGTGGTGGCTCACACCTGTAATCCCAGCAATTTGAGAGGTCGAGGCGGGAGGTTCAGGTTCACTTGAGTCTAGAAGTCTGAGACCAGCCTGGGAAACCTAGGTGGACCCGGTCTCTAGAGAAAAGTCAAAGAAATTAGCCAGGCATGGTGGCGTGTGCCTATAGTCCCACCTAGTCAGGAGGCTGAGGCAGGAGGATTGCTGGAGCCCACGAGTTCCAGGAAGCAGTGAGCCATGATTGCACCACTGCACTCCAGCCTGGGTGACAGAGTGAGACTTTATCTCTTAAAAAAATTTAAGAAATTTAATGTGGGTACAGTTCTATTAACTAAATAATAATGTGAACTATTATCTAAGGTTATGAAGGCTAGAATTATCCCATTTTTGCCTAACTTCTCGTACCTGTCCCAAGATCCCACCTTGGACTCACCCTCTGCCTTCAGCTCACGTCTCTTCAGCTTCCTCCACATGGTCCAGCAAACACACACCTGGGCTGAATGGTAGAGCTGATCGCTCATACACAAAGGTAGACCGGTGGGCAGGGATTTTCAGACTTACACAGTCAATGAGTTTTCCTTGGTGTTCTGGAGAGCACCGTTTGAGAAACACTTTGACAGTGAATCTAGGCCTCAAGATCCATCAGCTGCTCTAGCTTGAATTTTGCTCAAGCTCAGTGAACACCTGCTCTGCCGGGTGCACGTGAAAGGGGCAAGGATGAGAAAGCTGTAGATAAAGAAGACAGGACGCAGGGGGTCTGTCTAAGCTCTATCCCCTGCCTTCAGCACTGAGGGATGAAATCCAACTCTTAGGGAACGGTGGCCACGTGCTGGGCCAGCCCCAGGCTCTCAGGATCTGACAGTGGGTGACGCAGAGCCAGGCCTTGCCCCTGGGGAGCTCTCCAGCATACACCTCCCTCTCCCCTCCCAGCGTGCCGCAAAGCAGGCGTCAACGCCATTGTTAATGCACGGAGGAGGAACCTGACTGTTAGACCTGGGTTTTCCAGGGTTGCACGGCTTCTGGGAGACGGATGTGACCCTGAGGACAGGGCACAGGCCAGTGTAATGCCAGGATGGAATGAGCTGTGATCTGTGCTGTATAGAGGCCTAGGCCAAGGTGGGACTGACGGATGACCAGGTCAGCCGGGTCACTGAAAACACTCTTGGGTCCTCACCTGCCGGTTCCCAGGAGTCCGGAACTGCCAGGAGAGTGGTGGCAGGTCCCCCATCCTCAGCTGGGTGGGCCTGGATAGAGCAGCAAGGCGAGGGCACATTTCCCTGGCCATTCCCTCCAGGCACAGCTGTGACCTGTTCATTCCAAATTTGTGGAAGTATTTCCACACACACACAACTGCAAATAGCAGTGGACGTGGTGAGAGGCGTTTGCACATGGGATAGGCAGGATTTTGGAGGCAGAGCCTCCAGGGCTTGCCGATGGGTTAGCTGCAGGGCTTGAGAGGGAACGGAGAATCCAGGATGATGTGTTCAAATCGGTCCATTCACCTCTTCCGTTCCACGCCTGTGCTGGGCACTGGGAGAGACAGATGCACACAGGAGCCCCGGCCGAGGGGAGGTGTGGGGGGAAGCCCAGAGTGTCTGGGCAGGGTAGGAAACCCAGAGCGTCTACTGGGAGCTGAAGGCTTAGGTCCACCTGGGTGCCGTCCAGGTTCTCTGCATGTAGAAGTATAGGCTGAGCTTCCCGGAGGAGGAGCAGCTGCTGTTGCTGGTGACCAGCACATTCAGGAACGGAGACTACTCTGTCAACAGACAGGGGGATGACCTGAGGTCTGGATGGTCTAGGGGGTGGTAGGGCCCAGGAGGACCCAGGAAAGGGTCTCGGGGATGCAGAACATCCTATGGAGGGCATTTGGGAGTCAGTGCTCAGGCCACTCCGGGTCACTCAGGTCATTTGCCGGCCCCTGTCATAATTATTGCCATATGAGAGTGCCACCCGTCCTATGACATATTTTATATATTTCTGTGAATGGCCTACTTGTTTGTATTTATGAATTTATGTTTAAAGGATGGGCAGGGGTGCTCGAGAGGTCCCCAGGAGTTTCCCTCTGGGGAGAGAGGGGCCCACCCCTTCCCAGCAGCCCTCTGAGCCCCCCGATCGCTTGGCCACAGCCTCTGCCTGGAGAAAGCATCCCCCTCGGAGATATATGGACATCAGAAGAAACCTTTCTCTGTCACCAGGACAAATCCTGTTCTTATTTGAACCAAGGCCAGTTTTCCTAATGAATGCAGGGAGGACAGCACAGATCAATGAAACCAGCAGATAATCCACAAGACTGTTTCCCAGAGCTGGGAGATTTCCTTCCCTGCCAACACTTTTCCTGAAAGGTCTTAAGAATGAGGCAAACAGTTTAAGTCTCTCTTGCACTGTTCTTTTAGTGAAAGAGTTCAATGAGGAAGGAGAGGAAGTGGAGCATATGCTTAGTTTCCAAGCTGGAAAAGTGGCCCATGGTTAACCAAGACTAGATGTAAAAGCACAGGTGGCCGCGGGTCCAGGTGAGTCGGTCCTACGATGGCACGGCTGCTAATGCCAGCAGATGCTCCTGTCCTCTCCTTTCAAGACTGACTTCTTCTGGTCTTTCATTCGTTAAAATAAAATTGACAGGGCATCATCCAAGAAGCTCTACACTTTCCCTTACTTGGATTTCAGACTCTAGATTCTGCTGAGATTTGAGCTTCATGGTGAACACATTCTTGTTGTGCTTGCTGCTGAGGGGTGTGGAGGACAGAGAGATGGTGAAATGGCAAAGTGGCTCTTGAGCATGGGTGGGGGAAGCCCCCACATATCTGAGTCAGTGCCACCTGGACACTACCCTTGGAGCATCCTGCTGAGGTGGCCATTCAGGTTTTCTTTCCTTTCCTTTTATTCCACTGTTTCTGAATCACAAATAAAGATCCAAGGCAAACAGCACATTCAGATCCCCAAGCTCTCCACCTCCAATGTGACCAGGGACGTGCACCACTTCAGGCTCATGCAGGACCCACAGCCTTTGGACCTCAGCTAAGGGACCTGCTTCTCTTCAGCACACGGGGCTTGTTTGTGTTGGGGTCTGAGCCCTGAGCGCATGGTCAAGGAGACCCCCAGGTCTTTCTGAACAGAGACAGCTGGCCTGGCGGCCTCCCTCTCACTGCATGCAAGAGTCTGTTAGGGCGGCTGTCTTGCTTCTGTGTGTTGGGAAATTCAATTTAGGTACCTAAAAATGAAAAGTCCCAGGACATCTCCATGGCTTGGGATCCACAGGAGAGCATCATTGATGCTGGGGACAATTTAAACATATAGAAACCCACAGGGCTACCTTAGACAGGGCACAGGGCACAGCACCCGGGGATGCAGAGTGGAAAGTTCACCACTACAGCCTGGAATTGCCTCTGTGATGCCTTCTTCATGACACTTGGCTGCCTTCGTGGCTGGAAGGCTGAGGCCCAGATCCCAACATGGCCACAGGCTAGCAGCTTGCTTCACCTTCCTGAACTGCAATTTCTCCATCTGAGCCTCTCTCCTAAGAGGAGTGTGCAGGGTCACTTAGCCCATATGGGCCAGAAACCCCACACGGTGCCAGGCACACAGTAGGGCCTCGGCAGATGCTGCCCCCTTCTGTCTCCACCACCCTCCTGGGGCTCCCTCCTGAAACAGCCTCCCTCAGCGCCTTGAGTCTTGCACCCTAACAGCCTCTTGCACGCAGTGAGAGGGAGGCCCCCAGGCCAGCTGTCTCTGTTCAGAAAGACCTGGGGGTCTCCTTGACCATGGGCTCAGGGCTCAGACCCCAACACAAACAAGCCCCGTGTGCTGAAGAGAAGCAAGTCCTTTAGCTGAGGTCCAAAGGCTGTGAGTCCTGCATGAGCCTGAAGTGGTGCAGGTGCCTGGTCACACTGGAGGTGTAGAGCTTGGGGATCTGAATGTGCTGTTTGCCTCGGACATGAAACATCTCACAGACTGCCTGGAAGAAGGTGGAGCAGACTGGGGTTAATGGTCAGCAGCAGCAGCATCCCCACCACTGGGGCTATCCCTTTTTAGGCCCTTACCATGGGCCAAACACTGAGCCGTGTGCTTCGTGTAACTTCTAAGCACGCTTACCTGATAGAGTGCCAGCAAAGACTCAAAGAGGTGCCTGGGCTTGGCACATAGTAGCTATTGCTACTATTATGAATGTTGTTTTGTCTTTGTTTTTGTTTTGAGACAGGGCCTCACTCTGTTGCCCAGGTTGGAGTACAGCAGTGCCATCATAGCTCACTGAAGCCTCAACCTCCCTGGGTTTGAGCAATCCTCCCACCTCAGCCTCCCAAGTAGCTGAGACTACAGGTGTGCGCCACCAAGCCCAGCCAATTTTTTGTATTTTCAGTAGAGACTGGTTTTGCCAAGTCGCCCAGGCTGGTTTCGAACTCTGGGGTTCAAGCAATCTGCCCACCTCAGCCTCCCAAAGTGCTGGCATTACAGGCGTGTGCCACTGCGCCCAGCCATTATGAATGTCAATATTGACATGATCTTGTATCCTTATGCCCACACTGGGAGAGGTCTGATTGTCCCCATGTTCCTGGTGTGGAACCACATGGAAGAGGCCTATGTTATCCCAACAGTGCAGAAGCACAGCCTGAGTCTCTTCTTTGGCTGAGCCAAGGGCGTGCTGGAGAGGCCTGACAGAAGAAGGAGCGGCCCTTGTGACCAGTGCCCTTTTGGTTCACAAGGAACTTCTCCTCTTGTTGAAGTGACTTGGCTGAGCTTGCTCCTTCTGCTTTGAGAGTCAAATATCAGGATCAAGACTTTAATTATCCCCAATTTACAGATGATGAAACCATATTGGGCAGGAAAGAAAGTCACCCCAGGAGAGCAAGTTGGACCTGAGCACTGGCTGAGGACAAAGGGGAATGATAATTTGGGATGTAACTTGTTAAGGGGTCTCACAAGTGTTCTTGTGATCCAGGTGTCGAGAGGATACAGCAGAAAGGTTGCCAGGGAGATGAGGGTAGGGTACACCACAAGAGTGGGAGAAATTAAAGAGAACACGCAACAAAGCCTTGGGACACTGGGAGGGGGATGGACCACCCAGTTTTGTGCTATGGGAGAAGAGAGCAAGAAAAGGAATCTGTGTTAAATCCCGACAGCCTGCATGAGAAGCAAATGCCCTTCATTTTCTTCATCAGCGGCGAGACTGGCATCCCTGCAGCTTTGGGAGACCATGCTAGTGTAGATGCCAGCTCACGCCAGCGGGCCTGACTGGGAGACCTTGGGCTGGGGTTCTGGTCTGGGGCTCCTAGGCCTGATGGGAGGAGAGTTCAGCCCCAGGTTTCCTGTACTTCAGCTCATATCCACACAATGGTAATTATTGAAATGAGAGACTCAAAAGAAGATGGAACGTGAACTTTTTTGTTGTCCCATGTGGACACCTGTGTTCGGTTTCCAGTTCTACCTTTGCTGTCTGTGTGTTCTTAAGTAACTCACTTAAACCTTTCTGAGTCTCATTTTCTTCATTTATAAAATAAAAGACGTAACATTTATGTCAGATATTGTCCTGAGGATTAAATGGGAGAATGAACAAGCCTCTTCTGCATTCCCCTGGCATCCAGTGGGTGGAGGCCAGAGAAGCTGCTAAACATCCTGCCAGGTGCAGGACAGCCCCCATCACAAAGAATTGACCGGATCCTGATGTCAGTAAGGCAGAATTGAGGATCCTTGGTGTGGGGGAAAAAGAATAAACTCAGAAGCTTGGCAGATCTCAGTTCAAACCCTGGTTGTATCACCTCTAGCTGAGTGACCTTAGGCAGGTCTGTGAACTCTCTGAGACTCGGCCTCCTCATCGGTAGAATGAGGTAGATAAAAATGCCAAGCTCGGCCGGGCGCGGTGGCTCACGCCTGTAATCCCAGCACTTTGGGAGGCCGAGGCGGGTGGATCATGAGGTCAGGAGATCGAGACCATCCTGGCTAACAAGGTGAAACCCCGTCTCTACTAAAAATACAAAAAATTAGCCGGGCGCGGTGGCGGGCGCCTGTGGTCCCAGCTACTCGGGAGGCTGAGGCAGGAGAATGGCGTGAACCCGGGAAGCGGAGCTTGCAGTGAGCCGAGATTGCGCCACTGCAGTCCGCAGTCCGGCCTGGGCGACAGAGCGAGACTCTGTCTCAAAAAAAAAAAAAAAAAAAAAAAATGCCAAGCTCACCCAGAAATAACCCCGTGCATATATGGTCAACAGATCTTTGACAAGGCCATGAAGGATATACAATGTAGATTCTTTTATTCCTTTACTTTCTTAATAGACTTGCTTTCACTGTACTGTAAAAAAAAAAAAAGGCACAATGTAGAAAGGAAACTCTCTTCAATGAATGGTGTTGGGGAAAGTGCATGAAAAAGAATGAAATTGCACACTTGTTTTACATCATATACCGAAAATTAGCTCAAAGTGGATTAAAGATTTAAATGTAATATCTGAAACCATGTAAATCCTGGAAGTAAACATAGGGAAAAATCTCCTCGACATTGGTCATAATTGGCAATATTTTTTTTGATGTAACACCAAAGCACAGGCAACAAAAGTGAAAATAAATAAATGGGACTACATCAATCTTAAAAGGTTTTACACAGCAAAGGAAACCATGACAAAATGAAAAGGCAACCTACGGGATGGAAGAAAATATTTGCGACCCATATATTTGATAAGGGGTTATTTGAAAAAATATAAGGAATTCACACAATTCAATAGCAAAAATTAATAAATACATGAATAACGCAATTAAAAATAGGCAAAGGACCCCAATGGACTTTTTTCCCCAAGGAAGATATACAAATGGCCAGCCAGCATATGAAAAGGTGCTCAACACCACTAATCATCAGAGAAATGCAAATCAAAACCACAGTGAGATATTGCCTCATAGGATAGGATGGCTCTTATAAAAAAACGACAAGAGATAACAAGTGTTGGCGAAAGCATAGAGGAAAGAGAACCCTTGTACACTGTTGGTTGGAATGTAAAGTGGTATAACCTTTACAGAAAACAGTATGGAGGTTCCTCAAAAAATTAGAAGCAGAACTACCATACGATTCAGCAATCAGGTTAGAACCTTGAAGAGAGATCTGCGCCCCATGTTTATTACAACACTATTCACAATACCCAAGATATGGAAACAGCCTAAGTGTCCAGCAACAGATGAATGGATAAATAAAACACATATAAACAATGGACTATTAGCCATTCAAAAGAAGAAACTCCTGTCCTGGATAAACCTGGAGGACATTACGCTAAGTGAAATAAGCCAGACACCGAAAGACAAGTTTTGTATGATCTCACTTATATGTGGGATCTAAGAGAGTCAAACTCATAAAAACAGATAGTAGAATGGTGGTTGCCAAGGGCTGGAGGTGGGGAAAATGGGAAGCTATTAATCAAAGGGTGTAAACTTTCAGTTATAAGATGAACAAATTCTGGAGATTTAATGTACAGCATAGGTGGTAATGGATGTAATAAATTTGATTGTGATAATTAGTACACAATATATACATATATGAAATCATCACATTGTATGCATTAAATATACACAATCCTTGTCAACTCAATATTTTTAAAAAAATGTTTAAAATGCCTAGGTCATAAGAATTCTGAGAATGAAATACAACAACATACATGAATGGACCTGCTACACAGAAGGTGCTAAATAGGTTTGTTTTGTTTTATTTTATTTCAACTCTGGCAGATGTAGACCTATTGGGAAAGAATATAGAATGCACTTGTGCACAAGGATTATCTATACGATGGTTAAATATCCTGCATACATGCCATGTCATTTCTACTCCTCAGTCAATGGATAATAAAAGCAGAACCAGCCTTCTGGTGGTCACAAAACATTTTGACATGAGAAAGGCTGATCATGAGCAATCTGGCAATGTACATCCCAGAGCGTGCATGCCCTTTGACCCACAGCTACCATGATGTCATGTCTAGCAATTAGTCCTAAGGAGATGATCAGAGATGTGTAAAGAGATTTCATTCTAACAGCATCCTCTGTAGTGGTATATGTCAGGGGCTGGTAAGCCATGTCCAGAGGAGCAGGCTGCATCTAGTCCACCACCTGTTTTTGTAAAGTTTATCAGAACACAGTCATGCCCATTCATTTACAAATTGTGTATGGCTTCTTTCCCTGCAACAGCAGAGTTGAGTGTTGCAACAGAAACCTATGGCCTGCAGAGTTTAAAATATCTACCCTTTGGCCTTTTATAAAAAAAGTTTACTGATTCCTGGTGAGTATATTAAAAAGTTAGGAAAACCTAAATCTTCCAGAGTGGAGAATTAGAAAGTAAGACGTGTTGTATATAAGACAGACAGTTTGTGTGTGCGTTTATTTATAAATATATTATTCTGAAATAATGTTGTCGACATATGTTGCAGGTCTTAAAAATTGGTCAATATATAGTGTTAATCAAAAAATGGCAAATTGTAAAATGTAGACAGAATGTGATTGTGTATTTTGTGCATACACCAACAGAAAAGGGTGCTAGGAAACCTGTGGACCAACATACTAAGTGTGGCTCTTTTGATGGTGGTATCATGGATTTTTAAAAATCTTCTTGGTTTTCTGTAGATTCTGACTTTCCTGTAATGAGTATGAATAAGTATGTATTTCTTGAGAAATGTGAAAATAACTTTATCTTCCCAGATTTCTCATAATTGAAAATGTTGGAATAAATGGTCCTGGGACAGATCTTTCCATTGAGAAGGGCAGAAGGGAAACCCTGGGGATTCAGCTGGGTTTCTGTTGCATTTCTGGTAACACACAGTTGTGAAAAGCCAGTGTTGGCCGTTCCCCAGGACAGTCTGGGGTAGAGGAGGTCAGGATTTAACTACTTGAGGGTCCGGGGAACAGATGTGGCCACAGTCCTTCCTGACTCACTGTTTTCCCTTCCACAGTCCCCGTCTTCTCTTCACTGATGCACATAGATGCCTGACCAGAGGAGAGATTTAGTTTTCGTCCAAGGATTATCTGTTATGTTGCAGTTCTGAAATTCCCATAACGTTTAGGCTAGAACACAAGTGATTTCATTATCTCCAATGTGTATGGCTTGATAGAAATAGATTCCATTATGTAGCACCTTAAATCCAGATAAAACATAAGGAATTTCTATTCCATGTTTGTATGATCAATGTTAATAATCTAAGAAAATCTAAAAAGAAGCTACTTCCTCTATTACAGTATGAAATAAATATGCTGAATGATTTGTTTTGGGGGGTGGAATGGAAAGGTATAAGACTGAGGAGGGTGCCTGTGGGAACAGTGATAGGAATCCTTTCTTAAGGGTTGGGTTTTACATACGTCTTTTAAAATAGATGATATCATTAATAAATTATCTGTGGGCATCATGAAAAAAGTGTATAACGTACAACTTTATGAGCTTGACAGTTGGTGAAAACTTTTCTGTTTAAAATTTTATTTGGCCCTCCCCAAAAGAAATGTTTATTTATGAGTATTAGGATAGTTCCAGCAGTAATGCCTCAAAAGAACCAGGAGGTATAGTGTTGTCTAAAATGTGGACTCAGGAGCCAGACTGCCTGGCTGTGCAACTAGCCTTGTCACTTCCTAGATATGTGGCAAGTTAATTAACTTCTCAGTGTTCTTATCTGTAGAATGGGGATAATCCTAATATACATCTCAGGGTTATATTACAAATTTAAAAAGTTAATTTTGTAAAGGACTTAGAATGATATCTGGCAAATAAAAGTGTTCATAAAAGTAAACCCTATAAAAGTGTTTACTCATTAAATACAATAATCTGAAACCATTAGTAATTTAAACATTTGTGGCTGACTTGGTAATATTTATGAAAATAAATACTGTATTTATAATCTTTGACCTTATTTGACTCCTAGGAATTTATTGTCCAGCAAACATTTTCACAGGCAGACAAAAATATTACTATAAAATCAGGTTTATTACACCAATCTGTGCAAAAGGAAAAAATAGACAATTAAAATGGCCATCAAAAGGAGTATTGATTAAGTGAATGATAGTAAATCCATTCAATAGTAATCATATTATCCAAAAAGAATGAGGCATAGTCATGTGATGTGGGAAGATCCACGGCTAATGTTAAACGGTAAATGATACAAACTGTTATGCCCAATAAAATACTTTCTGTGAGAGAATATATGTTAATTTATGCAAGTGGCGCCAATGTGGAGGGTTTATGCTAATTTCATTATACCTCACAGACAGACCTGGGCTCTCCCACTCATTTTCTATGTGGCCTGGGGTAAGTCATTTAACTGCTGGAAGCCTCAGCTTCTTCATCTGTCAGGCAGTGATACCCTGACTACTCTGCAGGGTAACTCTGAGATTTCAACGTGATCATCTCAGAATATGCCTGGCAAACAGTAGGAGCTCAGAACTTGATGTTTTTTTCCTACAGCAACTGCTGTAGGGGATAGCAGCTAATGCAAGAGGTTGGTAAATCCTTATATATATTAAATATTGTAGAAACATAACTACATGCTACTATTTTTTCAAACCCTCCCCTCACCCTTTTTTTTCCCCTGAGACAGAGTCTCACTCTGTTGCCCAGGCTGGAGTGCAGTGGCGCCATCTCGGCTTGGCTCACTGCAACCTCTGACTCCCGGGTTCAAGCGATTCTTGTGCCTCAGTCTCCCAAGTAGCTGGGATTACAGGCATGTGCCACCATGCCCACCTAATTTTTTTGGTATTTTTAATAGAGATGGGGTTTCTCCATGTTGGCCAGGCAGGTCTCCAGCTCCTGGCCTCAAGTGATCTGCCTGTCTCGGCCCCCCAAAATGCCGGGTCAAACCTCTTATATCCAGTAAAACAGCCTCACTGGGTCAATGGATATCATGTGGCTGCCTAACATTTTTACTTTATAAAAGGTCTTCCTGAGGCCATTTGAAAGTATGGATCAAAACACTTTATGAACAGGGCCACAGGTTTGCATGAGGCTTGTCAGTGGACCTCCAGGATGAAGACCAAAGTGACTGTGCAATTTCTAGTGGAATAATTTACACTTAAGATCTTATTATCAAAAGACTGCTGTGAGGTAGGAATTCTTAACCCCCATTTGCAGAAACAGACTTTGCCTGACACCACAGAGCTAGGAAAAAGTGGGCATAAGATCCTCATCAAGTCTGACTTCCAAAAGAAGATTCAAAAAGAAACCTCCTTGCTACCCGCCAAATCTCTGTAGAGCCAGCCATGTTCACACATGAAACAGGACAATGACAATAGCACCAGGAATAGCTACTCCTGGTCAGATGCCCTCATGAGGTCAACTCCGCGGGATGGGGACACCGGGCCCTGCTTAGGGGAAAGGAAGGGGGTTTGTAGAGGAAGCCCAGCCAGCCAAGCAACCAGAGATGGGAAAAACCTATTGGGAAGAACTTGCTTGCTCTAGCTGGGCTTTGCAAAGAACAGGAAAAGATGAGTCTGCACAGACAGAAATGGTCTAGAATGGCTGAATGTTTCATGTAGAAATTTTATTTTATGATTAATACACTCGTGCCATTTCTTGGAACCACTTGCTTGTTTAATTCTAGTCTATCAAGTGATAATTTTGTTGATATTTAGAGGCTCCTCAGTTAATTTCTGTGGGATTTTTGGTTATATTTAATAAGGAAAATAATATGAAATGTCTAAGAAAAAAAGAAACAAAGTCAACTATTCCTGAGAATGTTTAAATTTATTGAAGTACACTTGTTAATTGTTAGTATAGAACCTACATTTCATGATAGAAAACCTTGGACTTGCCAGTTGTAGCTGCTGGAATGAGGTGTTTGTCCAGTACATCCAGAACGTCGCCACAGATTAACTTTAGCTCAGTCTCAACCTGAAAAAATAAAAATAAATTTAAAAAATCAGATCGTTGAAGTCTAGAAATTCTGTAAATTATTACACATTCTATCTACCTCTGGTTTTGAGGAAGAGAGCTTAGTGTTACAGAGAATTCATTTCCCTCTCCAAACTCCCTTCCTCCCTTTTGACACAAAAGCAGAGAAAAGCTGCCTGTCGGTTATCAAAAGTATCTTTTCCTTCCTGCCTGCAATTAAGTGCTACACACACACCACCCCCCACCCCAATACCCCCTCACAGTCCAACTGCAGAATCACCAATGACTGAAACTAAACACTGATGCTACTTGGTAAACGCTGGTCAATTACATGAATCTTTCACAAAGTAGCAACTATTGTGTCCATTTACTGGGGAAAACAGAAGCTAAGACATTTGCTCAAAGGTCATCCCCTTAAAAGAACGTAATAAGCAGAGCTAGGATTTGAAACCAGGCAGGGTGCAAGGGACAGAACAAAATTCAAACCCAGGCAGTTTGCCTTCAGTACTTACATTCCTAACAAGGTTCAACAGGCAATGCCTTTAGTGGAAGAGACCAAAAACTAGTTAAGATACCAAAAATCTGTGGACCAAAGTAACAATTGCCACTCATTTATATTCATTTATAATGCTAAAAATGTGCACCACCTCTAAAGGCACATACCCAGTTTACGTCTTTTTTTTTTTTTTTTTTTTTTGAGAGGGAGTCTGGCTTTGTCACGCAGGCTGGAGTGCAGTGGCGTAATCTCAGCTCACTGCAACCTCCACCTCCCGGGTTCATGTCATTCTCCTGCCTCAGCCTCCGGAGGAGCTGGGACCACAGGCGCCTGCCACCACGCCCAGCTAATTTTTTGTATTTTTAGTAGAGACAGGGTTTCACCGTGTTAGCCAGGATGGTCTCGATCTCCTGACCTCGTGATCCGCCTGCCTCGGCCTCCCAAAGTGCTGGGATTACAGGCATGAGTCACCACGCCAGGCCTATTTTTTGTTTTTTTAGACAGAGTCTTCCCCTGTCACTCAGGCTGAAGTGCAGTGGCCCTATCTCAGCTCACTGCAGCCTCTGCCTTCCAGGTTCAAGCAGTTCTCATGCCTCAGGCCCCTGAGTAGCTGGGATTACAGGGGTGCGCCACTGTCTCGGGTTAATTTTTGTATTTTTAGTAGAGATGGGGTTTCACCATGTTGGCTAGGCTGGTCTTGAATTCCTGGCCTCAAGAGGTCCACCTACCTCGGCCTCCCAAACTGCTGGATTATAGATGTGGGCCACGCGTGGCCCAACTCTACTATTTCAATGCAGCTCCTGTACCCTAGGTCATCACTGACTTCCCAGTTGCTGAATCCAGTTGTCTTTACTGAGTTGGTCCTTAATTTAACTTTCTTTTGCATTGAAGCTACTGACTGACCACAGCATTTTGAAACTCTGTTCCTCTTATTACTGTGATTCTACTTTCCTTATTTTTCATCTTATCTCTTAAGTCTGTGGCTTCTCAGACTTCCTCACAATTGATTGCTTATTTTAAAAATTCAAAAATTTAAACCTCCCGAGCAGTTCAAAAACAATATACCTTTGAAATTTTTTAAACTTTTCAGAGTTGCAAGAATAGTTCAGTGATCACCAGGTGTTACCATTTTGCCATATTTTCTTTGTCTCTGTGTCCCTCCCTTTCTACCTGCCCCCACATATATGTGTATCTATGAATATTGACATTTTTTAACATTAATAAATTTTCTTTCTGTACAATTTGAGAGTTAACTGCAGATTTCATAGCACTTCACCCCTAATTTCTTCTATACATCTCCTAAGAATAAGGGCATTTTTTTTTTTTTTTTTTGAGAAGGAGTCTCACTCTGTCACCCAGGCTGGGGTGCAGTGGTGCAATCTTGGCTGACTGCAACCTCCACCTCCTGGGTTCAAGCGATTCTCCTGCCTCAGCCCCCCAAGTAGCTGGGATTACAGGTGCCTGCTACCATGCCTGCCTAAGTTTTGTAATTATAGTAGAGATGGGGTTTTGCCATGTTGGCCAGTCTGGTCTCAAACTCCTTACCTAAGGTGATCCGCCCTCCTTGGCCTCCCAAAGTGTTGGGATTACAGACGTGAGACTCCATTCTCAGCCTCTTTTTCCTTTTGTAATTAACAAGTGATCTATGGCATGATAGAAACAGTGTGAATATTCTGTCCCATAATAATCTTTACTTAATGGTTTCATCTGGATTGCTTCTTGCCCAAATCAAATATTACTATAGTGATTAGAAATTGGAGACTTTTCTATTTTTTCTGTATTTTTTCTATATTGTCATTCTTCTGTAAAGATTTTTTTAAACTCTTTTTTTTTTTTTTTTTTTTTGAGACGAAGTCTCGCTTTGTCACCAGGCCGGAGTGCAGTGGTATGGTCTCAGCTCACTGCAACTTCTGCCTCCCAGGTTCAGGCGATCCTCCTGTCTCAGCCTCCAGAGTAGCTGGGACTACAGTCATTTGCCACTGTGTCCAGCTAATTTTTTGTATTTTTAGTAGAGATGGGGTCTCACCATGTTGGCCAGGATGGTCTTGATCTCTTGACCCCGTGATCCAGCCACCTCAGCCTCCCAAAGTGCTGGGATTACAGGCGTGAGCCACCGTGGCTGGCCCTATACTCCCTTTTTAAATTTTTTTTTTTTTTTTTTGAGATGGAGGTTCACTCTGTTGCCCAGGCTGGAGTGCAATGATGTGGTCTTGGCTCACTGCAACCTCCGCCTCCCAGGTTCGAGCAATTCTTCTGCCTCAACCTCCTGAGTAGCTGGGATTACAGGTACATGCCACCACACTCGGCTGATTTTTGTATTTTTAGTAGGGATGGGGTTTCACTATGTTGGCCAGGCTGGTCTTCAACTCCTGACCTCATGATCTGCCCGCCTCAGCCTCCTAAAATGCTGGGATTGCAGGTGTGAGCCACTGCACCTGGCCCTTTTTTTTTTTTTTTTTTTTTTGAGACAGGGACTTCCTCTGTTGCCCAGACTTGAGTGCAGTGGTATGATCATGGCTCACCACAGCTTGGACACCAGGCTGCCTCAGCTCACTGCAACCTCTGCTTCCCGGGTTCCAGTGATTCTCGTGCCTCAGCCTCTGGAGTAACTGGGAGTACAGGTGCTCACCACCATACCTGGCTAATTCTTGTATTTTTAGTAAAGATGAGGTTTCACCATGTTGGCCAGGCTGGTCTCAAACTCCTGGCCGACATGGTGATCCACCTGCCTTGGCTTCCCAAAGTGCTTCATATTGTTAGCCCTAATTCTAGTCAAATTCCATAGCGTTCTTCCTCTTTATTTTTATTTTTTTATTTTTGAGACAGAGTCTTGATCTGTCCCCCAGGCTGGAGTGCAGTGGTGTGATCTCGGATCACTGCAGCCTCCACCTCCTGGGTTCAAGCAAATCTCTGCCTCTGCCTCCTGAGTAGCTGGGATTACAGACACCTGCCACCATGCCCAGCAAATTTTTGTATTTTTAGTAGACACAGGATTTCATCATCTTGGCCGGGCTGGTCTTGAACTCCTGACCTTGTGATCCACCCACCTCGGCCTCCCAAAGTGTTGGGATTACAGGCGTGAGCCACCGCGCCCGGCCTGTATTAGATATTTTTAAGTCAGTTTCCTAAGACAATTAAATATTTCAGGTAGTTGGGACTTTTCTTTTTTTGGTTTGTTTTATTTTGCTTAATTTAACCATTTTAAAAATGATTCTCTGGGAATTTTTTCTTCAAAATATAGAATATGTGTGCATTAGTTTGCTAGGCTTGCTGCAACGAAGTACCACAAACTGGGTGGCTTAGACAACAGAAATTTATTATCTCATAGATCTGGAGACTAGAAGTTCTAGATCACGTTGTTAGAGTTGGTTTCTTCGACAACTGTGAGAAACCTTATGTTCCATGCCTCTCCCCTGGCTTCTGGTGGTTTGCTGGTCATCTTTGGCATACTTTGGCTTGTAGGTGCATCACCTGGATCTCTGCCTTCATGTTCACATGGTGTTCTACCTGTGTGCATATCTGTGGACAAATTTCCCCTTTTTATAAGGATACCAGGCATATTGGATTAGGGTTCCTCTCTACTCCAGTAGGACCTCATCTTCACTAATTACATCTGCAATAACCCTTTCCAAATAAGGTCACATTCTGAGGAACTAGAGGTTAGAGTTTCAACATACGAAATTTTCTGGGGGGTGGGTAAGGGACACGATTCAATCCATAACAATATGTTTATGAGTAAATGAGTTAGTGTGTTATTGTCTTTCTGCCACCTCAGAATCTGAGAAAACAGTTTCTTTTTCCATTCCTTGGGCTGTAGGTGGAGAAGGAGGAGGATGATGATGGTGATTATTTTTTGGTCATGCCCCATAATGTGACCCACTTTAAAAAACAACAAACAATTGTAAGGAGGAGAACTGTCATACACCTACTGCCCAGCTTAAAAATAATTAGATCATCTTCTTTAAACATAACTGTCATCCCATCATCACACCTAAGAAGTTGACAGTTTCCCCAGTTTTTTTTTTCTCTTTTTTTTTTTTTGAGATAGGGTCTTTCTCTGTTGCCCAGGCTGGAGTGCAGCGGCATGATAGTGGCTCATGGCAGCCTCATCTTCCCAGGCTCAAGGGATCCTCCCATATAGCTGGGACCACAGGGGTGCATCACCACAACCAATTTTTTGAATTTTTCTAGAGATGAGGTCTCCCTGTGTTGCCCCACCTAATTTTTTTTTTGTTGTTGTTCCATTCTTTTTTTTTTTTCTCCTGTTTGTAAGGATTTAATCAAGGTCTGTATGTAGTTTGGTTACTATGTCTCTTAGGTCTCTTTTCGTTTATAGATTCCCCTCGTGATTTACTGAAGAAACGGGGTCATTTGTCCTGTAGAATTCTCAAATTTTGATTTTGCTGATATTATCCCCAGAGTGTCATTGACCATGTTCATCTGTTCCCCAAATTTCCAAAAACTGGTAGTTAAATTTAGGTGGTTGATCTGATTCAGATTACACTCTCAGTATCGCATATGCTTTGATCAGGAGGCATAATGTGTACTTGTGTGTGCGTATGTGTGTTTTTTTAGTGATGTTAGTGGTCACTGCCTGTGTCAGCATTTCACTACCAGGGTAATTTGGCAATGTCTGGAGACACACTGATTGTCACAGCTTGGGAGAGGGAATGCTATAGGTACCTTCAGGGGTAAGAGTCAGCACAGCACAGCACAGCCCCCTAACGCAAAGTATTAATAGGCCTAAAATGTCAGTAGCCCTGAGGTTGAGAAACTCTGGCCTACTTTTGTAGTTTCATCAGGTGTTTGTGAAATGGTTTTATTCTAACTGTTATTTCTTCTTTCTTTGTTAGCTGGAATTCTTTCATAAAGAGAAACTCTTTGATCAGTTAGTTACCCAAGGTACAGTTCATACAGAAAAGGCAGGATGTATGTTTGATTCTTTCCTAGTTTTCAAAATAATGAATTAGTTCCCTAGCATCTTCCAAAATTGACCAATGAACTTTGTGTGTGTTTTTTTCTTTTTTAGTATATTATGAACTTACACGTTTTAACATATTTGTGTTTCCTTTCATCGCAGTTATTTTTATTTTATTTTTATTTATTCATTTATTGTTTTGAGGCAGGGTCTTAACTCTGTCACCCAAGCTGTAGTGCAGTGGTATGATCGCTGCCCACTGCAGGCTTGACGTCCCGACCTCCAGCAATCCTCCCACCTCACCCTCTTGAGTAGCTGGGACCACAGGTACACCATCATGCCCAGCTAATTTTTGTGTTTCTGGTAGAGACGGGGTTTTGCCGTGTTCACCAGGCTGGTCTTCAAATCCTGAGCTCAAAAGCAATCCACCTGCCTCTGCCTCCCAAAGTGTTGGGATGATAGGCGTGAGCCACCGCACCTAGCAGTTATTTTTATTGGTGCTCGTTTTTTCCCTTCGTTGAATGCTGGGTGCAGTGAATGCTGGGTGCATCTTCATGTTGGGTTCTGAGTCCTTTTGACATGAGCACATTGTCTGGTGTTGTACGAGAGAGCAAAATAAGGAAACTGGTGTTCTATGCTTATCTTGTACATTTTCCCCACACTTGGAATCAGCCATTCCTCCAGGGAGTGCAGGTTCACAGTCTGGGCTCTAAGAGAATTATAAGGTCAATGTGGTCATCATCTTTTAGTATTAAGTCAGATATTCTAAATTATTATTTACTTCTTACATTTGGCCCAAGAGTTTAACCAGATATTTTGGGAAAGAGAGAAGGAATTAAATAAATAAATCTCATGGTTAGAACTGAAGTGATAACTATACTTTCACAAGGAAATATAACTTATAACCCATGCGGAATAGAAAATTATTTTTGCTCCTTTAGATTTCTGAAGGAATGAAATGAGCTGTGGGAAGAAACTTTAACTGGAGCATCTTACCAGTATTATTCATGTTTTAACTCTGCTTCAGTAGTTTTTCAGGTTTATTACAAACCTGCAGTAGCCAACTGAATTAATTATCTCTAAACAGGGATTTAGCCAGTGGACTAGGCACACTGAAGCTTTGTGAGAGGGGAAATTGATATTCACATTTTTTCCAGCTTGTTTTGAGCTCGATATATTCTTTTTTTTTTTTTTTTTTCATTGAGACAGACTCTCGCACCGTCACCTGGGCTGGTGTGCAGTGGCACGATCTCTGCTTGCGGCAACCTCTGCCTCCCAGGTTCAAGCAATTCTCCTGCCTCAGCCTCCCGAGTAGCTAGGATTACAGGCGCCCGCCACCACGCCCGGCTGATGTTTTGTATTTTTAGTAGAGACGGGGTTTCGCTTTATTGGCCAGGCTGGTCTTGAACTCCTGACCTCATGATCTGCCTGCCTCAGCCTCCCAAAGTGCTGGATTACAGGCCTGAGCCACCATGCCCAGCCAATATATTCACATTTTTAATAGGAATAACAGTATACTAAAATCTTTTTTAGTGCATGTTTAAGATTTGAAGATGTAATTTGACTCAGTACTTTCCACTTGCATTTTTTTCTTCCACTTGCATTTCTCCACTATTAGAATAGTGCCTGCTAAGACTATTCTAATACTTTATTATAGTTAACCCCTGCGAAAAGAGCTCCCAGAGCTTACAGTGCATTTGATTGATGTCATATGGACTATTCATTATTTTCTAAATTATTTTGTTTGTATAGAGCAATCTGAAGAGGATGTAAGTCAGTTTGATTCCAAGTTTACACGTCAGACACCTGTCGACAGCCCAGATGACACAACTCTCAGTGAAAGTGCCAATCAGGTGTTTTTGGTAAGTGAAAGAATTTCCATGTAGTCATGGGAAATTTTAAGTATGAGGATGGGCTCTTCGATAAGAAAATTCAGTTTGCTTGCTTTGCAGCTCATGTAGGTAACCTGGCCCACTTTTTTTTTTAAATAAGCCATGCTCTTATAACTTATTGATACCTACAAAATTGATTTTCATAATCCAACATTTTATTTTAGCAATTAGAGTGGGAATGTACAATTCTTTGGAGAGTATGATTCCCTTTTTTGGTTGGGCCACAGACTTAAAATGATGTTTGGCTTAGCATCTCAACCAAAAATTAAGTCATAGCAGTGGGAGAGAAAAACCTCACTAACTACATGTATTTTATTTCTGAAACAGCTATAGATTTTTGGTACCTTTTTTTTTTTTTTTTTTTTTTGAGACAGGGTCTCACCTTGTAGCCCAGGCTGGGTGTAGGGTGTAGTGGTGTGATCACAGTTCACTACAGCCTTGACCTCCCAGGCTCAAGTGATCCACCCATTTCAGCCTCGTGAGTACCTGGACTACAGGTGTGTGCCCCATCCAGCTAATTTTTTATTTTTTTGTAGAGACAGAGTCTCACTATTTTACTCCTGGACTCAAGCTATCTTCCCACCTCGGCTTCCCAAAGTGCCAAAATTATAGGCATGAGCCATCATTCCTGGCCCTATTTTTGGTACTCTTAACATAAGTAGGGGATTTTTTTTTTTTTTTTTTTGAGACCGAGTCTCACTCTGTCGTCAGGCTGGGGTGCAGTGGCGCGATCTCAGCTCACTGCAACCTCTGCCTCCTGGGTTCAAGTGATTCTCCTGCCTCAGCCTCCTGAGTAGCTGGGACTACAGGCGCCTGCCACCACGCCCAGTTAATTTTTGTATTTTTAGTAGAGACAGGGCTTCACCATGTTGGCCAGGATGGTCTTGATTTCTTGACCTCATGATCCACCCGCCTTGGCCTCCCAAAGTGCTGGGATTACAGGCATGAGCCACTGCGCCCGGCCAAGTAGGGGATTTTTTCAACCTAATTGTGAATATTTGACATCAAATTATATTGGTTCATATGTAATAGTGAATTCTCGTTGTAGAAATATCCGTATAGATTTATAGCTTGTCTCCTCAGAAAAGTAAAGGTTTTAGATGTTGGCCAACAGAAATGATGGATTTATATCAGATGACCATCAATGCATACATACTATTTTGCTTAAATACCATATATGCTTGTTGATTTTATTACTGTACTTATATGTCACATGAACATCTTTCTCATTTTGTATGCTTTTTTTTCTTTTGTCGTTCCTGTATGGAATACCTCTAGGGAGAATAGAATATGGGGAAAACAATTGTTTGGGAGTGGTTTTTTCCCTCTTTTTGAGTTCACTGGATTTGTCACTAACTTAATTCTATGCTTTTCTTCCCCACACTGCTCACTATATAACACAAGTAGTGTTGTATCTTATGGGATGGGAAATAAGCTCTAAAGTTAGCATGGAGCTGGGACATGGTGGCTCAGGCCTATAACCTTGAGGTCAGGAGTTCGAGACCAGCCTGGCCCACATGGTGAAACCCCATCTCTACCAAAAATACAAAAATTAGCCGGGTGTGGTGGCATGTACCTGTGGTACCAACTACTTGGGAGGCTGAGGTAGGAGAATGACTTGAACCCGAGAGGCAGAGGTTGCAGGAGCCAAGATCGTGCCACTGCACTCCAGCCTGGGCAATAGAGTGAGTGAGACTCTGTATAAAAAAAAAATAATTAAAAAAATAAAGTTAGCATGGAATGCAAAAGTTGTGTATAGTACAGTATGGTTTCAAGTAAACAACACTGAATAGTAATAATCCTATAAATTAGTAATATAGAGCACGTAGGCAAAATATAATCTTACAGTATTAATTACATAAGAGATAAAAGATGAGTGAGTGCATGCATGTTTTTAAATTCAAGTTTGATGTGTGCATGATCAAAGTTACGGCATCTCTGTTAGTAAAATCTTAGGTTCACTCAGGGAAGTGGGCATGAATCACTTTAATTTTGGCTTTTTTTTTCTCTTTCATGTACTACTGATGTGGAATTTATACCTTTGATTTAACATAGAGACCTTTTCATCAATTGAACATTGCAGAATTTCAACTTATGTGACAGTTTCCCCCCACAAAATAGAAGCATTTTATTTAGCTACCAAGAAATCCTAAGTTGTGGTGGTAAATGTGAGCTATTGACGCTTTCATTGCCAGTTAAAAGTATTGTTGAGCTTTTCATAATTACTTAAATTGGCTATAACTGATGAACAGAGCAACTCATTTGTTAGGTTGTAGCCAGAATTCTGTACATAAAGCGGGTCTCTTGAAACATTAGTAAAAACAAAAATAGGCCAGGTGCAGTGGCTCATGCCTGTAATCCCAGCACTTTGGGAGGCTGAAGTGGGTGGATCACAAGGTCAGGAGTTCTAGAACAGCCTGGCCAATATGGTGAAACCCCATCTCTACTAAAAATACAAATATTAGCCAAGTGCGGTGGCACACGCCTGTAATTCCATCTACTCGGGAGGCTGAGGCAGGAGAATCACTTGAAACCAGGAGGTGGCAGTTGCAGTGAGCCAAGATCGTGCCAGTGCATTCCAGCCTGGGCAACAGAGCAAGGCTCTATCTCAAAAAAAAAAAAAATTCCGCATACATAAGAAGAGAATATGCATTAAAAAAATCAGCAGAGCCTCACATTCCAGGATTTTCTACACAAGAAACCATTCCTAAAATATGTGCTTGGAATTACTAGGGTTTCTCTTGCAAACATTTTAATAACACCTCATTTGTTTTTTTTATTATAATATTTATTTAAGCAAAATTTCTTTTTTTTATTTTATTATTTTATTATTATTACACTTTAAGTTGTAGGGTACATGTGCACAATGTGCAGGTTAGTTACATATGTATACATGTGCCATGCTGGTGTGCTGCACCCATTAACTCGTCATTTAGCATTAGGTATATCTCCTAATGCTATCCCTCCCCCCTCCCCACACCCCGCAACAGTCCCCAGAGTGTGATGTTCCCCTTCCTGTGTCCATGTGTTCTCATTGTTCAATTCCCACCTATGAGTGAGAACATGCAGTAACACCTCATTCTTTAGGGGTGTGGTTATATGTGTCATGTTATTAGATCTTTACAGCAACTCTCCTGGGTAAAGCGGTTATTACTAGGTCATTTTATAGAAGGAAAAATAACCAGTACTTTTTTTTGCTTTACTTCAGTAGCTATTGCCTCCTTCAATTTGACATTTCAATCCTGGCACATAGTGGGGGCTCAACAAATATTTGCTGGAGGAATGCCATTTAAAATACAGTGATTGGATAGGAGAATATTTGAGGGCATTAACAATTTTTAAAAGCCAAAAAAAAATTACAATTGGACTTATGAGATTTTGATTTTTTTGTGTATTTTCTTTTAAAAAATAAGCTTCTCTAAGCTGGGCTTGGTGGCTCATGCCTGTAATCCCAGCACTTTGGGAGGCTGAGGCAGGTGGATCACCTGAGGTCAGGAGTTTGAGACCAGCCTGGCCAACATGGTGAAAACCCGTCTCTACTAAAAATACAAAAATTAGCTGGCCGTGGTGGCACACACCTGTAATCCCAGCTACTAGGGAGGCTGAGGCAGGAGAATCGCTTGAACCCGGGAGGCAGATGTTGCAGTGAGCCAAGATCACACCACTGTACTCCAGCCTGGGTGACAGAGCAAGACTCTGTCTCAAAAATAAATAAATAAAGTATATAAATAAATAAATAAGCTTCTGTTTTGGCTTCCTCCAATGTAGTCTCTTTGAGTAGGAAGAAATTGTTATGATTCAAACTAGTAAATTCTTTTTTTTTTTTTTTTTTTGAGATGGAGTCTTGCTCTTATTGCCCAGGCTGGAGTGCAGTGGCGTGATCTTGGCTCACTGCAGCCGGCTCACTTGAACCGGGTTCAAGTGATTCTCCTGCCTCAGCCTCCCAAGTAGGTGGGATTACAGGTGCCTGCCATCACGCCTGGCTAATTTTTGTAGTTTTAGTACAGATGGGGTTTCACCATCTTGGCCAGGCTGGTCTTGAACTCCTGGTCTTGATCTGCTGACCTATATCCGCCCGCCTCGGCCTCCCAAAGTGCTGGGATTACAGGTGTGAGCCATTGCGCCCGGCCGACAGGTAAATTCTTATATCAAAAAACTGAGTTAGACTTGGTCCCTGGAGCTGTTTTCCATCCCTAAAAAGATGATGTCAAGCTATCATGTATAATAAATAACAACTCAATTGACCACATATTTTCCTTTAAGCCTAATGATGAAATAATATTATAATGAAATACTTAGAAGTTTTAAGGGAAAAAATCCTTTAAGTCATTAAATTAAAATTGAAACCAAAACAATAACTTCACTGTTTTAGGATAAAATTGGCATATGAAAGGTTTGATAGTGAACGACAGTAAGATTAACCTACTACAGCATTTGCCTTTAGCTTTTACTGAGTAATACTTGGAGCTATATATTTATAGCATTTGCTATAAATGTGCAAATGAAGACATTATTTATTGTATTACTGCTGAGATTAATATTGTCTTTTTCAGATTTCTAAAACATTACAGCAAATGCGCACATGAGGGCGCTCTAATCAGCTAGATGTGGAGAGGGTAGGCATTTGTTGACTGTTAAGTCAAAACTAGTTCTATACTTTTACAGATGGAAAAATCAAGGTCCACCAAAGAGGTTATGATTCTACACGAGTTATTCTCTAGAGGAAACAAATTGGGTATTAGAATTTTGAAAAGATTAAACAGAAATCCCTGTCAGTGAATTTATGCTGGAGAATTTTGACTTTTATCCTAGCAACTCCTTATTGAAAATCTTTACCCATGCCATGATATAATTTATCTTCAATCTTAAATGGGTTTGGTAATAGTGTTTATAAGATGTAGGAGAGTTAATTAGAATATTTATTTTTATGAACTTTTGCTTTATAAAATTAACAAATGTTAATTGTGCTTCATTTATCCTTTTTTTTTTTTTTTTGAGACGGAGTCTTACTCTGTCACCCAGGCTGGAGTGCAGTGGCGTGATCTCAGCTCACTGCAACCTCTGCCTCCCAGGTTCAAGCGATTCTCCTGCCTCAGCCTCCCAAGTAGCTGGGACCACAGGCACGTGCCACCACGCCTGGCTAATTTTGGTACTTTTAGTAGAGACGGGGTTTCACCATGTTGGCCAGGGTGGTCTCGAACTCCTGACCTCAAGTGATCTGCCCGCCTTGGCCTCCCAAAGTGCTAGGATTACAGGTGTGAGCCACCAACACCTGGCCCATTTATACTTAAGGCTGATTCTCAACTGATTTGGGTAAGATCCTTAGTCTTTCCCCATCTCTGACGTAATTCCTAGTTTGTCCTTTGGCTTTCCTGTGTATATAAAGCTACCAGGCTGCTTGCAGATTTTTCGGGGAATAAGTCCCATAAACACTCACAAAGATTTTATTAGGGAGAAGCTATGATGCGAATATAGAATGTAGATTTTTTAAATTTCAAAATCAGTATGGGCCGGGCGCGGTGGCTCACGCCTGTAATCCCAGCACCTTGGGAGGTCGAGGCGGGCGGATCACGAGGTCAGCAGAGCGAGACCATCCTGGTTAACACGGTGAAACCCCGTCTCTACTAAAAATACAAAAAATTAGTGGGCGCAGTGGCAGGCGCCTGTAGTCCCAGCTACTCGGGAGGCTGAGGCAGGAGAATGGCGTGAACGCGGGAGGCGGAGCTTGCAGTGAGCGGAGATCGCGCCACTGCACTCCAGCCTGGGCGACAGAGCGAAGACTCCATCTCAAAAAAAAAAAATCAGTATGTAGAGCTGGGCATGGTGGTGTGTGCCTATTAGCCCAGCCACTGGGGAGGCTGAGGCAGGAGAAGCCCTTGAGCCCAAGAGTTCAAGACTAGCCTGGGCAACACAGCGAGACCCTCATCTCGAAAAATAAATAAATAAATAAATAAAGTATTGCAATATTTATTATATAGGCAAATTTTTTTCAACTTAAGTGCTACCCTCATCAGGGGAAGATTTGTTTGATTAGATCCCCACACAGGCTGGCCGCTTCCTCATTTCTACTTTTTCTTTTCTTTTTGAGATGGAGTTTTGCTCTTGTTGCCCAGGCTGGAGTGCAATGGCGCAATCTTGGCTCACTGCAACCTCCGCCTCCCGGGTTCAAGCGATTCTCCTGCCTCAGCCTCCCGAGTAGCTGGGATTACAGGCACCTGCCACCACACCCGGCTAATGTTTGTATTTTTAGTAGAGATGGGGTTTCACCATGTTGGCCAGATTGGTCTCAAACTCTTCAGTTCAAGCGATCTACCTGCCTCGGCCTCACAAAGTGCTGGAATTACAGGTGTGAGCCACTGCGCCCGGCCTCATTTCTACGTTTTCAAAGAAGTCAATTTTCTTTAAAAAATAAACTCTTTTGGCCACGCGGCGGCTCATTCCTGTAACCCTAGCACTTTGAGACTCAGAGGCAGACGGATCGCTTGAACTCAGGAGTTCAAGACCAGCCTGGCCAACACGGTGAAACCCTGTCTCTACAAAAAATTAGCTGGATGCAGCGGCACGTGCCTGTAGTCCCAGCTACTCAGGAGGCTGAGGCAAGAGAGTCACTTGAGTCCAGGAGGCAGAAGTTGCAGTGAACTGAGATCACGCCATTGCACTCCAGCCTGGCTGATGGGAGTGAAACCTTGTCTCAAATAAATAAATAAATAAACTCTTATTTTTTTAAAAAAAAAAAAGCAAATCATGAAACAAAACAAAACCCAGGGCTCTGAATGAAAAAGATCTCTCCTTTAGGGGGCTAGGTGATGGAAAGGAAAATAGGTCATGAATTTCATGTTCTCATTTGTCTTCGTTAATGACTTGTATGTATATATATTTCCATTGAAGACATAGATATGCATTTGATCACCTACACTTGTTTGTATTTTGAGTCATAAATTAAGGCATTTCCTGTCCAGAAAGCACCTGACAATCTTATGATAAAAAACATGGAATTTTAAAATCACAAATGTAAATAACAAGCCAGGCACAGTGGCTCACGCCTGTAATCTTAGCTCTTTGGGAGACCAAGGTGGGTAGATTGTTTGAGCTCAAGAGTTTGAGACCAGCCTGGGTAACATGGAGAAACCCTGTCTTTACAAAAAATAAAAAATTAGTGGGGCACGGTGGCATGTGCCTGTAGTCCCAGATACTCAGGAGGCTAAGGTGGGAGGAGTGCTTGAGCTCAGGAGGTCGAGGCTGCTGTGAGCTGTGGTGGCAACACTGCACTCCAGCCTGGGTGACAGAGTGAGACCCTATCTCAAAAAAAAAAAGGAGTGCAAATAACAGATGACCTTACAAACATCAAAAGTTATGTCTTTATAATAAGTTTTGTCTACATTTAATGAAATATATTGGACAAGGAAAAAATGTAGCAGTATGCGTATGGCTTTATCTTGGCCCTGCCCACTACTGTGCCCTCATTTCTTTTCCTTCCCACTGAGTCCTTCCACACTACCACACCACAGCAAACCTGACAAGCTTCTGCCTGAAATAGCACCATTGCACTTCTCTTCCCTTTGCCTGAAACATTCTTTTTTTTCTTTTTTCTTTCTTTCTTTTTTTTTTTTTTTTTTATGAGATGGAGCCTCACTCTCTCGCCAGACTGGAGTGCAGTGGCACGATCTCAGCTCACTGCAACCTCCACCTCCCTGGTTCAAGCGATTCTCCTGCCTCAGCCTCCCGAGTAGCTGGGATTACAGGTATGCACCACCATGCCCGGCTAATTTTGTATTTTTAGTAGAGACGGGGTTTCTCCATGTTGGTCAGGCTAGTCTCGAACTCCCGACCTCAGGTGATCCGCCCGCCTCGGCCTCTCAAAGTGCTGGGATTACAGGCGTGAGCCCCTGTGCCTGGCCACCACAATCAATTTTAGAATATTTTCATTTCTCTCAAAAAAAAATACCATACCTATGAGCAGTCACTCCCCATTTTCTCCATCCCTCAGTCCTAGGCAACCACTAATTTACTTTCTTTTAGGATAGGATTTGCCTATTTGGACATTTCATATAAATGGAACCATACAATTTGTGATCTTTTGTGACTGGCTTTTTTCAAGTAACCTAATGTTTTCAAGGTTCATTCATGTTATAGCATGTGTCAGTACTTATTTCCTTTTTTTTTATGGCTCAATAATATTCTGTTGTAGGAATATAACACATTTCATTTATCTGTTTATCACTTTTTTTTTTTTTTTTTTTGAGATGGAGTCTCAGTCTGTCACTCAGGCTGGAGTACGGTGGTGTGATCTTGGCTCACTGCGGCCTCCGCCTCCTGGATTCAAGCCATTCACCTGCCTCAGCCTCCCAAGTAGCTGGGATTACAGGCACGTATACCATGTCCCGCTGATTTTTGTATTTTCAGTAGAGATCGGATTTCACTCTGTTGGCCAGGCTGGTCTCGAACTCCTGACCTCAAGCAATCCTCCCGCCTTGGCCTCCCAAAGTGTTGGGAGCCACCACACCCAGCTGTCTCCACTTTTTGACTATTATGAATAATGCTGCTATGAACATTCATGTGTAAGTTTTTGTGTGGACATATGTTTTCCTTTCCCTTGGGAATATGATGAAGCCTGGCATTGCCAGGTCATATGATAACTCTATGTTTAAGCTTTGGAGGAACTGCCAGACTATTTCCAAAGCAGTTCCAACTTCATTGCAAAGCATTTTACATTCCCTCCAGCAACATATGAGTGTTTCAATTTTTCCACATTTTCTCCAACACTTGTTATTATGTGTCTGTTTATTATAGCCATTCTTGTGAGTGTGAAGTGGTATCTTAACATGGTTTGGATTTGCACTTCCCTGATGGCTAATGATGTTTCTATGGTTTGAATGTTGGAGTCCTCCAAAATTCATGTTATAACCTAAGACCTAATGTGACGATGTTAAGAAGTGAGGCCTTCAAGGTGGTGATTAGGTCATGAGGGCTCTGCCCTCATGAATGAAATTAATGCCCTTATAAAAAGGCTTCACATAACATTTCTTCTTCTTTTTTCCTTTCTTCTCCTGCCATGTGAAGATGCCACTGCGAGAACGGGAACAATGGAACAGGCCCTCACCAAATGCCAAATGTGCTATCACCTTGATTTTGGATTTCCCAGCCTCCGGAACTGTGAGGAATAAATTTTTTTACTTATAAATTACTTAGTCTCAGGTATTTTGTTACAGCAGCACAAACAGACTAAGACAGAAATTGAGTGTATTTTCTTGTGCTTATTGGCCATTTATTTTCTTTCTTTTATTTTTATTTATTTATTTATTTTTAGGTGGGGTTTTGCTCTGTTGCCCAGGCTGGAGTGCAGTGGTGCAATCTTAGCTCATTGCAACCTCTGCCTCCCGGGTTCGAGTGATTCTTGTGCCTCATCTGCCTGAGTACCTGGGACTACAGGCATGCGCCACAACGCCTGGCTGATTTTTATATTTTTAGTAGAGATGGGTTTTCGCCATGTTGGCCAGACTGGTCTTGAACTTCTGGCCTCAAGTGATCCACCTGCCTTGGCCTCCCAAAGTGTTGGGATTATAGGCATAAGCCACCACCTGGCCCTTATTGGCCATTTGTATGTCTTCTTTGGAGAAATATCTGTTCAGATCTTTTGTCCATTTTAAAATTGGGTTATATCCTTTTTATTATCAAGTTGTAAGAGTTCTTTATGTATTCTAGATCCAAGTCCATTGTCAGATACTGTAGTCTCCCGTATGCTCTCTGCAGTTTCAGTTACCTGCGGGCAGCTGCAATCCCAAATATTACAGTATTTTGAGACAGAGAAAACTATTCATGTAACTTATGTTAAAGTATATTCTAGCCAGGCACAGTGGCTCACACCTGTAATCCCAGCACTTTGGGAGGCCGAGGTGGGTGGATCACAAGGTCAGGAATTGGAGACCAGCCTGGCCAATATGGTGAAACCCTGCCTCTACTAAAGATACAAAAATTAGCCGGGCGTGGTGGCAGGTGCCTGTAGGCCCAGCTACTCGGGAGGCTGAGGCAGGAGAATCGCTTGAACCTGGGAGGTGGAAGTTGCAGTGAGCCGAGATGGCGCCATGGCACTCCAGCCTGGGTGACAGAGCAAGACTCCATCTCAAAAACAAAAAGTATATTCTAATTGTTCTCTTTTATTATTAGTTATTGTTGTTATTCTATTACAGTGCCTAATTTATAAATTAAACTTCATCATAGGTATGTATGTATGTATAGGAAAAAAACATAGTACATATAGAGTTTGGTACTATCTGCAGTTTCAGGTATACACTGGAGGTCTTGGAACATATTTTGTTACATATATATCTATATATTTATAAATATATATTTATATATAGCTATATATTTATGTATCTATATATCTATAAATATATGTTTATATATCTATATTAATCTATATCTATATATGAATATATAGGTAGATAGATAAATATATACATATATATATATATATATTTTTTTTTTTTGAGATAAGGTCTCGGTCTATCGCCCAGGCTGGGATACATTAATGTTATCTTGGCTCACTGCAGCCTCAACCTCCTGGGGTCACGTGATTCTCCCACCTCAACCTCCCAAGTAGCTGGGACCACAGGCACATGTCACCACATCTGGGTAATTTTATTTATTTATTGTAGAGATAGGGTATCCCTATGTTGCCCAGGTTAGTCTTGAGCTCCTGGGCTCAAGTGATCCTCCCACCTCAGCTTTCCAAAGTTCTGGGATTACAGGCATGAGCCACTGTGTCTGGCTACATATTTTCCACAAATAAAGTGAGCCTACTTTGTACATAATTTGCAAGTATTTTCTCCCATTCTGTGGGTTGTCTTTCACTTTTTTTTTCTGGAGTCCTCCAAAATTCATGTTATAACCTAAGACCTAATGTGATGATGTTAAGAAGTGAGGCTTTCAAGGTGGTGATTAGGTCATGAGTGCTCTGCCCTCCTGAATGAAATTAATGTGCTTATAAAAAGGCTTCACATAGCATTTCTTCTCCTTTTTTTGCCTCAGCCTCCTGAGTAGCTGGGATTACAGACGTGTACTACCATGCATGGCTAACTTTTGTATTTTTAGTAGAGACAGGGTTTCACCATGTTGGCCAGGCTGGTCTCGAACTCCTAACCTCAGGTGATCGGCCCGCCTCGGTCTCACAAAGTGCGGGGATTGCGGGCGTGAGCCACCATGCCCGGCACATGCATCAGTTTTTATGCTTCCTTGCTTGGACTGATTAACCAGTCAACTACTGGTTCCAATAAAGTTGGATGAGGTGGCTTATACTCTACTTATTTGCCGCCCCCGCTTCTTCCTTTTTTTTGAGACAGGGCCTTTGACGCGCTGGCTGGAGTGCCGTGGTGTCATCTTGGCTCACTGCAGCCTCAACTTCCTGGGCTCAAGCAGTCTTCCCACCTCAGCCTCTAAGTAGCTGGAACTACAGATGTGTGCCCCTATGCCTGGCTAATTTTTGTATTTTTGTCGAGACGGGGTCTCCCCATGTTGCCCAGGCTGGTCTCCAACTCCTGGGCTCAAGAGATCCGCCCACCTTGGCCTCCCAAAGCCCTGGGATTGCAGACATGAGCCACTCTGCCTGGCAACTTGTAACAGTTCTTTGTATGTTCTTGATACAAGTCAGTTGTCAGATACAGCGGTAGTACATAATTAAACATAATTATATAGAACTATATTTTATATAAGCGCAGCATTATATAAAACAGCAAAAATTTGGAAATAACCAAATGTCCAACAATAGGTAGTTAGCTAAGTAAATTGTGAAACATCCATGTAACGAAAGGTATACAACTATAAAAAATGATCTAGACCTATTTATACTGACATTGACAGATGTCTAACATAAATTACATGAAAATAGGAAGTGACAGAGAAGAGAGTATGGTATAATCTCATTTACATTAAAGTAATCAAAAAAACCAGCTTATATAATAGATACAGGCTGGGCAGGATGGCTCACGCCTGTAATCCCAGCACTTTGGGAGGTCAGGGCAGGAGGATCACTTAAGCCTAGGAGTTCAAGATCAGGCTGGGCAACATACCCAGACCCCATATCTACAAAAAGTTTAAAAATTAGCCAAGTGAGCTACGATCACGCCACTGCACTCCAGGCTTGGGGACAGAGCAAGACTGTCTCTAATAAAATAAAACAAAATAAAATAAAATAGGCTGGGCATGGCAGCTCATGCTGTAAAAGTGCTGTAATCCCGGCACTTTGGGAGGCTGGGGCAGGTGGATCACCTGAGGTCAGGAGTTCAAGACCAGCCTGGCCAACATGGTGAAACCTCGTCTGTACTAAAAATACAAAAATTAGCTAGGCATGGTGGTGCACATCTGTAATCCCAGCTACTCGGGAGGCTGAGGCAGAAGAATTGCTTGAACCTGGGAGGTGGAGGTCACAGTGAGCTGAGACTGCACCATTGCACTCCAGCCTGGGTGACAGAGTGAAACTCTGTCTCAAAAATTAAAATAAAATAAAGTAAAATAAAATATAATAGATATAGCTACATATGTGTGAAAAGGACAATAACATTAAATTATGAGTGTTTTCTGTCCTCCCTTGGGGGACCTTTCTAAATAAATAGGAGTATACTCTAAAATAATGATTAAAGGTTTAGTATAGTAAATGACTACATAAAAAAAGCAGAAAGCAAAAACAAGTAAATGGCTACAATGTCACTAGGCAATAGGAATTTTTCAGCTCTACTATTATCTTATGGGATCACAGTTGTGTATGCAGTCCATCGTTAACCAAAACATCATCATGCAGCACAGGACTGTATAGGTATGTATAACATGGACAGAAACAGACATCTCAGAAAAAGCAAGATACAAAATTGTATGTACATTATGATTAAAACAATACTAAACACTAATTTGATAAAAGAGTAACAGCAAATAATTAACTGTGTTTGGTGATGAGATCATTAGTGAAATTTTCTCCCTTTATCTTCCAATCTCTTAGTAATCTTGTATATTGTTTTTTGTAATATTTAAATAAGTTTTACAAGAGTGCTGTTGGTGGCTGGTAGTTGATATTCCTGTTTGTCTTTGTTTATGAAGCTCCCTCCTTCTCTGTGGATACCACGCTTCTTCTTACCCTGTATATCTATAACCAACTGTGAGAGAGTTTTTAATGTTTTGACAAAAATTTTTAAAGGTCCAACAGAACAATCACAATTTTTTCCACTGATTACTATGATCCCTTTGAATAGTCTTAGCTTGCATGGTCATCTTTACAGTCCCATACTACTATGCAAACTGAGAAATGACTACATATAACATAGATTTACTCTCTATCTTAGTAATTTTAATCTTTATCATTGAGTGCTTAAAGGAACGTCTACAATGCACCATAAACCATACAGCAGAATGTTAGAATTTTCACTATAAAACCAAACACGTCATATATGCACACCCATGAAGTGTACAAACAGTACATACTAAGTTATCTCTTAACACTATTTTTCCTTTTTCTGGTGTTTTGTTGTTGTTTGTTTGTTTTTGAGACAGAGTCTCGCTCTGTCGCCCAGGCTGGAGTGCAGTGGCACGATCTTGGCTCACTGCAACCTCCGCCTCCTGGGTTCAAGTGATTCTCCTGCCTCAGTCTCCCCAAGTAGCTGGGACTACAGGTGCATGCCACCATGCCCAGCTAATTTTTATTGTATTTTTAGTAGAGACGAGGTTTCACCATGTTGGCCAGGGTGGTCTCAAACTCTTGACCTCAGGTGATCTGCCTATCTCAGCCTCCCAAAGTGCTCAGATTACAGGGGTGAGCCACTATGCCCGGCCAAATCTTTAGTTTCTAAACTAATTTGGAAAGACAGAAAAATTCGTATCTTCCTATGTATGTAATCAAAAAATAGTAGTCAAAATATTCATTGCATTTTCACTGTCACTCAATCTTTTGCCAATCATAATCTATTTTTTTTTAGTTTTTATTTTTAGAGACGGGGTCTCATTCCTGTCGCCCAGGCTGGAATGCAGTGGCACAATCATGGCTCACTGCAGCCTCAAATTTCTGGACTCAAGAAATCCTCCAGTCTAAGCTTCCCAAGGAGCTGAGATTACAAATGCGAGCCACTGAGCCCAACTATAATCCGATTTTTTATTTGTATATCTAATTATTATATAATTTTATATATAATTGCACAATATATATTTTATGAAAAGTAACGGTTTCTAAGATGAAGAAAATCTAACCCCTTCCATGAGTTCCAGTATCTTATTATAACTACACTAAGCTACAATAATAGCTTAATATTAAACATTAATGTTTCTTCGACCTAAGGAAGCTGATTTTTAAAAATAATAAATATTAATTTTAAACACAGTATTAAAGTATTAATAATCAAACAAAGCCACGCAGTGAAACGACATTTGAATTTTGGGAAATTTTCTTTTTTTTTCCTTTTCTTTTTTTTTTGAGACAGAGTCTCACTCTGTCGCTCAGGCTAGAGTGCAGTGAGGAAATCTTGGCTCATTGCAACCTCCACCTCCCAGATTCAAGCAATTCTCCTGCCTTAGCCTCCCAGGTAGCTGGGATTACAGGTGCCTGCCATCACGCCCAGCTAATTTTTGTATTTTTAGTAGACAGGGTTTCACCATGTTGGCCAGGCTGGTCTCGAACTCCTGACTTCAAGTGATCCGCCCGACTCCACCTCCCAAAGTGCTGGGATTACAGGTTGAGCCACCACACCTGGTAAGAATGTTGGGAAAATTTTTTCATACTAACACATTGGCATATCAGTTATCAGTTGGATAAAAGTTTTCTTCCATATAGGAAGTTATAAAATGCCACTGCCCAGAGACAAAATCTTCTGAAGAGTTATTAGATGAATGGCTGACAACATCGAATAAAAATGCACAAAGAACATTGCCATAATAAACTTTTGATATCCAAAGGGCTACATTTGAGGGGTTATATACCTAAAAGAAACCTCTTTCGGCCAATATTTACATCCCCCTTAAACTCACCTACTACTCTCTCTCTATATATGCCCATTAAGATAGGATATCTTTTGAGAACCTGCCTCCAGAAATAAAGTCTTTAAAAAGTTTGGGCCAGGCACGTGGTTCACGCCTGTAATCCCAGCACTTTGGGAGGCCAAGGCAGGAGGATCTCTTGAGGCCAAGAGTTTGAGAACAGCTTGGGCAACACAGCAAGACCTCATCTCTGCAAAAAATAATAAAAATAATTTTTAAAAGTTTAAAAATATAGCATTTCATTTTAAAAAGTGCCTAGAAAAGCAGAAGATTTTAAAACATATAAATGTCACTTGCATCACTAAATACCCCCTTAACCTTCAAACAGTCTCTACTCCAATAACACACATAACAAATAAACCCTAGGCCCTTACAGCAATTGGGTTAAGAAAGGTTAAATTTCAGAATGCATAAAGATAGGAGGCATTTCTCATTCTTATGGTAGAGACTACATGCTGTCGTCTGTGTACATGCTTACAATAATAAAGGCCAACCTTTTATTAATGTTTGCTAATAAATATCCTCCTGATTTTCCATTCCAGCTAAGATTTGATAATATAATTGACTCTTCTGTGTTTTCATCACAAGCAGCACTGTTACAGATATCATTTCCTCTTAATTTATCCACAGGCTGTGTGAATAATTTAGAAAATTATTTTCGAAGGACTCTATCTAGGGAAGTCTTTTGGGTTTTAGAGTAGGGTTCTTTCTGGTTTTCTGCAGCTGTGGGGTCACTCCATCAGAATTTCATGGTTATATCCTTTGCGCAATCTGTAACATTGTTTAAGTTCAAAGCTACATACATTATTTCATCAAAATTAAAAACTTTTGGGCATTAAAAGATCCTATCAAGACCATGAAAGACAATCTACAGATATTAATATATCTGTAACCCACAGAAGTATTTGGGAGAAAATATTTGTAAATCATATATCTGATGTGAGAATAATATCCAGAATGTATAAAGAACTACAGAACTACAACTCAACAACAAAAAAGCGCACATCTCAATTCAAAAATGGGCAAAGGATTGAACAGACATTTCTCCAAAAAAGACATACAAATGACCAATAGCACATAAAAAAATGCTCATTAGCACTAGCCATTAGGAAGCTAAAAATCAAAATGACAATACTATGTCACACCCATTAGGATGGTTATTAATTGAAAGAAAACAGAAAATAACAAGTATTGGGTAGATATGGAGAAAATGGAAGGAGCACTTGTGCATTGCTGGTAGAAATATAAAATGGTACAGAAGCCGTGGAAACCAGGTTAGCTGTTCCTTAAAAGGTTAAATATAGAATTACCATATGACCCAGCAATTCCATTCCTAGGTTTATATCCAAAAGAAGTGAAAGCAGGACTCAGATAGATATTTGCACACCAGTGTTCACAGCAACATTATTCACAATAGCCAAAAGGTGGAAACAACCCAAATATGTCCCATCAACAGATGGATGTATAAACAAGATGTAGTATATACAAATTATTCAGTCAAAAAAAGAAATTAAATTCTGCTATGTACTACAACATGGATAAACCTTGAAAACATTATCCTAAGTGAAATAAGAAAGGTCAAATATTGTTTGATTCTATTTCCATGAAGTGTCTAGAATAGGCAAATTCATAAAAAGAGAAAGTAGAATAGAGGTTACCAGGGGCTGGGGAAGAAAAGGGATAGAGAATTTCTGTTTGGGATGATGAACAAGTTCTGGAAATGGACAGTGGTGATGGTTATACAATATTGTGAATGTACTTCATGCCACTAATTGTACACTTTTTAAAATAGTTCAAATGGTAAATGGTATGTTTTATGTATATATATATATATAACCACAATAAAAATAAAATAAATTGCCAAAGCCAGGAGAAGGTGGGGGAGAGCTATGTACATACCCGAGTTTGTGAAGATCAGACAAAGATTCACATGAACTATTTTGAAAGTCTTTTACAATAATCCTAGTAAGACATAGCTGAAAACATAATACTGATCATGACTAAGCCATAATCCTATTACAGTGGAAATCATAATTTAGTACAATTTTTTGCTTTCTCAAAGATATGAGAAAAGCTGCATACATGTATTTATATACCAGAAAAATATACCTTTTAGTAAGGGTTTTACAGCAATGCAAATGTCAAAGTAGCACTGGCCTAAATTGAGGCAAATAGTTTTTTAACTAGTAGGCGATAACTGTGAAGGACTTAGTAAATGTGAAAACTTTGAAAAGCTGAAAAATCCACCTCTAGTATTTTGACTTCACTGACATAGGGAAATGCACAAACATCTACTACATTCCAGATTTAGGGACTCAGGATACTAAGATAAACAGAAAAAGTCTACCCTTTCAAAAGTTTAGCTTATCTCTGCCAGGATCACAAGAGGCACTAGTGAAGAACAGACATTTTGGGGGCATTTTCAAATTCTCAAACTGACACAAATACATGAGATGCGCAAAAGTCTTCTAAATTACAGTGTAACCTACAATTGTCTATCTTCTAATAAATTCTTCTAACACATAGAGAACTTCTGTGTAGTGCAGTTTTCTGAGACCTGTAATTATAAACTTCAGTTACATTGCTATAAACTTCCAAATTGGGAGTTTGAAATATGAGCCACATGTTACTTAACGTTCAGAAGACGTATAAATGAGAGCAAAAGGTTATGGCTTAACAGAAAACTAAATAAGAAATAACTATTGATTTTTAAATAGCAACATATCACAATCATAGACACACCAATGACTGTAACCATATGGTTCTTCTCTCAATCATCAAGCATATGCTAAATTTGTACTTAAAACGGTCCAATGTGACTTTAAAAAAAGGTTACTCTTCAAGCAGCTTTCAATCTAGTTGGGAGAGTAAATTACTACACATAAAACGTGTTATTTATGTACATATATATGTAAAAATACTCAAATACAAAGGATCCAAATGTAAGAATTCAAAGGAGATAAGTTAGTTCAGGAAAGCTCCAAAGAAGGTAAGATTTAGGCAAAGTCCAGAAGGATAGACAGAATTGAATGGAAATGAACCCTTCATAATCTAACTTCATCTTGCCTTTCCAACACATTGTACAATACAAAATTATTAGAATAGATAAAAGCAGTCTATGGCCATACCAACCTGAACATGCTGATCTCATCTGATCTCAGAATAAAAACAAATTAGAAAAGAAGCTGAGTGCAGTGGCTCACGCCTGTAATCCCAACACTTTGGGAGGTTGCGGTGGGTGGATCTCTTGAGCTCAGGAGTTCAAGACCAGCCGGGGCAACATAGCAAAACCCCGTCTCTACAAAAAAACACAAAAATTAGCAGGGCATAGTGGTGCACACCTGTAGTCCTAGCTGCTAGGGAAGCTGAAATAGGAGGATGGCTTGACCCTGGGGAGTTGAGGCTGCAGTGAGCAGTAAATGTGCCACTGCACTCCAGCCTGGGTGGCATAAAAAAGTCGTTCCAGATAAGAGAAATCACAGAAATATGGAATAAGAAGAGCATACTAATGAGCCCACTTAATGCTTATTGTAGAGAAGTGGTTAAATATTTTACATAGGAATACACATGTCAAATTATATAAATCATATGGGAGAAAAAACGCTCCAAAAATTACATGGAATTTTGACATGACTTTCCAATGTACCCTATTCATACCCACTACTCATTTGCTATTTGAGAGAAATGTCTCAGAACCAGTCAGACCAAGGCTCACCTTCAAAACCAGGTGGGCACCCAAATTATAACAAGAATTAGAAATTTGTGTTTGTCCTTGCATATAAGGCTGTGTTTCATTTTTCCTTCATATTTACTACTGATTGCTTCATGAATTCAGATAATTTCAGAGCCAGGAGGCATTATTTATAACCCAAATTTTAAATGTTTATATTCCTGAAACATTTGAATATTTGCATAAATGTCATGAGACAAACAAAATTTACTCTGTAGAAAGCACAATTTACCAGATTATTACTGCTAGTTTTATTCTGTCAGCTCTCTCCTTTAAGGAGAAAGCACAGCACTAGGTAGTCCCATTTATTACATCAACATTTTAATAAGGCCAGGCACTGTAGCCCATACCTGTAATCCCAGCACTTTGAGAGGTTAAGGCCAGAAGATTGCCTGAGTTCAGGAGTTCAAGACCAGCCTGGGAAACAACAGTGAGATTCCCATTACTACAACAAAATAAAAAAATTAGCCAGGTGTGGTCCGCACATCTGGAGTCCCAGATACTTGGGAGGCTGAGATGGAAGGATTGCATGAGCGCAGGAAGTAGAGGCTGCAGTGAGCCATGATCGCAGAAATGCACTCCAGCTAGGGTGACAGAGGGAGACCCTATCTCAAAAAAAAAAAAAAAAGAAAAAGAAAGATCTGTATCTGTCCCTTGGACTATTTGCCTCCTACTCCTCCAATTCGTTCTTTATATTTCCCATAGAATAATCTTTGAAATGCACCTCTAGTCATTTTACTCAGGTGCTCTTCTTCAGTGGAAGGTACGTATGCCCTATGGTTTGAAGTCAGTCATTTCAGCATGGCAAGCCCTAGTAGTTTCTATGATTTGGTCCCTGTCTGAACACTGTGTACCCTTGCAACTGTTGCTTTCTAGATCTTGAAATGTTCTGCTTCTCCACAGGTTCCCCCTCTTATCTCTCCTATTACTTACATAAACTGCACAAATCTTACTATATAGCTTGACTGAATTTTTAGGGATGCATCCAAGGAATTATCCTGCAAAATTAAGATACAGAACATTTCCAGCACCCCAGTAGGCTCTCTTCTGTTCTCTCCCAGTCAACACTGACCCTCAGAGGTCACCACTATTCTGTCACCATAAATTAGTTTTGCCTATTTTGGAACCTCATATATACAGTAATGCAGTATTTACTTTTTTCGTGTGTATGTGTGCATGGTGAACTCATTTTTAAGACCAAATTTTATGCATCTTCTCTGTGAAGCAAAACCCTGTCTGTTCCACACAGACTTAGAGTGGCAGAGGAGTACCTTAACCTATCAAAGGCTATTTTGAGCAAAAGCCACTTTGTGTCATTGAAGCTGTAGAACTGAGCCACAAGAGGGAACTGTTAAAGTCCCAGGGTCAAGGACCAGGTACCTACGTTATCCCCACAGCACAGAAGCACAGCCTGAGTCTCTTCTTTGGCTGAGCCAAGGGCGTGCTGGAGAGGCCTGAGAGAAGGAGCGGCCCTTGTGACCAGTGCCCTTTTGGTTCACAAGGAACGTCTCCTCTTGTTGAAGTGACTTGGCTGAGCTTGCTACTTCTGCTTTCAGAGCCCAATATCAGGATCAAGACTTCAATTATCCCCAATTTACAGATGATGAAACCATATTGGGCAGGAAAGAAAGTCACCCCAGGAGAGCGAGTTGGACCCGGGCACTGGCTGAGGACAAAGGGGAATGATAATTTGGGATGTAGCTTGTTAAGGGGTCTCACAAGTGTTCTTGTGATCCAGGTGGCGAGAGGATAGAGCAGAAAGGTTGCCAGGGAGACGAGGGTAGGGTGCACTGCGAGAGTGGGAGAAATTAAAGAGAACACGCAACAAAGCCTTGGGACACTGGGAGGGGGATGGACCACCCAGTTTTGTGCTATGGGAGAAGAGAGCAAGAAAAGGAATCTGTGTTAAATCCCGACAGCCTGCAGGAGAAGCAAATGCCCTTCATTTTCTTCATCAGCAGCGAGACTGGCATCCCTGTAGCTTTGAGAAACCATGCTAGTGTAGATGCCAGCTCCCTCCAGCGGGCCTGACTGGGAGAACTTGGGCTGGGGTTCTGGTCTGGGGCTCCTAGGCCTGATGGGAAGAGAGTTCAGCCCAGCTTTCCTGTACTTCAGCTCGTATGCAGATGATGGCCATTGTTGAAATGAGAGACTCAAAGGAAGCTGGAACCTGAACTTTTTTGTTGTCTTGTGGACACCTGTGTTCAGTTTCGGGTTCTACCTCTTGCTGTCTGTGTGTTCTTAGGTGACTCACTTAAACCTTTCTGAGTCTCATTGTCTTCATTTATAAAATAAAAGACGTAACATTGATGTCAGATATTGTCCTGAGCATTAAATGGGAGAATAAGCAAGCCTCTTCTGCATTCCCCTGGCATCCAGTGGGTGGAGGCCAGAGAAGCTGCTAAACATCCTGCCAGGTGCAGGACAGCCCCCATCGCAAAGAATTGTCTGGCCCCTGATGTCAGTAATGCAGTATTGAGGATCCTTGGTGTGGGGGAAACAGAATAAACTCAGAAGCTTGGCAGATCTCAATTCAAACCCCGGTTGTACGGCCTCCAGCAGGCCTTGGTCAGGGAATAGTATCTAGCTAAAGTTCATTGACTTCATTTTGTTTTCATTGAATTTATGTTTTGCTGGCTTTCCATTTATGAGAGTGATACAAATTTCCTTTAAACATGAAGTTGTAAATATAAACAGGTAGGCCATTCACAGGAATGTCTAAATTATGTCACAGGAAAGGTGGCACTCTCATATGGCAATAATTATGACAGAGGCCGGCAAATGACCTGCGTGACCCGGAGTGGCCTGAGCACTGACTCCCAAATGCCCTCCATAGGATGTTCTGCATCCCCGAGACCCTTTCCTGGGTCCTCCTGGGCCCTACCACCCCCTAGACCATCCAGACCTCAGGTCATCCCCCTGTCTGTTGACAGAGTAGTCTCCGTTCCTGAATGTGCTGGTCACCAGCAACAGCAGCTGCTCCTCCTCCGGGAAGCTCAGCCTATACTTCTACATGCAGAGAACCTGGACGGCACCCAGGTGGACCTAAGCCTTCAGCTCCCAGTAGACGCTCTGGGTTTCCTACCCTGCCCAGACACTCTGGGCTTCCCCCGACACCTCCCCTCGGCCGGGGCTCCTGTGTGCATCTGTCTCTCCCAGTGCCCAGCACAGGCGTGGAACGGAAGAGGTGAATGGACCGATTTGAACACATCATCCTGGATTCTCCGTTCCCTCTCAAGCCCTGCAGCTAACCCATCGGCAAGCCCTGGAGGCTCTGCCTCCAAAATCCTGCCTATCCCATGTGCAAACGCCTCTCACCATGTCCACTGCTATTTGCAGTTCTGTGTGTGTGGAAATACTTCCACAAATTTGGAATGAACAGGTCACGGCTGTGCCTGGAGGGAATGGCCAGGGAAATGTGCCCTCGCCTTGCTGTTCTATCCAGGCCCACCCAGCTGAGGATGGGGGACCTGCCACCACTCTCCTGGCAGTTCCGGACTCCTGGGAACCGGCAGGTGAGGACCCAAGAGTGTTTTCAGTGACCCGGCTGACCTGGTCATCCGTCAGTCCCACCTTGGCCTAGGCCTCTATACAGCACAGATCACAGCTCATTCCATCCTGGCATTACACTGGCCTGTGCCCTGTCCTCAGGGTCACATCCGTCTCCCAGAAGCCGTGCAACCCTGGAAAACCCAGGTCTAACAGTCAGCTTCCTCCTCCGTGCATTAACAATGGCGTTGACGCCTGCTTTGCGGCACGCTGGGAGGGGAGAGGGAGGTGTATGCTGGAGAGCTCCCCAGGGGCAAGGCCTGGCTCTGCGTCACCCACTGTCAGATCCTGAGAGCCTGGGGCTGGCCCAGCACGTGGCCACCGTTCCCTAAGAGTTGGATTTCATCCCTCAGTGCTGAAGGCAGGGGATAGAGCTTAGACAGACCCCCTGCGTCCTGTCTTCTTTATCTACAGCTTTCTCATCCTTGCCCCTTTCACGTGCACCCGGCAGAGCAGGTGTTCACTGAGCTTGAGCAAAATTCAAGCTAGAGCAGCTGATGGATCTTGAGGCCTAGATTCACTGTCAAAGTGTTTCTCAAACGGTGCTCTCCAGAACACCAAGGAAAACTCATTGACTGTGTAAGTCTGAAAATCCCTGCCCACCGGTCTACCTTTGTGTATGAGCAATCAGCTCTACCATTCAGCCCAGGTGTGTGTTTGCTGGACCATGTGGAGGAAGCTGAAGAGACGTGAGCTGAAGGCAGAGGGTGAGTCCAAGGTGGGATCTTGGGACAGGTACGAGAAGTTAGGCAAAAATGGGATAATTCTAGCCTTCATAACCTTAGATAATAGTTCACATTATTATTTAGTTAATAGAACTGTACCCACATTAAATTTCTTAAATTTTTTTAAGAGATAAAGTCTCACTCTGTCACCCAGGCTGGAGTGCAGTGGTGCAATCATGGCTCACTGCTTCCTGGAACTCGTGGGCTCCAGCAATCCTCCTGCCTCAGCCTCCTGACTAGGTGGGACTATAGGCACACGCCACCATGCCTGGCTAATTTCTTTGACTTTTCTCTAGAGACCGGGTCCACCTAGGTTTCCCAGGCTGGTCTCAGACTTCTAGACTCAAGTGAACCTGAACCTCCCGCCTCGACCTCTCAAATTGCTGGGATTACAGGTGTGAGCCACCACACCCGGCCTAAATTTCTTATGTGCCATGGGACTGCAAAACATCATTATTAGGGGCAGCTGGATGGAAGGTATAGGAGGATACTATAGTGCCTTTTCAATATTTCTGTCTAAAATCTAAAATCATTTCAACAGGAAACATTTATTTCAAAACATGAAGGTGGTTATCCTTCCATGAGTTTGAAGTACAAAGGCAGGCTCACGGTGTCGTCAGAATTCAGAACGATGGTCGTGGGGCTGGGGGTGCTGGGAGGGGCTGGGCATGGTTGGCTTTGTGATCTGGGGTCTGGTGTGTTCCATCTCTGAATCTCTCTCGAGCTGCACTCTTTCTTAATACATTTTCATAAGTTTAACCAAAAATAAAACGAGGATGCGAAGCTTGCTTGGGTTGTTAAGCCTAGGGAAATTATCCAGCCATGAGCCCTGGCCCAGATGCTTCTAGAAGCCTGGAGGGAACTGAGAACTTTCCAAGTGGAGGCCGCAGAGGCAAGGCCCTGAGGTGGGAGCACACTGCTGTTCGTCCCTAGCTCTGAAGGGGGTGCCCTGGTCGGAATCAGTGCTGGGTGCAGCGAAAGCCGATCTCACCCGCTCCGCAGGGTGTTCAGCCTGCCAGCAGGGGGCCAGCTGGTCCTCCTGGGATATGGCACGGACCCAGCAGCTCTGCCTGAAATCATAATGGCGGAACCAAGGGCCCTCTACGTCCAGGTCCGTTGGGAGGCGGGGCATGGAGTTCCACTGCAGGAATCTCCAGGAACCCTGAGGTCCTCCCTGAGCCAGGGCCGGGCTGGGCACACCCTGAGTGCCCACAGGGTAGGTGTCTTCCCGGACAGCCCCACCAGGACAGGGTGTGGAAGAACGAGGTGCCCGTGGCGGGGAAGCTGACCAAATGGGCCGCGGGAACCGGGCTGGTGGGCCTGGAGGGGCCTGCCTGTCCCCCTTGCAGAGGGTCTTCCCGCCACGTGAAGCCGGCACAGGCCTGGATGCCGACGACCCTTGCTCGGGTTTGGCTGAAAGGAAAACAGACGCGGTCAGCATCTCCAGTGAGCCCACGCAGGCCTTTCCGGGCTGGGCCCCACCTGCCTGCGTCTCTGGAGTCCTCGGGGTCTCTGTGTGGCCCCCGTGGCCTGACACCGAGGACACGCCTGTAGTCTGCTGATCCCAGAGGGAGGGGTGCATGCTGCCTGGCGTGGGGAAGCTGTCGTGGCATGGCGGGTGGCTCCTGGGACTGCCCCCAGGGTTCAGACTGGCTGGGGGCTTCCTGCCACACACCTTCGTCCCAGGGCTGTTGGGCCTGGGATACGGCCCCCAGTCAGAACTCAGGTGGGAGGGGCCTTGGATGTCACCCAGCCCCTTGTCACCTCACGTGGGGACCCGTCTCCGCAGTGGGTGATTGGGCCCGGACGTGGGTCACCCTCTGCCCTCCTGGGCTGCCCAGTCCATGCCAGGACTGACCGTTCCCACTTCTGGCTGAACTCTTGGCTCTGGCTCTGGGCCCGGGGTCCCGCCTGTGCCCTCTCCCTGAATGCTCTGTGGGTCAGGGACACGGATTCCCTTGTCTCCCTGGCTCCAGGCTTCTTGTCCTGGCAACCTTGGAGGAGCGTGCAGGAGTGAGGGGCCTCTGCTGCTCTCTGAGGCTGTGGGTGCTTGCAGGGAGGGGCGGGGTCTCCCACAAATGGGTCTGGGCTCGTCTAGTAACTTGGAGGGCCCTGCGAGGGGGAGAGGGAGACACCGTGGAAAGTGGGAGGGGGCTTGTTGGAGGGTCTTGCCCACATCCCCCTCCTGCGTGCACAGCATGTCCAGTATACACGCACTGAGCGCCTGCCCTGAGGACCGGTGGGCCTCCTGTACTTTCTTAGAGTCCAGGAGGAAGAGGAGGAAGAAAAGGTGAAGAGGAAGGCCCAGGTAGTAGGGTTGCGGGTCCCGGGCACTCCCCTACTACTGACTACCCCAGAGGGTGACATGGGAGGGGACATGGCACTGGAGCCCACCTGGGGGTGGCAGGTCCCCCTTCTTTCTTGTTAGTTTCTTCATAGAGGCCCTAAGATGCTTGAGCACAGTGTCCTCATCCCTGGCCCAGGTATCAACGAACCGGTTGCAAAAACGTGCCCACGGGCCACACCTGGACGTCTTCGTGAGGCGCTCTAGGGACAGGGTGGATATCAGGCCAGGGGAGTTACCTGGGAATGGTCACAGCTCATACCCCGTGGCCACTTCAGTCTCCTACTGGGCAGTGCCGGATCCTTTTGTGGCCACCCCAGGTGTCCAGATACACACAGGAGACTGTGGCTGGGGGGCGATCCGGACAGGGAAGTGCTCACCACACTCTCGACTTTCATCTGGGTCATGTGGGGGATGGGCTCGGTGTCACAGTGTCCTGCCCAGCCCACCTGGCCAGACCTCCCTCTGGGCCAGAACAGAGGATCATGAGGACAGTGTGAGGAAGCTGCCCTCGGGCCAGTCGGGGTCTGACCCCAGGGCTCCCCAGGCCCCGCTGGGCACACGTAGACTTACTCTGCTGAACCTTAAAGGCGATTCTTGTTATCGGCATCAACGCCTGTTCGCCTTCTACCAGATACACGTCCCACAGGCGCAGGGTGAGCCCGAGAGAGATCTGTGGGGACAGCAGGTGTGAAAGAACCTGGTCCTTCCAGGCTGGGGCTGGTGGCTCGAGCTGCGCACACTGGGGCTTCAGTCTCCAGAGTCAGTGACCTTCCCCATGAGGGTCGCCTGAGCCCTCCAGGACGCTGGGTCAGACAAGGTCTTGAAGCTCCTCATGGGGGGCACTCATTTGAGTGGGGATGTGGCTCCTGGAGAGAGGGGCTTGCCCAGGGCTTGAGGCCTCCCTGAGCCCTCTCAAGTCGGGTCCTGGCCCAGTCTGCCCATGAGGCTGGGCCTGAGCCCCAGCCATGGCCCTGGGATGACCCCCCTTGGGCAGAGGGTTTTGCTTGTGTGTCCTTTGGGGACCCGCCTGAGCCTCCTGTGGGCTGGGAGTGAGCCAGACCCCCGGGCTGGGGAAGCAGGGCACTGCAGGGCAAGGAAGGTCCCTGAGCCAGGGTCTCCCTATGCCTCCTTACCCCGTCAATCAATATCCGGATGAGGCAGCCTAACGGGGAACACTGCCCACATAGATCTTTCTTGTCCTGATGGAAGCAACAGAGGTGCTCAGGCCACTGGGCTGCCCTAAAAACCTCCCTCTTCCAGGGCCTCTGAAGACCCTTCCCCTAGTGCAGAACACTGGGCGGTGTCCAGAGCTCCCCACAACACTGTCACCTTCCCACACTCCCGGTGGACACACTGCCCTTTGCCCTGCTCTGCGGGAGCTGGGCCCCCATCCCTGTGCCTCTGTCTCCTCCAGGGCAGGAAAGGAAACCAACTCCCAGCCCATGGAGAACCCGACGTCCCAGGTCAGGCCCTGGCTGGGACTCAGCCAGTCACCAGCCCCACGAGGGGCTCCAGCCCCCCTGCTCCTACAGCCCCACGGGAGGCAGGGCCTCTGGGAAGAGCTGAGGGGACCATAAACTCACCTGATGCCCCATGGTCTTGGGTTGTGACGTGGCTACCACATGCTCCTGTTGGTCTTGGAGCCCCTGGACGGTCCCGCCATTTGGGCTGTGAAATCCTGAGAAGCCCCCAGCCCATCATGAAATCAGAGCCTTCCCCCAAGATGTGGAGCCATCAGCTGCAAGAGCTGGGCAGCTGGAGAGGCCCCCAAACCCCAAGGCCTCCCACCCTCCCGTCTGGTGACCCCAACATGCGGCCTTTACCCTGGGGAGGTGGGGCGGGAACATTCCCTGGAGCCTGGCTGGAGGTTCCCCTGGAGGCCTCCTGGGCCAGGGTGCAAAAAGGGCAAGCCTGACTTTCAGGCCACGACAGGGTGGCCGGAACTGGGTGGGCGCTGGGCTTCCCGGTCATCTCCTGGTAGTGGGGTCGGGCCAGGGAACAGGGGATGGGGAGATGCTGCCACCTGGGCTTGGTCGGCCCATTCGTGGGCACCGATGGCAGCAGGAGCCCGGGCAGCTGGAGGGCAGGAGGACTCTCAGGGAGGGGAGAGTCAGCTGCACAGAATCAGAGCCGGAGGGCGTGGCTCCAGGACACAGAGGGTGGCCACGGGGAGGATGAGATGCCCTCTGCTGATGGGGATGAGAGGCGTCTGATTTGGGCTTTGGGGGTCAGCCGTGGACTCCTGTGGGACCCTCAGCAGAGACATTCTAAAGTCTCCCAACAAGCTGGCGACACAAGGAGGGTGCCTTGGCTGAAAGCTGTGATCACCTGGCCAGGGTGGCCATCCCCAGGTCTGGCTGCAGGAGGTCCCCGGGGCAGCTGTTCACTTACCCTGCAGGGAGTGCCTCTCACTGGCCAGCAGCTGCACCAGTGCCCAGAATGCATCCTCCTCAGGAAGATAGAGGAGGAACAAGGCGGCGATGTGGCTCAGGTCCCTGCAGTAGCCCACCTCCTGCAAGAGCCAGAGTCACCATGGAAGGACATCACCTGGGAGGGCTGAGGTCACCTGGGAGGACTCATGTCATTGGAGAGGGCAGAGGTGACTGGAGAGGCTTCCTCTGAAGGAGAGACTTCCTCTGAAAAAGAGGCTTCCTCAGGATGCACATTCATTTCATGACAAGAGCCAAGTCCATCAGGCACTTCAGCACCTTGTCCAAAATGTCTGCTGATAGCACCATCCTGTGTGCGATGCTGCCAAGCTCCTGGGCTTTGGGGCAGCCCCAGGAGGAGGGCGTCATTTCTTGTTCTGAGAAGTGGTGGTCAGGCCCAGGTGACACCAGGAGTCCAGGCCCTGACTCCTTTGTGTCTCAGCTTGACCCCTTGAGACCACCCCCTTCCTTGGAGGTTTATGCCAGCGGTGAGCTGACATCCTACCTCCTATATCCTGGTGGGTCACAAATACTAACTTTAAAAGAAGCAACGACACCCCCACCAGACACCCACTCCTGTCAATATGGAAATATGGCCCGGGAACCTCACTGCCGGGAATACTCACCGGGTTATACTCCTCATATGCCAGGAGGATGTGGAGTAGTTCCCGCTGCCTAGGAAACAGAGAAAGGGGGCTTTGGTTTGTTTTGTGCAGATGTTGTTAATTTCACTTTGTCTACAAAGCCTAACAGCAAATCCCATTTCAGGTTCAGATGTTTCACCAGATAAGCAGTGAGCTCTTCAGGGCCTGAGACCCTTGAAGAAATGTTTCAGTAAAATCCACATCTGTGACATGCAAATAGCCCAGTTGTACAGTGACTTGCCTGATCCTTTTCACTCTGAATGATTTTTTTTTTTTTTTTCAGTTTGCACACACGCCAGTTCAGTCTGTGGGTGTACAGTTCCTCCACGGTTCCAAACCGATGTGCAGAGTCTCCCGGCCACCGCTCCAGCCCCTCCTGGGGCGACTCCTTCATCCTCCAAGTCTCCAGGGTGGCCCCTATGCACCCAGCCTCTCCCCGATCCGTCAGCCCCTGGCCACCCAGACTGCTTCTCAGTCCCTGTGGTTTGGCCTTTTCCAGAATGGCCTAGGAATGGGAATCCTACTGTGGTAGCTTATTGGGTCTGGCTTCTGTCCCTCAGCAAAATGCATCTAGGATCCACCCACGTTCGTGCGGGCATCACCGGCTCGTTCCCTTTTCTCACTGGGTCTTCCGTTTGAAGGGAGGACCAGCCTTGCTCTCCCCATCCCCGTGTTGAAGGCCGTCCCCGAAGGCTCCGTGTGTGAGTGACGAGGAGTCAAGCAGTGAACCTGGCATGCTGGTTTCATGTGGATGTCAGTTTGCAAATCAGTGGGTTCAATATCTGTGACACTTTGGGGATGTGTGGTTCAAGTCCATCGAGCTTTGTGAGCCACTGCCCAACGGGCTGCCAACGTGGCTGTGCCATGTCATGTTCCCAGCGGACCTGGATGAGAGTTTCCAGGACCCCTAATTCTCCCAGCATTTGGTGCTGTCACTGTTGCCTGGGGGGGGCTCATGGGCCCTCTATCCTGCCACCCTCCCGTGGGTCCTACCATGGGTCCCCATGGGTCAGGGAGAGCACCCTTCACCATTGTGCATGATTTTGTTTGCTGCCTTCCATCTCCTCAGGATCCTCCTGGGTTCTGGCCCCACATGTTCCAGTCTGGCCCAGGGCTTGGAACCAGGGAGGTGCTCGGTTCATGGTGCCGGCTGCTCCCTGGGCCGGGAGAGCTCTTGGCAGCTGTGTCATCCCTCCTGGGTGACCCTGGCTTCTGCTCCGGGGAAGCCCCCATCCCTCTCATTCACCCCATCTCTGCTGGGACCCTGTGGCTCCCGTAGGCTTACTTGGTTCCGTATCGATCCCTGAAGAATATATGCTTCCTTAATGTCCCGCTTACGTCCCGGTCGATGCGCTGGATGTGCTCAGATGACTTCTTGCCCTTCTCCTTCATGATCTGTAGGGCAGGGCCAAGAGGAGGAAGCAGTCTCAGAACAGATGGAAGACTCCCTGCCCCCAGTGGCAGTCAGCCCACAGTCAGCACTTCGGGAAGGAAGGACAGAAGGAAGGTTTCCTTCTGCAGAAAGCTGCATTTTGGCTTGTTACTGAAGCCAGGGAGGGTCACCAGAGCTGAGTTTGTCTGTGGTGACTGTGTCACCATCTGTGCCCAGGGTGTTCATCTGACCTTCACCCCCAGCTCCCCAGGGTGGTCTTGACGTTCCCTCCAGCTGGAGACCTGGGCCCCGACACGGCCTGTCCTGTTTGTTGTGCTCTGGCTGAGCGTACCTGGTATCTTCCGGGGTTTTTCAACTTCATTTCCTCAATGTTCAGGAGGACTGACCACATCGGGCCCCGGATGTTCATGGGCATTCCCTTGTACGCTCGATCTATGAGCTGTGGGCAGAAAACGATCTGGTGTCACAGGCCACGGGGTGACCCCAGTGAGGACCAGAGCCCGGGGATTCTGGAAATTGTCGGTTTTGGCCCCATGATTCCTCAGTAGAGGTGAGATCAAGCTGGGACAGGGTCTCCCTTCCCAGGACTGAAAGAGTGGATGGACACTCAGAGTCGAAACTCTGATCTGAACCTTTTCCTTCCTTCAGGTCACCAGGGCATCCCTAGCCTTGAGCTCCGGGTAGTCCCAGCCCTAGATTCAGATTCCCTCCCTGCAAGGTGACGCTTGCACGAATAGGCAGGAAATCTGGCGACCAGGCCTGCAGTCCTCTGGGCGAGGACAGTGTGCCGCCCACCCTCTGAGAGGCTGATGGTGCCAGGCCACAGCCATGGGTGCCTGTCCCCTGTCTCTGCAGAGAGTGCTTCCTCCCTCCACACGTTACCTTTCTGCTGCTTTTGTATTTCTCCCAGTCTCCCAGCATATCCACCCACTTGCTCTTTCGGCTGATCTCCCGCCGAATTTGCTGTCAAATGAGGCATGTTGGAGTTAGCGGAGCTGCCAGGCTTCCCAGAGCCGCCCGCGGATGCTGGGTCTTGGGCTCTGGAGCCCTGGTGGGAGCCAGCTGGAAGGAGCCAGGGAAGGGCAGACCTCAAGGGCTGAGAGCCTTTGAGCAAATGAGCACCAGTGGGCTGGCTTTGGGACCCCGGGATGTACCATCCTCAGGCCACAGACACACCAGTCTTAGGTCCCAGCCTCTAGGTGGGGTCCTGACACAAGCGCGCAGCCACCCCCAAGCCAGGACTGTGGTTCTCCTTTTGGAATTTTATCAAACTGCCAAAGTGAACAGCAACCTGGGGTCAGGTCCAGCAGGGACTGCTGCCCCTCCCAGTGACAGCGTGTTGCCCTCACCCGCCACCGCTCAGGCCAGCTGCTTCCTCTGCCTCACTGACCACCCGCCCAGTCCCTACGTCCCTGGACCAGCCCCTCCACGCATCAGGCTCTTACCTTCGCCTCCCGCGCAGTCAGAGGAGGCAGCTCCGTCTCACTGTAAGGCAACCCAGGCAGAGCTGAGGAACTGCACGGGGCCTGGAGCGGCCCCAGCCTGGGTGCCGACCCCCAGAAAGGACTGGCTCTGTCCCTTTCCAGCTCAGGGCTCAGCCCAGGAGAAGGCACAGGGAAGGGAGGACAAGGGCCTTCCTGTGGGGCTGACTCCCAGGAGGGGCAGGACCTGGGAGAAGAAGGAGTGTAGGGACAGCCTGGCCGGGGTTACTGGGGCCCCTGGCGTGGGGGGCGGTCAGGCTGCCCAATGGGGCTGCCCGTCCTGGACTCGAGGTGGTGCTTTCTGCTGGAGCTGAGAAAGGTTAGCCCTGAGATGGGATGGGGGCCGCCCAGGGTGGGCGACCGGGCCCTGACAGGAGTCCCTCAGGGAGTGACCACATCCCCCCGCCAGGGTCAAGGGAGCCTGCCCTGAGACCTGCCCGGTGTACTCTGGCTGCACCAGGGGCCCACCCCACTTGACAGCCCCAAGGCCCTTGCAGGTTCTGACCTCCCAGCATCCACCTGCCTCTCCCTGCACCCGAGCCACACACCCTGCGTTTCAGAAGTGGCACGGCTCGTCAGCTCCCTCCCGCCCTACCTCCCCAGGGATCCTCTGTCTCTCCATCCTGTGATCCCTGAGGGATGGGCTCCTGGCTGGGCTCCTCTTACCCGGCCCCAGATCCCTTCCCAGCACCAGACCCAGGTCTTTAGCCGCGAGCCCTGCTGCCTCCCTGGCCTCACCGTGAGATGCCCAGAACGGGGCCCTGCCCATCTTCTCCCCCGTTCTCCTAGGGCTACAGCCCCCATTGTCACCATGCCTTTTCCCCTCACGGGACAGTGAGGGCTGTAGCTCTAGGGGAATGGGGGAGAACAGGGGCAGGTGGGCCCTCAGAGACCTGCTGCACAACAGCCCTGAGGCTGGGCCAGGAGTCCCCTCACCCTGTGGCCATAACCCTTGCATCTCACCGGGTTTGTCTCCAAGTAGACAGGGCCAGACCCTCAGGCTGCCCCGCTCCTCTTGTGCTCACTTGCCGACAGAACTGCTGAGCGCCCAGGGGCCTGACCTAGCCCAGTCTCCATTCCCACCGGCTCCCTAGATGGGCCCCACACCTCTGGCCTAACAACCTCGGGCTGGACCTGCAGGGGAGTCAGGGAGGAGTTCTGTCCCTGGAAAGGAGGTTGACCCGACCTGGTGAGACATGTCCTGCGTCAGAAAGGCCTTTCTAAAAGCAAACCCATCCCTGAGCTGAGACAGGTGCTTTAGGGGTGAGGGGAGTGCAGAGGACTCACTGTACAATCCCCAAATGATCGACGTTGTTGTTGTAGCTTCGAAAAGGCTTAGGCCCCTTGTCCTCTGGCAGCCCAGCTCGGTGTCCCTGTAGCCCAGAGGGAGCCTTGGTGAGGGGTCCAAGGTAAAGGGTGCAAGGGCCTGGGGGCATTGGCCACCCGTCCCTGCCCTGTGCTCCTAGGGAGCCCAGGACCCTTTGACCAGGGCACACTGGAAGAGGCCTCCCTCCAAGAAGCAGACCGACTTGTACCTTTTCGTATTTCATAATGATGTCCTCTCGCTCTTGTGCCCACCAACTGCCCGCGACCTCTACCACGTCCATCCTGTGAGACAGAATTGTCTAAAGGTCACACCGTACGCGGCGGCTTCGGAGAACACCTGAACCGCTCTCGCCGGGCTCCCAGATGCTGGCTGGCTGCGTAACCCCCATTCCACCGCCGCCCCCAGGGAAAAAGGGGCCAGACCCAGTGGCCCACAGCTGCTCCAGTCTCTGGAGTCTCAAGTCCCAAGCAGGGGTGGGCATCTTCCCAAGGACTTGAGTACAGTGGGACCTAGACAGAGAATCCTGTTGTCCCCCAATGCCATGAAATGGGGACACACCGGCCCCAGCAGGTTGAATGGTTTCCACCTGCCAAGGGTGAAGGGCCCATGATGGGCTATTCCAGGGATGTGGAGGCAGACTGGGGTCAGCGACCAGAGGTCTCTGTGCAATCGGCCTCCTGGGATGCTCAGGGCCTCAGCGATGCCCAGTTTCCTACAGGGAACAAGATCTCTCCCGACTGCTCGGTTCTACTCCGCTCATCACTTTGGCTACCGTGGCTCTTCAGTCTGAACAGTGAAGCCACTTTAGGAATAACGCCTGTTGAGCAGGAGGGTGTTGGGTTTGGGGGATGAGGAAGATCTATTGTACGCATGGAAACCACGTCTCTCGCGGAGGGACTGTGGAGTCCACCATTCTGAGCCGTCCCAACAGGAGGAGGCTTCATTTTCCTGGGTCACTGAGGAAGAACAGTGGGTCCTTGGTCCTGGAGAACAGCTGGATGGACCGTCCCTCCTGGGAATACTCGAGGCAAAAGGAGGGCGAGGCCTCAAGAGGACCACGCAGAGCAAGAAATACCTGGGGAGAACCCTAGTGCCCGGACCCCTTTGAACACAAGGGAAGATAGTCTCCCCTCAGCCAGCCCTCCAGGGCTCCTTCATTTTCCACAGCTGCCCAAGGGCAGCAGGCTCCCCCGGACAAGGGACCATGTGTGTTCAGTGGGGCCCACAGCGACCATCAGGACCCAGCTTAGGGCACAGAGGTGTTCTGAGGACCGTCAGTGGATCTGTACCAGTGGCTCTATACCAGTGGCTCTGCCAGGACCAGGCTCTGCCCCATCGGGATGGGAAACCTGGGCAGATTTGGGATCTAGGGCAGGGAGGTCACAGGGTTCAGGCCTGAATTCCAGCACAGCACACGGCAGGGCTGAGAGCAAAACTCAGGGTCATGTCCGGATTCCCAGGCCGGTTACTGCCTCTCTGACCCCAGACGTCTCATCTGTCGAATGGGGACATTTGGGAACAGCACCCACTCTACGAAGCCACCATGGAGACGAAAGAGCCAATCGTCTACACGGGCAGTGTAGAACGGGCGCCTGGTGAGTGCTCAGGGATGACCCTCCTCGGTAGCTGCCCCACAGAGGCCAACACCGCCCGCACCGTAGCCACTGCCCCCAAGTCCGCCTGGAGGGAAGAGAGCAGGTCACGCTCACCTGATTCTGATGAATCAGCTGGCCTGGGTCATGCCTCTCAGGGAGAAAACCTTTGAGTCCACAGAGCTGCTCACAGATACCACTGCCTGTGTGTAACTGCTGTAGACCACTGACGCAGGCCAGAGAGCAGATAGGTGCTAAGCACCAGTGACATTCTGAGGTCATGGCACGAATCACAGTGGGGCCTTGCCCGGGTCAGCAGTGCCCAGAGTCAGGGTCCTCCGCTGCCTGAGGCGTCAACATGCCTGCCTGCAATGTGTTTGTGCACGTGCGTGCACATGTGTATGTGGGTAAACACATCTGTGCACGTGTGTGCTGCTTCTCTGGCCAGGCCCGGCTGCCCCACTCATGTGTGCACCCAGTTCCTCATCACTGTCACCCCCGAGGCCCAGGGCCAGCATCAGAGCATCCATGGCTGCTCCCTAACCTCAGCCCTCCCTGCCCAGGGTGGTCCTGGGATACACATAGCGGTGGAGGGAAGTGACTGCTGCTGTTGGATCTCAGAATACAAAAGCTAGTACTATTACCTAATGGTCTTTTTAGTGTCTCTAATGGTATCGCTTTTTCATTTCTGATATTTTAACTGGGTATTTCTCTCCATGACCCTTGGATATTCTAGCTAGAGGATCCTGTGGGGAAAGTGCCGGGCACACAGTAGGGGCTCACTCTTCTAGACATGTTATCTAAAACCTGGTTCATCTGTCCTTCCACACAGGGCCTAGGGGATGCCAAATTCCAGGGGCCAGAAAGAGCTTGGGATAAAAAGAAACTTCAAGGGGACGGCTTTGACCTGGGCTGAGTCTGCCTGTGCCATCCAACTGGAGTCTCAAGTCCTGAGGCAGGACGTCCAGATGCCCCAGTGCAGGGTCCTCCTGATCAACACCTGCTCCCCTGTACTCATTAGCAACCTCACCCACCCTACTCTCAAAGCACACTTGGCTCTCGTATCCAGGAGCTCTGCATCTGTAGATTCAGCAACAGCAGATGGAAAATATTCAGAAAATAAATTGGACGGTTATGTTTCTATTGAACATGTGCAGACTTTGTTCTTGTCATCATTCCCTAAAGAATACAGTATCACGACCATTTATGTAGCATCTGCATTGTATTACACATCATAAATAATCTAGTAACGGTCTAACGTATACGGGAGGATGCGCATAGCTTATACGTAAATACTAGGCCACGTTATATCAGAGACTTGAGCATCCATGGATTTTGGCATTCCCGGGGACCCTAGAACTAATCCTCCATGGATACCAAGGGATGACTGTATAAACTCACTCAGGAAGGCTTCTCATTGGAGGAAGGGCCCGGTTCAGGACAGACAGGGACATCATCCCTGGACTACTGTCCATCCATCTATTCATCCATTGGCACCACCCTCTAGGACTGTCCCAATGACAGCCCTAGCAAGTGGAGATAAGAAAAAAGACTGGCTCAAATGGTACAGCTTTGAGGTCTTGGAAGATGTTGCACCAGTATGAGAATAGGGGGTCAGTTTCCTCCAGGATCCAGAAAGCATATCAGGCAGGCTCAGGGAGAGGAAAGGAACACGGCCTCTCCAGCAGCCACACAGGCCTGCAGTAGGATGGGGCTGGGGCTGGGGCTGGGGCTGGGGCTGGCCCCGTTTATCACTTGGGCCTCATGAGGGGAAAAGAAAGAACAGGGGGCAGAGGAGGAGCATGGGGGCAGCGGGTTGCCTAAGGAGAAGGCGCCTCAGGGAAGGGGTATTAGTTTGTTTTCACACTGCTATAAAGAAATACTTGAGCCTAGGTAATTTATAAAGGAAAGAGGTTTAATCGACTCCCAGTTCAGGGAACTTACAGTCATGGCAGAAGGCGAAGGGGAAGCAGGCACCTTCTCCACAAGGCGGCAGGAGGGAGTGAGCGGAGAAGCAGGAAGTGCCACACTTTCAAACCATCAGCTCTCCTGAGAACTCCCGCACTATCAGGGGAGCAGCAGGGGGGAACCTGTCCCCAGATCCCATCCCCTCCCACCAGGTTCCTCCCTTGACACAGGAGGATTACAATTCCAGATGAGATTTGGGTGGGGACACAGAGCCCAACCTGTGAGGGTCTCAGTCTATCTTGCAGCTCCCCTGGGGCTGGGGCTGAGTACAGTTCTGCTGGTCCTGCTCTACAGCACGTGGGGACTCTGCCTGTGTGCCCCCATCTGCTCTTCCTGGGGATGGTGGCTGCTTCCTCAAGAGGAGGGTGGATCTGCTCTCCTGCCCACCCCTCTCCAGGGCCTTTTGGAGCCCTGGCCACGTCCTCCCCAGGTAAGGGCAGGAAACCGGGCTCCTTGCCCTTCTTGCTGCTTGGGTGACAATCCTGGGGTCATCCATAGGCCCCATCACTGTTCCCGCTTCTAAATGGAGGGTATTTTGGCACATCTTCCTGGCGGGGTCCGGGGCCTCATCCCTGTTATTTATTCTATCTTGGTAAAGCCAGGTTAAGACATCTGGGCAAGGAGATAGTAGAGTGGCCCCCAGGAAGGGTGGGTGGAGGGCCTGGCCTTTGGGCTAGCCTGGAGCAGGGTGGGAGGGGGCAAGGTTACCAGGAAGCAGGGCTGTCAGGGCCAAAATCAGGAGGCGGTGATAATGCTGGTGGGGGGACAGGGCTGTGTGCTTGGCTTGGGGTGGGGCATGAGAGCCAAGGTTTGTCAGCACGCAGAGGGGTGGCTGACTCATGGACTAGGGGCTATGGAACCCAGAGGCTGCCCTTACTTCCTGGATCCTGGGAGACTTCTGGAGCCTGGGTGTGGGGCAGCCTAGGGGTGGAGGTGGGGCAGACAGGGGTAGGGGTAGGAGAGGAGGACTTGCATGGCAGGGTGCAGGGTAGGAAACCAGCCAGGGGCCAGTTTGCATTGGCGGCTCCCATCCCCATCCCCACCCCCAAGCCCACCCCTACCCCCACCCTGCTGCAGAGATGGGCCTGGGCTGCTGTCCTCTGCTTTGGCCTCAGCAGATCACACGATGGAAGCTGGCAGCCCCGTGGGCACCACTCGAGCCAGCTGTGACCTGCAGTTTCTGCTTCCTGGAGTGTGGGGCGCCCACTCAGGAGAGCACGGCACACCCCACACCCCTCATTTTGAGGATGCTGGGAGGTGGGGACCAAGGTCCTGCAGCCCTCTGCTTGCGCTATGAAAGGTAGCCTAGGAGTCCTGTGTCCGCCCATCCACGTGGGGCCCCAGGAGCCTGAACAGTGGCAGGCAGAGAGATGAGGAGGGTGAGAGAAGTGGAAAAGAAGGAGAGAGAAAGAGAGATGGGGAGAAGGGAGTGAGATAGAGAGAGAGAGGATGAGAGATAAGGAGAGAGACAGAGGAGGCTGAGAGGAAAAGGAGCGAGAGAGACAGGCAGAGAGACACAAAAGGCAAAGAGAGAGACAGGGAGAGACGAGCATGAGTAGGAGGTCGGATCACTCTCGATCCCAGTCCCCAGTGAAAACCGTAGGTCGCCATCACCTAACTACGCGTGCAATAAAGTCTTCTGCCTGCTGCTTACAGCCCGAGAACCCTTTTCCGAGAGAATAAAATCTTTGACCGTTGCCCTTTCTCGCCGGAGTTTGCTCGTGTCTTCTGATGAACTGTGATGTCTCACCTATCGCCTTCCTGGGCTCAAGGATCCACGAAAAGCCGACGACTCTTTTGGGGAGGCTCTGCAGTGCCTTCATCTCACTAGGCTCCCCAGGAAGCTTGCGAACTTGGCTTGAGCCCTAAGCAGCCGAGTATGTGCCGGGCCTCTGCTTCTCTCTTTCAGTAAGAGGGAGAACCAAGAAAGAGGCTGAAGCATGGTCTGCAGAGAAGGCACTTGTGCAAACACCAGGAGAATGAGGGGCCTGAGTTGTCTTCATTTCTCCTAAAAACACGCATTTCCTCCCAGGCCACCCTAGTGAGGGCATGAAGCACAGCGTGTGTGTGTGTGTGTGTGTGTGTGTGTGTGTGTGTGTGTTTGCAGGAATATGCATGTGTATGTGTGTGCATGTGTGTGTGTGCAGGTATATACATGTGAATGTATTTATGTATGTGCATCTGTGTGCATGTGTGTGTGCATGTGTGTGTGCAAGTATATGCATGTGCATGTATGTGCATGTGTGCGTGTGTGTGTGTGCGCCTGTATGTGTGTGTTGCAGGGCTTTACAGCGGACAGGATGTGGGAGGGCAGCTGCAGCTCCAAGCTGCAAGTCTTTCTGATAGAATGGTTAAGATTCCCTGGACCACAGAAAGAATGTTTTCATTTGCACCTATTTTTATTAGCATTTAAAGCTGTATTCTTCGTAGCATGTGAAGCTTAAGTTGCTTAACTATTCTTAGAAACATTTACACCAGCGGTCCCCAAACGTTTTGGCACCAGAGAGCAGTTTTCTTGAAGACAACTCTTCCACGGACCTGGGAGAAGGGGAAGGGATGGTGCAGAGATGATTCGAGCCCATTACATTTATTGTGTGCTTTATTTCTGTGATTATTTCACTGTAATATATAATGAAATAATTACACAACTCACCATAACATAGAATCAGTGGGAGCCCTGAGCTTGTTTTCCTGTAATTACGTGGTCCCACTTGGGGGTGATGGGAGACAGTCAGAGATCATCAGGCATTATGTTCTCATAAGGAGCACGCAATCTAGATCCCTGGCATGCTCAGTTCCCAGTTGGGTTCTATGAGAATGGAACGGCACCACTCATCTGACAGGTGGCAGAGCTCATGCGGTAATGCGAGGGATGGGGAGCGGCTGTTTCTACAGATGAAGCTTTGCTCCCTGGCTGGCTGCTCACCTCCTGCTGTGTTGCCTGGTTCCTAACAGGTGGGGACCCCTGATTTACCCAGTAAGAGAAACACATTTTTATGTCATTTGAAATTATTCACCCTGCACCACCCAAAATTATCTTGCATACCTACACCCATCCAGGGGTCCTGTAGCACACTTTGGGAGCTGTAGACAGTAAGCCTGGAGCTCCACTGAGCATTCCTTCTCTCCACCATCTGTGGGCTAACAGGCTGTGTTAGTTTCCTAGGGCTGTTTTACAGTACCACAGACTGGGCACCTTCAGCAACAGAATGTTACTGTCTCACAGTACTGGAGGCCGTGGGTCCAAGATCAAGGTGTCATCAGGGTGGGTATTTGTTTTCCACTGGACTGTTGATACATTCTTAGAAGGTTTTTGGTTGCTGTTCACGTTAATTTCTCTTCCTTTCTGCAATTGTTCTCTTTCAGTACTCCCTGATATTTTTCTTCTTGAAGAAGTAGCTAGTTAATTTTGTATTTTAAAATTCTTCCCCTCACCCCAAGAACTTCTACCTTCATAATTGGTTCTCTCTTCATATTTATTCTATACAAGTTATGTGGCTGATTACATTGTTTCTGTCTGTACAGATGGAGAGTTAAGGAATAAAGAGGACAGACAGACTAGGTTACCTCAAACACTGAAATGCTATGATTTGTCCGAAGTCATACACGCATTATCTGACCAGACATATGTGCTTTTTCTCTAGAAGCATTTTGTCATTTTGAATCAAACAGGTCTTCTGAATCTACCTTAATGAAGTTGACAACTTTCAGAGGTTTTCAGTGGTGAAGAGAAACTTGGACAAGGAGATAACTTCCACAAACAGAAAAAGCCTCGTCTCTTCTGGATTCCTTTAATGCCAGTGGTCATCACCAGGGGCAGATTAGCCACCTTTTCCCCGGGCTGGGACCTCCACCTTCTCCTCTACAGGTGTATCACCTTAGAAATCTTCTGCATCTCACTGTCACCCAACACATTTTCTCCTTCCAAGCCTCTGCAGTCTCACGAGTTTGTCTGTATTTTTCTTCTTATAACCTGCCTTGCTACCCTAGCCAGCCTGGATCTCATAGGAGATTAATGGAAATACTCCCAACATTGGGCCTTTCCTGTGCCCGTCTTCCTGGTGTATCCTGGCAAAATGCCAGCCCAATCCACAGTCTGTTGTTCTACTTCTGTATCTGAAGGCTAAAGAAAAAGCACCTAGTCATACAGATTAACCCTGTTTTAATGTAACTATTACATAATTTCAACCTCATCTGAGTACTCAGCCTTGCCTGATGCCTTTGCTTGCCCAGCCCTGTTTAGTTCTCTCATTCTCTTCAACATCTTTAGCAAATCTTCTCCTTCCCCGTCTTGACCTTCCTGTCTCTTCACCTGATACAGAGGTTCTTAGCTCCTACTTCGTTGACAATTTTAAGGTTTTGCTCTCTTCTGTAAATTGACCTATAGGAGTATCCTTCTTTACCCCTTTCCTGTGGTTTTCAGGGGATGGAATATTTGTCCTGAGAAGGCCAATACATCCATCGGACACGTGTCTCTATCCCCATTTGCTACGTAAGTATTTGACTTCAGCCATCCGGTACACTGGCTCTGTCTCTGGTTTACACCTGCTGTCTCTGTGTCAGCACTCATTTCCGCTTTAGCCCATTGACTTTTCCCTCACAACGCTACTGAACTTGTCAATAGGCACATCAGTGATCTCCTACATGCCAAGTCTCGTGGACATTTTTCTTCATGTTGTTTGACTGCTGCTCTGCCTGACTGGATATTATAATCTCCTTTCCTTGAAACCCTAGGCTACTGTAGCACTACACTTTACTGGTTCTCCGCTTACCTTCGTTACATCTCTTTTGTTTTTTTTTTTTCCCGGATCCCTCCAGATGTGGCCTAGGAATCCTTTTAAACACAGTGCTCCAGGCAGAAGTTAGTTGGAGGTAGTTCACAAGATGCAATTTATTTGCCATCCACCCTTGCATTTCAACTCCATTATTTGTCCTTGCCATGCCTATCTATAAAAACACTTTCTCCTTCCCAGAGATGGCAGCTAACAAGACCTAGCAAAGAGAAATGGGAATTTTCATTCACAATTTCATAGGGAGAGCAATTGGTAAGATTATTTTACTGCCAAGGGTAATAAAATTAATGAGAGAGTTGAAGAAAGAGGCACGAATTCTGAAACTGTCTAGAACCATCTAAGAGGTAAAGCTGAGGAGTTTTATCCGTATTTGTAGGCTGTGATTATTTTCATAGAAGTACTCTCTGATTTATGGGTATGTCACTGATTACCACTAGAATTGCAGATTGGGCACATTAAGCACATCAGCGTAAAAATCCTTGACATTTTGGCCGGGCGCGGTGGCTCACGCCTGTATTCTCAGCACTTGGGAATGCCGAGGTGGGCGGATCACAAGGTCAGGAGTGCGAGACCAGCCTGACCAACATGGTGAAACCCCGTCTCTACTAAAAATACAAAAGTTAGCCGGGTGTGGCGGCACGTGCCTGCCATCCCAGCTACTCGGGAGGCCGAGGCAGGAGAATTGCTTGAACCCGGGAGGTAGAGGTTGCAGTGAGCCAAGATCTCACTGCTGCACTCCAGCCTGGGCAACAGAGGGAGACTCTGTCTCAAAAAAAAAAAAATCAAAAAAATCCTTGACATTTTAAAAATACCTCTGGCAGGGTTTCAGTGTAGTCATGATATTTAAAATATTACCATGATTTGTCAGTTTCTTAAGTATAATTTTGTTTAGTCGCACGTATGATAAGAACATACAGACTTCTTGCTGGGGGCATTGGCTCATGCCTGTAACGCCTATAATCCCCACTACTCAGGAGGCTGAGTCGGGAGGATTGCTTGAGGTCAGGACTTTGAGACTAGCCTGGACAATAGAGCAAGACTCTGTCTCTTACAACAAACATAATCATAAATAGATTTCTTGGTTTGTGGGGTTAACTTTTTAAATTTTCCTCTCATTAATTTGCCACATTTTTAAAAAATTTTTTGAGATGGAGTCTCACTGTGTCACCCAGGCTGGAGTGCAGTGGCACAATCTTGGCTCACTGCAACCTCTGCCTCTCAGCTTCGAGCGATTCTCCTGCCTCAGCCTCCCGAGTAGCTGGGACTACAGGCGTGTGTCACCACGCTCGACTAATTTTTTGTATTTTTTTAGTAGAGGTGGGGTTTCACCGTGTTAGCCAGGATGGTCTCGATCTCCTGACCTCGTGATCTGCCTGCCTCGGCCTCCCAAAGTGCTGGGATTACAGGCGTGAGCCACCACGCCTGGTCTAATTTGCCACTTTTATCTGACTAAGATACCTTAACTTTATTTATTCCTTGGATTGGTAATACAGTGAAATGATTAGGGCAGGGTTTTGAAACCAGAGAGATCTGGGTTCAAATCTTGGTGTGGGCTGTAGATGTTGGGGGCAATGGCCCTAAATCCTCTGACTTTCCAGTGATTTTTCAATGGGTAAAATAACCCTTACTTTGTGGAATGTTGCAAAGATTAGAGAGGATGTATATAAAATGTTTACCTATTACAGTGCTTGATATGTAGAAGATGAATTCTACAATTACACTGACCCATTTTGCTCATTGCGGCTTTAGAATAGAAAAGTATACTCATACACTAGAATTGTGCACCTAGAGCTAAGTGACTCCAGCCCTGTGGAACCCTTCAATGCCAAAATGGCGTGTAGGACTAGATAGATGAATGTCACCTGACTCTGTCTATTAAAACTCATTGTGTTGGGCCGGGAATGGTGGCTCACGTCTGTAATCCCAGCACTTTGGGAGGCCGAGGTGGGCGGATCACGAGGTCAGGAGATCGAGACCATCCTGGCTAACATGGTAAAACTCCGTCTCTACTAAAAATACAAAAAATTAGCCGGGCGTGGTGGCGGGCGCCTGTAGTCCCAGCTACTAGGGAGGCTGAGGCAAGAGAATGGCGTGAACCCGGGAGGCGGAGCTTGCAGTGAGCTGAGACCGCGCCACCACACTCCAGCCTGGGTGACAGAGCGAGACTCGGTCAAAAAAAACACAAAAAAACCCCCCAAAAAACCAACCAAACAAAAAAAACCACCTCACTGTATTTTATTATTATTATTTTCGAGATGGAGTCTTGCTCTGTCGCCCAGGCTGGAGTGCAGTGGGGTGCAATCTCGGCTCACTGCAACCTCTCCCTCCCAGGTTCAAGGGATTCTCCTGCCTTAACCTCCCGAGTAGCTAAGATTACAGGCACCTGCCACCACGCCCAGCTAATTTTTTGTAGTTTTAATAGAGATGGGGTTTTGCCATGTTGGCCAGCCTGGTCTCCAACTCCTGACCTCAGGTGAACCACCCGCCTCGACCTCCCAGAATGCTGGGATTGCAGGCATGAGCTGCCGAGCCTGGCCAAATCTGAAATACGTTTGATGCCAGGGTAGCCTTAGTGGAGTGAAATGCTTATTAACAATGAGAGTATTTGAAAAATATGAGATATACAATCATCAGAATTGAATGACCTTTCTAAGGAATGGTTTTATCCTAATTAAGTAATGATCAGAGTCGGGCGAGGTGGCTCACGCCTGTAATCCCAGCACTTGGGGAGGCTGAGGTGGGCGGATCACTTGAGGTCAGGAGTTCAAAACCAGCCTGGCCAACATAGTGAAACACCGTCTCTACTAAAAATACAAAAAAGTAGCGGGTATGGTGGCGCGTGTCTGTAATTCCAGCTACTCGGGAGGCTGAGGCAGGAGAATTGCTTGAACCCCGGAGGCGGAGGTTGCAGTGAGCCGAGGTCGCGCCACTGCACTATAGTCTGGGTGAGAGCAAGACTCCGTATCAAAAAAAAAAAAAAATCCGATTATAACATCTGTGAATGGAATAATTTGTAGACTCTTGGCATGCAAGAATTTGATGTTAGCTTTCTCAACTGTTTATGAACCGTAAAGGTTCATGATGCGTAAGTTCTGTTGAGATGGAAACTTGAACGCTGTGTGCGGTGGAGGCGAGGTTGAGGACTTCGCTTGGCGGATGAGTAAGCCTCACCCATCTGGACAGCAGCATTTACACTGCAACTTCACTTTTAACTTCGTATTTGCTGCTTGTTGTTATTTACGTGGTAACTAGCATGAATGATTCACATACACACATACGTATTCTTTGTCTCCTTGTGAAATATTACACCAAGGAGAAAACACCATTATGAAGCTAGTGATAGTAAAGTAGTCCCCAGACACAGTGCTCTTCAGTGCAAACGTTTGAAGTTTATGGAAGAAGCTCTGTGGCAGTAATAGCCATAAACTTTGGAATATGCAAAGATCTTGAAGTATATCTCTCACTTATACCAGGGATTTTTGTAGAGTAGAGAATTGAATTTTGAGCTTATGAGAGCTGGTAGCATTGGATTTTTTCGCTTTTTGTCTATCAATCCATTCATGCGGTATTTTTTTTTTTTTTTTTTTTTTTTTTTGAGATGGAGTCTGGCTCTGTTGACCAGGGTGGAGTGCAGTGGCCCGATCTGGCTCACTGCAAGCTCCACCTCCCGGGTTCACGCCATTCTCCTGCCTCAGCCTCAGGAGTAGATGGGACTACAGGCTCCTGCCACCACGCCCCGATAATTTTTTGTACTTTTAGTAGAGACGGGTTTTCACCGTGTTAGCCAGGATGGTCTCGATCTACTGACCCTGTGATCTGCCCGCCTCGGCCTCCCAAAGTGCTGGGATTACAGGTGTGAGCCACCGCGCCCGGCCACCATTTATGGGGTATTTTAAGATTTCATGTCAAAGCTCCATTTGTCTCAGATGGTACAATTGTCTGCCGTGTTGAAATAGGTGGTAACGCAAATTAATATTACCCTGAAACAAGACTTTATTTTATTTTTTATTTTTTAAATTTTTTAAAATTATACTTTAAGTTCTGGGATACATGTGCAGAACGTGCAGGTTTGTTACATGGGTATACATGTGCCATGGTGGTTTGCTGCACCTATCGACTTGTCGTCTAGGTTTTAAGCCCCACATGCATTAAGTATATGTCCTAATGCTATCCCTCCCCTTGCCCGCCATCCCCTGACAGGCCCTGGTGTGTGATGTTCCCCTCCCTGTGCCCATGTGTTCTCATTGTTCAACTCCCACTTTTGAGTGAGAACATGTGGTGTTTGGTTTTCTGTTCCTGTGTTGGTTTGCTGAGATGATGGTTTCCAGCTTCATCCATGTCCCTGAAAATGACATGAACTCATTCTTTTTTATGGCTGCATAGTATTCCATGGTGTATATGTGCCACATTTTCTTTATGCAGTCTATCCTTGATGGGCATTTGGGTTGGTTCCAAGTCTTTGCTATTGTAAATAGTGCTGCAATAAACATACATGTGCATGTGTCTTTATAGTAGAATGATTTACAATCCTTTGCGTATATAGCCAGTAATGGGATTGCTGGGTCAAATGGTATTTCTGGTTCTAAAAGTCTTAAAATATCCTCTAAAGTAGATTTCAAAATACAACATACATGAGCCTGCAGGAGACCTGCTCACAGAAGGCATCTGTAATTTATAGGAAGATGATGCTGACACTAGATTAACCATGCATTTAGCACACCTCAGTTACAGTGAAAATCCAATTTTGTGCAAAAAGTGGGAAATAAATGGAGGCGTGTTTGCTTTACGAGAATTTATTTGATTTTTGTAAATAGAAAATGGTTTTATTACATGTAAAATATAATTTCAATTGGTCACTGTGAGGAATCGCCACAGTCTTTGGTAATGATGGAACTAATTTGCACTCCCACCAACGGTGTAAAAGCATGCCTGTATCTCCACATCCTTTCCAGCATCTGTTGTTTCCTGACTTTTTAATGATCACCATTCTAAATGGCGTGAGATGGTATCTCATTGTGGTTTTGATTTGCATTTCTCTAATGAGCAGTGATGATGAGCTTTTTTTCATATGTTTGTTGGCTGCATAAATATCTTCTTTTGAGAAATGTCTGTTCATATCCTTCACCCTCTTTTTGATGGTTTTTTTTTCTTATAAATCTGTTTAAATTCCTTATAGATTCTGGATATTAGACCTTTCTCAGATGGATAGATTGCAAACATTTTCTCCCATTCTGTAGGTTGCCTGTTCACTCTGATGATTTTTTTTTTTTTTTTTGCTGTGCAGAAGCTCTTTAAGTATTTATTTTAATATTTGTGTAATAATGTCCAGTTTTACCAAGCAGAATGATCTACATAGGAGCTTTTATGCAGAACTCATTGTTCTTCACCAAGAGCTTGTTAGTCCAGTAGTAAAATCAAATCCATCCTCAGTTGCTATGTGGCTTTGTTAAACAGTTAAACTTGAGTTGGAGATGCTCTGCTATAGGGAGGAATTTTCGCTCCCCAGATGTGTTTGTATATAATATAATGTATTTTTCCCCTCTCCCCTGTGGAAACTTTGTGGAAAGATTATTTCAGTGTTAACCCTGATTGACATTTTAGTAATCGAACAAGTGTTTGTTACTCCTTTACTCATTCATTTATCAAGTGCTTAATGGGTGCCTTCTGGGTGCCAGACACTGCATTAGACTCTGGGGAATCAAAGATGAATCACACTTAGTCTCTACCCCCTGGGAATTTATTCTGGTTAGAGAAATTGTAAACACATAATCATGATCCTATGGGATATTTTTAAAGTATGAAATGAGATAATGTGTGTGAAAAAGCTTTGTAAGCTTCACACATTTAAGATTTTTTCTCCAGTGCATAGCATGATGTCTGACATATTTTAACTGCTCGTTACACTCTTGAATGAACTGGGGAAGAGCCAAGAGTTATGAGAGCATAATACTAGAGTGTAGATGGATTAGTTCTGCCTGGATGGACAGGAGGGACGTGGAGGCTTCCAAGAATATAACTTTTGAACTGGACTTGGAAGTATAAGTTGTTTATGTTAAGAATCGAGAAAGGAGGTTCTGGGGGGACAGCTATCAGTCGTTAAAGTGCCTGGATTTAGATGGACCACAAATCTACAGGCTTATGCAGTTTACAAGATGCTTTTGTTTACAGTATCTCTTTTGAGCCTTATGACAGGTCCATGAAGTGAGTTCATACAACCAAGACAAGCCTTGACCAGAACCTGGGTTCTAGGGTGTAAGAGACAGCATCTGACCAGTTTATTCTTTACACTTTCACAAATGTTATGATTGCTAATATTATTGTATTTCTATTATTACATTTGTGAAAGCATGGTTTTCTGAGTTACAAGTATATGAAAGACAAATGTGTACATGTAATAAAATACATAGTTTTCTTTTTTTCTTTTTTTTTTTTGAGACAGAGTCTCGCTGGGTCCCAGGCTGGAGTGCAGTGGTGCGATCTCGGCTCACTGCAATCTCTGCCTCCGAGGTTCAAGCTATTTTCCTGCCTTAGCCTCTCAAGGAGCTGGGATTACAGGCGCCTGCCAGCATGCCTGGCTAATTTTTGTATTTTTAGTAGAGCAGGGGTTTCACCATGTTGGCCAGGCTGGCCTCGAACTCCTGACCTCGTGATCCGCCCACCTCGACCTCCCAAAGTGCTGGCATTATAGACGTGAGCCACCGTGCCCAGCCATGGTTTTCTTCTGATTTCTGTAAAGCAGGTTAGCTTGTATTGATACATGAGGAGGTTTTTTTCAGAGGTTTCAGAAACAAGCTAGAAAATGCTTCCATAATATTTCAAAGATTCTTTATGATTCAAGCAGTTTTTCAGGATTTTCAGTCCATTTAAACCATCTATCTAACAAACACTAAGTAGAAACTATGAGCTCTACATTCTCTTGTAAGCTTTCTTTTTCTGTTATAGTTGAGCAAATTTGTTGACATTTTTATTTTTATATTTATTTATTTATTTATTTTTGAGTCAGAGTCTCACTCTGTTGCCCAGGCTGGAGTGCAGTGGCACGATCTCAGCTCACTGCAAGCTCTGCCTCCCCAGTTCACGCCATTCTCCTGCCTCAGCCTCCTGAATAGCTGGGACTGCAGGCGCCTGCCACCATGCCCAGCTAGTTTTTTAGTAGTTTTAGTAGAGACGGGGTTTTACCGTGTTTGCCAGGATGGTCTCGATCTCCTGACCTCGTGATCCACCTGCCTCGACCTCCCAACATGCTGGGATTACAGGTGTGAGTCACCATGCCCGGCCCAGATGTAGCTCTTTTTTTTTTTTTTTTTTTTTTTTTTTTTGAGACGGAGTCTCGCTCTGTCGCCCAGGCTGGAGTGCAGTGGCGGGATCTCGGCTCACTGCAAGCTCCGCCTCCCGGGTTCACGCCATTCTCCTGGCTCAGCCTCCCAAGTAGCTGGGACTACAGGCGCCCGCCACTACGCCCGGCTAATTTTTTGTATTTTTAGTAGAGACGGGGTTTCACCGTTTTAGCCGGGATGGTCTCGATCTCCTGACCTCGTGATCCGCCCGCCTCGGCCTCCCAAAGTGCTGGGATTACAGGCGTGAGCCACCGCGCCCGGCCACCAGATGTAGCTCTTATGTTTAGGTCTTTGATCCATTTTGAGTCAATTTTTGTGTGCGGTGTAAGAGAAGTGTCCACCTACATTCTTTTGCATGTAGATAATGCAGTTTTCCCAAAATTATTTGTTGAAAAGAGTCTCTTTCCCACTGAATGATCCTGGCACTTTTGTTGAAAATCACTTCACCATATAAGCGAGAGTTTATTTTTGAACTCTCTATTCTCTTTCAGTGCTCTGTTTTTATGCCAGTACAACACTGTGTTTTGTTTTTGTTTTTGTTTTTTTGAGGTGGAGTTTCACTCTTGTTGCCCAGGCTGGAGTGTAGTGGCCTGATCTCAGCTCACTGCAACCTCTGCCTCCTGGGTTCAAGCGATTCTCCTGCCTCAGCCTCCCGAGTAGCTGGGATTACAGGCATGTGCCACCACACCCGGCTAATTTTTGTATTTTTAGTAGACACGGGGTTTCTTTATGTTGATTAGGCTGGTCTCAAACTCCCGACCTCAGGTGATCCGTCCGCCTCGGCCTCCCAAAGTGCTGGGATTACAGGCATGAGCCACCAAGCCTGGCAACACTGTTTTGATTACTGTAGCTTTGTAGTAAGTTTTGAAATCACGAAGTGTGATGTCTTCAAATTTATTCTTTTTCAAGATTGTTTTGACTATTTGAGGTCCCTTGAGATTCTACATGAGTTTTAGAATGTATTTTTTTTTAATTTCTGCAAAAAACATTCTTGGGATTTTGACAGGGATTTTATTGAATGTGTAGATTGCTTTGGAGTAGTAACATCTTAGCAACATTAAGGTGTTGCAATCCAAGAACATGAAATGTCTTTCCATTTATATATGTTGTCTTCAGTTTACTTCAGTAAAGTTTTATGATTTTTCTGTGTACAAGTCCTGCATTTTCTTCATTGCTGACTTATATATACTTGTTTTTTTTTTTTTTTTTTTCTGAGATGGAGTTTCACTCTTGCTGCCCAGGCTGGAGTGCAATGGCGCGATCTTGGCTCACGGCAACCTCCGCCTCCTGGATTGGAGCAATTCTCCTGCCTCAGCTTCCTGAGTAGCTGGGATTACAGGCATGCACCACCACGCCCGACTAATTTTGTATTTTTAGTAGAGACGGGGTTTGTCCATGTTGGCCAGGCTGGTCTTGAACTCCCGACCTCAGGTTCCTGGTGCTTCCTATTGCACCATCTTCCCAGAATCCTCTCCCTTCCTGTTGTGCTTTTATAGCCACACCTGCTTTCCTCCTGCCGCCAGACTTAGTCGTAACTGCTAATGTATTCCTCATTTTGGTAATTTTGTTATCTCAAGGATGTTATATAAATGGGATGATAGAACTTGTAATTTTCTGAAGGCCAGGTGCCTGGCTCACGCCTGTAATCCCAGCACCTTGGGAGGCTGAGGTGGGTGGGTTACTTGAGGTCAGGAGTTGGAAACCAGCCTGGCCAACATGGTGAAACCCTGTCTCTACTGAAAATACAAAAATTACAGGGATTAACCTGTAATCCCAGCTGCTTGGGAGGCTGAGACATGAGAATTGCTTGAACCCAGGAGGTGGAGGTTGCAGTGAGCCGAGATTGCACCACTGCACTCCACCCTGGGTGACAGAATGAGATTCTGGTCTAAAAACAAAACAAAACAAAACAACATGTAATTTTCTGGGATTGAGTTTTTTACACTAAGTTTAATTCCTTGGAGATTCCTCCGGGTTGTTGCTTAGTGTTTGTTACGGTTATACTGCACTTTGTTTACTTATTTGCTGAAAGATAATCTCAGTTATTTCCACTTGTAGGTTATTATGAATAAAACTGTTAGAAACATCACACAGGTTTTCATGTGAACGTAAGTCTTCATTTAGTAATGTTGATAGGTGGGTAGTGATATCTCATTGTGTGTATTATTATTATTATTATTATTATTATTTTTGAGACAGGGTCTTGCTCTGTTACCTAGGCTTTGAAGGGCAGTGTCATGATCATGTCTCATTGCCACCTTAACCCTCTGAGTAGCTGGGACTATGGGTGTGTGCTACACTACACCCAGCCAATGTTTTTAGAAATATGTTTTTGAAGAGATAAGGTCTTGCTATGTTGCTCAGGCTGGTTTTGAACTTCTGAGCTCAAGTCATGCTCCAGACTGGTCTCCTAAAGTGCTGGGATTACAGACCACTACACACACCTCATTGTGTTTTTAATACGTATTTACTTAGTGGCTAATGATGTTGACCATCTTTTCGGGTGCTTATTTGGTATCTTTTTTTAAAAATATGGAACACTTTAAGAATTTGCATGTCATCACTGTGCAGGGAGCATGCTAATCTTCTCTGTATTGATTCAATTTTGGTATATGTGCTGCTGAGACAAGCAGTAGTACCTTTATATATCCCCTGTTCATCACTTTTGGCTATTTTCTTTTTTTGAGACGGAGTCTCCCTATCTCTACTCAAAAACAATACAAAAATTAGCCAGGCATGGTGGCACATGCCTGTAGTCCCAGCTACTTGGGAGGCTGAGGCAGGAGAATTGCTTGAACCCAGGAAGCGGAGGTTGCAGCGAGCTGAGATTGCACCACTGTACTCCAGCCTGAGCGACAGAGTGAGACTCTGTCAAAAAAAAAAAAAAAGTATTCCACTCTTGCTGGGTGGAATGTCCTGTAAATGTCCATGGATCCAGTTAGTTCATGGGGTTGAAGTAAATACTCTTGCTGTGATCATATGTATAGTTTTAACAGTTGTTACAGAGAAATACTGAAGTCTCTATAGTGGATTTGTGTATTTCTTCATTCTGTTCCATCAGGTTTTCTTTCACAGATTTCGTAGTCTGGTTTTTTGCTGCATACACATTTAGGAATGTTATGTCCTCTTGGTGGATTGACCCCTCTCTCAATAAATAATTTCCTTCTTAGTCTCTAGTACTTTTTCTTTGCTCTGAAGTATACTGTTTCTGATATTAATATAGTCATCCACTTTTCCTTAGTGAATGGTTGCATCATATACCTTTTGAATTTTTTTTTTTTTTTTGCTTTCAATGTGCTTAGATTGTTATATTCGAAGTAAATGTCTTGTACACAAAACAGTGTTAGGTTATGTTTTCTTTCTTTCTTTCTTTTTTTTTTTTTTCTTGAGATGGAATCTTGCACTGTCACCTGGGCTGGAGTGCAATGGCGTCATCTTGGTTCACTGCAACCACCACCTCCCGGGTTGAACCAATTCTCCTGCCTCAGCCTCCCGAGTAGCTGGGATTACAGGTGCCCGCCACCATGCCTGGTTAATTTTTTATATTTTTAGTAGAAACCGGGTTTCACTATGTTGACCAAGCTGGTCTCGAACACTTGACCTCTTGATCTGCCTTCCTTGGCCTCCCAAAGTGCTGGGATTACAGGTGTGAGTCACTGTGCCTGGCCTTTTTTTTTTTTTTTTTTTTGAGACACGGTCTTGCTCTGTCACCCAGGCTGGACTGCAGTGGCACAATCATGGTTTACTGCAGCCTGGACCTCCTGGGCTCAAACAATTCCCCCACCTCAGCCTCCCAAGTAACTGGGACCACACATGTGCACCATCACACCCGGCTAATTTTTTTATTATTTGTAGGGACGAGGTCTTGTTATGTTGCCCAGCCTGGTCTCGAACTCATGGGCTCAAGAGACCCTTCTGTCATGGCCTCCCAAAGTGCTGGCATTACAGGCGTGAGCCACCATGCTTGGCTGTAGGTTATGTTTTTTAAATCTAGTTTGTCAATCTTTGTCTTTTTCTTTTTTTTTTTTTTTTTGAGACGGAGTTCATCACTCTGTCACCCAGGGTGGAGTGCAGTGGTATGATCTCGGCTCACTGCAACCTCTGCCTAGTGGGTTCAAACAATTCTCCTGCCTCAGCCTCCAGAGTAGCTATTACAGGTGCCCACCACCATGACTGCCTAAATTTTTTTTTTTGTATTTTTAGTAGAGACAGGGTTTCACCATGTTGGCCAGGATGGTCTCGAACACCGAACCTCAAGTGATCTGCTCTCCTCAGCCTCCCAAAGTGCTTGGATTATGGTTGTGAGCCATTGCACCTGGCCAGTTTTTGTCTTTTATTTGCTGTTTTTAGGTATTTGGGCCATTTACATACTTACAGATGTTGTCAGAATCCTTTTTTTTTTTTTTTTTTTTTTTTTTTGAGACAAAGTTTTACTCTTGCCCAGGCTGGAGTGCAGTGGCTCAATCTTGGCCTACTGCAACCTCTGCCTCCCGGGTTCAAGCAGTTCTTGTGCCTCAGTCTCCCAAGTAGCTGGGATTACAGGCATGTGCTACCACGCCCAGCTAATTTTTATATTTTTAGTGGAGTTGGGGTTTCACCATGTTGGCCAGGCTGGTCTTGAACTCCCGGCCTTAGGTGATTCACCCACCTTGGCCTCCCAAAGTGCTAGAATAACAGGTCTGAGCCACCACGCCTCGTTTTAGTTTTAGTTTTTTGATTGTTCTTTTTCCTGCTTTCTTTTGAGTTACTTGAACATTTTTGGAATCCCATTTTTCTTGTCGTATTTTTTTTCTACCCCAATTCACTACGCCAAAACCATTTTTCTTTATTGTATTTTATATCTGCTTATTTTAGTTCATTGATATGGTTTGGATATTTGTTCCGCTGAATTTTTTTTTCTTCTTTTTTGAGACAAACTTTCGTTCTTGTTGCCCAGGCTGAAGTGCAATGGCGTGATCTCAGCTCACTGCAACCTCCGCCTCCCAGGTTCAAGTGATTCTCCTGCCTCAGCCTCCTAAGTAGCTGGGATTACAGGCATGTGCCACCATGCCCGGCTAAGTTTGTATTTTTAGTAGAGACGGAGTTTGTCCATGTTGGTCAGGCTGTTGTTCTCCAACTCCAGACCTGAGGTGATCCACCCACCTCGGCCTCCCAAAGTGATGAGATTACAGGCGTGAGCCACCATGCCCGGCCTAAAAATTGTTTTTGGGAGGCCAAGGTGGGTTAGTCACCTGGGGTCCGGGGTTCAAAACCAGCCTGGCCAACGTGGCGAAAACCCGTCTCTACTAAAAATACAAAAATTAGCCAGGAGCGATGGCGGCACCTGTAATCCCAGCTGCTCAGGAGGCTGAGGCAGGAGAATCACTTGAACTTGGGAGGCAGAGCTTGCCGTGAGCTGAGATCATGCCAGTGCACTCCAGCTTGGGCAACAGAGCGAGACTCCGTCTCAAGAAACAAACAAACAAAAAGCAACAACAAACAAACAAAAAATTTTTTCAGTTAATTCTGATGTATCTGTGAGATATTAGAATTAAGATATCTTGATGTTTGCATTTGTTTATTGCCTTTTTCCATTCAATTTGAAATCTTCTGGATTCTTCATATCTTTTTGGTATCACAAATAACTTTTGATTGAAACCTGGGCATTTTTGTGTTGTCATGAGACTATGCATCTTACTTAAACAACTGTTTTAGTTTTTTTGTTTGTTTTTTTTTTTTTGGAGACCATCTTTATCACCCAGTCTGGAGTGCAGTGGCGCCATCTCTGCTCACTGCAACCTCCGCCTCCCAAGTTCAAGCGATTTTCGTGCCTCAGCTTCCGGAGTAGCTGGGACTATAGGCACCGGCCAACACGCCCAGCTAATTTTTATTTTTAGTAGAGGCGGGGTTTTGCCATGTTGGCCAGGCTGGTCTCCAACTCCTGACTTCTGGTGATCCACCCGCCTCGGCCTTCCAAAGTGCTGCGATTATAGGCGTGAGCCATCGCGCCGGGCCCTGTTGGGGATTCTTTTTTTTTGGTCTGTGTTCATCGGTGTCCTGATGTACTCACTTCTTCCATTCCAGGAGTAGGATACATTAGGCAAAAAGAAGAATACCCAGGGAATTTACTGCTATATTGTGCCTTGTGTCCTGTGATCCTGAGCTAATTTGCCTTCTCTCCACCTTTCAGAGAATATTCGTTTTATTTACAATGTTCACATTTTAAATTTGTACTTAGTGGGAGGAATAGGGAAAAGTATGTCCATTCCATCGTCCCAGAAGTGTAAGTCTAACCTTTGATTTCACTGAGTGTGCCCTATTTTTCTGTTTTCTATTTCATTGACTTCTGCTCGATCTTTCTTTTGCTCTTCTAGTTTCTTAAGGAACAAGGTGAAGTCACTGATTTGTTTCTTTTCTAATATAGTCATGTAATTGTATAAATTTCTCTTTCAATCACTGCTTTAACTGTCTTAAAATACTTGATATATTTGTCCTTTTTTTACCCCTTGGTGTTATGGGTTATGTTATGTTATGTTATGTTATTTATTTTATATTTTGAGACAGATTCTCGCTCTGTCGCCCAGGCTGGAGTGCAGCAGCGTGATCTTGGCTTGCTGCAACTTCCGCCTCCCGGGTTCAAGCAATTCTCTGCCTCAGCCTCCTGAGTAGCTGCGGTTACAGGCGCCGGCTACCATGCCCGGGTAATTTTTGTATTTTTAGAAGAGACGGGGTTTCACCATCTTGGCCAGACCGGTCTTGAACTCCTGACCTTGTGATCCACCTGCCTCGACCTCCCAAAGTGCTGGAATTAGAGGCGTGAGCCACAGCTCCTGGCCCCCATTGGTTATTTTAAAAGTATGTTTTGATTTCAAATATGGGGATTGCCTATTGATTTTTTTTTCTGTCACTGATTTCTAAATATCATAGTGGTAAGAAAAAAATCATGATAAGACTTCAAACCTTTTAAATGTACCAAGAGTTGTTTTTTTTGGCCCGAATATGGTATATCTTGGTGAATGTTCCAAATGCACTTGAACAGAATGTGTATTCTGGTAGGTTGTGTAGAGTGTTCTAAAGTTAGTTAGGTCAGTTTGGTGTTATTCAAGCTTCTGTATCCTTACTGATTTTCTGTCTGCTGGTCTGGAATCTCTCTCTGTCGCCCAGGCTGGAGTGCAGTGGCATGATCTCGGCTCACTGCAACCTCCATCTCCTGGGTTGAAGCGATTCTCCTATCTAAGCTTCCCGAGTAGCTAGGATTACTGTTGTGTGCCACCACGCCCGGCTAATTTTTGAATTTTTAGTAGAGACAGGGTTTCACCATGTTGGCTGGGCTGGACTTGAATTGCTGACCTTAGGTGATCCGCCTGCCTCTGGCTCCCAAAGTGCTGGGATTACAGGTGTGAGCCACCACGCCTGGCCCACCCAGTTAATTTTTAAAACTCTTTTTGTAGAGACAGGGTCTCCCTGTGTTGCTCAGGTTGGTCTTGAACTCCTGTGATCAAGCAATCCTGTCTCGGCCTTCCAAAGTTCAGGGATAACAAGTGTCATTCACCATGCCTGGCCTGGTTCTATTACACAGAGAGGTTTGCTGAAATTTTAAAATATAATTGTGGATTCTTTCATTTCTTCTTACAGTTCTCTCATTTTTGCTTTATTTATTTTGAAGCCCTGTTATTAATAGGTAAATAAATGTTTAGGATTTTTGTGTGTTCTTGATGAATTAAACCCTTAATGTATATAAAATGATGCTCTTTTTTCCTGATAAAATTTTTATTTTTGTCCACTTTACATGATAGTATTATAACGATTTCAACTTTCTTTTGATTTTGTAGTGTGTAATAAGATCTTTTTCTTGGCTGCACTGGAATTTTAATTTCTGATTGTAGTCATTTTGGTCATGGTTTACCCTGTTTTTTGGAGATGGGCTTTTACTCTGTCACCTGGGCTGGAGTGCAGTGGCATAGTCATGGCTCACTATGGCCTTGACCTCCTTCTGCCTTAGCCTTCCTGAGTAGCTGGAAGGACCACAGGTGTGTGCCACTACCCGTGGCTAATTCTTTTTTTTTTTTTTTGAGACGGAGTTTTGCTCTTGTTGCCCAGGCTGGAGTCAATGGCACGATCTTGGCTCACCCCAATCTCCACCTCCCGGGTTCAAGCAATTCTCCTGCCTCAGTCTCCCGAGTAGCTGTGATTACAGGCATGAGTCACCATGCCCAGCTAATTTTGTATTGTTGGTAGAGATGGGGTTTTTCCATGTTGGTCAGGCTGGTCTCGAACTCCCGACCTCAGGTGACCTGCCCACCTCGGCCTCCCAAAGTGCTGGGATTACAGGCGTGAGCCACCATGCCAGGCCATTTTTCATGTGTGTGGTGTGTGTGTGTGTGTGGGGGGGGGGGGGTATGTATGTTTTTAGAGATGGGTTCTGCAGCGTTGCCCACACTGGTCTCGAACTCCTGGCCTGAAGCGATTTTCCCACTTTGGCTGCCCAAAGTGCTGGGATTACAGGCATGAGCCACTGCGCTCAGCCACTTTTCTTCATGTTTCTAGCGAATGATAATTCATTAAAAGAGTGCCTTGTTATATATGCTTATAATTTCCCTCAAATATGTGAAAAGTTGTTGGCCATGATTTCTAAAAATTTTTTTTCAATATTATCTCCTGTTTTGTGGCTCTAGTTACAAATATGTTTGGCCTCTTGAAGTTATTTCAATTATCACGTATTACATTTTTTAGTGTTTTTTTCTGTGTTTCATTTAGGTTAGTAATTTTGATTTCATGTGTTGCAAATTTCAAGGTGTATTTTTCATCTTAGACTTTGTAATTTTCATCTTTAGAAGTTCAAATTTTAAAAATAATTCATATTTTTACTTAATATGTTGTTTCTTCTAGCCTTCTCATCATATGAAATATCATCATAATTGTTTTAAAGGACTTGTCTACCAATTCTATTTTCTGTTTCATTTCAAAATTGGTTTGTTTTTTGTTTCATTATGGGGTATAATTTCCTGCTTCTATGTAAGTCTTATAAATTTGGATTGACTTTTGAGCCAGTGTGAATTTTACCTTGTTTTCTAGTTTCTCTAGTTTTGTTTGCCTTTTAAAAATATTTGTGGACTTTGTTCTGTGGCATTATTAAGTTGCTTGAAAACAGTTTCTTTCTGTTGGGTCTTTTATGTTTTCCTTGATTGGACCAGGGTTGTGTTTAGGGTTAAATTTTTCCTCCTTCTGAAGCCTTTTCTTTCTTAGTATTCCAATGTCACATCTCCAATGTGATATAAATTATATCACGTCATTTCCTTTTGGACTTTTGGGTGTGGGTACTATACACCTCCTTAAGTCAGTCCTGGATGCTATTACGTCTAATTGTTTTGGTGATTTCTCACCTTGCCCTTGGACAGCTCCTTTACATTGCAAGTGCTGATTTGTCATTCAACCAAAAGTTCTAGGGTGAGCCCTTGTAGATCTCTTCATTTCTCTCTCTCTCTCCAGCTCTCTACTCAGTGCTGGTCTCCCTTGTGAGCTCTAGGCACCTTGGCCTCCTTGGACTTCCAGCTCCATTTCCTCAACTTGGGGAGACGACAGGCTCTGCCTGGGTTCCTCCTCCCTGTTCCACGACCTGGAAAACTCTCTCAAGGCAGTAAGCTGGGCACACGTGTGGCCCGTTTGTTTTTTGTCTTCCAGGGATCACTGTCTTTTGTTACTTGTCCAATATCTTCAGTGCTGTTGTTTCATTCATTTTATTAGGTTTTTATTATTTCACGCAAGGAGGCTAAATCTGGTCCCCTTTATTCACTCCATCTTGACCAGAAGTGGTATCACTGTGGTTTGAATTTACATTTTCATGATAACTGGTGATATTGAGCACGTTTTAGCTTGTGTGTTGGCCATTTGTGTGTTCTCTTTTGTGATGAGTTTGTTCATTTTGCCTTTACTGTTCTTTGTTTTCGTTTTTCATCTATTTGAGTTGCAGAAGGTGTTTATATGTCCTAAATACTCATCCTTTGTTAGACAAATGTTTTGTAAATACTTTCCCCAAGTCTATGTGGTTTACCCATTTATTTATTTATTTATTTATTTATTTATTTATTTTTGAGGCGGAGTCTCGCTCTGTCACCCAGGCTGGAGTGCAGTGGCGCGATCTCGGCTCACTGCAAGCTCCACCTCCCGGGTTCACGCCATTCTCCTGCCTCAGCCTCCCGAGTAGCTGGGACTACAGGCGCCCGCCACTACGCCCGGCTAACTTTTTGTGTTTTTAGTAGAGACGGGGTTTCACCGTGGTCTCGACCTCCTGACCTCGTGATCCGTCCGCCTCGGCCTCCCAAAGTGCTGGGATTATAGGCGTGAGCCACCGCGCCCGGCCTATTTATTTTAACTGTACCTTTTGATGAGCAGAAATATTTATATCTGCTAGGTTTAATTTATCAGTGTTTTCTTTTGTAGTTATTGCTTACTGTGAGCTAAGACACTTTTGCCTAACCTCAAAGTCTTGAAGGTAATTTCCTTTGTTTCCTGTAAAAGGGCTTGCTTTTGCTAATTTATATTTAGGTCTGTGATGCGTCTGAAGTTATTTTTGTAGGTCTGAGTTTTTTGCATGTGGCTATCCAGTTGTTTGTCACCATTTGTTGAAAAGAGTCTCCTTTTCTCACCGGGTTGCTTTGGGAACATCGCGTGGCTGCCTAAGTGGGATCTCTTTCAGAAATCTTTATTCTGCTTCAAAAATCTGTTTGTCTAGCCCTGTTAGAGTATTCGGATTATTTGGTAACTTTATATTGTCTTGAAGTCAGAATTGCAAGTCCTAAAACCTTTTTCTTCTTTTTCGAAGTTCTGCATACTCTACGTCCTTCACATTTCCGTATAAATTTTAATCATCTCTTTTCTGTCTTCTCCAAAAAAGGCTGATGGGATCATGATTGTAATTGTCTTGAATCTGTTGATCAGTTTGAGGAGAACTGACATCTTAACAACCACTGAGTCTTAGTCATTAGTATAGTATATCTCTCCATTTATTTAGGTCTTTTTTGTTTTGTCTGAGCAGTCGTTTGTTGCTTTTAGCCTTTGGTCTCGCATGTCTTCTGTTTTTAAAATTACTTATTTTTTTTCCTTTTTGTTGAGACAGAGTCTCACTCTGTCGCCTAGCTGGAGTGCAGTGGCCCAGTCTTGGCTCACTCCATCTCCTGGGTTCAAACAATTCTCCTGCCTCAGCCTCCCAAGCAGCTGGGATTACTGGCATGTACCCTAAGCCCAACTAATTTTTATATTTTTAGTAGAGATGGGGTTTCACCCCGTTGGCCAGGCTGGTCAACTCCTGATCTCAAATGATCTGCCTGCTTCGGCCTCCCAAACTGCTGGGATTACAGGCATGAGCCACCACGCCTGGCCTAAAATTATTTTTATTTTTAAGTATTTTGTCTTTTTTTGATGCTATTTGTATTTTAAAATATTAAATACTTTTTCAGCAATTATGAAGTATTATAAAAATTTCTAATTTTTTGTTGGAAATAGAATTTTTGTATATTGACCCGTTTCTTACAACCTTAAGTCATATTAATTCTACGAGTTTTTTTAGGTACATTTCTTAGATTTTTCTAATAGATGATTGTCATAAAACACAGTTTTATCTCTTTTTTTCCCTAGTTGTAATGCCTTTTATTCTCTTCCCTCACAGAATTGACTTAATCTTGTTTTCATTCTTTGAATACAGCATTCAGTGTTACACCACTAATTATAAGTCAGCTGTAGGGGTTTTATTGATGAACTTTATCAGATTGTTTTCAAATATAGGTTTTATTACTGTTTAGATATGACAAGGACAACAGAACCCAACATAACTGCCATTGAAAAGATAGTTATAGTCACAGACCCTAAGAGGAATAATCATGCCATGCCATGGAGAATACACAGTTGAGTAAGGTCTAGCCCTAGCTTCCTGAGGGTTTATGTCCTGAATGGATATTGAGTTTTCTCAGAAGCTTTTTCTGTATCTATTGAGATAATGCTATATATTTAAATATATTAATGTAAATTTCATTGTTTTATTTTCAAATGTTATACTAAATGCCATTTGGTGTCATGGTGTATTATTATTATTATTATTTTTTTGGAGATGGGTACAGTGGCACAATCTCTGCTCACTATAACCTCCGCCTCCTGGGTTCAAGTGATTCTCCTGCCTCAGCCTCCGGAGTAGCTGGGATTACAGGCATGTGCCACCATGAGCAGCTAATTTTTTTCGTGGAGACAAGGTTTCACCATGTTGGCCAGGCAGGTCTCCTGACCTCAAGTGATCCTCCCGCCTTGGCCTCCAAAAGTGCCAGGATTACTTTCGTAATCTGTGTGAGCCATCGCAACTGGCCTATTCCTCTTAATATATTGTTGGATTTAAATTGCTAATAGTAAATATTTGCGCATCTTTGTATGTGAGGGATTTTGGTGTAACCTTGCTGCTTTTTGTCAGGTGCTGGTATTTTTGGCATATGCATTGGTATTCTTCATGCTCAACTTAGAAAATGATTTGGGAAGCATTGTCTTCTCTGTTTTCTGGAAATGTTTGTGTGAGATTGATGCTATTTTTTCTTTAGTGTTTGAAGGAACTTATCAGTGAAAAAATCTGAGTCTAGAGTTTTCTTTTTGGAAAGGATTTTGATAATTCAACTTAAAATGCTTCTCAGATATTCTGTTTTATCAGTTTTGATAAGTTTTGTTTTCAAAGAATTTCTTCTTTTCATCTCAGCTGTTGAATTAGTTAGCATGAAGTCATTAATAATAATCTTTGGCCCTCAATACCTTTGGGATCGTAGAGCTAATTCCCCTTTTATTCTTGGTAATTTGTATTCTTCCTATTTAAAAATAAATTAATTTCGCTTGCAGACTGTCAACTTTGTAGGTCTTTCCAACGTGTTACCAGAAGGGGTCCCAATCCAGACCCCAAGGAGAGGTTCTTGGATGTCATGCAAGAAAGAATTTGGGGCGGATTCATCAAGTGAAAGCAAGTTTATTAAGAAAGTAAAAGAATAAAAGAATGGCTAGTCCATAGGCAGAGCAGTGCCATGGGCCACTGGTTTCCCATTTTTATGAGTATTTCTTGATTGTATGCTAAACAAGGGGTGGATTCTTCATGAATTTTCTGGGAAAGGGGTGGGCTATTCCCAGAACTAGTGGTTCCTCCCCTTTTTAGACTATATAGGGTAACTTGCTGGCATTGCTATGGCATTTGTAAACTCATGGCGCTTGTGGGAGTGTCTCTTAGCATGTTAATGTATTATAATTAGTGTATAATGAGCAGTGAGGATGACCAGAGGTCAGTTTTATCACCATCTTGGCTTTGGTGGGTTTTGGCTCCCTTCTTTATTACAACCTGTTTTATCAGCAAGGTTTTTCTGTCTTGTATCTTGTGCCAGCCTCCTACCTCATTCTGTGACTTAGAATGCATGACTTACTGGGAATGCAGCCCAGCAGGACTCAGCCTTATTTGACCCAGCACCTGTTCAAGATAGAAGCACTCTGGTTCAGAGGTCTCTGACAAAAGGACCAGCTTTGACTTCAAATTTTCTGTTACTTTTCTGTTTCATTTCTTCTGCTCTTATTTTTACTATTTCTTTTTTTTTTCTACTTACTTTGGGTTTACTTTACCCTTTTATATATAGGTTCTTTAGGTAGAACCCTACATATTTTATTTTATTTTATTTTATTATTTTATTTTATTTTATTTTATTTTATTTCATTTCATTTCATTTCATTTCATTTCATTTCATTATTTCATTTCATTTCATTTCATTTCATTTCATTTTATTTTATGACAGAGTTTTGCGCTGCCACCCAGGCTAAAGTGCAGTAATGCAATCTTGGCTTACTGCAACCTCCGCATCCCAGGTTCAAGCGATTCTCCTGCCTCAGCTCAGCCTCCTGAGTAGCTCGGATTGCAGCCATCCGCTACCACGCCCAGCTAATTTTTGTATTTTTAATAGAGAAGGGGTTTCACCATGTTAGCCAGGCTGGTCTTGAGCTCGCGACCTCAGGTGATCCGCCTGCCTTGGCCTTCCAAAATGCTGGGATTACAGCCGTGAGCCACCGCACCCGGCTGCTAGGTCATTCATTTCATATCTTTTTTTCTAATGTGGTTAGGGAACATAATCTGTATGATTCCCATTATTTTCATTCTATTGTGTCCAGCTTTGTGGCTCAGTATGTGGTCTTTCATGGGGAATGCACCAAGTTTACCTGAAAAGAATGTTTATAGTGGTTTTAACATTGCTAGATGATGATGATGACTATTATTATTTGGTCTGGTTTTGTCAATCACAAAGAGGGATGCTAAAATATCTTACCATGTTTGGGGCACTGAGTATTCTGACTGTTTATGCCTTATGCCAAATTTTCCTTCATGTATTTTGAAGCCTTGTTTTTAGGTGCATACATTTATAATTATTATGACTTCTTCATTGTCTGACTTACTGTGAAATGTCCCTCCCTCTCTTTACTATGTAGCCACTCACCATCTTTTTGTTGTTGTTGTTTGTTTGTTTGTTTGTTTTGAGATGGAGTTTTAATCTATCACCCAGGCTGGAGTGCAGTGGTGTGATCTCGGCTCACTGCAGCATTTGCCTCCCAGGTTCAAGCAGTTCGCCTGTTTCAGCCATCCTAGTAGCTGGGATTATAGGTGTGTGGCACCATGCCTGGCTAATTTTTGCATTTTTAGTAGAGACAGGGCTTTGCCATGTTGGCCAGGCTGATCTCAAACCCCTGGCCTCAAGTGATCAAGTGCCCGCCTCGGCCTCCCAAAGTGCTAGGATTACAGGCATGAGCCACCGCGCACCCAGCCTATCCATTTACTTTGGACCTGTTTGTGTCTTCCCTTAAAGTGTGTTTCTTACAGACACCTTGTGATTGAGTTTTACTTTTCTATGTGTGCTAATACACTATTTTTTTTTGAGAGTCTCTACGTCACTACAATCAATTTTAGAACACTTGGATCCCCTCAAAAAGAAGCCCTTTGGCCCATTAACAGTCACTCTCCATTACCCTACTTGCCCAGCTCCTGGCAATCACTAATCTTCATTCTGTCTCCATCCCTATTTGTCACATTTCATATAAATGGAATCATTTGGTGTATTGTGAGTGGCTTCTTTCTCCTAGCATCATGTACAAGCATTTGTTTTGTAGCATTTATTAGAACTTCATTCCTTTTTGTTGTCAAATAATATTCTATTGCATGGCTATACTACATTTTCTTTACTCATTCATTAATTGATAAACATTTAGGTTGTATATACTTTTGCAATATTATGAATAATGTTATTATTATGAACATTTGTCTGCAAATCCAGACATTTGTTTTCAATTCTCTTGGGCCTAGGATTTTTGTTTCATGCTGCAACTCTGTTTAACCTTTTGAAAAACTGACAAAGAGGCTGTAACATTTTAAATTACCAGCAACAATATATGAAGGTTTTAATTTCTCCATCTCTTTGCCAACATTTTTTATTGTTTGGCTTTTGATTTTAGCTATCCTACAGGGCATGAGGTAGTATCTCATTGTGGTGTTGATTTTTACTTATCTTTTTTCATTATATTCTTTTGTAGACAGAGTCTCACTCTGTTGTTCAGGCTGGAGTGCAGTGGTGTGATATCTTGGCTCACTGCAACCTCTGCCTCCCGGGTTCAAGCGCTTCTCCTGCCTCAGCCTCCTGAGTACCTGGGATTACAGGTGCCCGCCACCACGCCTGGCCAATTTTTGTATTTTTAGCAGAGACGGAGTTTCACCATGATGGCCAGGCTAGTCTCAAACTCCTGACCTCAGGTGATCCCCCTGCCTAGGCCTCCCAAAGTGCTGGGATTACAGGTGTGAGCCACCGTGCCCGGCCCCTTTGTTCAATTTTTAACTGGGCTGTATAGCTTTTTATTTCTGAGTGGAAGAGCTCTGTATTCTGGATACAAACTACTTATCAGACATATGACTTGTAAATATTTCTTCCATCCTTTTACTTTCCTGATGATTTTGTTTGTAGCAAAAAAGTCTGTAGGTTTGGTAAATTCTAGTTATTTTTTCTTTTGTTGCCTCTACTTTTATCTAGTGTTATGTCTAAAAACTGTTGTTCAACCAAGTCCTAAAGACTTACCTCCTATGTTTTTTTCTAAAGTTTTATTGTTTTAGCTCTTACATTTAGGTCTGCGATTCACTTTTGAATTAATTTTTTAATATCAGGAAGGGTTTCAACTTAATTCTTTGGCACATTTCTCTAGCAATTTAAATATATTTCTTTACTCTTTTCAGTCTGTTTTTATAGTATTACCACTTCTGACTAATATTGTACAAGTTGTAAAGTATACAAAGCTTGTAAGTTGTTCTTTTATATCACCTCTGTTTGTTGTCAGTTATGCTATTGTCATGTGTGTTGGAACTATGTACATTATAAGCCCCAGAAAACAACAATGTAATTTTGGCTTTCAATAATCATGTAATGTTAAGAACTTAAGAGCTAAAAGTCATCTAAGTTTACCTAGATATTTACCATTTGTGGTAGTCTTCTTTGTCTTCTGAAGATTTGCATTTTCTAGCATCATTTCTCTTAATCCTGAAGAATTTCTTTAGCCTTTCTTGCAGGGCGTATCTTTTGGTGATAAATTGTGCTTGCTTTCTTTTACCTGAAAGTATCTATTTCACCTCTATTTTTGAAGGGCATTGTGGTTGGATATAGAATTCTGTGTTGACAGTGCCTTATCTTTTAGCAAGGGGTATTTTAGTTTATTTTCTTTTGGCTTCCATATTTTATGATGAGAAATCTGCCGTTTATCCAGTCATGGTTCCCTCTGTGTAATGTGACATTTTCTTTTGGTGCTTCAAGAGTTTTCCCTCTGTGTTTGCTTTTTAGCAAGGCATTTGACTATTCGAGGTTTGCTGAGATTCCTGAATCTGTGGATTTGTCTTTTTTCAAATTGAAGAAAATTTCAGCCATCATTTCTTCAAAAGTTCCTTTCCTGCCTCATATTCTTTCTGTCTTCTTTTTTAGGCCTTTGGTTATGTATGTAAGACCTTTTGGTACTGTGCTGTAGGTCCCTGAAGCCCTGTTTTTTGTTTGTTTGTTTAACCTCTATTTTCTCTTTCAGATTAGATTCTTTTTTTTTTTTTTTTTTTTTTTGAGACAGAGTTTCACTCTTCTTGCCCAGGCTGAAGTGCAATGGTGGGATCTCAGCTCACCCCAACCTCTACCTCCTGGTTCAAGCGATTCTCCTGCCTCAGCCTGCTGAGTAGCTGGGACTACAGGTGTGTGCCACCACACCTGGCTAATTTTGTATTTTTTAGTAGAGATGGGATTTCTCCATGTTGGTCAGGCTGGTCTCAAACTCCTGACCTCAGGTGATCCACCCATCTCGGCCTCCCAAAGTGCTGGGATTACAGGTGTGAGCCACCGCGCCTGGCCTCACATTAGATTCTATCTATCGATGTAGCTTCAAGTTCACTGACTCTTCTGTCATCTCAGATTTGTTGTTGTGAAGCTTGCCGAGTGAAATTTTCACTTCACATGTTGTATTTTTAGTATTTAAAAAATTCTATCTTTTTTTTTTTTTAATTTGAGACCGAGTCTTGCTCTTTTGCCCAGGCTGGAGTGCAGTGGTGCGATTATATTACTGCAGCCTCAAACTCCCAGGCACAAGTGATTCTCCTGCCTCACCCTTCTGAGTATTTGGGACTGCAGATTGGTGCTACCATGCTTGGCTTATGGTTTCTTTTTTTTTTTTTTTTTTTTTTTGTTGTTGTTGTTGCTGAGACACCCTGTTTTATTATAGGTTTATCTTTGGTGGGCAGACTTGATTAGCATTTAGCGACATTTTTCTATAAAATTTCACATTATAGACCAGGCGCGGTGTCTCACGCCTGTAATCCCAGCACTTTGGGAGGCTGAGGCGGGCAGATCACGAGGTCAGGAGTTCGAGACTAGCCTGACTAACACAGTGAAACCCCATCTCTACTAAAACTGCAAAAATCAGTCGGGCGCGGTGGTGTGCACCTGTAACCCCAGCTACTCAGGAGGCTGAGGCAGGAGAGTCGCTTGAACCCGGGAAGTGTATGTTGCAGTGAGCCGAGATTGAGCCACTGCACTCCAGCCTAGGTGACAGAGTGAGACTCCATCTCAAAACAAAACAAAACAAAAAAACACTTCACATTATAAAGGAAATGGTATAGTTTGCAATAGAGGAAAGAAATCACTCATAATCTTACCATCCTTACCACAGTCCTATTAATATATTTTGTGGTTTTTTTTTTTTTTTTTTTTGAGACGGAGTCTTGCAGTGTGGCCTGGGCTGGAATGCAATGGCGCCATCTTGGCTCACTGAAACCTCCGCCTCCTGGCTTCACGCGATTATCCTGCCTCAGCCTCCCCAGTAGCTGGGATTACAGGCGCACACCAAGCCTGGCTTATTTTTTTTTGTATTTTTAGTAGAGATGGGGTTTCACTATGTTGGTGAGGCTGGTCTCGAATTCCCGACCTCATGATCTGCCTGCCTTGGCTTCCCAAAGTGCTAGAATTACAAGCGTGAGCCACTGTGCCCAGCGTATTTTGTGTATTTTCTTTTAATGTTCAGTGAATTTTTATTTTATTATTATTTTTTTTTTGAGACGGAGTCTCCCGCTGTCACCCAGGCTGGAGTGCAGTGGTGCGATCTCGGCTCACTGCAACCTCCGCCTCCCGGGTTCACGCCATCCTCCTGCCTCAGCCTCCCGAGTAGCTGGGACTACAGGCTTGTGCCACCACATCCGGCTACTTTTTTGTATTTTTAGTAGAGATGGGGTTTCACCATGTTGGTCAGGATGGTCTCGATCTCCTGACCTTGTGATCTGCCTGCCTTGGCCTCCCAAAGTGCTGGGATTACAGGCGTGAGCCACTACTCCCGGCCAGATCTTTTTTTTTTTTTTTTTTTTTTGAGATGAGATCTTACTCTGTCACCCAGGCTGGAGTTCTGTGGTGTGACCTCAGCTCACTGTAGCCTCGACCCCCTGGGCTGAAGTGATCCTCCGACCTCAGCCTCCCTAATAGCTGGACTATAGTCTCACGCCACCATGTCCAGCTAATTTTTTGTATTTTTAAGTAGAGATGGGTTTCACCATGTTGCCTAGGCTGGTCTTGAACACCTAACCTCAAGTGATCCACCTGCCTCGGCCTCCCAAAGTGCTGGGATTACAAGTGAGAGCCACTGCAGCCGGCCAGACTTTTATAAAAGTTGTATGGTTATAAATGGTTATATAAAATATCTTTGTGCATACATTTTCATGTCTTGAAGATAAAGTATATAAATGATATAAAAGACAGAAAGGTAATTTATACATGCTATATCTTATATTATTTGCTTTGGCTCTCTAAAAGTGAAGCAATTAAATCAGATTTTTTTTCTTGATTCTTATTGCTTAACTGCTGTCCAAAAGAATAGGATTATGGTGTCATCGAAATTATATAAAAATGAATTTTGAGTTTTTTTTTTTTTTGACAGAGTCTCTCTCTGTCGCCCAGACTGGAGTGCAGTGGCGTGATCTCGGCTCACTGCAACCTCCGCCTCCCGGATTCAAGTGATTCTCGTGGCTCAGCCTCCTGAGTAGCTAGGATTACAGGTGCCTGCCACCACTCCTGGCTAAATTTTTTTTTTTTGAGACGGAGTCTTGCTCTGTCGTCAGGCTAGAGTGCAGTGTTGGGATCTCAGCTCACTGCAACCTCCACCTCCCAAGTTCAAGTGATTCTTCTGCCTCAGCCTCCCGAGTAGCTGGGACTACAGCCATGTGCCACCACACCCAGCTAATTTTTGTATTTTTTTTTAGAGATGGGGTTTCACCATGTTGGCCAGGATGGTCTCGATCTCTTGACCTTGTGATCCATCTGCCTTGGCTTCCCAAAGTGCTGGGATTACAGGTATGAGCCACAGTGCCAGGCCTAATTTTTGTATTTTTAGTAGTGACAGGGTTTCGCCACGTTCGCCAGGCTGGTTTTGAACTTCTGACCTCATGTCATCCGCCTGACTTGGCCTCCCAGAGTGCTGGAATTACAGGCATGAGCCATCACGCCTGGCCTATTTTTTAAAATTAAGACCTTTTTTTTTTTTTTTTTTTTTGAGACGGAGTCTCGCTCTGTCGCCCAGGCCGGACTGCGGACTGCAGTGGCGCAATCTCGGCTCACTGAAAGCTCCGCTTCCCGGGTTCACGCCATTCTCCTGCCTCAGCCTCCCGAGTAGCTGGGACTACAGGCGCCCGCCACTGCGCCCGGCTAATTTTTTGTATTTTTAGTAGAGACGGGGTTTCACCTTGTTAGCCAGGATGGTCTCGATCTCCTGACTTCATGATCCACCCGCCTCGGCCTCCCAAAGTGCTGGGATTACAGGCGTGAGCCACCGCGCCCGGCCAAAATTAAGACCTTTTTAAAATTTCTTTCTTTCTTTCTTTTTTTTTTGGTTATAACAGCAATGGGATGTTTGTGATTTTGTTCCTTTTATTCCTTCATCATGTAGTTTTTGAGTTATTGTGCCTAGATAATGTGCCTGATGTTAGGGGTAGCTACAGCCATGAAATGGAGCTTCTAATCTAGCAGAGGAGTTAACTTAATTACATAAATAGCTAATTGCAATTGTAATATATCCCAAGAAGGAAAGCATAGGTAAATCATCATATGGCACCTAACCTCATCTGGAGATTCAGAGACATTGTCTTTGATGAAGTGGCTTTAAGCAAGGACCTGCCGGATACATAGAAATTACCCAGCTGAAAAAGAGGGTACAGTGAATGACAATATTCCATTTAGAGTCAAACTAACCCGTTAAAAGCCTTTGAAGTGAGAATGAGCTCTGGCAAATTTATAGAATTGAAAGAAGAAAAAGCCAGTGTTGCCCATGAAGTGAAATGTTGGAAGGAGAGAAGGTGGTGGAGATAAGAAAAGGCTATATGATATAGGGAAACTATTGAAGTGTTTTTGTTTTGTTTTGTTTTGTTTTTTTGTTTTTGAGACGGAGTCTCGCTCTGTTGCCACGCTGGAGTGCAGTGGTGCGATCTCGACTCGCTGCAACTTCCACCCCCTGGGTTCAAGCGATTCTCCTGCCTCAGTCTCCCGAGTAGCTGGGACTATGGGTGCGCACCACCACACCCAGATGATTTTTGCATTTTTAGTAGAGATGTGGTTTCACCATGTTGGCCAGGATGGTCTTGATCTCTTGACCTCATGATCCGTCCCCCCTCAGCCTCCCAAAGTGCTGGGACTACAGGCTTGAGCCACTGCACCCGGCCTATTGAAGTGTTTTCAAGTGGGCAGTGGTATATTTGGATTGCATTTCTGAAGTTCGTTGTGTTGTGAAAAGTTCATTCTGCAGATTGGTGATAGTTGGTTGAGAGTGAATATTTGGAGACTACAGCCATTTTCCATTATCTGCGGTTTTTCTTCCCTTGGTTTTAGTTACCCATGGTCAACCCCTCTGAAAATAGGTGAGTACAGTGAGGTAGAATCATGTGTTGTGTAATGCAGGAGGGAGGTATGTTCTTAGAAATACCTCATTAGGTGATTTCGTCATTGCACAATCATCTTAGAATGTTCTTAAACAAAGCTATATTGTATAGCCTACTACATACCTAGGCTACATGGTATAGCCTATTGCTCCTAGGCTGCAAACTTGTACATTTCATTACTGAATCCTGTAAGCAACTTAACATAATGGTAAGTATTTGTATTTTTAAACATAGAAAAGGTACACCTAAAATAATGATATGAAAGATAAAAAAAAATTGCACTTGTATAGGGCTTTACCATGAATGAAGCTTGCAGGACTAGAAGTTGTTCTGGGTGAGTCAGTTAGTAAGTGGTGAGTGAATGTGAAAGCCTGGGACATTATTGTACATTACTGATAGCGTTTGGCTGTGTATCCCCACCCAAATCTCATCTCGAATTATAATCCCTATGTGTTGAAGGAGGGAGGTGACTGGATAATGGGGGCAGTTTCCCCCATCCTGTTCTTGTGATAGTGAGTGAATTCTCTGGAGATCTGATGGTTTTGAAAGTGGTGGTTTTTTTCCTATGTACACATTCTCTTTCTCTTGCTTGCTGCCATGTAAGACGTACTTGCTTCCCTTCTCACTGTGACTGACAGTTTCTTGAGGCCTTCTCAGCCATGTGGAACATGAGTCAATTAAACCTCTTTTCTTTATAAATTGCCCAGTCTCAGGTAGTTTTATAGCAGTGAGAGAATGGACTGCTACAACTACCATAGACTTTATAAACATTGTGCACTTAATGTACACTAAATTTATTTTAAAATTTGCTCTGTCATGTTACTATGGCTATTACATCATTATGTCACTAGGCAATAGGAATTTTTCAGTTCCATTTAATCTCATGGGGCCACCATCGTATATGTGGTTGTTTTTATGCAGACTGTATTTTGAGAGAGACCACATTCACATAACTTTTTTATAGTAGATTGTTATAATTTTTTTTAAATTTTTGAAATTGTTTTTGAGTTGGAGCCTCTCTCTGTCACCCAGGCTGGAGGGCAGTGGCACGATCTTGGCTCACTGCAACCTCCCGGGTTGAGTTGCTTTTTGTGCCTTAGCCTCCTGCTTAGCTGGGACTGCGGGTGTGCGCCACCACATTCGCTAATTTTTTTGTATTTTTAGTAGAGATGGGGTTTCACCATGTTGGCCAGGCTAGTCTCAAACTCCTGACCTCAGGTGATCTGCCCAACTCAGCCTCCTAAAGTCCTGGGATTATAGGCTTGAGCCACTACATCTGGCCTGTTGTATTTTATTATTATTGTTAATCTGTTACTGTGCCTAATTTATAAATTCAACTTTTTTATAGGTATGTATGTATAGCAAAAAACAGAATCAAGTGCTCAGTACCATTTGTCATTTCAGACGTCCACTGGGGTTCTTAGAATGTTTCTCCCATGGATAACTGGGGTCTACTGCATTTAAGAGGTGACTGAAGTGGTCCCGATGAAAGGCGATGCTGGCTTTAAGTAGGGTGATAGTGGAGATGGAGAGAGATAGGCAGCTCTCACTAGTATTTCAGAAGAGGAAGGGCACAATACAGTTATGGATTAAAAGTGAGGTTAGGGAGTAAGGTATGAAGTGGTCAAAGATTATATATACTTGGTGTCTCGCATGAGCAATGTGTCATTGAAAATATCATTACCAATATATGGAAAGAGCAGGAAGAGCAGGTTTTGTCATAAATTGTGGAGCGTTTCAAGTGTCTATGTAGGCTGGGTGGTGCGGTGGCTCACGCCTGTAATCCTAGCACTTTAGGAGGCTGAGGTGGGTAGATCACTTGAGGCCAGGAGTTTGAGACCAACCTGGGCAACATGACGTAACCCCATCTCTACTGAAAATAGAAAAAGTTAGATGGAAGTGGTGGCACACACCTGTAATCCCAGCTCCTTGGGAGGCTGAGGCAGGAGAATTGCTTGAACCCTGGTGTTGGAGGTTGCAGTGAGCTGAGATCAAGCCACTGCACTCCAGCCTGGGCAACAGACTCCATCTCAAAATAAAATAAAATAAAGTGTTTATGTAGCATATAGAGTTTATACCTGACCCTGAGGACAGACACAAATAGATAAAATTTGGGAGTCACTGTTATATTTTTATAATTTAGTTGGTAATGGAAATTTGGACAGTGAATAAGATTACCTAGTGTTTCACGTGAAATAAGATGACATCTTGGTCGGGCGCGGTGACTCATGCCTGTAATCCCAGCACTTTGGGAGCCCGAGGCGGGCGGATCACAAGGTCAGGAAATCGAGACCATCCTGGCTAACACAGTGAAACCCCGTCTCTACTAAAAACACAACAAATTAGCTGGGCATGGTGGTGGGTGCCTGTAGGCCCAGCTACTCAGAGGCTGAGGCAGGAGAATGTCCTGAACCCAGGAGGTGGAGCTTGCAGTGAGCCGAGATCACGCCACTGCACTCAAACCTGGGCGACAGAATAAGACTCTGTCTCAAAAAAAAAAAAAAAGAGAGATGACATCTTAGGCCAGAACCCTGAGGAACTTCACCATTTAAAGGTTTGATAGGGTGATCAGAAAGGTGCCACCAAAGAGGGAAAATCAGGAGAGTGAAATACTGAAAGGCAAGAAATACAGCAGTATTAGTCTGTTTTGTGTTGCTATAAAGGAATACCTGAAACTGGGTAGATTATTAATATAAAGAAAAGAGGTTTATTTGGTTCACAGTTCTGTAGGCAGTACAAGCATACTACCACCATCTTTGGGCTGAGGAAGCTTTTACTTATGGGGGAGTGGGCATAGGGACCAGGAGTGTCACATGGTGAGGGGAGGGAGCTAGATGGCAGGCTCTTTTTACCAATCAGATCTCACGTGAACTAACAACAGCAAGAAACTCACTCATTACCACAAGGAAAACACCAAGACATTCATGAGGGTTCTGCCCCCATTACCCAAACACCTTTTGCTGGGCTCCACCTTCAACATCGGGATTATATTTTTACATGAGATTTGGAGGCACAAATATCCAAACTTTATCAATAGCCTCTGTAATTTTTTTTTTTTTTTTTTGAGACACAGTTTCGCTCTTGTTGCCCAGGCTGGAGTGCAGTGGCGTGATCTCGACTCACTGCAACCTCTGCCTTCCGGTTTCAAGTGATTCTCCTGCCTCAGCCTCCCAAGTAGCTGGGACTACAGGCACGTGCCACCATGCCCAGCTAATTTTTTGTATTTTTAATAGAGATGGGGTTTCACCATGTTGGCCAGGGTGGTCTCGATCTCTTGACCTCGTGATCCGCCCACCTCGGCTTCCCAAAGTGCTGGGATTACAGGCGTGAGCCACCGCACCTGGCAAATAGGCTCTATTTTTTTTTTAAATTATTTTTGTAGAGATGAGGTCTCACTTTGTTGCTTAGGCTGGTCTCGAACTCCTCACCTCAAGTGGTCCTTCCATTTTGGCCTCCCAAAGTGCTGCGATTATATGTGTGAGGCACTGCACCCAGCCTCAGTAGGCTTTTATGGCTTATGCCTTCTGTACTTTTAAAACTATTTCAACTTAATTTTCTACTCTAATTTTTGTTGTAATTTATATATGTATGTAAGTGTATATATATTTATATGTAGGGTGTGTATATATGGTGTGTGTATATATAGTGTGTGTATATATAAAATGTGTGTGTGTATATATACATATATAATCAACACACACACACACATATATGTATACACACACATTTTTTTGTTTGTTTGTTTTTGTTTTTTCGAGGTAGGGTCCACTCTGTCACCCAGGCTGGAATGCAGTGGTGCAATCATGGCTCACTGCAGCCTTGACCTTCTGGGCTCAATTGATCAGCCCGCCTCAGCCTGCCGAGTAGCTGGGACTACAGGTGCACCACCACCACACCCAACTATTTTTTTTTTTTTTTTTTTTTTTGTAGAGGTGGAATTTTGCCATGTTGCCCGGGCTGCCCTGGAACCCCTGGGCTCAAGCGATCTGCCTACCTCAGCCTCCCAAAGTGCTGGGATTACAGGTGTGATCCACTGTGCCCGGCCTATATTACGATACTGTATGCTGGAAAACTTCTTTTGGAAACAAAGTGGGATATAAATAATACTCAAGTGCGACTTTCAGGAACATATTCTTCATAGTAAGACAATGCCATTGAAACTTACTGTGTTTCATAAGAAGTAGTAGTACTGGCTCTACATTTATTTCTGCTTTTAAATTCTGAGGATGGGAGGGAGAGGAATCCACAATAAATTTTGAGTACCACTGTGTTTGAATAATAATAGCTGATTAGCCTAATTCCTTTCAGAAGGGAAATCAGCATGCATGAGATCATTTCTTGCCACTTAAATTCAAATTCTAAATTCTTGAGTTTGGCTCTTTAAGAGAAACCAGACCCACTTGACTGCGGTCATCCTAGCTGACCATAAAACAGGAAGTAAACAGGTAACAGGCAGATGTTAAAAACCTTGCCCCATTCCTGTGTTGAGAGGACTTTTTTGTTTTTTTCTCCCGCTCCCCAGGTAAATAATCCCAGCATCTTTGTGTTTTTATTAATGTAAGATTTAAAAACTTGTGGCAGGATTTGTTTTGTTTTGTTTCTTTTAGATGGAGTTTCACTCTTGTTGTCCAGACTGGAGTGCAACGGCGCGATCTTGGCTCACCGCAACCTCTGCCTCCCGGGTTCAATCAATTCTCCTGCCTCAGCCTCCCCAGTAGCTGGGATTACAGGCATGCGCCGCCACGCCTGGCTAATTTTTTATTTTTAGTAGAGACGGGGTTTCTCCATGTTAGTCAGGCTGGTCTCGAACTCCCGACCTCAGGTAATCTGCCCGCCTCGGCCTCCCAAAGTCCTGGGATTACAGGCATGAGCCACCGTGCCTGGCCCGTGGCAGGAGTTTAAAAGTTAAAATGTACTTTAAAAAAATTACTTGTTCGCTGAAGAAGATCACATGTCGTCAAGAACAACTGTTTGTGAAGAATGTTCCTAAATATTCTTGGGGGGCAACTAGTACAAATGCTGCTCTCACATTTTCAGTAGTTTTGAAGTTGCAGGGAAGATATTACATTTTTGATAATCTGAAATATTTCTTCATTACGTGTTTCTTTTCTTGTTTATAGAGATGTGAACTTTGTCCCCATAAGGATGGAGCTTTAAAAAGAACAGATAATGGGGGTAAGTGCAGAGATTTCTTGAAAAAATTTTTATTGAAAACTGGGGCGGTGGAGTATTTTCAAATATCTGGTAGTTTATTTTATTTCATCAAATTAAACAGTGTTTTCTACTCATTTTTAACAGTAGTGGCTATAATTTATGAATCATTATTATGTATTGACCCACAATTTTTCTACTTTGTGGACAAACTTAAGCATTGGCTACTTTATGCAGAATGATTTATTAAATACATACTTCTAATTAAAATTCTTATTTTTTTGGCTGGGCGAGGTAGCTCACACCTGTAATCCCAGCACTTTGGGAGGCCGAGGGTGGTGGATCACCTGAGGTCAGGAGTTCGAGAGCAGCCTGGCCAACATAGTGAAACCTGGTTTCTACTAAAAATAGAAAAATTAGCTGGGCGTGGTGATGCATGCCTGTAGTCCCAGCTACTTGGGAGGCCGAGGCAGGAGAAAAACTTGAACTTGGGGGGCAGAGGTTCCAGTGAGCTGAGATTGCACCATTGACCATTAGCCTCCATGACAGAAGGAGACTGTCTCAAAAAAAAGAAAGTGTATTTTGTTAAATGGATATAGTTTCTTGTGTTAGGAATTTTTTTTGAAAAATGAGCCACATTTTGTTGTTGTTGTTGTTAGACCTAAAATCTGTTGTTTTAGATTCTTTTTTTCTGTTTTGTATATCTCTAGACAGATGATGTTTCTAGTGAATGTTAATTTCATTTAACTCTGAGGATCTTTGTGGCTGGAATATAAAGAAATGTTGACTTTTAGGCTGGGTGCCTGACACCTGTAATCCCAGCTCTTTGAGAGGCCAAGGTAGGAGGCTCACTGGAGCGTAGGAGCCTGAGACCAGCCTGGGCAACATAGGGAGACCTTGGTCTCTGCAAAAGTAAATATAAAAAATAAAAATAAAAAGACTTAGTTCCACATGGTGGCACGTGCCTGTAGTTCCAGCTACTTGGGAAGCTGAGCAGGAGGATGGCTTGAGCGTGGGAGGTGGAGGCTGCATTGAGCCATGGTCACACCACTGTACTTCAGTCCCTGAGATGGGTGAGAGTGAGACCCTGTCTCAAAAAAAAAAAAAAGAAAAGAAAAAAAGAAATGCTGACTTCTGTATCACATTTTGGTATGCTTTCCTATGGACCCTTGTGCATTACTCATTTTCTTCTCTACTTTTAGTTATCTTTGTTAGAGAACTCGTATTTTTGTACATGTAGCTCAGTACTGTTCTGAAATGTGTAGACGTGAGTTTATTAAGCCATGGCATACATGATGCGGCAGCTAAAAAAAGTAGATACTATACTCTTCTCCATTTTGGGTAGCCACCTCTAAAGTAGTTTTGGCATAGACTAGAGTAATGGTGTGAATAAATGGGAAAAATACAATCATTTTGGCTAGCTATATATATTATACAGTTTAATCTTCAGACTATGTTATACAGTCAGATTGTACAAAATTTAAAAATATATTGAAAACCCTTCCTGTTACTCCTCTTCCCCATCTGCCCAGTTTATCAATAGCTTTCCTGCTACCTTATAATTATTTACTTTCTTGCATATCTTTCTAGGTTTCTTTTGCATATTCAGATGTGAATGGACAAATACTTCTTTACTCCCTCCATCTTTATACAAATGGGTTAATATTATATACTCTTCTGCGTCTTAATTTATTTCACTGAACAATTTATCTTTTTTCTTTTTTTTGAGACTTTTCTTTTCTTTTTTCTTCAATTTTCTTTTTTTTTGAAGCTTCGCTCATTCACCCAGGCTGGAGTGCAGTGGTGCAGTCTCCGCTCACTGTAACCTCCACCTTCCCGGCTCAAGCCATTCTCCTGCTGCAGCCTCCCAAGTTGCTGGGATTACAGGTATGCGCCACCACGCCCAGCTAATTTTTATATTTTTAGTAGAGATGGGGTTTCACAATATTGGTCAGGCTGGTGTTGAACTCTTGACCCCAAATGATCCTACTGCCTCGGCCTTCCAATGTGCTGAGATTACAGGCGTGAGCCACCGCACCCGGCATGAACAATTTATCCTGTTATCAGTATAGAGCCTTTTTTTTCCTTTTTAACCATGTTATCTAATCAATCAGTTGTTGATGCACTTTCTGATCTACTTTGATGACTAACTCTTTTATATATGTCATTTTGCTGGTATACAAGTATATCTATAGGATTATTAATTTCCGTAGGTGGAAACATTGGGTCAAAGGAGTTTTGCAATTAATTTTGATGGATAGTCCCAAGTTATTCTCCCTGTAGTTTTACCAATATATGTTCCCAGTTTTACCAATATATGAATAAAAAAGCTGTTCCTTATACCTTTGCTTACCTAACAGGTGAAAGTTTGTATATCCAAGCAGTCGTTTTGCATTTCTCTTAATATTAGTGAAGTTGACATCTTTTAACAGTTTGAAGAGCAATTTGTTTTTTTCTCTTCTGTGGTCTGCTTTTTGACTTGGTTGTTGATCTTTTTTTTTTTTTTTTTTTTTTTGAGATGGTCTCTGTCTGTCATGTAGGCTGGAGTACAGTGGCTTGATCTTGGCTCACTGCAGCTTCTGCCTCCCCCGTTCAAAGGACTCTCCTGCCTCACTCACCTGAATAGCTGGGATTATAGGCACACGCCACCAGGCCCAGCTGACTTTTTAATTTTTAGTAGAGATGGGATCCACTCACCTCAGCCTCCCAAAGTGGTGGGACTACAGGCGTGAGCCACCATGCCCAGCCACAGTTGTTGATCTTTTTAGTTTGATTTATTGGAGCATCCATAAGGAGCCCCTTATATGTTATTATGCTGTTTTGATATGAGTTGGACTAATTTTTGCCCATCTGGTTAGTCTTTATTTATATTGTGCTTTTTAAAAAATTTGTTTACCATGCATGGGTTTTTGATTTTAATTTTGTACAATTTATTAGTCTTTCATGATGTCAGTATTTTGAGTTATTAGTTAGAAAGGCCTTCACTATTCCAAAGTTTTGTTTTTTTTTTTAAGTGACAGGTTTTCATTCTGTTGTTCAGGCTGGAGTGCAAGTAGCAGGATCCTAGCTCACTGCAGCTTTGTAGTCCCGGGCTCAAGTGATCTTCCTGCCTCAGCTTTGAGAGTGTTGGGATTACAGGAATGAGCCACTGCACCTGGTGTAAGCCTCCCATCTTATTAAATGTTTTGTATTTGTCTTTCCTATTCTGGTTTGTTCCACTCGTTCCATTCTACCCTCTCTATTAGCTTTTTAAAAAGTTAATGTTACTATGTGCTTCTTTCCTCTTTCTGAATCCTCTGAAACTCTTAGGATACTGTAAATTCACTTGTCCATCTCCTGACGTATGTTTTATTTTTGTCATGTACTTTCATTCTCTGTTTCCTTAAGAATTATAATGGTTTTGGGCCGGGCGCGGTGGCTCACGCCTGTAATCCCAGCACTTTGGGAGGCTGAGGCGGGCAGATCACAAGGTCAGGAGATCGAGACCATCCTGGCTAACACGGTGAAACCCCGTCTCTACTAAAAAATACAAAAAATTAGCCAGGTGTGGTGGCAGGCGCCTGTAGTCCCAGCTATTTGGGAGGCTGAGGCAGGAGAATGGCGTGAATCCGGGAGGCGGAGCTTGCAGTGAGCCGAGATCCAGCTACTGCACCAGCCTGGGCGACAGAGCGAGACTCCGTCTCAAAAAAAAAAAAAAAAGAATTATAGTGGTTTTGTCAGGTGTTTGTTGAGGATTATGCTAGTCACTTAAAATGAAACAGTTTGTGTAAATTTCGTGTTATTTTTCTTTGAATTCTATATAGAACTTCGTGAGCAACTGAAACTCTTCTGGGAAAATTTTTGATAAATTCGTTTTTTGGCAAAATTATAGGGACATTCCTTTTTCCCTCCTTTCTCTTTTTCTTTTCTTCTCTTTTCTGTCCTCCCTCCCTGTCTCCCTCCCTCTCTCTCTCTCTTTCTTCCTTTTTTTTTTTTTTTTAACAGTGTATCACTTTGTTGCCCAGGCTAGAGTGCAGTGATGTAGTCATAGCTCACTGCAGCTTCAAACTCCTGAGTTCAAATGATCCTCCTCCCCCAGCCTCCTGAATAGATGGGACCACAGGCACACCATGCCTGGCTAATATTTTTTTCTTTTTGTATTTTTTGTAGAGACAAGCGGTTTCGCTTTGTTGCCGAGGCTGGTCTCGAACATCTGGGCTCAAACTATGCCCCTGCCTCATCCTCCCAAAATGTTGGGATTACAGGCATGAGCCCTTGGGCCCGGCCTATTTGTATAAACTTGTCAATTTTGGTGCGCTCTATTTTTTCAAGAAATTTGACTACTTTGTATAAGTTGCTGAAATTGTTGGACTAACATTGCCAATAGTATTTATTTATTTATTTATTGAGATGGAGTCTTGCTCTGTCACCCAAGCTGGAGTGCAGTGGCATGAGCTCAGCTCACTGCGGACTCCACCTCCCAGGTTCAAGTGATTCTCTGCTTCAGCCTCCCGAGTAGCTGGGATTACAGGCGGGCACCACCACACCCAGCTAATATTTTTTATTTTTAGTAGAGAGAGAATCTTGCCATGTTGGCCAGTCTGGCCTTGAACTCCTGACCTCAGGTGATCCACCCGCCTTGGCCTCCCAGAGTGCTGGGATTACAGGCACAAGCCACCGCACCCGGCTGTCAATAGTATTTTAGTATTATTTTGTTAATTTTGCTAGCATTGGTGGTTATTACCCCATTGTTATTCCTGATGTTGGTAATTTTTTTGTTTTTTTTTTTTGATACTGAGCCTTGCTCTTGTTACCCAGGCTGGGTAACTGTGCAGTGGGTACACCACTGGGTACAGTGCAGTGGTGGGATCTCGGCTCACTGCAACCTCCGCCTCCCTGGTTCAAGCAATTCTCCTGCCTCAGCCTCCTGAGTAACTGGGATTACAGGCGCCCGCCATCACGCCTAGCTAATTTTCTGTATTTTTTTTTGTGAGACGGAGTCCCGCTCTTTAGCCCAGGCCGGATTGCAGTGGCACAATCTCGGCTCACTGCAAGCTCCGCCTCCCAGGTTCACGCCATTCTCCTGCCTCAGCCTCCCGAGTAGCTGGGACTACAGGCGCCCGCCACCGCGCCCGGCTAAGTTTTTGTATTTTTAGTTGAGACCGGGTTTCACCGTGTTAGCCAAGATGGTCTCGATCTCCTGACCTCGTGATCCACCCGCCTCGGCCTCCCAAAGTGCTGGGATTACAGGCGTGAGCCACCGCGCCCAGCCAATTTTCTGTATTTTTAGTAGAGATGGGGTTTCACCATGTTGGCCCGGCTGGTCGTGAACTCTTGACCTCAGGTGATCCACCCACCTCGGCCTCCCAAAGTGCTGGGATTACAGGCGTGAGCCACCACACCCGGCCAGATGTTGGTGATTTGTATTCTGGTTTTTCTTTGTTTTTATTTTTATTTTTTTGACCAGTCCAAATAGAATCATTCAGTTGTGTTGACCTTTTTAAAGAAGTTTTGGGCTTCGTTAATTTTTTATGCCATCTCCCTGTTTTCTATTGTGTTAAACTTCTGCTCTTTATTATTTCCTTCCTACTACTTACTATGTGTTATATTTTCCTCTTCTTTTCTAACTTATAAAGGTGGAACCTTAGGTCTTTTGTTTTAGATATTCTTTTCTAATGAAAATATATATGCTGCAAGTTCCTCTCTATTGCTTTTATTGAATCCCACAAGTTGTGTTTTTTTGTTTTTGTTTTTGCCATTGTTGTTGTTGTTTTGAGACAGGGTCTCAATTTGTCACCCAGGCTGGAGGGCAGGGGTGTGATCTCGGCTCACTGAAGCCTCGACCTCCTGGGTCCAAGCGATCCTCCTACCTCAGCCCCTCAAGCAGCTGGGACTACGGGTGCACGCCACTTTATCTGGCTAATGTTTTTGTATTTGTTGTAGAGACAGGGTTTCACCATGTTGCCCAGGCTGGTCTCAAACTCCTGAGGTCAAGCAATTAACAGGCGTGAGCCACTGTCCCCAGCCTGCGTCTCAAATTGTGATAAATTACATGTTTGTTGCCATTCCGTTCAAGACATTTTCCAGTTTCCCTTGTGACTTTCTCTTGACTGCCTTAGTCTACCTTGGACAGAAGTAGAAGTCTTCTGCTGTTTGCTCTTAACATTGATTTTTCCCACTTATTTCTTATTTCTCTTCTGTTCTTTTTGTGATTATTTTTTAGTGCTGTATTTTAATCAGTTTAACAATGCAACTAGATAGTATTGCATTTAAACTTAATTAATTATATTAAATTGCCTTAAATTGCCTTTTTGGCCATATCTCTTCCTATTTATATAAGTATTTATATTTATCTATATAGTGGTTGCTGTAGGGATTATAATTTTCTTATCAGTAAATTCAGTCTACTGAGTGTACCACTTTTTTTTTTCTTTTTGAGACGGTGTCTTGCTGTGTCGCCCAGGCTGGACTGCAGTGGCACTATCTTGGCTCACTGCAACCTCCACCTCCTGGGTTCAAGCAGTCCTCCTGCCTCAGCCTCCTGAGTGGCTGGGACTACAGGCACACACCACTACACTCAGCTAATTTTTGTATTTTTAGTAGAGACATGGTTTCGCTATATTGGCCAGGCTGGTCTGAAACTCATGACCTCAAGTGATCTGCCCGCCTTGGGTATCCAAAGTATTGGGATTACAGGCGTGAGCCACCGCACCTGGCCTGTGTGTACCACTTAACACGAAATGTAGAATGAAACCATATAGACTTCTTTTACCTGTTCCTTTTCCAGTCTTTGCTGTAGTTTTATAGGAAAGCTACATACATCCACAGACCGTACCAGTGTTTTAATATTTAGTGTAAGTGGTCATTTGTATTGTAAATGAGTGTGAAGGCATTATTGTTTTATATGTGCATTATATATTAAATGTACCTACATGTTTATCGTTCTTTATATTTTTCTTCAGTTCTGAGCTTCCTTCTGGAATCATTTTCCTATTGCCCAAGGAAAATTGTTTGGTGTTCCCTTTCATGGAAATCTTTTACATAATGTTTTCTGGCTTTATTTAGTTATCTAGTTTTTCGTTTGATAACTTGCCTTTTGTTTTTAAGATTTTCATTTCTTTCCCTTAGTTTTCTGTAGTTTTATTAATGTTCCTTCGTGTATTTATTTACTCTGATTTATAGTGGTTCTTCAGTCAGTGGCTTTGGGTCTTCTGTTCTGGAAAATTTTTAGGCATTATCAATTCAGATACTGCTTTCATGCCATTTTCTCTCTCATATTTCTCCGAGACTCTGATTACATGTGTGTTAGACCTGCCTGCCTATTACATTTTTCATGTGTCTTATTCCATTTTTTGTATTTCTTACTTTTGTGTTTTGTGCTAACATTCTGGATTTCTTCTTCTGACCTGTTGTGTTCCTACTAATTCTCTTTTCATCCATGTCTAAACTGCTGTTAATCCCACCCACTGATTTTTTTTTTCTTGAGATAGGGTCTCTATCACCCAGGCTGGATTGCAGTGGCACAATAATCATTCACAACAACCTCCAACTCCTGGGCTCAAGCAATCCTCCCACCTCAACCTCCTGAATAGCTGGGACTATAGGTGCATGCCGCTGCACCTGGCTCATTACTTTTTTTTTTGTAGAGATGGGGTCTCACTTTGTTACCTAGGGTGGTCTTGAACTCCTGGTCTCAAGCGATCTGCCTCAGCCTTCCAAAGTACTGGGCTTACAGGCATGAGCCACTGTGCCTGACTGATTTCTAAATTTCCGCTTTACTTCTGGAATTTTAATTTATTATTATAGTTTTCGGTTCTTTGCATCAATTTAGAATTTTGTCTTGTGTGTACTTGATCATAGTAAGCATACTTATTTTAAAATCTTTATCTGATAACTCCAAAATACTGATCTGTTTTGATGTTCGTGTTCTCCTTATTCTCATTCATATTGTCTTGTCTGTCATGTGTTTGGTACTTATTATTGTGCTGGAAATTATATGTAATTAAGAAATTTTAGGCTGGGTGTGGTGGCTCATGTCTGTATTCCCGCCACTTTGGGAGGCTGAGACTGGTGGATCACTTGAGGTCAGGAGTTCGAGACCAGCCTGGTCAACACAGTGAAACCTCATATCTACTAAAAATACAAAAATTAGCCAGGTGTGGTGGTGGGCACCTGTAATCCCAGCTACTTGGGAGGCTGAGGCAGGAGAATTGCTTGAACTGGAAGGAGGAAGTTGCAGTGAGCCGAGATCACGCCAGTGCAGTTCAGCCTGGGCCATAGACCAAGGCTTTGTCTCAAAAAAAAAAAAAAAAAAAAAGGTAGAAATTATTTGTAGCCAAAATGATACTATTTTCTTTTAGAGAGGATGTATGTTTACATCTGCTTCGTGCCTTGGGAGTTGTAATTTCGGATTACCTTCATCAAATTTCAGAGTTTGAGATGGTCAGAGCCCTGGTGTCGTCTCTTTGAGGGTCTATGTACTTTTAGTGTATTCTCATCCCCAGTTTGCCGTTCAGTGTTGCATCTGAAAGGAGGAGAGGGGTTTACTTGTACTCTTTTTCTCTTGGTTGTTTGTGAATGTACATCCCTGTACTGTTGGGCCTCTGAGTTTGTCAAAAGTACCCTTCAGGCCGGGCGTGGTGGCTCACGCCTGTAATCCCAGCACTTTGCGAGGCTGAGGTGGGCGAATCACCTGAGGTCAGGAGTTCGAGACCAGCCTGACCAACATGGAGAAACCCCACCCCTACTAAAAATACAAAATTAGCCGGGTGTGGTGGTGCATGCCTGTAATCCCAGCTACTGGGGAGGCTGAGGCAGGAGAATTGCTTGAACCCAGAAGGTGGAGTTTGCAGTGAGCCAAGATCGCGCCATTGCACTCCAGCCTGGGCAACAAGAGCGAGACTCTGTCTAAAAAAAAAAAAAAAAAAAAAAGAATTGTACCCTTCATCCTCACCACCGCTTTCTCTGAAATAGGCAAATGTTCCCTGGGCAAAAGTGGCCAAAAACTGTGCCTAGGACTTACATTCTTTTCCAGTTTTAGCCCAGAAATTCCTCACTATCACATCAGCTCCTTAATACCTTCAGTCAGGAGACTGAGGCAGGAGAATTGCTTGAACCCAGGAGGCGGAGGTTGCGGTGAGCCGAGATTGCGCCATTGCACTCCAGCCTGGGCAACAAGAGGGAAACTCCATCTCATAAAATATATATATTTAATACCAAATTTAAAACTTTTCCAATTAAAATAGTGAAATGATTGTTATTACTAATATTAAAAATATTGACACCGAGATAAAAATAATTTCATGTTAACATTTAAAATGATTAAGATTATTAAATTTTATCATAAGTATTAAACTTTTAAAAACTCCTTTTATAGTGGTTCTCATTAGTAGTGTTGATCTGAATATTTAGTCTGCCTGTATAAGAAGTGTTAGTGCCAACATCTGAATTTATAAATGTTTCCCTTTGTTTATGTTCCTGTACATCATAACTGGGGAAATGATTAAGAATGCTTTTTTTAGTAGTGGTTTGAGTATCCTCAAGCAATGGAAGTAAGACAGCAATGAGAATTTGTTAATGTCCTTGTTATGCATTTGTTTCAATAGACATTGTAGGGATCTGTTAAGGAAATTAATGATGTTAATTTGCTTTTGATAAAACTGAAAAGATGACATTTATTTATTTATTTTTAGGTTGGGCCCATGAGGTGTGTGCTCTGTATATTCCGGAGGTACAATTTGCCAATGATTCCACAATGGAACCAATTGTTTTACAGTCTGTTCCACATGATCATTGTAATAAGGTACAGTGGATATTATTTTATTACTGTTTGAATATCACTGCTGGGAAATAGAAAGGAAGTCTTTGTGTTTTTAAAATGATAGTTCTCCCCAACCTGGCTAATACGGTGAAACCCCGTCTCTACTAAAAATACAAAAATTAGCTGGGCGTGGTGGCGGGCGCCTGTAGTCCCAGCTATTCGGGAGGCTGAGGCAGGAGAATGGCGTGAACCTAGGAGGCAGAGCTTGCAGTGAGCCGAGAGCACACCACTGCACTCCAGCCTGGGCAACAGAGCGAGACTCTGTCTCAAAAAAAAAAAAAAAAATTGTAGGTCTCCATCAAGTTCAGGGAGATGTGGGAAAAAAATTACTACACCAAACTACAGTTATTAAAATGTTATTAATATGTTACTAAGGTCACAGGAGTACAAAGCAAGCAAAACTGTGTTACCTTTCATAGTAACCTAGGTATGTAGTATTCTACGATTTACAGGATATTTTAATCCTTACAGATTGGCCCTTTATGAATTACTGACCTCTTTTGCTCTTTCAGGTATCAAGAGTCTGTTAAATTTGAATTAATTATTATTTTGCATAATATTCATTACAATGTATCATATTCTTTTTTGAAAAACAGTCCTACATTAGAATGTTACTTGTCCCCCCCCTCAAGTTATTTGTACCCCAAGATACTGTTTTTATTGTTGGCCTTAAAAAAAAAACTTAATGTTTGCTTTTTTCCTGTATATTTTTCTTCATTTAGTATGTTATTGTTTTATTCTCCTCTGCATTTTAGGTTTCACCATTACCCAATGTGCCTTTAAATACAGTTTTACCACTTAATTGAAGGTTCACATTCCAACCGTGGAAGAAATTGCAGCCAGCTTTAAGATTTTAAATGTTTTTGTGCAAAAAAACTTTTTATTCTGTAATTAATATTTATTTTATTTTATTTTATTTTATTTTACTTTTTATTTATTTATTTTTTTTTGAGACAGAGTCTCACTCTGTCACCCAGGCTGGAATGCAGTGGCACGATCTCGGCTCACAGCAACCTCTGCCTCCCGGGTTCAAGCAATTCTCCTGCCTTAGCCTCCTGAGTAGCTGGGATTACAGGTGCCCACTATCACGCCCGACTAATTTTTCTATTTTTTAGTAGAGACGGGGTTTTTTCTGTGTATTTTTGCTTATAATATATACTTATGAAAAAGTTGAATTGTTTTGCTTATATTTTTTGTTTACTTTTGAAAATTACACAGCATCTTTTGTATGTCAATAAATTGTGTTTCTGCTGTATTTTAATAGATATTTAGTCTGTAATACAGAATATCATGAGATTCAACAAACTGTAAATTTAATTAAGCAACCCTTTGTGGTTGAAGGGCCTAGTTTGGTGTCTGGCATTTAGTATACACTGCTAGCATCTCTGTAAAAGTGTGTGAACATTTTGGAAGCTTCAAGAAATACACTGTGTGAAATTGTCCTCTAGAACTTACACTGTATTAGCTGTATGTGAGATTGCTCATAACCCTCTATTATGTTAGGTACACTGTGTTACTCTTAAAAAAACTTTGCTATTCTTTCTAGTAAAAAAAATATTAAAATGTTTGAATGAGTTTCTTTGAGTACTGGTAAGGTTGGTTATTTTAAAGTTTTTTTTTGAAGATTATTCATGTATGTTAATTGACCTTCCATATCTGTTTATTTTAATATTATAATTTTTTTACAAAGTGTTTTATATTAGAGATCATATTCTTTTGTCTTGTATATTTGCTGTGTGTGTTTTTTCCCATAGTTTAACGTTTGGTGTTTAATTTTATTATGTCTTCATAGTTTTTGTTATTGGGATTCTAGCAGGTTAACTTTTTCTAATGCAGAAGTTTACATTTTTGAGGTAATTTACGCAAATGCTCTTTATTGTTTCTGCCTTTGCTGTGCAAAGAAAATCTTCATATTAATGCACTTTTTTTTAGTGCTTTGGAAGTTCATTTTTAAAAACCTTGTTTTTCTTTTTAATTTTAAAAGCATTAAAACTTACAAACAGGTTGCAGGAATAGTACAAAAGAACTCTTCCTTCCCTAAACCATTTGAGAGTAACTTACCAATATAATATGCTGTCACCCCTGAATACTTCAGAATTTCCCATAAAGAAGGATATTCTCCTGGGCATATACAATATACCATCAAAATAAGGAAATTAACAGCGATGCATTATTCCTGTCTGATCTTTGGAACCCATTCGTGTTTTTGTAGACATATTCTTTATAGCAAAAGGATCACAAACTGCATTTTGACTCTTTGGTCTTTTTATTTCTTTTTCTTTTTATTTTTGTACAGAGTCTCTCTCTGTCACCCAGGCTGGAGTGCATTGGCGCAATCTTGGCTCACTGCAGCCTCCACCTCCTGGGTTCTAGTGATTCTCGTGCCTCAGCCTCCCGAGTAACTGGGATTACAGGTGTGCACCACCACGTCCAGCTGATTTTTTTCTGCTTTTAGTAAAGACAGGCTCTTGCCATGTTGGCCCAGCTGGTCTCGAACTCCTGGCCTCAAGTGATCTGCCTGCCTCAGCCTCCCAAACTGTTGGCATTACAGGTCTGAGCCACCACGCCCAGTCCTCTTTGGTCTTTTTAAATCTCAAATAGTAACTCAGTCTTTCCCTGAGTTTCATAACTTTGATACTTCTGAATATTACAGGTCAGTTATTTTGTAGAATGACCTCCTATTTGTATTTGCCTGATGTTTCATCATGATTAAATGCAGTTATGTTTTTAGCAGGAGTATCACATATGTGATTCTGTGTTTTTTGTTTGCATCCTATCAGGTGGTACATGATTTCAGTTTTTCCTTGACCACTTGGTTAAGGTGTGTCTATCAGGTTTCTCCACTGTGAGGTTAATCTTTTTTCTCTTTATAGTCAGTATGGATTTTGTGGGGGAAGTACTTCTCATATAAACATCTTGTTCCTTGCACCTTTTCCTCACTAATTTTAGTATTCATTGATGTTTCTTGACCTAATTTATGACTAGGATTGATGGCAAGTAGTGATTTTCTAATTTCACCTTTTCTTTCACATTCATCAGTTGATGTTCCACTGTAAGGTGAAGCTTTCTTTACTCCCTGATTATTTGTATTAGTATGGACTTACGCTATTTTATTTTAATGGGTCATATTCCACTAATATCATTTATTTTGATGTACATACTGTCTCAGGTTTGCCTGGTGGGACCTCTTTAAGCCGGCTTCTGTGTATTTTGACCTATCATTTCAGAGAAGCATTTCTCTACTTCTGACACAACAGTATAATCTAGGCTCATCTTGTATTATTCCTGCTGTAGTTCTGAAATCACCATTTCTCTGAAGAGCCTTGATTCCGTTTAGGTGAGAATAATATTTAGAAGCCAAAGCGGGTGCTAGGTGTGGGTTATTGCTACTCTCAGTCAGCATGGCTAGGAAATTTGTGTGTGTGTGTGTGTGTGTGTGTGTGTGTGTGTGTGTGTGTGTGTATTCCTACAGAGATACATATTTCTATAAATTCACATCGTATATTGTTTTTATATCTATGTAGAAAACTGTGGGCCAGGCGCGATGGCTCACACCTGTAATCCTAGCACTTTGGGAGGCCGAGGCCAGTGGGATGACTTGAGGTCCGGAGTTCGAAACCAGCCTGGCTAATGAAACCCCGTCTCTACTAAAAATACAAAAATTAGCCTGGCATGGTGGGGCACGCCTATAATCCCAGCTGCTTGGGAGGCTGAGGCATGACGAGAATCACTTGAGCCCTGGAGGCAGAGAGAGTGCAGTGAGCCAATATCACACCACTTCACTCCAGCCTGAATGACGGAGTGAGATTCTGTCTCAAAAAGAAAAAAAATGGGCTGGGCCCAGTGGCTCACGCCTCTAGTCCCAGAACGTTGGGAGGCTGAGGCAGGTGGATCATGAGGTCAGGAGTTCAAGACCAGCCTGGCCAAGATGGCGAAACCCCGTCTTTACTAAAAAATACAAAAATTAGTCAGGTGTGGTAGCAGGCACCTGTAATCCCAGCTATTCAGGAGGCTGAGGCAGGAGAATTGCTTGAACCCGGGAGGCGGAGGTTGCTGTGAGCCAAGATTGTGCCACTGCACCTCAGCCTGGGCGACAGAGCAAGACTCCATCTCAAAAAAAAAAAAAAATTAGCTAGGCATGGTGGTGGACGCCTGTAATCCCAGCTACTCAGGAAGCTGAGACAGGAGAATTGCTTGAACCTGGGAGTCGGAGGTTGCAGTGAACCGAGATTGTGCCACTGCACTCCAGCCTGGGTGACAGAATGAGACGCTGTCTCAAAAAAAAAGAGAACAAACTGTGAGGTCACAATACTTTTGATTCATTATGTGAATATACATACACACTCACATCTCTATTACTGTATCCATCTCTATATATTGAACTCCATATGCTCATATTAACTTTGCCAAATCCAACCCAACAAAACAGGGTTTCATTTTAATTTTTTCCCACGTATTTATGATGCTCAGACAGAAACCTGACTCTCACTATTTTTAATAGTTTACTTATTTGATCAATTTCTCCTGTTTTGACATACCTTCTGTTGCTGCTCCACCTAAGGCAGATGCTGTTCTAACCCAGTTCAGGGTTGCTGCTACTTTCCTGCATGCCAGTCCTTTTCACCCCTCTTGGGATTTGATATTCAGCCTCAGTTCACTGCTTCCACTTTTGTTGATCTTTTCACCTTGCTCTGAGATTGTCCTCACCCCTATCCCCAACCCCTTAGGGAAGCCAGCCTTACTCAGGCTCTTATACTAGTATTGGACTGCCCCCTCCAATATCCATGACCCCCTCATGGATAATTACTATGCTTGAACTCACCTCATGGCTTTTGGGTCTCATTTTGTCACCCAGGCTGGAGTGCAGTGGTGCAGTTTTGGCTCACTACAGCTTCGACCTCTGGCTCAAGCAGTCCTTCCACTTTAGCCCTCTAAGTAGATGGGACTACAAGGCGCACCCATCCCACCCAGCTAAGTTTTCCGTATTATCTGTAGAGTTGAGATTTCATCATGTTGCCCAGGCTGGTCTTGAACTCCTGAGCTCAAGTGAACTGCCTGCTCTGGCCTCCCAAAATGCTAGGATTACAGGCATGAGCCACCACGCCTATGCTAGGATTACAGGCATGAGCCACCACGCCTATGCTAGGATTACGGGCGTGAGCCACCATGCCTAGCCCCATCTCATGGCTTTAAGACTAAAGTGTTGAAGCAGAAAAGGAGCGAGGGTAGACCAAAGAAGGAATTATTTAGATATAAATATTTTATTAGCCTAGAATTAATTTTAGAATATGGTAAGATACGTGCCCAACTTTCCCCTCCCACCTGGTTAGTCAACTTTTTCAACACTATTGCTGAATAATCTGTTTTCCATTGTGATTTGAAATATTGTTTGAATCATTACTAAATTCTTGAATACTTGAGTATGTTTCTGGACTTTTTATGTGTTCCATTGGTGTGTCTGTTTTTATCCTGGTGCCACACTATTTTAAATTATTATAGCTTTATATACATTTTAGTATATGGTAAGACAAATATTGTCATCTATTTTTCTAGATGAACATTAGGACTAATAAGAGCACAATTTAGACTACATTAGAGTTACAGTGAAGTACTGTTTTAGGGATGAATATATTTTTACAGTATTGAATCCTTCCTTCCAGAAGCATGGTGTATCTGTTTATCAAGTTTATTTTTTTCTTCTTTCTATTTCTTTCCTTTTTATAGCTTTTCTTATATGCGATTGCTTTATGTTTGTTGGATTTTTGTTGTTGATGATTTGTTTTGTTCTACTTAGTGTTAGAATAGGCTCAGTGGCTCATGCCTATAGTCCTAGCACTTTGGGACGCCCAGGCAGGAGTATCGCTTGAGCCCAGAAGTTTGAGTCCAGCCTGGACAACAAGCGAGACCCTGTCTCTACAAAAAAGAATAAATTTAGCCAGGTGTGGGGAGGCACACGTGTCTGTAGTCCCAACTACTCAAGAGGCTGCGGTGGGAGGGTCCCTTGAGCCCAGAGGTTGAGGCTGCAGTGAACCGTGACTGTGCCCTGCACCCCCACCTGGGCAACAGAGCAAGACCCTGTCTCAAAAAAGAACAGCAAGCAAAGAAACACAAAACAAAAAAGAAAGTAAGTTAATGGACCGGGTGTGGTGGCTCACACCTATAATTTCAGTACTTTGGGAGGTTGAAGTGAGAGGATTGCTTGAGCCCAGGAGTACCAGACCAGCCTGGGCAACATTCTGAGACCCCACCTCTGCAAAAAAGAAAAACAATTAGCCGGGCATGGTGGTGCTCGCCTGTAGTCCCTCCCAACTACTCGAGAGGCTGAGGTGGGAGGATCTCTTGAGCCTGGGAGGTCAAGGCTGCAGTGAGCTATGATTGTGTGACTGTACTCCAGCCTAGGTAACAGAGTGAGACCCTGTTTCAAAAAAATAAAAAAAGTTAATAAGGTTTTGTTCATATAAATTCTTTATGCCTAATAATGGGGCATGCAATTCTGAAATGACAGGAATGATTGGAAAATGGGCTTGAAGACATCAGTCCTTAATGGATGGTAGGTAATAAAGGATAAGTTTGGGAACATTTATTTACTGGGCATTTACTATGGACCTACTTTGTATCAAGCATTCTGTTAGATACCAGGAATTCAAGGATAAATAAAATAGGGGGTTTCCTCCTCAAGTAGGAAGACAAGTCAATAAATGTATGAAAATTAAAATATATATTACATAATAATAAGGCTGAATGGAGTATTATGGGTAAATAATGAGAAATTATTCTTGTCTCAGGAATTGAGTAAGGCATACAAAGAGCTTCTAGGGCTTTGCAGAATAATTAGGCATTTGACCTTTGCAGAAAATGATCAACTAAAAATTCCAGACAGAGAAAGTGACGTAACCTAGGATAGCAGGTGCAAAGGGAAGAGGTGGCAGGTAGGCATGTTCAGAGAATAAGAAATACTCCTATGTGGCTAGAACATTGTGGAATTTAGAAAAAAATGAAATTTTGTGAGTACTGGGAAAAAATTTACTAGAATATCTTTATTGTATATCTAAATAGCAGAGAATTCACTGTATTGACCTGTTAAATTTTCTACATGTCGTTAAATATATAATGGCCAGTTTTAAAAATATTTATTTCTTTATTTCAGTAGGCTTTTGGGGAACAGGTGGTGTTTGGTTACATGACTAAGTTCTTTAGTGGTGATTGCTGAGATTTCGGTGTACCCATCACCCAAGCAGCGTACACTGTGCCCAGTGTGTAGTCTTCTATCTCTCACCGCATTCCCATCCTTTCCCCCAAGTCCCCAAAGTTCATTGTGTATCATTCTGATCCCTTTGTGTTCTCATAGCTTAACTTCCTTTTATTTATTTCTTTGTTTGTTTTTTTTTTTTTTTTTTTTTTTTTGAGACAGAGTCTTGCTCTGTCACCCAAGCTGTAGTGCAGTGGTTCACTCTTGGCTCACTGCAACTTCTACCTCCTGGGTTTAAGCAATTCTCATGCCTCGGCCTCCCAAGCCCAAGTAGCTGGGATTACAGGCATGCATCACCACTCCCGAATAGTTTTTTGTATTTTTAGTAGAGACAGGTTTTCGCCACGTTGATCAGGCTGGGCTTGAACTCCTGGCCTCAAGTGATCTGCCCACCTTGGCTGCCTCCCAAAGTTCTGGGATTACAGGTGTGAGCCAGTGCACCTGGTCTATTTATGTTTTATAGAAACAGGATCTCCCTATGTTGCCCAGGGTGGTCTCTAACTCTTGGTCTCAAGGAATCCTCCTATCTCAGCCTCTCAAAGTGCAGTCGTGAGCCAGCATCCCTGGCCAGTGGCCAGTTTTTGTAAAATTTAAATCATTGTATCCTATTTTTATATTTTTGACTGCTAATATTTTCTTCTGTAACATGCGTTAACTCATCATTTCACTGACATGTTTTGTTAAAATTACCTTTTAATAAGTTTTCAGAAATGTGAAGATTGTGGCAGCAAAGGGATTTGTGAACTTTTTTGGGGTAGAAGCTTGTATTCTTCAGAGTCAAGGAAGCATTCATTTTAGAAAGCTACAGTTTGCATAGAGAGTAGTTAGCAGATGATGACTATATCATATGTATATGTGTGTGTGTGTGTGTGTGTGTGTGTATATATATATATGCTTTTTTAATAGTCCTTCTTTATTGGATAGCCCTGAAGTAAAGATTGTTTATAAGCATAGGAAGGATGATCATAGGCCAGAGAAACAAACAAAAACATCAAAAAACATGATGTCATCTAATTGTAAGATTAAACCTAATGGAAGGCTTAGAAATTGCTAACCTGTCTCCCCCTTATTTTTTTCCAAAAGTAATAGTAGTGGATAGCAATTAAGTTTTTATCAGTATATTTAGCGTCTGTGTAAAAGATTTTTTTTTTTTTTTTGAGACGGAGTCTCGCTCTGTGGCCCATGCTGGAGTGCAGTGGCTCAATCTCGGCTCACTGCAATCTCCACCTCCCCAGGTTCAAGCGATTCTCCTGCCTCAACCTCCCAAGTAGCTGGGACTACAGGCCAGGATGGTCTTGATCTCCTGACCTCGTGATCCACCCACATTGGCCTCCCAAAGTGTTTGGATTACAGGCGTGAGCCACCGCGCCTGGCCAGGACTTTTTTTTTTTTTTTGAGATGGAGTCTCGTTCTGTCACCCAGGCTGGAGTGCGGTGCTGAGATCTTGGCTTACTGCAACCTCCGCCTCCCAGGTTCAAGCGATTCTCCTGCCTCAGCCCCCAAGTAGCTGGGATTACAGGCATCCACTACCACACCCAGCTAATTTTTTATTTTTTTAAGGCAGATTCTCACTCCCTCACTCGGGTTGGAGTGCAGTGGTGTGATCTTGGCCCAGTGCACCCTCTCTGCCTCCCAGGTTTAAGTGATTCTTGTCATGCCTCAGCCTCCTGAGTAGCTGGGATTATAGGCGGGACCACCATGCCCGGCTAACTTTTGTATTTTTAGTAGAGATGGGGTTTTGCTATGTTGGCCAGGCTGGGCTCGAACTCCTGACCTCAAGTGATCCAGTGGCCTTAGTCTCCCAAAATGCTGGGTTTACAGGTGTAAGCCACTGCACCTGGCCAAGTAAAAGATATTTTTGAAAGCACTAAATATTCTTTATGGGTTTTAGGACTCCCAAAAATGAGGTTTCAGGTAAATAGGGAAGCTAAACATTTCATCTACCTGCCCATTGATCTCGTCCTCATTTCTGGCATGTCCTCTTATATGTACCAGGTCTGTATGGTGGATAGACGTACATCAATCGGTGATTGTTAAAAAATAATATGTGCAAGGATTTTCGAGGTACAGTGAATGTCCACCTAACCTTTAACAGGACTAAGGAAAGAGGGAGGAGGTATCTTAGAAAAGGTCGCAGTTTTTCCTAAGAGTAAGAAACCTCCAGGTGCTGGCTGTGAAGAGAGGAGAAAGGAAGGAACACATGAGTGGCTGTTAATTTTACAGATTGAAGGAGCAAAAGCTTTGAAGTGGAAAATAACAAGGAGAGTGGTGAGCAGGGGGAGGGATTTGGGATGGTGGCAGGGAGAAGGGTGGTATTGTTAGGACCCTGAATGTGCCAGAATGCTGAGAGGGACTGTCAAGGGTCAGATGTTCAGGCACCTCATGCATCATGTTAAGGAGCCTAAAGTTTATCCCTAAAGTTATTGAAGGGTTTTTATGTTCAGAAAGGATATGCTTAGGTCTGTCATTCTAATGGATCAGGGGAAGGAGGATTGGGAGATGGAAGATAGACGAGACAAGAGACCTAGAATCTATTTAGACTCTGACAGTGTCCCAGACACTGGAATGAGGATCTGAAGTAGTAGGAACAACGGGACAGAGACATTCGGTAATATGTAAGAGCTTCAGCTGGTGTATGTAATATGTAAGAGCCTGGTGATCAGTTTAATGTGACAGAGAAGAGGGAGGAAGAAATATCAGAATGGGATTTCCATTTCAAGAATATAAGTACTAGGCTCATCACCACCACATGAGATAGAAAACATACACACACACACACACACACACACACACACACACACACACACACACACACACACACAGTGAGTTAATTGAAACATTTCTTAGAATGAAGATATAGACACTAAGTCTTAAATTCCTGGCTTACGTTCATGGAACATATTACCCTGCTTGTAAAACAAGTCTTGTGTCTACAAATTGTTCACTGGCATATATTAACAAGATGATAATAAGGCCCCCAGATATTCACATTTGTACGAAAGCATTGAATATATTTGCATTTGTCTATACCTAATAAATGTTTATTTTTGCTTGGCACTTTATACTAGTTACTTAGATGAGTGCTTAAATTAATTTTTCTTTTCTGGAGAATGGAATCATTTTGGAAAGCTAAATCTTGCAGTTCTATCGGTAAAAAAATTATTTTGCTCTTTTTTTATACATCAGCTGATTCTCATTTTGAAATTTCCTATTTGACTTCTCTCTGTTGTCTTTGCGTGCTCTCTCTCTCCAGCCCGCTCTCCCCAACCCTAGTTACACATTCTCTCACATTTGGTATTCTCTTTTTCTCAGGAATAGTAAACTATTATTCATTATATTTGTTTCTTGTGGTCTCTCCTCCCCTTCCCCTCCCCTCTTCTTTTTTTCCAACATGGTCTTACTGTTCCCCAGGCTGGAGTGCAGTGGTGCAATTACAGCTCACTGTAGCTTCGACCTCCCAGCCTCAAGTGATCCTCCCACCTCAGCCTCCTGAGTAGCTGGGACTACAGGCATGCACCATTCATGTCTGGCTACTTTTGTTTTTATTTTTTGTAGAGATGGGATCTCACTATGTTGCCTAGGCTGGTCTTGAACTCCTGGATTCAGACAACCCCCCTGCCCTGACCTCCCAAAGTGTTGGAATTACAAGCTTGAGCCACCATGCCTGGCCTCTTTGTGTCTTTTGTGCTTGTCAACTTTATATATTATTTGCTTTCTTACTCTCAACAATTCCAAGACTCAAAGGCCTATTTATTTGATAAGGACTGTGGAAGAATGGCACTATAATATCCCTCATTGTTATTTCTTTTCTCTTAGCTACCAAAGGCAGCAAACATTCCAATCTAAACTTTTGGAAATGGGAGTGTATAGTAGCTAACTTAAAATTGTTCATGAGATTAAAATCTATAATCTCACTTACCAACATTACCTATCTCAGTGCTTTTCTTTTTGTAATATTTATTTATTTAGAGACAGTCTTATTAGTCCATCACCCCAGGGTGGACTGCAGTGGACGATTATGGTTCACGATAGCCTCAAACTCCTGGCCTCAATCAATCCGTCCTCCCACCTCAGGCTCCCAAGTAGCTAGGAGTACAGGTGCCACCACCACACCCAGTTTTTTTTTTTAAATATTGATAGAATTGGTAGAGAGACAGCGTCTTGCTATATAACCCAGGCTGGTCATGAACTCCTGGCCTCAAGTTATCCTTCCAACTCAGCCTCCCAAAATGCTGGTATTACACTCAGCCACTATGCCTGGCCCTATCTCAGTATTTTTTTTTTAATGTTCATTTGGCTTCTGGAGTACTCTAGATGATAGGTATTTATATAATATAATCTGATAAGAAATTGATTAGGAGATTTTACAAAAACTGATACTTAAGGGGAGGATACATTGCTGGGAAACATGGTATCAAAATAAGACAGGTCAAATTTGAGAAATCTCTGATTCTACAGGTTACCCTACAGGTAACTGACTCAATGTCTCAGTCCTAAATTTCCAGGAGAGCCATTCTGATGTAAGCACCTGGATTTAGAAGCTGTTTTCACCTAGACAAACATGAGTACCTAGGCACCATTCCATTATTAGAAATTGAGCATAGATGCTAATTTCTAGAAAAGAGAGCTGGGTTGTCCAGGTGGGCAAGAAGTTGCAGTTTTGATCAGGCTGCTGCTGCTGGTAATTTTTTTCCAGTTACAAAGTTCCAGGATACACAGTTTGCCTCTTTCTCCCCTACCCCCTGCTGGCCCCCCCATTATAGGTCAAATTTATTTTTTTTTTAAAGTTGATAGCATTGACGTATCCTGGAATTGTGACCATTTAAATTCCCAGATAATACACCATGTGATCATCTTTTTATAGGGTTATGTCAAGAACCTTTTGTATGTACCACCTCTTCCCCACAGTGATGAAGAAACAAAGAATGCATGTTAGTTGCAAAAAGTCTGAGTGAAGTAGACTCCTAGATTAACGTGTCTTATGTGACACTAGGAGCATATAGATCATTTTTAAGGGCATATAAGTAACCGTGATGATTAATGTTTACAAATTGGTTTTAATTTTTTGAAACTGTTGTTGTGCCATGTAATCCATTATGGTTTTCTTCACACAAACATTTAAATGGAGTTTTTTCCTTTATCTAAACTCTTAACCAAAAAATTTTTTTCTTTTGTTTTGAGATGGAGTCTCACTCTGTTGCCCAGGCTGGAGTGCAGTGGTGCAATCTTGGCTCACTACAACCTCCTCCCCGCGAGTTCAAGCCACTCTCCTGTCTCAGCCTCCCGAGTAGCTAGGATTATAGGTGTCTACCACCATACTCAGCTAATTTTTTTTTTGTATTTTTAGTAGAGGCGGGGTTTCACCATGTTGGCCAGGCTGGTCTCGAATTCCTGATATCAGGTGATTTGCCCACCTTGGCCTCTGAAAGTGCTGGGATTACAGGTGCGAGCCGCTGTGCTGGCATTGATCGATTTCTTTTATACCTGATATAAAGAACAGCTTTGGGGCCTATTTCCAACTTTATTCCACTGTTTTCTAATTTGTTTGCTTCTGCTTTTTAAAGCTTTAATACTTACTCTACTTATTATGACATTGTTTTGTTTATTAAGAATTTATTTCTGAGCCAGGCGCAGTGGCTCACGCCTGTAATCCCAGCACTTTGAGAGGCCAAGATGGGCGGATCACAAGGTCAGGAGATCGAGACCATCCTGGCTAACATGGTGAAACTCTGTCTCTACTAAAAATACAAAAAAATTAGCCAGGCATAGTGGTGGGTGCCTATAGTCCCAGCTACTTGGGAGGCTGAGGCAGGAGAATGGTGTGAACCCAGGAGGCGGAGCTTGCAGTGAGCCGAGATCACACCACTGCACTCCAGCCTGAGCCACAAAGCGAGACTCCATCTCAAAAAAAAAAAAAAAGAATTTATTTCTGAAATTGTCAAATATATAAAACAGTAAACAACAATATAACAAACACCCTGCGTACATTCATCAACCGATTCTAAAACATGAACAGCTCATAGCCAATTCTTCATACACCCCCTGTAGTAGTTTCCTAGGGCTGCTGTAACAAAATATCACAAACTGGGTGGCTTAAAGCAGCAGAAATTTCTTCTCACGATTAAGGAGGCTACAAGTCTGAAGTCAAGATATCAGCTGGGTTGCATCCTTCTGAGAACTATTAAGGGAAATCTCTTCCATGCCTCCTAGCTTCTGGTGATGGGTGTCAATGATTGGCACGTTTTTTTTTTTTTTTTAATCACCCTAATCTCTGCTTCTGTCTTCACATTCCATTCTTCCTTTGTCTCTGTCTCCATATGGCCATCTTCTTATTAGGAGATCAGTCATATTGGATTAGGGGCCTGCCCTACTCCATCATGTGACCTCATCCTAATTACATTTGCAATGATCCTTTTTCCAAATGAAGTTACTCTCTAAGATACTGGGGGTTAAGGACTTCACATACATTTCTTGGGGACCACAATTCAACCCATAGCAGTCTGCCTTCTGGTCCCCCCAGAATTTGTGTTCTTTCCACATACAGAATAGATGTGCTGTATCCCAGTATCCCCCAAAAGTGTTAATCTATTTTGATGTAAACTCTATAAGTAAGTCTCACATCTTACCTGAATAGAATAAACTCAGAAAGTCCCAAATCTCAACTTCTGAATCATCTGAATTGGCGATGGGTTAAGACGTTGGTTAATCCTGAAGCAAAATTTCTATCTCTGCTGGGCATGGTGGCTCACGCCTGTAATCTCAGCACTTTAGGAGGCTGAGGCAGGCAGCTTACCTGAGGTCAGGAGTTGAAGACCAGCCTGGCTAACACAGTAAAACCCTGTCTCTACTAAAAATACAAAAAGTAGCCGGGTGTGGTGGCACATGCCTGTAGTCCCAGCTACTCGGGAGGCTGAGGCAGGAGAGCTGCTTGAACCTGGGAGGCAGAGGTTGCAGTGAGCTGAGATTGCGCCATTGCACTCCAGCCTGGGTGGCCAGAGTGAGACTCTGTCTTAAAAAAAAGAGAAAAAAAAATCCTTCTATTTCTAAACCTGTGATACATAGAAAACAAGTTATCTGTTTCTGAGATGCAATGGTGGGACAGGCAGAGAAGCATTCCCATTCCAAAAGAGATAAATTGGAAGGAAAAAGGGCTTAAAGCAGGTTTATAAGTCTGCAGGACTAATTCCATTCAGTTCTGAGACTTGAAAATAGTTCTCTGTGGCTTGATATTCTGTTCTCTAGGCCCACTGGCATGGCCTTACCCCTTGGTCCTGGGTTGGCAGCCTGCCCTTTTTTTTTTTCTTATGACTACTTAGTTCCTGTTTTGTTTTGTTTTGTTTTTCTACCTTTTTAATCTTAAGTACAGATGCTTCTTGAGTTATGAGCAGATTACATTCTGGTAAGGCAAGAGGATTATTTGAGCCCAGGATTTTGAGGCTTTAGTGCGTGATTATTGCACCTGTGAACAGCCACTTCACTGCAGCCTAGGCAATATAGTGAGACCCCATCTCTTTAAAAAAAGAAAAGAAAGAAATATACCTTATTTATCTAACACCTTGGCTTAGCCTAGCCTACATTAAACATGCTCAGAACACTTACATTAGCCTACAATTGGGAAAAAATCATCTGGCTACATGGTTCACTGGTCAAGCAAGCATTGGTTGTTTAGTCTCATGATGGTGTGGCTGACTGGGAGTTGTGTCTTGCTGCCGCTGCCCTTTTATTTTATTTTTGAGATAGGGTCTTGCTCTGTCACCCTGTCTGGAGTGCAGTGGCACTGTCATGGTCACTGCAACATCAACCTCCCAGGTTCAAGTGATCCTCCCTGCTCAGCCTCACAAGCAGCAGGGACTACTGCCACGTTGTCAGGGGAAATTCAGCCCATGATATTTCACATGAGTTCTTTTCTATTTTCCCTAAATGTCAGCCGGTCTGAGAAATAAAGGGAAACAGTACAAAAGAGAGAAATTTTAAAGCTGGGTGTCCGGGGGAGACATCCGATGTCGGCAGGTTCCGTGATGCCCCCTAAGCTGCAAAACCAGCAAGTTGTTATGAGTGACTTTCAAAAGGGGAGGGAGTGTACGAATAAGGTGTGGGTCACAGACATCACATGCTTCACAAGGTAATACAATATCACAAGGCAAATGGAGGCAGGGCGAGATCACAGGACCGGGGTGAAATTAAAATTGCTAATGAAGTTTCGGGCACACATTGTCATTGATAACATCTTATCAGGAGACAGGGTTTGAGAGCAGACAACCAGTCTGACCAAAATTTATAAGGCGGGAATTTCCTTGTCCTAATAAGCCTGGGAGCGCTGCGGAAGACTGGGGCTTATTTCATCCCTTATCAACAACAATAAAAGACAAACGTTCCCAAAACGGCCATTTTAGAGACCCCCCCCTTAGGAATGCATTCTCTTTCTCAGGGATGCTCCTTGCTGAGAAAAAGAATTCAGCAATATTTCTCCTATTTGCTTTTGAAAGAAGAGAAATATGGCTCTCTTCCGCCCGGCCCACAGGCCGCCAGACTTTAAGGTTATCTCCTTTGTTCCCTGAACATCGCTGTTATCCTGTTCTTTTTTCAAGGTGCCCAGATTTCATACAGTTCAAACACACGTGCTCTACCAACAATTTGTGCAGTTAACACAACCATCACAGGGTCCTGAGGCAACATTCATCCTCAGTTTACGAAGATGACAGGATTAAGAGATTAAGTAAAGACAGGCATAGGAAATCACAAGAGTATTGATTGGGGAAGTGATAAATGTCCATTAAATCTTCACAATTTATGTTCAGAGATTGCAGTAAAGACAGGCGTAAGAAATTATAAAAGTATTAATTTGGGGAACTAATAAATGTCCATGAAATCTTCACAATTTATGTTCTTCTGCCATGGCTTCAGCCGGTCCCTCCGTTCGGGGTCCCTGAATTCCCGCAACAACATGCCATCATGCCTAAGTTTTTTCTTGTTTGCAGTGACGGGTTATGTTGCCCAGGCTGGTGTCAAACTCCTGGGCTCAAGCTATCCTCCTGCTTCAGTCTCCCAAAGTGCTGGGAAGTACAGGTGTTTGGCTCACTGGCCTGGCCTTCTTTATGATTTTTAAAACGATTTTTCTTGGGTTATTTTCTTAGTGGTTGTTGTAGGGCTTACTATCTTTATCTTGCTAGACTGTACTTAATTGTAGTAAGATGTATAAGCATATCTTTTTTTTCTTAAGCATATCTCATTTTATTGGGCTCCTATTTATTGTACTTGACAGGAATTGCATGGTTTTTTTTTTTTTTTTACCAAATTGAAGGTTTGTGGCAACCCTGGAGTAAGCAAGTCTATCAGTTTCATTTTTCCAACAGCATGTGCTCACTTAGTGGCTCTTTGTCCCTTTTTAAAATTCTCATAATATTTCACACATTTTCATTATTATATCTGTTATGGTTATGTATGATCAGTGACCTTTGATATTACTATGAGGTGAAGTTAATAAATGTTGTAAGTGTTCTGACTGCTGTACTAGCTGGCTGTTCCCTCATCTCTCTCTACTCTCCTCAGGCCTCCCTATTCCTTAAGACACAGCAATATTGAATGTAGGCCAATTAGTAACCCTTTGACAATGCACATAGTCACCTAGGAGCTCTGATGAAGATGTATAAGAAAATGTTCTTTTCGTGCCTGCTAACACAACATCCATCCTGCAGTCCGTGGATCCAGGAGACAATTTGATATAAAAGTCTTATTATTTAAGAAATACATTTTGAAAGGCTATGGCTGCTATATAGAGGGTGATTCCTCTGATGGATCTGGGCAAAGTACATTGAAAACTTTCTGGAAAGAATTCACCATTCTAGGTACCATTAAGAACATTTGTGTTTTATGGGAGGAGGTCAAAATATCAACATGAACGGGAATTTGAAAAGAAGTTGATTCTGTCCTTCATGGATGACTGAGAGATTCAAGACTTTGATGGAGGCTGCAGATGTGGTGGCCAGTAGCAAGAGAGCTAGAATTAGAAGTGGAGCCTGAAGATGTGACTGAATTGCTGCAATCTCATGGTCAAACTTGAAAGAATGTCTTCTCATAGATGAACAAAGAAAGTGCTTTCCTGAGATGGAATCTATTTCCTGTGAAGATGGTGTAAACATTGTTGAAATGACAACAAAGGATGTAGAATATGCCCTATACTTAGTTGATAAAGTGGCAGCAAGGTTTCAGAGAATTGGCCCCAATTTTGAAGAGAGTTTTACTGTAGGTAAAATGCTGTCAAACAGCAGCACATGCTACAGAGCAGTGTTTTATGAAAGGAAGAGTCAATTGATGTAGCCACTTTTATTGTTATTTTAAAAAAGGGCTGGAAGTTCATTAATCACAACCTTTTCAAAGACAGTAGGATTGCTTGAAGCCAGGAGTTTGAGACCACCCAGGGCAACAAAGCAAGACCTTGTCTCTACTAAAAACAAAACAAAACAAAACAAAAACAGTGAAGTGAAAGTGCCACAACCACCACCTCAGTGAGTCAGAAGCCATCAACACTGAGGCAGGACTTTTTACCTGCAAAAAGATAAAGACTTGCAGAAAGCAGTTTTCTCCTGTAAAGCTCCATTGCCCTCTTCCCCCTTTTGCTGTTATTAGAATAAACATCATATATGAAATCACGCCACTGCACTCTAGCCTGGGCAGCAGAGTGAGACTCCTGTCTCAAAAAAAAAAAAAAAAAAAAAACCCAGGCTGGGTGCAGTGGCTCATGCCTGTAATCTCAGCACTTTGGGAGGCCGAGGTGGGAGGATCACGGGGACAGGAGATCGAGGCCATCTTGGCTAACATGGTGAAACCCTGTCTCTACTAAAAATACAAAAAAAAAAAAAAAAAAAATAGCCGGGCATGGTGGTGGCGCCTGTAGTCCCAGCTACTCGGGAGGCTGAGGCAGGAGAATGGTGTGAACCCGGGAGGCAGAGCTTGCAGTAAGCTGAGATGGTGCCATTGCACTCCAGCCTGAGGGACAAAGCAAAACTCCGTCTCAAAAAAAAAAAAAAAAAAGGAAGCAAGCTGGGTATGTGCGTTTAGAGGTGCTGTACATTTTCAGCATTATAAATGAATAGAGATGAGTGGCAGTAGTTTTTTTGGTCCATAGATTTTTGGTATCTTAACTAGTTTTGGTCTCTTCCACTAAAGGGATTGCCTGTTCAACGTTGTTAGGAATGTAAGTACTGAAGGCAAATTGCCTGGGTTTGAATTTTGTTCTGTCCCTTGCACCCTGCCTGGTTTCAAATCCTAGCTCTGCTTATTAAGTTCTTTTAAGGTGATGATCTTTGAGCAAATGTCTTAGGTTCTGCTTTCCCAGTAAATGGATACAATAGTTGCTACCTTGTGAAAGATTCATGTAATTGACCAGCGTTTACCAAGTAGCATCAGTGTTTAGTTTCAGTCATTGGTGATTCTGCAGTTGGACTGTGAGGGGGTATTGGGGTGGGGGGTGGTGTGTGTGTAGCACTTAATTGCAGGCAGGAAGGAAAAGATACTTTTGATAACCGACAGGCAGCTTTTCTCTGCTTTTGTGTCAAAAGGGAGGAAGGGAGTTTGGAGAGGGAAATGAATTCTCTGTAACACTAAGCTCTCTTCCTCAAAACCAGAGGTAGATAGAATGTGTAATAAATTTACAGAATTTCTAGACTGAAACAGTCTGATTTTTTAAAATTTATCTTTATTTTTTCAGGTTGAGACTGAGCTAAAGTTAATCTGCGGCGATGTTCTGGATGCACTGGACAAACACCTCATTCCAGCAGCTACCACTGGCAAGTCCAAGGTTTTCTATTATGAAATGTAGGTTCTATACTAGAAAGGAAAATGTAAGATTAAAAGTTGGCCTTTTTAGAATCATGACTTTCTTCTATGTAGGTTTCCAACTTTTATTTACAAATAATTGTTTAATGTTAGAAGGATAGTTGATGTTGGAATAAAAAGATGGTCAGGCTATTATAAAAATGCATTAGCTTTTGCTTTACTTATTTATATTGTTTTGCTTTCATGGGACCTATCTCATTCCCCTCCCCTAAATGGCCACATATTGCACAGTGCTGGCTGAATGTTTCATGTAGAAATTTTATTTTATGATTAATACACTTGTGCCATTTCTTGGAACCACTTGCTTGTTTAATTCTAGTCTATCAAGCGATAGTTTTGCTGATATTTAGAGGCTCCTCAGTTAATCTCTGTGGGATTTTTGGTTACATTTAATAAGGAAAATAGTATGAAATGTCTAAGAAAAAAATGAAATGAAGCCAAATATTCCTGAGTGTTTAAAATTATTGAAGTACACTTGTTAATTGTTACGTATATTTTTTGTCACATATTTTATATTATATAGAACAATTTTAGCTCTTTTACTTTAAAAATCATTGTTCCTGGTTTAATTTTTTTTTTTAATTTTGCTGTAGGAAAGGGGTCTACCACAGGTATCTGGCAGAATTTGCCACAGGAAATGACAGGAAGGAGGTGGCAGAGAACAGCTTGGTGGCTTACAAAGCTGCTAGTGATATTGCAGTAAGAGAACTTTCACCAATGCATCCCATTCATTTATGTCTTGCTCTCAATTTTTCCATATTCTCCTGTGAAATTCTGAATTTCCCTGACCCTGCCTTCAGGTAAGATGTGGGGAAGAACACAAGCTGTCAGTGTGAAAGTGAAGAAGGATAGCCATTTGAGTGTTCCGTCTTGTTTCTTGGGACTGCCTTTGTAGGCCTGGCTGCGTAGTAATTCCTAGGCTCTTAGTTGAAGCTGCTTTGTATTAAAACAGACCTATCTCAACCCAGTAGCTTAGCAGTCAGGATAATTATTTTGATGTGGCATATTGTTGTTGTTAGTAGACTGAAAAGAAATCTAACATGTTAATATAACTAGAGGAAGGAAATGAGAGAAAATTATAATAGAATTATCTTAATTTTTGTATATTAGTGTTCAGTCTTTGTGGGCATGTTTTTAATAGTTATTCTCCTAGCAAACATCATTTTATATTTTCTGTTTTAGCATAAACAAGTTTCATTCTTACTGATGTGTGTTAAATTGTTCCCCCTTTTATACTTCAGCTTGTTCCCAGTTTTTGATAATGTAGATACAAATTTAAGGAATATTTATATGTATATAACTTTTTACTTTTAAAAAGTTGTGACAAAATATACATAAAGTTTATCATTATAGCCATTTTGAAATGTACAGTTCAGTGGCACCAAGTACATCAATAGTGTTGTGTAAACACCACCACTATGTGAAAACTTTTTCTTCACTCACACAAAACAAACTATAGCCATTAAACAATAACTCTTCATTTCCCCCTCCCCAGCTGCCAGTAACCTCTATTTTACTTTGTCCCTATGAATTGGCCCATTTTAGATACCTCATAGAAGAGGGATCATATAATATTTGTGCCTTGTGGCTGTCTTTATTTCAGTTAGCATAATGCTTTCAATGTTTTGTTAATATTAAGCGTGGATCAGAGCTTCAGTCCTTTTTATGACTGAATAATAATCCATTTTATGTATTTTTCACACATCGTTTAGCCATTGAACTTTTGATGGACAGTGAGTTTCTTTTCACCTTTTCCTATTGTGTGACTAATGGTGCTATGAACATTGGTGCACTATTTGCTTGAGTTCTTGTTTCAATTCCACCTGGGAGTGGAAGTGGAACAGATAATTACTTTCTTTTAAGACACAGGATCTTATTCTGTCCTTGCAGTGGTGCAATCATAGCTCACTGCAGCCTTAACTTCCTGGACTCAGGTGATTCTCCTGCCTGAGCCTCCCAAGTAGCTGGCACTAGAGGCTCGTGCCACCATGCCTGGCTCATTTTTAATTTTTTTTTGTAGAGGCAGGGTCTCGCTATGTTGTCTAGGCTGGTCTTGAACTCCTGGCCCAAAGTGATCCTCCTGCCTCAGCCTCCCAAAATGCTGGCACTACAGGTATGAGCCACTGCACCTGGCCTTTTTGCCCATTTTTGAATTTGTTTTTTTGTTTGAGTGTTTGGAGTTCTTTATCTATCCCAGATAGTAATCTCTTTGTGAGTATTTTCTCCTGTTTGGTAGGCTGTCATTTTGCTTTGTTGATATTGCTTTTTGTTTTTTTCTTTTTGAGATGGAGTCTCACTCTGTCTCCCAGGCTGGAGTGCAGTGGTGCGATCTCGGCTCACTGCAACCTCTGCCTCCTGGGTTCAAGCGATTCTTCTGCCTCAGCCTCCCAAGTAGCTGGTACTACAGGTGCGTGCCACCTCACCTGGCTGATTTTTTTTTTTTGTATTTTTAGTAGATGGGGTTTCACTGTGTTGGCCAGGCTGGTCTCGAACTCCTGGACTGAAGCTATCAGCTTGACCTCACCTCCCAAAGTGCTGGGATTATAGGCATGAGCCACTGCACCTGGCCAAGAAGAAAAATTATCTCTGTTTGCCCATTGATTTTCTATGTAGAGAACCATAAAGATTCTACAAAAAATTGTTAGAGCAAATAAACCAATTCAGCAAAGCGCAAAAATCAGTTGCATTTATATACGATAGCAATAAACAGTCCAGAGAAAAGAAAATCATTGTAATAGCATCAAAAAGAATAAGGCACTTTACAATAAATTTATCCAAGAAGGTGAAAGACTCACACACTGAAAATGATAAAACCTTGCTGAAAGTAATTAAAGAAGACATAAATAAATGAAAGACATCCTATGTTTATGAAGGAAGACTTAATATTATTATGATGTGTCAAGACTATCCAAAGCAATCTACAGATTCAATGTAATCGTTCTGAATATTCCAATGGCATGTTTGATTTTCTTTCTGAAATAGAAAACTCGTTCTAAACCTCATAGGGAATTTCAAGGCACCCTCCCTGAATAATCAAAACAATTGTGAAAAAGAAGAAGAGTTGGAGAACTTGGCCGGGCGTAGTGGCTCACGCCTGTAATCCCAGCACTTTGGGAGGCCAAGGCAGGTGGATCACAAGGTCAGGAGATCGAGACCATCCTGGCTAACACAGTGAAACCTCGTTTCTACTAAAAATACAAAAAAATTTGCCAGGCGTGGTGGTGGGCACCTGTAGTCCCAGCTAGTCAGGAGGCTGAGGCAGGAGAATGGCGTGAACCCGGGAGGCAGAGCTTTCAGTGAGCTGAGATCATGCCACTGCACTCTACCTGGGCAACAGTGAGACTCCTGTCTCAAAAAAACAAAACAGGCTGGGTGCAGTGGCTCACACCTGTAATCCCAGCACTTTGGGAGGCCCAGGTGGGTGCATCTCTTGAGGTCAGGAGTTCGAGACCAGCCTGGCCAACATGGTGAAACTCCATCTCTATTACAAATACAAAATAGCTGGGCATGGTGGCGTGCACCTGTAATTCCAGCTACTCGGGAGGCTGAGGCAGGAGAGTCACTTGAACCCAGGAGGCAGAGGTTGTAGTGAGCCAAGATCACGCCGCTGCATTCCAGCCTGGGTGACAGAGTGAGACTCTGTTTCAAAAAAAAAAAAAAAGGAAAAGAAAAACCAAAAACTGTGATACTAGCATAAGGACAGATATCTAGATCAATGGGGTGAAATAGAGGGCCCAGAAACAAACCCTCACGTCAGTGGTCAGTTGAGTTTTGAAAAGGGTGCCAAGATGTGCTGGGCACAGTGGCTCACACCAGTAATCCTAATACTTTGGGAGGCTGAGGCAGGAGGATCACTTGTGGTCAGGAGTTTGAGACCACCCTGGCCAATATGGCAAAACCTTGTCTTTACCAAAAATACAAAAATTAGCCAGGCGTGGCGGCGCATGCCTGTAATCCTAGATACTCGAGAAGCTGAGGCACGAGAATCACTTGAAGCTGGAAGGTTCAAGTTGCAGTGAGCCGAGATTATTCCACTGCACTCCAGCCTGGGTGACAGAGTGAGACTCTTGAGAAAGAAAGAGAGAGAGTTGAGGTTGCAGTGAGCCAAGATCACTCCACTGTACTTCAGCCCGGGTGACAAAGTGAGACGAGAGAGAGAGAGAGAGAGATAGAAAGACAGAGAAAGAGAGAAGGAAAGAGAGAAGGAAGGAAGGGAGGGAGGGAGGAAATAGACAGAGAAAAGAAAAGAAAGAAAGGAAAGAGAGATGTGCCAAGACCATTTAATGGGGGGAAAAACAATCTTTTCAATAAACAGTGCTGAGAAAACTGAGTATATGTAAAAGAATGAAGTAGGACTCTTACCATACACCATATATAAATTTAACTCAAAATGGATCAAAAACATAGGAGCTAAAATCATGAAACTCTTAGAAGAAAACATAGGGGAAACCCTTGAAAACATGGGATTCAGCAATGTTTTCTTGGATATAACACCCAAAGCACAGGCAACACAAGAAAATAGATAAATTGATCTTCATCAGTTGAAGAACTTTCATCAAAAAACACTATGAAGAGAGTGACAAGAGGCCAGGTGTGGTGGCTCATGCCTGTAAATCCCAGCATTTTGGAATGCCAAGGTGGGAAGATCAGTTGTTCCCAGGAGTTTTGAGACCAGCCTGGGCAACACAGGGAGACCCCCATCTCTATAAATAAAAAAAAATAAAAAATAAAAAATTAGCTGGGCATGGTGGCATGTGCCTGTAGTCCCAGCTACTTGGGAGGCTGAGGTGGGAGGACCACTTGAGCCCAAGAGGTCGAGGCTGCAGTGAGCCATGATTACACCACCGCACTCCAACATGGGTGACAGAGTGAGACCCTATCTCAAAAGAAAAGACCAAAAAAAGTGTGAAAAGACAACTGACAGAATGAGAGAAGATATTTGCAAATTGTATGTATAATGAGGGATTAATATCTAGAACATATTAAAAAAACTCCTACAACTCAACAATTACAAAAACAAGGAAGCCAATTCAAAACTGGGCAAAAGGCTTAGACATTTCCCCAAAGAAGACAAGCACACATGAAAAGAAGCTCCACATCACTGATCACACCAGGGCGGTGGCTCATGGTGGAGGGAGAATGGTTTGAATCCAGGAATTTGAGACCAGCTTGGGCAACATAGTGAGATCCCATCTTTACAAAAAGTAAAATAAAACTCAGCCAGGCATGGTGGTGCACACTTGTGGTCCCAGCTACTCTGGGTGGGGCGCCGAGGCAGGAGGATCGCCTGAATCCAAGGAATTCAAGCTTGAAATAAGCTATGATTGCATCACTGCACTCCAGCCTGGGCAACAGAGCAAGACCTTGTCTCAAAGAAAAGAAAAAGAACTCAGTCTAAACTCAATTTTCATCCTTCTGTGTTCCCTACACATTTGCAAGATACCACACCATTATTCATCATTAAACAGCAATGGCTGCATAACTTTCTAGCCTTCAGATGGCCATAGTGAAATTTATTCACCCTTTCTTGGTCATGTAGGTCATTTCTCTCTTTTTTTTTTTTTAAGTGTCTTGCTATTGGCTGTTTATTAGTCTTTGCTTTCTGAATCATTTCTGCTTCGGGTCCTGTGGCCCTGCTTGGCTCCTGCCCCTTCTTTCCATTGGCTGCCACCTCTCCCTTCTTCCTTTCCCACTGGGTCAGGGACTTCCTGGGAAAGACACGTCTGGCTTTGTGTGCCTTGCCCATAGCCATGGTTTTACCATGTGATGTCACCACATCACTGACACTTGACTTAAGGAGATGAGTCATAACTTGTGCTGTCATTTCTCTCCTGAGAAGCTAAATTAAGAGATACAGGAAATGCTCCTGAGCAGCCCTGGAGAGCCAAACTGAAAAGCCACTCACACTTGGGGTTGAGGCCACCGATTTTATTTTATTTTATTTTATTATTTTATTTTATTTATTTTATTTTATTTTATTTTATTTTATTTTATTTTAGTATTGTAGTGTAGTGTAGTGTAGTGTAGTGTAGTGTAGTGTATTGTAGTGTAATTTTTGAGACAGGATCTCACTCCGTTGCCCAGGCTGGAGTACAGTGGTGCGCTATCGGCTCACTGCAGCCTCTGTCCCCCAGACTCAAGCGGTCCTCCTACCTCAGCCTCCTGAGTAGCTGGTACCAAAGGTGGATGCCACCATACCCGGCTAGTTTTTTGTATTTTTCGTAGAGACGCGGTTTTGCCGTATTGCCCAGGCTGATCGTGAACTCCTGGGCTCAACTGATCCACCTGCTTCAGTCTCCCAAAGTGCTGGAATCAAAGATGTCAGCTATTGTGACCGGAGGCTACCATTTTGCATCACCCATGTACTGATGGATCAGCCTAGAAAGTGTGTTGTGACAACTCAAGCGTCAGTTACAGATTAATGGGTAAAGAAATGGTGGTAGAGACATACAAGACAATAACATTCAACCCCAAAAAAAGAAGGGAATCTTGCCTTTTGCAGCTACATGGATGGACCTGGAGGACATTATGCCAAGTGCAATAAGCCAGGCACAGAAGGACAAATACTGCATGGTTCCTTTTTTTCTTTTTTTGAGACGGAGTCTCGCTCTGTCGCCCAGGCTGGAGTGCAGTGGCGCGATCTTGGCTCACTGCAAGCTCCGCCTCCCCGGTTCACGCCATTCTCCTGCCTCAGCCTCTTGAGTAGCTGGGACTTCAGGTGCCCGCCACCACGTCCGGCTAATTTTTTGTATTTTTAGTAGAGATGGGGTTTCATCGTGTTAGCCAAGATGGTCTTGATCTCCTGACCTCGTGATCTGCCCACCTCGGCCTCCCAATCACAAAGTGCTAGGATTACAGGCGTGAGCCACCGCGCCCGGCCGCATGGTTCCATTTTTATGAGGTATCTACAACAGTGAAACTCACAGAAGCAGTGTATACAATAGTGGTTAGCAGGGGCTGGAGGGTGGGCAAAACGGGGAGTTTTTCCATGGGTGTAAAGTTTCAGTTATGCTAGAGGAATACGTTCTAGAGATCTGCTGTACAACACAGGGCCTATGAATAACAATGCTGTACATTTCAAAATCTGTTAAGTGGGTAGGTCTCTTGTTGTGTTGTTACCACACACGGGAAAACCCAAAACAAAACCAAAACCAAAGAGACACAAGGAAACTTGGGGAGGTGTTGGCTATGTCTATTCCCTCAGGGTAGTGACAGTATCATGGGTGTTTGCAAATGTCCAGACTTACCAAATTGTACACATTAACCACGTGCAGTTCTGTGCATATCAGTTATTCCTCAATAAGGCTGTTTCTTTTTTCTGTTTTTGAGACGGCGTCTCATTCTATCTCCCAGGCTGGAGTGCAGTGGTGCGATCATAGCTCGTTGCAGCCTTGAATTCCCAGGCTCAAGTGATCCTCCCGCCTCAGCCTTCAGAGTAGCTGGGACCACAGGCATGTGCTACCAGGCTTTGCTAATTTCTATTTTTTTAATTTTTTGTAGAGATGCAACCTCGATATGTTGCCCAGGCTCTTCTTGAACTCCTGGGCTCAAATTATTCTCCTGTCTTGGCCTCTTAAAGTGCTGGGATTATAGGCGTGAGCCACTGCGCCTGGCCTCCTCTCTCCCTTTTTCTGTTCAGGATAAGCCAGTGGTCCCTGGGGTCCTTTCTCATCTGTACCCCAGGAGTCTTCTGGAGCTGAACCGAGGCTCTTGCACACGCACATCTGGGCTTGGACCCAACATCATCAGAACTGACGCTCTAGACACATGGCTTCGACTCCTTTCATAAAACGTCCACATCAGCAGCTTTTACCCATTTGTTCAACAAATACTCATTAGCAGGCTCCTGTTCCCTCAGCCTTGGTGTAGGCCCTGGGGTTACTGGGGGTAATGGTGGGTATGGCCCCTACTCTCATGAAGGTTAGTGGTGAGAGAAAGGAAGAAATAACTACACAAGATGCTTTTGGTGATGAACGCCCTGAAGAACAGAAAGCAGGGAGATGTGGAAGTGCCTGGGGTTGGCAGGGCAGGCCTCACAGGGGCACTTGAGTTGAGACCTGGACGATAGATCACGTCAGAGTACCAAGCGGGGCTGTTTGTCACAAACAACAGTATCCCACTCTGGTTAACATAAGCAGAAAAGGAATGCATGGGAAGGGGTGTCAGGTGGTTCAGAGAATGAGCTGGAGGCCTGGAGAGTTGGGCCAGCACACAGGGGCTTCCTAAGGGAGTCGGCAGCCAGAACCTTCAGCGGAGTCATGCTGCAGAGGGATCTGGTGGGGACCGAGCTGCCGCCACCCTGGATACTGGATGCCATTTGGGCCTTGAAGGCCAGACCCTCTGGCAGGCCCCCAACAGAGGGACCTTCAACCTGGGCCTGCTGACCTGCCCCAGATGACAGGTTTGTCTTCTACTGGGCGTCTTTTAGAACTCAAGACGGCTTCCCATCTCACGCATAGTGAAAGCAACAGTCTTTATAAAGTTCTACATGTAGCTGGTGCAGTGGTTCACGCCTGTAATCCCAGCACTCAGCACTTTAGGAGGCTGTGGTGGGATTGCACGAGCCCAGGAGTTCAAGGCCAGCCTGGGTAACATAGCAAAACCCCATCTCTGCGAAATAAAAATTAAAAGAATAGCCAGGCATGATGACACATGCCTAGTCTCATCTACTCAGGAGGCTAAAGCAGGAGGTCAAGGCCGCAGTGAGCCATGATCACACCACTGCACTCCAGCCTGGGAGATACAATGAGAACCTGTCTCAAAAAAAAAAAAAAGTTTCTACATGACTTGGGTCCGATCCTCTGCCCCCATCCATTGTTCTTCCCTTGCCCCATCCTGCTCTGGCCACATTGGCCACTTTGCTTTTCCTCAGTCATGCCAAGCATGGCTCTGCCTTCAGAACCTTTTCCCCAGGTGTCCCCATTGCTCCCTTCCGCCCCTCCAAGTCTTAGCTCAACACTTACCTTGAGGCCCGCCCGACCTGCCTATTAAGCATAACCTTGCCTGCCCACCCAGTTCCTTTATGCTCATAGTTTTTGCTACTGGTCACCTTCTAACATACCATTATTGTGTCTTCATAGATGATCTCCCTGATGACTGTCTCTCAGGGGCCCAGGCAGGGACTGACGTTAGAGTCAATACTCCACAGCTGTTTGTTGAATGAGTAGGTAACAGCATGGCTGGCTGGTCCTGGTGCAGAAAGTCTTGGGAGGCCTCAGTTTGCGTCGTGCTTCTGTCATCAGCCAGCTGTGTGATTCTGCACAAGTATTTTAACCTCTCTGGGCCTCAGTTTCCCCATCTGTAACTTGGGGGCCTACCTCAAATGGTTCCTGGTGAAGAGTAACAAGACCATACCCTAAGTTCCAGTTGCCTTTTCCTCTGCCTTTCCACCTTCCCCTCCAGCCCCTCCAAGTCTCTTTTGTTAAGACAGGGTCTCACTCTGTCACCCAGGCTGGAATGCAGTGATCTCGGTTCACTGCAGCCTCTATCTCCCAGGCTCAAGTGAAACCCACCACAGCCTCCCAAAGTGCTGAGTGCTGGGATTACAGGTGTGAAACACTGCACCAGCTACATGTAGAACTTGATAAAGACTGGCTTTCACCGTGTATGAGATGGGGAGCCATCTTCAGTTCTAATGCAGCTGGGACTACAGGTGCGTGCCACCACACCCGGCTAATTGGTTTTGTGTTTTTTTTTGTTTGTTTTCTGTTTTTTTTGTACAGACGGGTTTCTCCATGTTGGCCAGGCTGGGCTCGAACTCCTGGTTTCAAGTGAACCTCCCAACTTGGCTTCCCAAAGTGCTGAGATTACAGGCGTGAGCCACCATCCCCGCCCCCTCAAAATCTGTTAGGACGACAGTCTCGCCAAGGCAATGCAGTCGCAATATGCCGTTTCCATTGCAATCACAATATGACATTTCCATTTACTTTGGATTATACGTCATTATGAATATTAACAAGACTTAAAAAGGACACCTTCGGGTATGTCAGATGAAAGTACAAAAATTGCGTTGTGGGGCTGCAGTTTGAGGACAGTGTCTGCAGCCGTCACGTGGTAGCAAAACGGTGTTAAGCATTGCAGGAGAGTCTGCATCTACGACAGCCAGAGTCCATACGTCGGGAGGTTTATTTGGTTTGAGAGGGAACAACAGGCAGGATGGGCACCACCCGGGGCTGGACAGTCAGGCGGGCTAGGGTGCGGTTCCTCGCACTCGCCACTAGAGGTGAGGCGTTTACCGCTTCAGGGCTGGAAGATGGGCCCTCGGGGACTGGCTACTGCTGGCCCGGGGCGGAAACCTGGGCGGGGGTTGGATGCGACGCCTCAGGCGGCCCCCCTGGTTACTGACACCCGACTTTGGCATGACTTTATTTGTTTTTCCCCCCATCAGATTTCCTGTCTTTGTGGGCTGATGGACTAGAGGAAAGATGCCTGTTGACGGTCAAAGGCAGAGCCTCTTCGGCAGCTTCTTAAAGCGCCTTCTTTAACAGAGAAACAATCTGCATGGGGTCTAGAACGGTTCTGAAATCCTGCTGAAGGTTTCGAAACTTCCTGGGGGGGGTCTCCTGCCAGAGCGCCTACGCTGCCTCTGGGCTGGCTGGCCAGTGAGCCCCGTCTCACAGCCTGACAGTCCCCACATCAGCCCGGACCGTCTTTCGGGACCAGCCCCATTTGCACAGCCTGAGCTGTAGAGGGCCCTGGAGTTCGGAGTTCTTGTCCCAACTGTGCCCCTGCAGGCCTGTTCCACCCACTGAGGCTCAGTTTCCCCATGTGCCTAATGAGGAAGTCATGCTAGGTGGGGCTTACAGCCTCTTGCAGCTTTGCCATTGATCACTTCCGTGTCTTCAGAGAGGCTGCCAAGTCTCCTCTGAATGAAGTTCCCCAAAAAGCAAACGTAAGAAAATACACAGAGCTTACCCAGACACCAGGCCCTTTAGAAATAGACCATTTCTTACCTTAGGCCCCCAGAAGGTCCTCATTCTAGCTTTGTGGAGAAAAGAAGAGTCTTTGCCTCAGCCCCCAGAGGTTGGGGTGGGGTGGCTGAATTTTGAGGCTGGGATTGGCAACTCTGGTGAAGCCCAAAGTGACACGGATGGTTTCAAAGCCACCTAGAGGATAAGGTGTCAGGACAGTGACAAGACCCCAGGTCCCTATCACACACCAGAGCTCACTGAGCCTCCACCTGGGGTCTCTGCTGAATCTCTGACAGGCTAGGAGAGAAGGGACTGGGGTTACTGACCCCCAGAAAGTCAGAGAAAGTGGCAGTTGGAGGACCTGGGTTTGAGTCCTGGATCACCCCTTCCCCGCCTTGGCAAACTACTCAGACTCTGGAAACCTGTTTCACCTGTAAGATGGGGATGACAATCAAACCCACCTTGCAGGGCCGTGAAGATGCTTAAGACAAGTGCATGCAAAAACTTTCACACACACAAAGCCTTCCTAAAGATGGGGAGACAAGGCCTCATGAGCAGCAGGTGGCCAGGCACTATGTGGGGGCTGGAGTCCTGTTTTCCCTTCAACCTGGGAAAGGACTGATGGGCACTTAGTAGGTTTTGAATCATGACCCTGGACCTCAGGTGGCGGTATGCTTTGTGTCTGCAGCAGAAGGCCCCAGCCTCGTGCCTGTGAGTCCCACTACCGATGTTGAAGGGGTGGACAGCAGGCGGGTGAGCCCCAGGCTGGCAGCTAGCAAGACCTCTCACGTGTGAGCCCAGCACCCCACTTCCCCTGAAATGTGATGTCCAGTGCTCCAGGCTGGGGGCCGTGGATCCTGATTCCAGCTGTGTGAGGGCTGGAAGGCCCTGGGCAGGTCACCTGACCTCTCTGGGCCTATTTCCATCACACACTTGAGGGGCTGAGCACACTGGACTCTATAGCTGTACAACTCCTTGGCTCTGCTTTTGTTCCTGAGGGCCCCTTAGTAGGCAGGGAAAGTGAGGGCCTCAGGGCTGGGCCCCAAGACTCAGATGCTCTCAACCCCTTCCTGGAGTGCCTAACTCAGGGGAGCAGACAGGCCCAGCAGGCAGGGTGCCTCTCTTGCTCAACTCCTGGAGCTATATGTTTTTTTAGCTTACTATTTTACTTAAGAATAGATCATGAGCATTGACTATTCTAAAACATGACTTTCATGACTATATAAAAGTCCATTGTATCAATATACAATCACTTAACCAATTCTTTATTGAAATGGTGGTGTATACATACAAGAAAATACCATTCAGCCCTAAAAAAGAAGGGAATCTTGCCATTTGCAACCACATGGATGGACCTGGAGGACATTATGCTAAGTGAAATAAGCCAGGCACTTGTTTTCCAATTTCTGGTTGATTGATGTGTAACTCTTTAGACGTTGAATCTTATTTGGACATGGGATGTGAGGCACAGACGGGAACTTTATGCCTTTCCAAGCCCTTAGTCAATCATCCCTGCACCATTGATTTAATAATCAAGACATCCTCTCCTCACGGCTTTGAAATGCCTCGGTGCCCATGTACTTCATTTGTACATTCCTGCGGGTCTGTGTGTGGGCTCCCTTGTCTACTCATCCCACTGCTGTTCTATTCTCGTGCTAGTCCCAAACCTCTTTGACTTTGTGGCAGAAAGTTCAGTGGCCGGATGACCAACCACGCAAGGCTGGTTCTGCTTTGGTTCCTCTACTGGATAGGGCTTGACCCCTGCTTTTGCTTGGGAATGTCAACTGCAGCCAGTTGTTACTGAACATTTAGTATTGACATGGAAAACCAGCACTTTCTATTTAAGAGGGAAAAACTGTTGTGATGATTGTGGAACTAGCTCTTCTAACTACAGTCGTCATCCTTAAGAACGCCCATCACCACCAATGTCCAAGAGACTGGGAAATCTCAAGAACTCTGGTGACACTGACTTCCTGCAGTTCTGTAAAATGATCCCAAACTACTACTCTTCTGCCTCTAACAGCTCTCCTTCTTGTCATATTCTGTCCTGATCACCCATGGGTTGCAAACTCCAATAATTAAGCTTGGTGATGGTATTGGTTGCTGCTGTGTACTGACTGCCTCTTTGTGCCAGGCTCTGCTAGACAGTGTATTTAACCTCGAATCCTTACCACAACTTTGTTATGTAGCTATGATGATCCTTAACATTTTGAGATGAGAGTTTTTTAGCAGTGAATAATAATAGACTGTTTATGAAACAAGGTGGATAGACGTGTATCGGAAACTCGAGGAAGGATCCTCTGGGAAAAGCATCTTAGTAAAGCCCCCAAGCCTCAGTGCATGGGAGGAAGAAGGGGAAATGAAAGTCAGGTTGCAAAGTGTTATCAAGGAATGAGGATGAAGAGGGAGCGGGAGTAGAGAAAGGCAGGGGGCCTCTGGCGGAGCAAGGTTTTGGAGGGGTAGAAAGGGAGTAGATGAAGAGTTGAAGTGGAGGCATTTGTTCAGAGGAAGGGGATATCTGCTCCTCTGAGTTATCATAAAAGGAGGAGAAGCTATATAAAGATGCAGAGAAATGTGGAGGTTAAGCCAAGTGTCTGGTCACAGATGTTTTGTGGGAAAGGAGAGAGAAGTCATTGGATAGAGTTGTTGAGCTCCTTATTGGGATGAAGCTCATAATGGTAGCTGGCTTGAAATTGCACTCTGTATTGACTGCTTTCACTTCCCTACCTGACTTCTCTCTCTGCCAGTGTTTCCGGGGATCACCTCCCAAATAAGCTGCTTGCCTGCCTGACTGCCTGCCTGCCTTCCTTCTTTCCTTCCTTCCTTCCTTCCTTTCTTCCTTCCTTCCTTTTTCTTTCTTTCTTTTTTTGACATAGTCTTGCACTGTTGCCTGGGCTGGAGTGCACTGATGCAATCTTGGCTCACTGCAACCTCCACCTCTCAGGTTCAAGCAATTCTCCTAAAGCAAAACCAAAATTTTGAAAAAAAATTAGGCTGGCGCGGCGGCTCACGCCTGTAATCCCAGCACTTTGGGAAGCCAAGGCAGGCGGATCACAGGGTCAGGAGATCAAGACCATCCTGGCTAACATGGTGAAACCCCGTCTCTACTAAAAATACAGAAAAATTAGCCGGGCATGGTGGTGGGCACCTGTAGTCCCAGCTACTCGGGAGGCTGAGGCAGGAGAATGGCTTGAACCCGGGAGGTGGAGCTTACAGTTAGCCGCGATCATGCCACTGCACTTCAGCCTGGGGGTCAGAGCGAGACTCCATCTCAAAAAAAAAAAAAAAAGTTAGGATCCTGTCTTATTTACCTGTCTCTCTACTTAGTACTGGAGAAGGCACATGGCAAGCTCTCTGTAAGGCATTAAATATCCCCATTTTACAGATCAGCAAACTGAGGCCTACAGAGGGAAAAATGACTCACCCCAATGACACTGCTAGTCCGGGGCGGGGCAGAATGGAATTAAGGATTTGGAGACTCTCTTGTCCGGTGCTGTTCCCTGCACTGCCCTGTTACTGTACAGTTACAGAAGCCGGATTTAGGAGAAATCAAAACACAAAGAGTCATTATTTTCAAGTTTGTTATTTTTTACTATGCTTGACTCTGGTCTTTCCAAACATGATTTTCTTGAAAATTCAGGACCTGAGAGGAAAACCTTCACACAGCTTTGCTCTCAAACGGGTCAGAAAGAGCAACTGGCACTTTGGGAGGCCAGGGCAGGTGGATCACTTGAGGGCAGGAGCTCAAGACCAGCCTGGCCAACTTGAACTCTACTAAAAATACAAAAAATTATCTGGGCATGGTGGTGGGCACCTGTAATACCACTTACTCAGGAGGCTGAGGCAGGAGAATCACTTGGACCCAGGAGGCAAAGGTTGCAGTGAGCCAAGATCGGGCCATTGCACTCCAGCCTGGCGACAGAGAGAGACTCTGTCTAAAAAAAACCAGGAGGCCGGGCGTGGTGGCTCACACCTGTAATCCCAGCACTTTTGGAGGCCGAGGCAGGCGGATCATAAGGTCAGAAGATTGAGACCATCCTGGCTAACACGGTGAAACCCCGTCTGTACTAAAAACACAAAAAATTAGCCGGGCGTGGTGGCGGGCGCCTGTAGTCCCAGCTACTCAGGAGGCTGAGGCAGGAGAATGGTGTGAACCAGAGAGGTGAAGTTTGCAGTGAGCCGAGATTGCACCACTGCACTCCAGCCTGGGCGACAGAGCGAGACTCCGTCTCAAAAACAAAAAACAAAAAACAGGAGCAACTGGGGCGTTAGAGCTGAAAGCAGCCTCTGGGATCATCTAGTCCACCCACCCCACTGCCTCCTCGAGAGGGGAGGTGACTCTTAGACAGTCACATGGGGGGCAGCCGAGCTGGACTCCTTTTACAGTGCTCCATTCATTCACAGGAAGTCAGGTGGCATCGGCATGGGCTGAGCAGCAGAATGGAGCCTGGGTATTTACAGGACAGATGCTCACAGAAGCCTCCGGCACTGGCAGTCAAGCCCTGCAACCTCCAACAGGTCCCCACAGAGACAGCAAAGCCCATGCAGGGAGGGAGGCAAAGCTTAGGGGGCAAGACAGGTGGGCCTTGCCCCACCCGAAGGACCTTTCTTGTCCATGCTCTTTCCCGACTGCTGCTATGCCGTGCTCTTTACAGCTTTGTCAAGAGGAGGGCAGTTACCATCTGAGCCTAGAGATTTATGGCTGAAGAAGGAACCAGGGATGTCCCACCTTATTCAGCCCTTTGAAAGTGGATTTACAGGATTGATCTCTGGGCTGGGGCACTTTGCCTTATCTTCAGGAAGGACTGTCCCACCCAGTTCTGCTTTGCTGCTGACACCTGCTGGGCCCCATGGCTGGAGAAATGAAACACACTGAGCCTGAGACTGGGAAATGCAGGTAGATGTCCCCACGGGAGGGAGACGTGCATGGGTCTCGCTGGTCCAGGTCGGGGGTTGAGCAGGCCCTGCTGAGTGCCCCCAGGGTTATTGCTAGGACTCAGGAGAGCACAGTTGGGCAGCTGGTAGGATTGCACCTGGTCACGGCTCCTACATAGGCCAGGTTCATTCACTCACCTCTTCATTCATCACACCACCCAACATACATATGCCAAAAAAAAGAAAGAACCCATCACCTACCATGAGTCAGGCAGCTACAGGCTGAGGATCCAGAGAAGAGTGATATCCCAGCCCTGGCCTTGAGGCGCTCCTGGACTAGAGGCCAGTGAACACAGTTACAGCCCGCTGAGGGAGAGCAGTCAGGGAAGACTTCCTAGAGGAGGATGAAAGATGGGAACAGGCACTTCAGGAAGAGGGACCAGTCTGTCCCAAGGCGTGGAGGTGTGGATGGGCAGGCACATGGAGCTCAGCGTGGCATGTGCAGCGTGGGTCAGGGAGAGGAAGGAGGCAAGACGGGTGGCAGTGGACACAGGTCACCGAGATGCATGTGCATCCTGGGGAGCTTGGATTTTATTGTGGAGACCGTGGAGAGCCACACAGGGGTTTTAAGAAGAATCCAGATCACACAATCAGATTTGCTGTCATGGAGGCACTTGGGTGGCAGGTGATAAAATGTGGATCAGAAGGAAGCGGGTGCTTGGCTGTGCGTCGTAATCACCCGGGGAGCTCTGGGAAGCACTGATGCCTGGGTCCCACCTCCAGAGGCAACCCTGAATGGGCCGGGGTGTGGCCTCAGCATCAAGAAGGGGAAACTCCTTCCCCTGTGCAGGCGAGGGTGACCAAGTGGAGAGGGATCCCCATTAGCAGGCACTGTAGCCTTCCAGGTATGAACTGAAGAGGTGGTTTCCGTGCAGATGCAAGTGAGCACAGATTCAGGAGGGAGAAACACAGCCCATACTTATGAGTTGGATGTGGATTCATAGAGAAAACGAAAAAAAAAAAAGTGGCAGGTCCTCAAAAGGTTACACACAGAGTAACCAGATGATCCAGCAGCCCCACTCCCAGGTTCATGCCCAGGAGAAATGAAAGCATATGTCCACCCAAGAACATGGACAAGCATGTTCAGAGCAGCGGTTTTTTTTCTTTTCTTTTCTTTTTTTTTTTTTTGAGGCAGGGGGACAGAGTCTGGCTCTGTCACCCAGGCTGGAGTTCAGTGGTCTGATCTCCGCTCACTGCAACCTCAAGTGATTCTTGTGCCTCAGCCTCCTGAGTAGCTGGAATTACAGGCACGCACCACCACACCCAGCTAATTTTTGTATTTCTAGTAAAGACAGGGTTTCACCATGTTAGCCAGGCTGGTCTTGAACTTCTGGCTTCAAGTGATCCGCCCACCTCAGACTCCCAAAGTTCTGGGATTACAGGTGTGAGCCACTGCGCCCAGCCCAAAGCAGCATTTTTATAGTAGCCCCAAACTGGAAGTAACCCAAATGCCCATCAAGTGATACATGGATAAACAGAATGCTGTGCCTGTATGCAATGGAATAGTATTTGGCTATAAAAATAATGCAATACTAATATAGGCAAAAACATGGATGAACCTGGAACACAGTGTGCTAAGTCAAAGAAGCCAGTGAAGAATGTTGTATGAGTCCATTGACATGAAATGTCCAGAACAGGAGAACCCATGGAGTCAGCACATAGATCAGTAGTTGCCAGAGATGAGGAGAAATGGCGGTGGGGGTGGGGGAGCTGGAGGGCGATGTTTAAGGAATATGGGGTTTCTTCGAGGATAATGAAAATATTTGGGCTGGGCACAATGGCTCGTGCCTGTAATCCTAGCACTTTGGGAGGCCGAGGCAGGCAGATCACCTGAGCTCAGGAGTTAGAGACCAGCCTAGCTAACATAGTGAAATCCCATCTCTACTGAAAATACAAAAAATTAGCTGGGTGTAGTTGCATGTGTCTGTAATCCCAGCTACTCAGGAGGCTGAGGCAGGAGAATCGTTTGAGCCTGAGAGGCGGAGGTTGCAGTGAGCCGAGATTGCGCCAGTGCACTGCAGCCTGGGTGACAGAGCAAGAAGCTGTCTCAAAAAAAAAAAAAAAAAAAGAAAGAAAGAAAATATTCAAAGATTGTTGCAGTGTTGTTTGCGTAACTATGATATACCAAAACCCATTGAATTGTACTCTTTAAATGGATAAATTCTATTTTATGTGAATTATATCTCAATAAAGCTGTGAAAGAGAGAAGCTGGGTGCAATGGTGCCTACCTATAGTCCCAGCTACTTGGGAGGCTGAGGTGGGAGGATCGCCCGAGCCCAGGAGTTCAAGTCCAGCCTAGGCAACATAGTGAGAAGTGAGACCCCATCTCAAAAAATAAAAAAGACAGAGAAAGGGAAGACTCAAGTTTGGGTTCTGACACTAGGATGTCAGCTAAGTGGTGGTTACATAGATCAGTTACAAAATAGAGGTAAGATGAGCAAGTTGGGGACAGTATGATACTGATTTATTCACTTATTCAGCAAATATTTTTTGAGCACTAGGCAGTGGGAAATATCAGTGAACAAAACAAAAATATCCCTTTCCTGTAGCTCTTACACTCTAGTGGGAAGAGAAAATTATACAATAAATAAACCCATTTGTAAGGTGATCAGTGCAATGGAAAAACCTATAGCAAGCAAGAAGGATGGCATGCCTGGAAGGGCTGCGGCTTTAAAAGGGGTGGGCAGGCATGGCCTTGCAGGAAAGGTGACATGTGAGCAGAGACTTGAAGGCAGCAAGGGATGAACTTGGGTGACTGAGGGAAGAGCATTCCAAGCAGAGGGAACGTTGGTGCGAGGCTCTGAGGCAGGCGTAGTGGAGGCACGGTGGGAGGCAGGGCAGACAAGCAAGGCAGGAAAGAGGAGAAGGGGTGGAGGAAAGGGAGAGAGGGCGATGATAAGTCGGGGCTCAGCAGGTTGGGAAGTGGAACCCTGCAGGCCGTGTCCTCCACCCGGAGGGTATGCATCTTACTCTGAGTGATGTGGGAGCCATGGGGGATTGTGAGCAGAGCGGTACCATGGCCTGACCTACCAGGTAAAGTCTCCCTCTAGATCAGGATTTCTCAACCCGGCACTAGTGACACCTGGGGCAGGATCATTCCTTGTAATGGAGACTGTCCTATGCATTGTGGGATGTTCAGCAGCACCCCCGACCTCTGTCTACAAGACTCCACGAAGGACCATCTGTCTTAGTTGTGACAAACAAAAATATCCCCAGACCCTGCCAAATGTAACCTGGGGGGCAAAAACACCCACATTTGAGAACCATGGTTCTAGGATATAGGAGTGTGTACACAGGCAGCTCAGGTTTACACAGGCTGGATTTGAGGTGCCTGTGAGACCTGCGCGCTGAGATTCCTTTGAGCAGGCAGACAGGAGGGGCTGGAGCCCAGGAGAAAAGTCTGGGCAGCTTTTGTTGTCTTCAGGCTCAGCGGCTGTTAGAAGGAATTTCGCAGAAAAAAAGAGTGATACCCAAAGAATCTATTTCATTTAATTTAACGTTTTGAGCAAGGATTATGCTAAAGTCACCAGGCAAGAGACCAAGATAAGCCCGCCTCACAAACACAGAAACCTCAGATCCAAGGCAGCTATGTAAGGTACAGAACGTTCCAGACTGTAGAAAAGAGAGGGTTAATCCAACTTGATCAGGAGAGAAATGCCATTATCCACTGAAATATTTCTTGACTATCTCCTATATGCTAGTGAAACTCACTAGCATTATCTCATTTAATCTTTGAAAAACTAAATAAAAGTGTGAAGTAAATATTTTCCCCTCCCTCTTTTTTTAAAGATTAGAAAACGGGCTCAAAAGGACCCACATACTCAGAGTCTACCCTGTCAATGACAGAGTGACTCAACCTGGCACTAGCGACATTTGGGGCAGGATCATTCCTTGTTACAGGCTGTTTAATGCCAAAGCCCAATACTGGCTTCTGGAAGCTTCTAGAAGGTGGGGCTGGAACTTCTCATTGAAGAGGTTGACAGGCAGTATTGCGGGGAAATGGGAGAGCGAAACATACCAGGCAAAGGGAACTGCTTGGGCATGGCTTCGGCAGAGAACAAGGTACAGAGATTTGAGGACAGGGTGATTTCTTGGAACACAGAGCTTGGTTCAGTAGAAAGAGCATGGGAAAGCCAGGATGTGGCCAGTTGAAAGGGAGGGGCTTTGACCATGTGGTGAGCCATTTTGCATTTTACTCTATTGGCATCTAGGAGACAAATAATGAGAACTCTGACTTGGGAAAAATGTTAAGGATCAATTTATCTCAAATATCACACATAGCTCTTAAGTCTGGGGACCCTCTATTCCCCATCTTACCTAAAAGGCACAAACACACCTCTCCAAGTCAGGTATAAGACCCCCAACAATAGTTGCCCAGTCAAAAAATGCATCCTCAGAGTTGACGACTACTATAATAAATCTGGGGACAGTTTCTGAAAACTTGTTTCCCTAAAACGTTTTCATCAAACTATATTCAGTGACATGTAACGATAATCATCAAGACTAAATCACATCCCAGGAGGTATCTGAGTGCAACCGTGAGGTGCTCCTTCATGTCTGAAGGTGCATTTATAACAATCTGGAAAACAGTCTAGAAGATCTTCTTGGAAGTTAGACCTTCAACTTTATCTGAGTTTTGGTGGCAAATTAAGAAGAGCTCTTATTGTGCAGTTTCTGAGGTTCTTCAAAAGAGTGACTTTCTCTGTTTCCCCAGAAAGACTACAATGTGTGGTGTGTGTGTGTGTAGGTGCATGTGCACATATGTGGGTGGGTGTGAATGTGCCTATATGTGTGTGTGGATGGAGTACGTATACATGCTGTGAGTGTGTGTGTGGATGCGGATTGTGAGTGTGGGTGGGAGATTGTATGTGAGTGCATGTGAGTGTGTGTGTGGATGGAGTAGATATACATGCATGTGAGTGTGTGTGTGGATGTGGATGTGTGTGGGTGGGAGTTTGTGTGTGAGTGCATGTGAGTGAGTGTGTGTGGTGAGTGTATGGAATGGGTTAGCTCATGCACAGAGCATTTCTTAGCCTACTTAACAGCTTAGGAGCCACCTCTTCCAGGAAGCCTTCCTTAACCTGTTTTTCGTCCTGCCCCTCGGGACCCAGGTGACACTGGGCATGCAGTTGCTCTATTGCTGCAGGTTTGCCCCCGACTCATCTCATCTCCAAACACAGACACATGCAAGAATGTGACCCTCCCTTCCCAATACAACACTAGGACATTTTATTCTCTTTGTATTCCTGATATCTGGCACACGGTAGGTCATCAATAAATAATAAATTGAATTAAACCTTGCAAAGGCCTCCAAATATCAGAATTGGTAAGCTCTAAAGGCTCTGTTTATTCTTGCAGATTCCTTCTCAGGTTTCAGCAGATTATAGAGAAAATCTCTCCCGCCAGTGCTAGTGTCAGTGGGACAGTAAAGTGAAACAGAAACACCACCATCCAATACCCCCTCCCCTTCAGTCCCTCCAAATTGAGCTGCTGCTGCTAGGGGAACCAGAGCTAAGCTTCTGCAGAGGCCTGTGCCCATGTCACTCACCCCAGCTCCGCAGTCCTACCTGGCATGAGTCTTCCCATAACTATACCTTGGCTTGCTGACTGCTCTGTGGGGACACCGAGCCTCATTGCACCACGGGATGGGGCAGTTAGAGCAGGGCTTCTTACACTTTAACATGTGCATGATCACCTGCTTAGCATGCAGATGCTGATCCAGTAGGTCTGGGATGGGGCTTGAGATTCTGCACATCTAACATGCTCCCAGGTCCTGCCCATGTTGCTGGCCTGTGGCCCATCCTTCCACCGGAAGTGCTTAGAAGGCTTTAGTCTTCTCGCGGCTGTTCAAGAGACCATGCGGTGGAAATCGGGTGCTGAGTCATTTGGTCACTGCCGCTTCTTGTTAAGTGAACTTCTATCATTTCACATGCATAGAAGTTTTGACAAGCCCTTGAGTCTTGTTTCTTTCTGCACCCCAGTAAAAAAGAAAGAACAGGCCGGGCATGGTGGCTCACACCTGCAATTCCAGCACATTGGGAGGCCAAGGTGGGCAGATCACGAGGTCAGGAGATCGAGACCATCCTGGCTAACACAGTGAAACCCCGTCTCTACTAAAAAGACAAAAAATTAGCTGGGTGTGGTGGCAGGCGCCTGTAGTCCCAGCTACTCGGGAGGCTGAGGCGGGAGAATCACTTGAACCTGGGAGGCGGAGCTTGCAGTGAGCCGAGATCGCACCACTGCACTCCAGCCTGGGTGACAGAGCGAGACTCCGTCTCAACAACAACAACAACAACAACAAAAGACAACCAAAAACAAAAAACAAACAAAAAACTGATCCTATACTTACTGCTCCCAGTCTACTAAAGCAGAAAGAAAACTGGACCCATGACCTTCAGCAGGAGGGACCTCATATGACTCATTCAATCATATACAGATCCTCTCTATCTTCTAGTGCTCCTGGTCCAGCCACCTCATTTTATAGAAGTGACTTGGTCCCAGAGAGGAAGCGTGACTTGCTTCAGATCACTCAGCTCGTAGATGGCAGTGTTAGGCTTAGAATGCAAGTAAAACCCAAGACTATTACTCATTAAAAAACAAAATTATTTTTCAATAAAATTCACTTTTCAGTCCAGACACAGTGGCTGACGCCTATAATCCCGGCACATTGGGAGGCCAAGGCAGGCAGATCACTTGAGCCCAGGAGTTGAAGACCAGCCTGGGCAATGTGATGAAAACCCATCTCTACAAAATATACAAAAATGAGCCAGGAGTGGTGGCACACACCTGTGGTCCCAGCTACTCAGGAGGCTGCGGTGGGAGGATCACTCGAGCCCAGGAGGTCAAGGCTGCAGTGAGCCATATTCCCGCTACTGCACTCTAGCCTGGATGACAGAGAGAGATCCTGTCTCAAAAACATAAAATAAAATTCACTTTTCAATCCCATAATTATTCATCTCCATCACTTCCTTGCATATCCTCAACTCTCTCTTCCTTCACTTCACGCTGCTTTGCCGAAACCACAGCCCTGGTTAAATCCAACTCTGCTTATTTGGCACCTGATCCTGTGTAGCTGAACAAAATTTGTGAAGAAAGCACAACCATACCAGCTGCTCTTGCATTCACATTCACATTTAATGATGCCAGGGAGTCATACTACACATTCCCAGTCAATAGATATTGGCACATCCCACTCAATATTTGTTGAATGAATGAGTTGAATGCATGAATTTTCATTAGGGTCTCATTAATGCTATAGTTCTGCTTGGCTTGTCCAACTTTAAACATTTCACAAAATGAATTTTGAAACCAGGTTCAGGCTGAAATGGTAATATTGTCATCTTTGTTTGGAAGCTGTCTTAATGGTGTTTGCCTGGGCTGGTTCAACCTATAGGCGAAGGAGGCTTTTACTTGATTTAAATTGTTGTTGGAGCCAGGGCTTGACCTGAGAGCCTCAGGACTTTTCTTCCTCCAGAAAGAGCCTTTTGAAACAAGTCTAGAGGTTGGTCCAAAGCTCAGGAGCTGCAAGTCAACTTACAATGCCTTTTTATAGTATTACTTGCATAAGCTAAATAGTTGGCTTCCTATTTCAAGAAAAGATGTGTTTGTTCTCAAGGCTGTCTCCTGGCACCCATTGGGGATGCTGGAAAACACACCTCTGCCCTCCTGATGTTGTTTTGAAATAGCTGGCGCAGTTTGGATTCTTCGACCACAAAAATAATTGTACGCTGCAGCTGAAATACAAGCCACACTGCTTCCTCGGCTCCGCTTTGAATCCCATCTGTCCCCTACCTCATCATAAAGCTTACTAAGAACCTGGCCTCCTTTCCACTCACTGTAGGTGCTCATGCTGATGATATGCATTATTTGTTTTTTATTGATGTCAGCAGTGCTAATGATTAAGTGAAACACTCCACTCCATTCAAATGTCTTGCTTTCACCTGCCGATCCCATTGTGAAGAAAGGTGCAGCATGCCTTCCAATATTTCTCCTAGAACAGCTCAAGTGAGGTGAAACAGTGGAAAGTCAGCCCTGCTGATTTGAATCATGCCACCCCACCTTACCAGCGCCCCAAATGTCAGCCTTCTTCCCACTCAGATGTGGTTGTCCTTGGAAAGACCCAGAACAGACGTTTCATCACCAAGTGGTACTAGACAAAAACGGAAGGTATAAGCAAAGCAGACATAAGTACTTATCAAGGTAGGTACTTCAGTCGTGCACTCTTTATGTAACTGACAACCCAATCGAATTTTTTTTTTTTTTTTTGAGATGAAGTCTCGCTTGTCACCCAGGCTGGAGTGCAATGGCACAATCTCGGCTCACTGCAACATCTGCCTCCCGGGTTCAAGCGATTCTCCAGACTCAGCCTCCCAAGTAGCTGGGACTACAGGTACGTGCCACCACACTTGGCTAGTTTTTGTATTTTTAGTAGAGACGGTGTTTCACTATGTTGGCCAGGCTGGTCTCGAACTCCTGACCTCATGATCTACCTGCCTCGGCTGAATTTTTTTTTAATGATGCAGAATTCTAGCTCATGTTCTGACTAAGGTAGGATTTAGGGGTGGGGGCAAGCAAGAATGCTATTACTCTGAGGTCTGGGTTGTCTTTAACAAGAGAACACTAAAACAGTGAAGAAAAATTGCCAATTGTTGTTTCAAAAAAAGAACAATAAAAGGCAAGCCCCCTGCCCCTGCCTGCTACTCTTTCCCCCTTAACACTCTCAGTCTCTCCATGAGATTTAAAAAAGAAAAGCCCAGGAAATTCCAAGCATGAATGCCTCCCCAGATAAGACAGAAATGGAAGAAAACCAAACTTTGAAAAGTAAGCATTTTGATCTTCATGCAAACATGGAGTTAATCTGGGGACAGCTAGGCACAATTACACAGATGAATTCATTGTGTGAAATGGTCGCTGAGCGTAGAGAATGTCAGTGCCAGTTCAGAGTCCAAGCTCTGTAGGGGTCATACCTGAATCTGCTGAGCTGAGCACATGGAAACCTCAGTGTGCATTCAGCCTTGACCATTCTTTTTAATTTATTTCAGAGTGGCTCACTGGGGTGGCTTCAGGAAATACAAATCAAGTATCCGCCGTGGTGTTTGAAAACATGCCGGGTTTTGATATGTGTTTGACTGAAAATAGAAATAAAAATCTATGGGTCTTTATTTACATGTGTTAAAGTTGTTCTTAAGATAATCGTATGTTTTTTAGACTCTTTTACCCTTCAAGTCAGCTTGTATTCATCTGGAGAGGAAGCCCTCTCGAGTGACAGCCTTAGGCTGATGGCAGCCAGGTGCTGACTGTGGTTGTGTCAAATTCCCCAGGGGTCCTAGGGGACATCATTCCTTGACTCTGGGTCTCCACATCTGTCAACTGAGGAGTCCCAGAACTGGTGGCTACAGTGCAAGTGAGGTGAAACAGTGGAAAGTCAGCCCTGTTGATCTGAATCATGCCACCCCACCCTTCCAGCACCCTGAATGTCGGCCTTCTCCCCACTCGGATGTGGTTGTCCTTGGAAAGACCCAGAACAGATATTTCACTACCAAGGGGTACTAGACAAAAACGGAAGGTATTAGCAAAGCAGAAGTATGTGCTGGACTAACTCCATTATCCAGTTCTCTAGTTCTGAGGCTCCAACTCAGTGGAGTTTGGAAATACCACTCCATCTTGAGGATTTGATTTTAAACAAATGGCTAGTATTTTGACAAGGTAAACTACTTGTGACTCTGCAGCCTAATTGACTTACCAAACCCACAGACTCAGGGCCCCAGCTGGAAAGGACTCAAGTCTTTTGTTTTAAACACCCATCCCTGTTCCAATCAAGAAAAAATTCTAAACTCATCAGGTATCATAGGCCATGATGCATGTGTGACATTTAGCATGACAAAGGAACTACATTATTGACAGGATCTTCTCAGTGTTTATAATTATAAAATATTTGCACTGAAAGAGTCCTTAACAAGCACGTAAACCCAGAATGATTAAGCAACTTGCCCAAGAGCACACAGGCAGCAGGGAGGGAGTCAGGACCAAAATGCAGGTCTCCTGGCTCCCAGCCGGGTTCAGGCTCCTGCATGTGCCCTTCAGAGATAGGAAAGTTCACCTTTTGAATTTGCCTTTTCATATTCACCTGCACCCTTAACAAATAGGGAATGGAAATGTTGAATTTTGAATGTTGGAGTTAGAGCATGTTGCAATTCATTAGAGAAATCAGGATTGATGAAAAATTCACAGTTGCCTAGTCTGTAGGACAGATGATGTTCTTCATTTGACGCTGCCCCTGTTTCGTCACCAGAAGCAGAGCAACCAGGAGACAACGGAAGGAAAGAGGCCCTGGTCTCCTCGGGAACTGTGTTACTGACAGAACAAGGAACAGCTTTGGCTGGAGATGTTTATGCTGACTTTGGAGTATGGATCAGAAGAGGGTCCTGGCTTGCTGATGGAGCTCAGGCCTATGGAAAACAGGATGATCTTAGAGTTAAAAACAAACAACCCTGGGTGTGGTCTCAGGGCCTGGGAGGAAAGGATGAGTCAGCTGAAACTGATGGAAATTAACGGTAAGTCTAAGAGAAGCTAGCATGGCACTGCAAGGTGAAGTGGGGGGAATGGCCCAGAATCAGAAGAGCTGAGCTTCCCTACATTTGGGCTGTGTGACCTTGGGCAGGAAATTTGCCCTGTTTCCTTTTCAGTGAGATAAGGAGAACCATACCTCCTGAAAGTATTAAAGGAGAAGATTTATATCTAGTTCCCTTCCTCCTCCACTTTCCTTAACAGAATCTCTCAAGAGATGCTGCCATTTCCTGAGCACCTGTGAGCTCATCTTATCCTCACAACTGAAAGTGCTTTTTCCGACGTCAGACATGGAAAAATATGGCACCTAAAAGAGGATGTCACTTTGACAACCAATACTCCCCCAGCCCAAAACCAATTATTATAATCACTGATGAAACTGTGATATGGCCTGTGATTCACTTACATACTCTTCTGTGTCCATAAGATCAGCTTCTGTCTTCCGCTTCCACCACTCCCAGTTCTCATTCTATTCCTAGTGTTACCTCTTGAAGATGATGCCTGTCCCTTAAGTAGCAGAAGCAGCTTTCTGTATCTGGAAGAGGAGGGGCCACACTGGGCTTGAGGAGACACCATGATTTATGGTCCTAGATGATGTCCCCTTCTCACCATTCCCACACACAGCCACCCTTTGAGCTTGCACCATCCTCATAGGGGACCCTGTTGGCACTACTATGTGGGGGAACAGCGACCCTCAAGGTTCAGGTGCAGAAGCAAGCACCCGTCAGGTGTGATCCTGGCTCTGCCACTCACTGTGGGACCTAAGCCAATCCACTTCCTCTCTCTGAGCCTCAGTTTTCCAAAGGGTAAAAAGAAGGATCTAGATGAGATACCTCTCAAGGGCCACTCCAGCTCAGATCCTCTGACTTGCTTAGTGTGTGATGAGAGTTATCTTCTCCCAGAAAAGGCTTCTTTTTCTAAAGCCAAGTGTAGTAAGGACTCCTCTACTCTTTCTAGGCATTTCAGACTTTCTTTAAAAAGATCTTATTTTGGCCCAGCGCGATGGCTAAAGCCTGTAATCCCAGCACTTTGGGAGGCCGAGGCGGGTGGATCACGAGGTCAGGAGTTCGAGACCAGCCTAACAAACATGGTGAAATCCCGTCTCTACTAAAGATACAAAAAAAAAAAAAAAAGAAAGAAAAAATTAGCCAAGCATGGTGGTGTGCACCTGTAATCCCAGCTACTCAGGAGGCTGAGGCAGGAGAATCACTTGAACCTGGGAGTCAGAGGTTGCAGTGAGCCGAGACTGCACTATTGTGCTCCAGCCTGGATGACAGGGCAAGACTGTCTCAAAAAAGAAAAAAAAAAAAAAAGAAAGAAAAAAAAGATCTTACTTTACCAGGCTTTTTGGGGCCCACTGCCACTCAGAGGCCAAAATTCTCCCAATGTCAGTGGCTAGAAGAAAATCAGATCAAAAAGTATCCCTGTGCCTCATCTGAACCCAGTTTCTGCTTTGAACCTTTTGCCAAGTCTAGGGCTTATCAGCCAGAGTGTGTGTGAATTACCACATGAAAGGACTCTCTTGGATCATATTTAAAAGAATCATCATTTCAATTTAGATCAGAAAAACACCCAGTCCTTCAGAAAATACATATAAATTCTTCTCTAAATGTCCAAACAGATTTATGCCATAGAAGATGTAATTATCTCCTTCTGGGATAAAGGAATCTTCTAGCTGTGAGGGTGAGCCAAGAAGCCAGAACTTTCTGCCTAAGAGGAGACTGCAGCAGGGCCACTACAGAAGGTTGTCCAAGTTGTTCACTGCACAAGGGCACTGGGCCAAAAGTGGGTAGGGGAGGCAGGAGTAGCTGCTTAAATCCAGCCTGAGCTCCACCGGCCAAGTCATGTGTTCAGTGCAAGGTTAGGTCAGTTCAAATGGAGGTGCACCTTTTGGTAATTCAGTAGAGGCACTGTATATGCTAGCAGGCAGCCACTCAGCATGGAAAAATGGGTCTTTCCTTTGTTAACAAACACAACAGCTCCCAAAGGCTCACAGCAAGAGCAGATGGCAGGAAAGCAGAAGTGAAGGCTGGGTGGCGGGGCAGGCGTGGGGAGAAGATGGGGAAACGATCTTGGGTGTCTGTAGAGGAGCTTACACCCTAATGCCTCCCAGCTGGCCTAAATGAACACAGTTCTGAGAAGACCCCAGTAAGAGACTGTTTCCAGCCCCTCCCCTCCTTTACTGCCCCTCCTTTCGGGCTCTCCTCAGCCTTCCCTGACCTCCCAGCCTACATCAGAGTCCCCATTGCAGGTTCTCTGAGCACCTTTGTTTTTCCTTTACAACACTCAAGCTGCACTTTGTAATTATGTGGGTGTAGGGAATTTGAGTCACCTCTATTCTCCCCCCGTTAGACTGGAAGCCGTGTGAAGGCAAACTATGTTGGGTTTTGCTCTTGTATCCCCAGGACCCAGCATAGTGTCTGGGGCATGAAGCAGGAACTATGAATGAATTAAAATGGTGTGAATTAAAGGGTGTGGGCCTTGCACTCTGCATCCCTTTTTGCCAGGCCTAGGAGGCTGTCTGGGCACAGTGACATGTGGTCACCATGATGTAAGTTCTGTGCCCACCCCCAGGAGACACAGTCCAGAAAAGACATATCCAACCCTGGCTAGGCATTCAAAACACATATGAAGACCAATGAAAGCAGCTTCCCAAAACCCACCCCAAGAGATTGTGATTCAGGGCTAGGATTTGTGTATTTAACAAGGTCCCCCAGGTGACACGAATCTGCCTATCAGAACCAACAGATACTGTTGCAATAGATACAAAGAAGCACGGGGACCAAAGAGAAGGAGGTCCCACATAAAGATCTGTGGAAGGCTTTCCAGCACAAATGATGTCCCAGCCAGGTCTTGATGGCTGGGAAGGGCATTCTGGGTCAAGGGAATGACATAAACAAAGACAGAGACAGAGACATTGGTGCACATGGGGTGAACAAATGGGGACAGGGCAGCAGGGTTGAATCCAAATGACAAGAATCCATTCCTGGGGGACGATCAAGCGTAAGTCACCCACCACTCAGCTGGGCTCCCAGAGCCCTTTTAGGTAAGAAGCCCATATTTTGGCAGTCCCCAGAGGAGTTCCTCTGCACCCCCATTTTTCATGCAGCTTCCATCCTATTTTCAGTCCCATTTCCTGTCTCCCTCTTTCTCATGTTCTTTCTCTAGTTAGACTGTGGGCTCCTGAGGTCCCATGGCCATCAGGGAAGTATTGCCATGGACTTCTTTGATAAATAGGCCTGATTTAAGAACTCTAAACTATCCTGGCTGGATATAGGAGACTGCTGAAGCTGGCAGAAATAGTAGTCCCTAAAGCCAATATCTACAGCCACGCATCTCCAGTGTGGCAGAGAAGGGTCACCTTACTTAATATAAAAGCAGTATCTGGAGCATGAAGGTCAGGCCCCAGAGAGGCCTGCACATCATGCTGCACTTCCATCTTTTTTCTTTTTTGAGCCCAGAATGAGGAGGTTAACGTTAGAAACAACAGAGAGGATGCCTGTGGGATGGGAGGGCAGATCCTCAAAGACCTGCCTGAGCCCTGCCTGAGCTGGAGGGGAGAATCCACACGCTGGGTGACTCAGGCTGTAGGAATGAGCTCTCACCCCAGGCTCCCATCTATCCTTCCACATCTTTCCATGACTTCCTCTCTCCCCACCCCTCTCCCTCTTCCTCCAATGGGCCTGGGCTGGGTTGGCATGCCGGTGCTCTCTCTTAACTGGACTTTTCTAACGGGCCTGCCTGTTGCCTGGACATGTTTTCTACAAGTAAATGTGCTGGAGAGAGGAAACAGAAGTCCTCAGCACGTGTTTCCTCTCTTTGGACCAAGTGGCCTCTGGGGAACCGGTGAGGATCTGAAGTTCCCAGCCTCTGCACCAAGCTGCAGACCCAGGTGTCTTTTGAGCAATGCCCTGCGCCACAGTTCAGTGCCACCTCGCCAAAGCCCGAACTATCTTGTCTGCTGTCCGGTTATAAATTAATCTCTTGTCATCAGTGATTAACTTATTCAAGACACAGGAGCTGCTGAACCAAAACAGCCCCTTGGGGTGAAAGAGCCTCCAGCATGGTGTGGCGTGTAGGTCTGCCTGTGACCCTGGCCATGCTGGCTCTTGTGCTGTGTCAGCAGGGCTGCAGGGATGGCCAGGGCAGGGGTCCGGCTCTGGGCACTGCTGCCCTGGAATGTTCACTGAGTGCCTCGAAGTGGAGATCCATGCTGCAAATATCTAGGGCTTGTTTTTGTGTGTGTGTTTGTCTGCAAGGAAGGCTTTGAAAAGGGGGTTGGGGTGGGCCACGTCCCTAGGGGCACATGTCACCTGAATACAAACAGCCTGGACTGATAGAGGAGCAGAGGGGAGCCCAACTTTGGAATTCACAGATGTTGAGGGGAGTTATGGGCCACCTATTATAGCATAAGCCATTACAGTGGAAAGAGGCCTCCAAGGTCATTAGCTCCAACTTCCTAATTCTATAGAGGCCAAGGAAGAAGGCTTGACTCACCCAAGGCCACACTCTAGAGCCAATGGGGAGGAAAAGAACAAATGTCAAATCTTGTCTATATGTCAGATAAAGGCTCATTTAGTCACCACCATGATGATAGGCAACAAACAACTTCCTTAGGAAAAAATTTCCAAGGAATCCTTCTATACCCCACCACTACCATTTAAAGACCTCAAAAGTAAGATTTCTCTGATTTTTTTCTGAATAGCCCTGGTAGATTTGGTCTCACTTCTTAGTTCAGGGCACCTCACAGCAATTTAAAAATGGTGCCTTTATTCACCTCTAGGGTGGTCCTCCCCCAGAAAACCGTAACCCCAGCCTAACCAGGAGAAAAACATCAGAACAACCCAAAGCAATGGATGTTCTACAAAGAACTTCACCCCTACTACTCAAAACTGTCACGGTCACCAAAGCCAAGGAAAGCCTGAGAAACTGTCACAGACTGGGGGGCTAAGGAGACACGATGATTGAGTGCAATGTGGCACCCTGGATGGGATCCAGGAATAGGAAAAAGTCATTAGGAAAAATTAGTGGAATATGAATAAAGTGTAGAGTTTAGTTAACAGTAGTGTAACAATGCTGGCTCCTTAGTTGCAACAAATGGACTACAGTAATGTAAGTCTATGGCCACACCACCCTGAACTTGTCTAGAGTAATGTAAAATGTTAACAATAGGGGAAACTTGGGATGAGATACACAAACTCTGTACTCCTGTTGCATCTTTTCTGTAAATCTTTTTTTTTTTTTTTGAGATGGAGTCTTGCTCTGTCGCCCCGGCTGGAGTGCAGTGGCGCGATCTCAGCTCACTGCAAGCTCCGCCTCCAGGGTTCAAGCAATTCTCCTGCCTCAGCCTCCCAAGTAGCTGGGACTACAGGCGCCCACCACCACGCCTGGCTAATTTTTTGTATTTTTAGTAGAGACAGGGTTTCACCGTGTTAGCCAGGATGGTCTTGATCTCCTGACCTCATGATCCAGCCGCCTCGGCCTCCCAAAGTGCTGGGATTATAGGCGTGAGCCACTGCTCCCGGCCGAGAGTTTCTTAAAAAAGAGAGTTACTTTAAAAAGACAGAGTTTCGTTCTTGTCACCCAGGCTGAAGTGCAATGGCACAATCTCAGCTCACTGCAACCTCTGCTTCCCAGGTTCAAGCGATTCTCTTGCCTCAGTCTCCCAAGTAGCTGGGATTACAGGTGCCCGCCACCACGCCTGGCTAATTTTTGTATTTTTAGTAAGGATGGGGTTTCACTATGTTGGCCAGGCTGGTCTCGAACTCCTGACCTCAGTTGATCCACCCACCTCGGCCTCCCAAAGTGTGGGGATTACAGGCGTCAGCCACCGCACCCGGCCCTTTTCTGTAAATCTAAAACTATTTTAAAACAAAGCATTTATTTAAAACTTTTTTAAAATGGTGCTTTTTCGTTTTCTTTAGTCTGGAACCTTTACCAGAAGGTTCATTACAGTGTCCATAACATGGTAGGTGTGGAATAACAAGTATTTGAAAGAGGAAAGAAAGAATGAGAGAGGGAAGGAAGGAGGACTAGAGAAGAGAGGAAGGAAAGAAGGAAGGGCAAGAGGGAGGGAGAAAGATATTAAGGGACAAAATACGAAAGTAAATAGAACCAGTCAGGTGTGGTGGCTCACACCTGTAATCCCTTCACTGAGAGGCCTAGGCAGGTGGATTGCTTGAGCCCAGGAATTGGAGACCAGCCTAAGCAACATGATGCGACCCCATCTCTACTAAAAATACAAAAAATTAGCTGGGCATGGTGTCGTGTGCTTGTAGTCCCCACTACTTGGAAGGCTGACGTGGGAGGATCACCTGAGCCCAGGAAGTAGAGGCCGCAGTGAGCTGTGATTGGAGCACTGCACTCCAACCTTGGTGACAGAATGAGACCCTGCCTCAAAAAGAAAAAAGTAAGTAGAACCATTCATCAACTGATAAATGGATAACTGTAGTATCTCTATGCAATGGATTCAATGGGATATTGGGCCATAAAAAGAAATTAAGTAGTAATACATTCTATAACATGGAAGAGCTTGGAGACATTATGCTAAGTTAAAGTAAGTCCACCAAAGAGACCACATATTGCATGGTTCCATTTATATGAAATGTCCATATGCAGATATGAAATGTCCAAAGGCAAATCCATAGAATAGCAAATAGATGAGTGATTACCATCTTATCTGTTGGGGACTGGGGAGGAGAAACAGGAGCAGCTGCTCACGGTCATAGGGTTTCTTTTTGGGGCAATGAAAATGTCCCAGAATTAGACAGAAGTGATGGTTGCACAACCTTGTGAATATATTAAAAGCACTGAATTGTACACTTTAAAATGGTGAATTTTATGGCATGTAAATTACATAATAAAGTTTAAAATAAAATAAATGAAAATTTGCAAAACTCAATACAACCCGATCTGTACCTTCAAGGAGCTCACAGTGTACTGGGGGCACCATTTCGGTCCAGGTGACTATAAGCCTCTCCCCTTGTCTGTAAACTCTATGGGGGTAGGAGCCATAAGTGTCTTGTTCATTCTTGTGCCCAGCACCTGGTAGGATCTCAGTAAGCACTCACTGAATGAAGGAGTCAGTATGTGAAGTCTTGAGACAAGTATATGTACAGGAGCTCTGGGGCCACAGAGGAGAGGCTAACTGTATTTATTTATTTATTTATTTACTTATTTATTTATTTAGTTTTGAGACAGAATCTTGCCCTGATGCCCAACCTGGAGTGCAGTGGTGCCTTCATAGCTTACTGCAGCCTCAAACTCAAGCATCCGCAGCAGTGGGGACTACAGACATGCACCACCGCGCCCAGTCTTTTTTATTTTTGTAGAGATGAGATCTCTCTATGCTGCCCAGGCTGGTCTCGAACTCTCAGCCTCAAGCAATCCTCCCACCTTGGCCTCCCAAAGTGCTTGGATTACAGGTGTGAGCCACTGCACTTGGCCAGAGAGGCTAACTTTCTAAGGCATTCAGAAAAACCACAGGCTCTGATGTGGACAAGATTTAACAAATCATGACACCATAAAGATTTTGAAAACTCTCCCTAGTGACTAATCCAGGCAGTTCCAAGTCCCCAGGCAAAGCCCTGAAAAGGTGGCTGCTTCTAGCCCACTGCCCATTCCCTGTGCTCGGCAACCACTTTCTCTTGAATACCCACAAACTCCTTGGGGAAATGTGGTCTACCCTATCCCAAGAACTCATAGTCTAGAGAAAGGGATGAATCTGCACACCCCCTAACACCCTACCTCTGCTGCTGCAGTATGCTGAGAAGGAGAGCAAAGGGATGTGCCCCAGGGCCATGACTAGCAGGTCACAGCCCTGGAGCAGCTTTGGTGACATCATATCAGTATGAGGGGCCTTGAAGCACAAAGGAATGAATTTATTCTGAAATACAGTTTCTGGGTTGGTCCATCTCCACTATTCCTCCTACAAATGGTTGTGTGTTTTCTTCTTCCTCCTTTCAAGCGGGAGTGCTTCATAGGTCCTTAGATCTAGCCTTTAAGGTCATCAAGTCCCCAGTAAGACCCCCAGGTGACCTGACTACTCAAAGCTAAGTGCTACTAAACAAAAAAAAAAATGAAAACTGCTTTTTGACTTCCTGAGCCACCCAGAAGGAAGTGAATATTTTTTTAATCTAGTTTCAAGTACCTAAAAATACTGGGCAGCTCTGGCTGGAAACTGTCACAGATACAGAAAGGACTCAGCAGAGAGCTCTTGATCACAAAAGTGAGCTTAGCGGGGGAAAGAAATCTACCCAACTAAGCACTGCAGTCTTGGCAGATCAGAAGTGGAAACGCAAAGGACTTGTAGGCGCACAAGGCTGGATGTAGTAACAGCCCAGCTATGTCAGCTTAGGAAGGTAAACTCTGAGCCTCATGTGTAACAAGAGGATATAGTGCCCACCTCACTGTGTCATTTTTAGATTACAAAGATTATGGGTGTCAAAGCATCCTGATTAAGGTCTGGCAAATAAGAGACAGTAAACTGCAGGACTTGTTTTTCATTGTTGCTGTTACTATTATAATTATACCTTGTAAATTTGGAAAGTATTTGGAAATAAATTTTTCATCAAAAAACTGTCTCTAATCCTCCAGTGTATTCTAAAACCTATTCAAAGAACAAATTGAGCCCTGGATCTTTATCCTGGACTAAATTGCAAATAGCGTTTCTATGCCGTTTTGTAATGAGTACGTTGTGATAAAATCACAGAACATCAGACACCGGATTTTAGACATCCACTCCCCTGCCTTTCAGCCTTGTCTGTAAAACAAAACAAAATACAACAAAGCACCAATGAGCCGCAGTGGATAGGCTGAGAAGGAGATTTTGGCCCTAAAATGTCTCAAACTTCACGTGAAATCTGATTTCAATCTTTATTTCTTATTAAAATGTCAGCTTTGCAGGAATGCACTACTTTAACACCTGATAGAAGTAGAAACTCACATGGTTTCAACAGAAGAAGGAGGAAGAGGGGGAAGGAGGGAGAGGGAGAATAAGTGGTAGCAATAGCAACTGCTCTGCACCAAATAGCTCTGATCTTGGCTAGCTACTAACTTTTGAATTTCTCTGGAAAATCAAGGGCGATGCATTACACATAGGAGTTCTAGGAACCAGGTTTACCAAGTTTGATTTACCTAACTCATCAATTAGCACATGCTTCCCCACAACCCCGCTCCCCCAACCCCACCACCACCAGTGACCAAACACTATTTGGAGGTTGTCTTCTCCTTGTCTGCCTTCTAAATCCTGCCCACCCTTTAGGGTCCAATCCCCATTCCCATGAAGTCTCCAGAAATGATTCACCATTCTTTTGCTTTGATGAACTCAGACTGACAGAAACTTAAGGTTGAAGTGGACAGTGGAGTTTCTTACCCACCCTCAAATACTGCAAAATTCCCGAGCCATCACCACCTGTGCTGAAATATCTCTGGTAACAGAGAATGCATCGCTGAACGTGGCATTCGTAGGTTCTGTTGCTGACTGCTAGAAACAGCAGAACCAAACTCAGTTTCCCTGCTACTTCCATTCATAGAGCCCCAGTCAGCCTCAGGGCCACAGAGGGTAGATGTCATTCCTCTTCCTCAGCAGGCTGGCTTCAGGACCCTGGACTCAGAAGGGCACTATGTGACAGGCTCTGCTTTAGCCACAGGGCATTCAATTCAGGGGTGTTTAAGTCATGGTCCCTGGCCCCACCCCCTGCATTTGGAGTGGGTGGCAGACAAGGAAGCAGATTATAAACAAGAGGTTCTCAAAGTGTGATCCCTGGACCAACACCAGCAGCAGCACCTGGGAACGTGTCAGAGATGCCGAATCTCAGAGCCCCACCCCAGACCTGCTGAGTCAACAGTGTTGGAGGTAGGCCCAGAAATCTGTTTGAAGGAGCTCACCAGGTGGCTCTGATGCACACTCAAGCTTGAGAACCACTGACATAACACAATATTATGCAGCCGCTGAAAATTGTGTTTCAAAAGATACTTAATGACATTGGAAGATGATCCTGATACAATGATAAACTAGTGGGGAGAATCAGTTTACAAAATTAAGTATAAAATATGACAATTTGGGGAAGCAGAAACTACAGAGAGAAAAGTGCTGGAAATAAATACTATCAAATATTCATAGTGGCTCTCTCTGGAGCTAAGTTAGTTTATATTTTCTTTTTTTTTCTGTGAGACAGTCTCACTCTGTCGCCAGGATGGAGTTCAGTGGCGCGATCTCGGCTCACTGCAACCCCTACCTCCCGAGTTCAAGTGATTCTCCTGCCTCAGCCTCCTGAGTAGCTGGGATTACAGGCGTGCGCCACCATGCCAAGCTAATTTTTTGTAGTTTTTAGTAGAGACAGAGTTTCACCATGTTGGCCAGGATGGTCTTCATCCTTGACTTCATGATCCAACCAACTTGGCTTCCCAAAGTGCTGGGGTTACAGGCATGAGCCACTGCGCCTGGCCTATATTTTCTTTTTTATGTTGCTCCATGCTGTCTATATTTTCCACTTTTATAGGCAGAACCTTACTATTACAATAGATGATTGTAATTCACTAAGGCCCTGCCTTCCTTGTCAAGACCGTGAAGCCCCATTCACACCTAGGCCTGGGTAGTTAGCAGAACTTAACATACCCCTTCTCTCTGCTATAACATTTGGCCCCTATGACCAGATTGTAGCTCATCCCAGATCTGGATTCTCTCCTCCAGAGTGGTAGGAATCTACCCCCTTAGCCTCCTGTCTAGAAGAAGAACAGCATTTACTCAGTGCTAGTTATAGGCTAAATGCCTTGCATGTGTTACATTTACTCTCTCTAAGGTTCCTAGCAGGTTGGTTAAATTCTCCCTGTTTACCAATGAGAAAACTGAGACTCAGAGGAATTAAGGCACTTGTTCAAAGATCACACCTTTTTTCAGTCTGGGCCATTTCTGCTAATAGGCATTTTAACCCTGGCTTCATTTAAAAGTTTTCTGGGCTGGGTGTGGTGGCTCACTTCTGTAATCCCAGCACTTTGGGAGGCCAAGGCGGGCGGATCACCTGAGGTTAGGAACTCGAGACCAGCCTGGCCAACATGGTGAAACCCCATCTCTACCAAAAATACAAAAATTAGCAGGGCATGGTGGTGGGCACCTGTAATCCCAGCTACTTGGGAGGCTGAGGCAAGAGAATCGCTTGAACCCAGGAGGTGGAGGTTGCAGTGAGTCGGGATAGCGCCATTGCACTCCAGACTGGGCAACAAGAGCGAGACTCCGTCTCAAATTTAAAAAAAAAAAAAAAAGTTTTCTGGAAAACTTAAAAGAAAAACAAACAAAAAAAAAAACCAAGCCTGATTCCCACTACAAACCAATGACATCCACATCTCTGGGGGTAAGGTCCAGGTATTGGTATGTCTTACAAACACCCCAGGTAGTTCCAGTGTGCAGCCAGAGGGAGATCCATTAGGGGGTGCCAATTCCTTGAGCTCTTAACCATCCTCCCAACCCCAGTAAAATAGTAAACAGGAAATACTTGCTTCTTGTGTCTTCCTCCAGGCCCAGTTGGGTTTAACAGAATTGCACCAACCCGACATTTATTGTACTTGATAGATACTGCTGGACACCACGTGCTTATTGTAAAATAATCACTTGGAGCACTAGGAACCACAATAGATCAAGGCCAACACTGTGCATTAGCATTTAATAGAGGAGCCCAAGGCCTCAGCCAGGTGGGTGTGGCTGTTTAAACACTTGATGACTTAAGGGATTTCAAATATTCACTGGACAATCTAAACTACTGGTCTCATCACAAACACCACATCCAAAGAAGAAAATTAGAATTTTTTTTTTTTTTTTTTTTTTGAGACAGAGTCTTGCTCTGTCGCCCAGGCTGCAGTGCAGTGGCACAATCTCGGCTCACTGCAAGCTCCGCCTCTCAGGTTCACGCCATTCTCCTGCCTCAGCCTCCCGAGTAGCTGGGACTACAGGTGCCCACCACCACGCCCGGCTAACTTTTTTTTTTGTATTTTTAGTAGAGACAGGGTTTCACCGTGTTAGCCAGGATGGTCTCCATCTCCTGACCTCGTGATCCGCCCGCCTCGGCCTCCCAAAGTGCTGGGATTACAGGCGGGAGCCACCGCGCCTGGCCGAAAAAAGTTTTTAAATAATTTTTAAAATTATAGTTCTTTCTTTTCAGCTTTATCCCATCACGGTTTCAGGTTGTTTCTGAAGTTTCCTTCTGTTCATGTCACCACTAGATGGTGCACATTACAAAACATTAGCCCAGGAGCGGAGCTGCATTTGTCACTTTGCAATAACTAGAAGGGAATCAGAGGTAGGGCTGCCAGATTGACCAAATCAAAATACAAGACTTCCAGGGGCCAGGTGCAGTGGCTCACACCTGTAATCCCAGCACTTTGGGAGGCCCAGGTGGGTGGATCACGAGGTCAGGAGTTCGTGACCAGCATGGCCAATATGGTAAATCCCCGTCTCTACTAAAAATACAAAAATTAGCTGGGCGTGGTGGTGGGCGCCTGTAGTCCCAGCTGCTGGGGAGGCTGAGGCAGAAGAATCGTTTGAACCCAGGAGGTGGAGGTTGCAGTGAGCTGAGATCACACCACTGCACTCCAGCCTGGGCGACAGAGCAAGATTCTGTCTCAAAAAAAAAAAAAAAAAAAGGGCTTAAAGTTAAATTTGAATTTTAGCTAAAATATCGCATGGGACATACTTATGCTAAAAAAAATAAAAATAAAAATAAAACCTACTCGTTGTTTATCTGAAATTCTAATTTAACTGGATGTCCTAAATTCTACCTGGCAACTCTACTGCGGGGGGGACTTCAGGAAATAAGTAGATAATACAATAGCTCTTAGCTTTTTCAAACACTAGAATTTTTGCTGGCATGCTTGGAGGGATCAAAAGACTCAAAGCCACAGGAAACAAGCCAGCAATTATGACAACACCATCACAACTACAGCACGACAATGTCTTCAGGGTCCAAAAGCCTTAGCAACGAACCCACTACTTCCTGGTTTGCCCCCCAAGTCATTGCGTTCCTGCCCTGAACACATCTCTTATGTAATCAAGGCAAAGTTCTTGAATGCTTCAGCAAACTCCCTTGCTTTCCTTGGCAATGGCTTGATGGAACCTTGCCCTGTGCCATCTAGATCTTAAAGTAAGTTGGACCTAAACTATTTTGAGGCATAGAACCTCAGTGTTCAGTTTGACAGGGAAGAGTGTAATCATTTGTAAGAAAACTAATTTTTATATGTTGATCAAAACTTAGCAGCATATATGTAAACGTGGGTATTGCACCTCCTGCCCATAGCTGGCAGCCCTTGGCCAGCCTCAAGTTTAATAACTCGTGGAGAAGAAAAGCTACTTAACCTGCATTCGGAGCTCTTTCTTGACATGCATTGGCTTGACCTGCTTGACCATAAGCCCTCTACAAGAAGGGACCATCTTTACAGCATCTTGAATAGAGAAAAGCTGAAACGCAACCTTGAATTCAGGGTATTGCACTCTGAATCAATGTTGCACTCAATATACTTTCTAGAAAATGGATTGTCCCCACTTTGTGATCCAAGCTGTCGTCCACAGATCTACCTGTGTGACAAAGGGGTCCCTGAGTATAGGATAGGGAGATGAAAAAAGAAAAAGAGAATTGGAGAAGCTCAGATTGGAAGCATTAACCATCAAAGCTTCAGAGTTGGAGCCCACTCTGATATCTGATTACTCTCTCTGTTGAGAGGGTGAGGAAGGCCTGATGGTCAGCTAGCTCAGTCTGAACTCCACTATTTCTTTCTCCTGGAAAATGATTGCTTGCAGGAATAGGTAACATGGGAGGAAACATAGATGGTACGATTCATTCTTGACTATGCTCTGAAACTTGTGAACACATTGAGAAGAATCAACTTTCTTACTTCTAGAAACCCATTCCAAGTAGAGCAGCCCCACAGGAATGCTGCCTCCCCCATAAGACTAAAAAGAGAATATTCGGCTGGGCGTGGTGGCTCACGCCTGTAATCCCAGCACTTTGGGAGGCTGAGGTGGACAGATCATCTGAGGTTAGGAGTTCAAAACCAGCCTGGCCAACATGGTGAAACCCCATCTCTAATAAAAATACAAAAAAGTAGCCAGGCATGGTGGCGTGGCGCCTGTAGTCCCAGCTACTTGGGAAGGCTGAGGCAGGAGAATCACTTGAACCCGGAGGCAGAGGTTGCAGTGAGCCGAGATCACATGAACCCGGAGGCAGAGGTTGCAGTGAGCCGAGATCACACCACTGCACTCCAGCCTGGGCGACAGAGCAAGACTCCATCTCAAAAAAAAAAAAAAAAAAAAAAGAGAGAATATTCATTTTGCTGGTGAAGAGGGGACATTTGGGAGCCGGGGACCTCCTCTTGGTAGATTCCTGACAAGTTGTGTAAGTCGTTAGGCCCAGGGGAGTTTAGAGAAGATCATGAGGTTTTTCACCTGCAGAATGGGTACATGATCCCTTCGCTTCCTCTCGGTAATCCTTAACTAACATACTCACACCTAGGAAAATTTAGGTCCTAAAGTTAACATCCTGTTTAGACAGCCACATAAGAATTGTCAGGCAGTGACATGATTTAGACATTTTTGCTCTGTGAGATATCCTGAATTCCTTAGGTTAACACATGGATAAACATGCAAAGGAAAAGACCCCACATTTTTCAGATTTTGCTCACAATCCTCAAAGCATAACGGTTCTGGAGGAAGCTGAGCATTCCTACTTGGGAAGGGAGGGTAAGAATCAAGATTGATTGAAGTGAGTCATCCTAACTCCCCTGCTGAGAGGTTCCCATCCCCAGGAACTCTGCCTGTCTGCACGGATTCATTCCTCACACACTGTCGAGCATCTTGTGTGCCAGGTGCTGCAGATGAAAATATCGCATAGTTTTGCAAGTGAGAAAACCAAGACTCAGAGGGTTCCCAAGATAACATAGCAAGTGATGCAGCTGAGATTTTAACCCAGGCAGTCTGGCTGCAGAGAAGCTGGAGTACTTAGCCATTATAGAAACTTCAACAACAATCAAAACGCAGTTCCTGGGCCGGGCGTGGTGGCTCATGCCTGTAATCCCAGCACTTTGGGAGGCCGAGACAGGTGGATCATGAGGTCAGGAGATCGAGACCATCCTGGCCAAGATGGAGAAACCCCATCTCTACTAAAATACAAAAAATTAACTGGGCGTGGTGGCACGCACGTGTAGTCCCAGCTATTCGGGAGGCTGAGGCAGGAGAATCGCTTGAATCTGGGAGGCGGAGGTTGTAGTGAGCTGAGATCACACCACTGCACTCCAGCCTGATGACAGAGCGAGACTCCATCAAAAAAAAAAAAGTGGTCCCTATTCTCGAGGAGATTATCATTAAGTGAGGAGAGCAGATAAATAAATCAATAATTAAGTAGAGACAGAGTGGTATTAGAGGTGAATCATATAGGAAAGCCACAGAGGTACCAACCAAGGGAACTTAAACCAGTGGTGGGTGGAAGTGAGCACAAGGCGAGCACAAGATTTCCTGAAATAATGAGTTTTGAAAAACAAGGAAGGATCTTCCAGGGAAAAGAGGGGAAGAATTGTTACTCTGTAGAAAGAAAATAGCAGATGCAACGTTTCTGATGCAGTAAGTAGCTTTAAGAAATCTAAAAATATCAGTGATTGGAGCAGAGGGCAGAAGTGGCCAAGAAGAGTAGTAAGAAGTGAGACAGAAGAGGCAGGCAGGGGTCAATAACAAATGGCCTTTTATACTACTTGAAAGTTGGATTTTATTCTGAAACTAATGGGATCCATTGAAGGATTTTCAACAGAGAGGGCAAGGTAATCTAAAACTTTACCAAGTTTGCTTGAGCAATATGATGGATAATGGATTGGAGGGACACAAGAAGCAGCTAAAAATACTCAAAAATATCTTCCATACGTGCTCCAGTCTGAGCCAATTGTTCTCTAGAGAAGATACACGGCTTTCTTTGTCGCCCTTCACTCTATTGTCTTCCTACATTGGCTTTATCTTCCTCTTCCTGTCCACACCTTGTTGGAGTAGATTCTCATGTAAAAATACTAAGGAAATCTGCTTTATAGGAAAAATTTCTGAGTTCTTGTACATCTGAACTGCCTTTATTCTGCCCTCATTCTTGATAGATAATTTGACTGGGTATAGAATTCTAGGTTGAAGCTGCAAAAAAAAAAAAAAAAAAAAAAAGAAAAAAAAAAGAAAAAGAAAAGAAGAAAAAAAGAAAAGAAAAGAAAAACAAAAAGAAATATATCTAACCAAAGAAGTGAAAGAGTTCTACGAGGAAAACTACAAAACACTGCTGAAAGAAATCATTGATGACACAAACAAATAAAAACACATCCCATACTCATGGATAGGTAGAATCAATGTCGTGAAAATGACCATACTGCCAAAAGCAATCTACAGATTTGTTCAGTTCCCCTCAAAATACCATATTGTTCTTCAGAGAACTAGAAAAAACAATCCTAAAATTCATCTGAAACCAAAAAAGAGCCCACATAGCCAAAGAAATACTAAGCAAGAAGAACAAATCTGGAGGCATCACATTACCTGACTTCAAATTATATTTACAAGGTTATAGTCATCAAAACAGCATGGCATTAAAATATGCATGTAGACCAATGGACAGAACCCATAAATCAAATCAAATACTTACAGCCAATTGATCTTCAACAAAGCATACAAAATATAAATTGGGAAAAAGAAACCCTATTCAATAAATGGTGCTGGGAAAACTGGAAAACTGGCAAGCCACATGTAGAAGAATGAAATTGGATCCTCATGTATTACTTTATGCAAAAATCAACTCAAGATGGATCAAAGACTTAAATCTAAGACCTGAAGCCACAAAAAATTATAAAAGATAACATCAGAAAAACTCTTCTAGACACTGGCTTAGGCAAAGAATTCATAACTAAGACCCCAAAAGCAAATGCAACAAAAACAAAAATAAATAAATGGGACCTAATTAAATTGTATACCCATTCAAAAATAAATAAATGGGGCCTAATTAAACTAAAAGTCTTTTGCACAGCAAAAGAGATAATCAGCAGAGTAAACAGACAACCCACAGAGTGGGAGAAATATTCATAAACTATGTATCCGACAAAGGACTAATATCCAAAATCTACAAGGAACTCAAACAAATCAGCAAGAAAAAGATAAATAATCCCATCAGAAAGTGGGCAAAGGACATGAATAGACAATTCTCAAAAGAAGACAAACATGAAAAAGCACTCAACATTGCTAAGTATCAGGGAAATGCAAACTTAAACCACAATGAGATACCACCTTACTCCTGCAAGAATAGTTATAATTAAAAAGTCAAAAAATAATAGATGTTGGCGTGGATGTGGTGAAAAGGGAACACTTCCACACTGCTCATGGGAATGTAAACTAGTAAAACCACTATGGAAAACAGTACAGAGATTCCTTAAAGAACTAAAAGTAGAACTACCATTCGACACAGAAATCCTACTACTGGGTGTCCACTCAAAGGTAAAGAAGTCATTATATAAAAAAGATACATGCACGTGCATGTTTATAGTGGCAGAATTCACAATTGCAAAGATATGAAACCATCCTAAGTGCCCATCGACTAACAAGTGGATAAAGAAAATATGGTTTATATATGCTATATTGGAATACTACCCAGCCATAAAAAGGAATGAAATAATGTCTTTTGCAGCAACTCGGATGGAGCTGGAGGCCATATTCTAAGTGAAGTAACTCAAGAATGGAAAACCAGATATCACATGTTCTCATTTATAAGTAGGAGCTAAGCTATGAGGATGCAAAGGCGTAAGAATGACATAACGAACACTGGGGACTCAAGGGGAAAAGGGTGTGAGGAGGGTGAGGGATAAAAGACTATATATAGGGTACAGCATATACTGCTTGAGTGATGGGTGTACTAAAATTTCAGAAATTACCACTAAAGAACTTATCTATGTAACCAAAAACACCTGTAACTGAGAAACTATTGAAATTTTTTAAAAAAGAATTCTAGGTTGAAAAAAACATTTTCCCTCGGGACTTTGAAAGCATTGCTCCATTATCTTCTAGTGATCCCCGTCTGGTTCTCTTTCCTTTGCTCTCCCATTCATAAGAATTGTCTTGTATTTCACATCATCTTGGGCATTACACTTCAGCGGTGCTGGCCTTCCTCTTGTTCCTTGAACATATCAAACTTTACTTACCTACCTCTTGCCTCTTCCTGAAATGTTCTTCCCCCAATCCCCTTGTGGCTGGCTTCATTTCATCAATCAGGTCTGAGCTCAAATGTTGGCTCTGAGAGGACTTTCTTTACCAACCTAGCTAAACTGGCAAACACTAGATGTGTAAAAATACTGAATTAATTTAAAATAATTAATTCATTCATCAAATCTAATTAGGCCAGGCACAGTAGCATGTAATCCCAGATCCTCAGGAGGCTGAGGTGGGAGGATTGCTTGAGCCCAGGAGTTTGAAACCAGCCTGGGCAACATATTAAGACCCACATCTCAAAAAAAAAAAAAAAAAAAAAAAATTGAGGTTCTGCAGAATATTTCAAAAAGGAGTTAGTATTATTTGAACTGTGCCAAATTCACAATTTTATTCATTTTCATGACTATGCATGTGGGAAACAAATGAATCCCAAATGCCTACCTCACACCATACATAAAAAATAATTTAGGTGCCTTATAGATCTAAATGTAGAAGAAAAACTAATAAATATTCTAGAATAAGACATAAAATATCTTCATGATCTTTGTAGGATGGCAGATTCTTAAGCAGGACGTAAAAAGCCTTAACCAAAACTTAATAAATTGGACTAGATTAAAATTTAAAGCTTCTGTTCATCAAAAGACATCATGAAGTGAGTAAAAAGACAAATGAGAATAGATATTTGCAATACACAATGCACAAAGAACCCATTTTTAGAATATATAAAGAACATTGATCATTAATAAGCAGAAGGCAGACAATGAAGATGTACCAACAGAAAAATGAGCAAAATATTTGAACAAATACTATTCAAAAGAAGATATCCGGCCGGGCGCGGTGGCTCACGCCTGTAATCCCAGCACTTTGGGAGGCCGAGGCGGGCGGATCACGAGGTCAGGAGATCGAGACCATCCCGGCTAAAACGGTGAAACCCCGTCTCTACTAAAAATACAAAAAATTAGCCGGGCGTAGTGGCGGGCGCCTGTAGTCCCAGCTACTTGGGAGGCTGAGGCAGGAGAATGGCGTGAACCCGGGAGGCGGAGCTTGCAGTGAGCCGAGATCGCGCCCCTGCACTCCAGCCTGGGTGACAGAGCAAGACTCCGTCTCAAAAAAAAAAAAAAAGAAGATATCCAAGTGGCTGATAAAGATATGAACATAGTGCTCAACTTCACTACTCCTCAAAGAAATGCAGTTTAAAAGCATAACATAATATCACTGTACATTCACCAGAGTAGCTAAAATGAAAAAGACAAATGATATCAAATGCCAGCCAGTGTTTGGAGCTTCTAGGACTCATATTCAGTGCTGGATGTGTATACTTATCAATTTCCTTTGGAAATCATCTTTAAAGCTAAACATATCCATGCACTGTGACTTGGCAATTCCACTCCTGGAAAAATTCCCGATAGAATTGCTCACGTATTTTCATCAAAAGGTATTTACCAAAAGAATGCTCACAGCAGAACCATTAGTAATAGCTCAAAACAGGAGGCCAGGCGCGGTGGCTCACGCCTATAATCCCAGCACTTTGGGAGGCCAAGGCGGGTGGATCACCTGAGGTCAGGAGTTTGAGACCAGCCTGACCAACATGGAGAAACCTTGTCTCTACTGCAAATACAAAATTAGCTGGGCGTGGTGGCACATGCCTGTAATCCCAGCTACTCGGGAGGCTGAGGCAGGAGAATCACTTGAACCCAGGAGGCAGAGGTTTCAGTGAGCCAAGATCATGCCATTGCACTCCAGCCTGGGCAACAAGAGCAAAACTCTGTCTCAAAAAAAAAAAAAAAAAAAAAAAAAAAAAAAAAACCAGGAAACTACCCAAATATCTCTCAAAAGTAGAATGGATAAATTGTGCTGTAGTCATAAAATGGAATACTATTTAGTATGAGAATAATTGAACTATTACATGCAACAACATGAATACACCTCATAAACATACATAGTAAGAGAAGCAATATACCAAAGATTTTATATTCTGTTCCATTTATATAAAATTCAAAAATAGGCAAAAACAATCTATGGGTTTAAAGTTATTATCTTTGCTTTCTCTTGGAGTAGGTGGGTAGTGGGGGCTGAACAGAACTGAGAGAGGGCACCAGTGAGATTTCTGGGGCACTGGTAATGTTTTTAGCTTTTGATCTGGGTGCTGATTACATGGATATATTCACTTTGTGAAAATTCATCAATCTATACATTTCTGATTTGTGCACTTCTCTGTATGTATGTTATAGTTCAATAGAAAGGTTGCCAAGAAATGATGTTGTGGGAATTAAATAAGATAAAAAATTAAGTGCATAGCAGATGACAAGTACCCATTAAATGTTTATTGTTAAATTTCATAGTATAGTAATCATAGTGAGCCAAAGTGAGACTTTTTTTTTTTACCACGGCAAAAAGTGATTTTGAAAAACAGAATCTTACCCATTAGGATGGCCATTATTTGGGAAAAAAAAAAAACAGACAAAGAGAAGTGTTGGCAAAGATGTGGAGACATTGGAAACCTGTACATTGCTGACAGGAATGTAAGACGGTGCAGCCACTGTGGAAAATAGTATGGTGGTTCCTCAAACAATTAAACATGGAATTACCACATGATCCAGCAATTCCACTTCTAGATGTATACCCAAAAGAATGGAAAGCAGGGACTTGAAGAGATATTTGTACACCAAAGTTCATAGCAGCAATATCCACAATAGCTATAAGGTAAAAACAACCCAATGTCCATCAACACGAATGTATAAGCAAAATGTGGTATATCCATACAATTGAATAGTATTCAGCCTTAAACGCTGGGCAGGGTGACTCACGCCTGTAATCCCAGCACTTTGGGAGGCCAAGGCGGATGGATCACAAGGTCAGGAGATCAAGACCATCCTGGTTAACATGGTGAAACCCCGTCTCTACTAAAAATACAAAAAATTAGCTGGGTGTGGTGGCGGATGCCTGTAGTCCCAGCTACTCGGCAGGCTGAGGCAGGAGAATGGCATGAACCCGGGAGGCGGAGCTTGCAGTGAGCCAAGATTGTGCCCCTGAACTCCAGCCTGGGTGACAGAGTGAGTTTCCATCTCAAAAATAATAATAATAAAAAAAAAGGAATGAAATTCTGACACATGCTACAACTTGGATAAACCTTGAAGACAGTATGCTAAGTGAAATAAGCCATACATAAAAGGACATTGTCTAAAAAAATCTTTTCCAACTGCTCTGAAATATTATCTTTATCATAAATCAAGTGGCCTATACGTGTCAGTTCACTTCTAGACCCTCTATTCTATTCATGCGTTTGTCTATTTTGGGTCCATAATACCATACTATCTTAGTTACTGTAACTTCCAATAAGGCATGATATGCAGTAGTATAATCCTTCCAGCTCTGTTTTGCTTCAGGATTATCATGGCTATTTGCATTTCTATGCATATTTTAGACTCCCACTGCTTATCGATTTTCATTAAAGCACATGCTGGGATTTTGAATGAAATTGCATTGAATTTATGAATCAATTTGATAAGAATAACGATGCTTTGAATTAGTAACTATCCCCATTAGGGAGATGAGAAAACAGATTTGAAGAGATTATGTAACTTGCTCAAAGTCACACAGCCAGAATTTGAACCCAACACTGCACTCTTCTATGTCTGACTTCAGAGCCTTCACATTGAACCATGCCTTCTAAGTAGACTAAAATATCTCTACTACTACTGTCACTCATTGCCACCTGAGGACAGAAATTATGTCATCTATGTTTGTATCTACTTAGCTGCTAGACATTGCCCAGGACTAAGAAACTGTTCAATAAGTTCTGATTCAGTGATCAATTAAATGGGTGGGTGAGTAAGGGAGTGAATAACTAGCTTCTGAGAACATAATGCCTTGCTGGCTGCTAGATGCATTTGCATTTGCCCCTCAGAGACAAATACCTAAATAAACAAACCAAACAGACTGGGTGTGGTGGCTGTCATCCTAGCACTTTGGGAGGCCGAGATGGGAGGATCGCTTGAGCCCAGGAGTTCAAGACCAGCCCGGGCAACATATGGAGACCCTGTCTCTACAAAAAGAAAAAGAAAAAAAAATAAAAATGCTTAAAAGATTTTTTTTTTTTTTTGAGACGGAGTCTAGCTCTGTCGCCCAGGCTGGAGTGCAGTGGCACAATCTTGGCTTACTGCAAGTTCTGCCTTCTGGGTTCACATCATTCTCCTGCCTCAGCCTCTGGAGTAGCTGGGACTACAGGCACCCGCCACCACACCCTGCTGATTTTTTGTATTTTTAGTAGAGACTGGGTTTCACCATGATAGCCAGGATGATCTCGATCTCCTGACCTTGTGATTCACCCACCTCGGCCTCCCAAAGTGCTGGGATTTTTAAAAACCGAAACTGACATTAATTAAATAAAAATTTTGTTCTGTTACTTTTTTCTTTTTCTTTTTTTTTTTTTTTTTGAGACGGAGTCTCACCCAGGCTGGAGTGCAGTGGCGTGATCTCGGCTCACTGCAACCTCCACCTCCCAGGTTCAAATGATTCTCCTGCCTCAGCCTCCCGAGTAGCTGGGATTACTAGATGTGTGCCACCACACCCAGCTAATTTTTGTATTTTTAGTAGAGATGGGGTTTCACCATGTTGGCCAGGCTGGTCTTAAACTCCTGACCTCGTGATCTGCCCGCCTCAGCCTCCCAAAGTGCTGGGATTACAGAAGTGAGCCACTGTGCCCGTCCTGTTCTGTTACATTTTAACCCCTAACAGCTTAAGTCTTACCACCTAACTACTATTTGACTTCCTATAGAACTCTCCAACTCATTCTCATTTTGATCCAACTGCCATGACTGAATGGAATAACGTCTACAGTACCATGTAACCAACATCACTAGGTGTAAGGGAAGTCTGTTGGATTAGAACTGCCCCACATTTACTCCCCATCCCTAACAGCATCCTAGTTTCCTTTATTGGAATCACCTCTTCTGCACCAGGCATAGGTTGGTGGTTCTACTTACTCCTAGCTGAGAGGTGGGCGGGTGGCCTAAGCTTGATCAGTCTGATGTTCTTTCCCAGGCATTGGAATCTTGAGCAAAGAGAAAATAAGCAGGGATTGGCCACAGCACCATGCCACCCTGCCCCGCACTGACCAGGCAGTTCCTCGAGAGGATGGCTGCTGAGGTTTTCCAGCCATGCTCTCCAGTCTCCTGATGATTCTTTGAGCCTCTGGGAGCCTTCCAACATCTTTATTTTTTGCTTAAAATTTTTTACTACCAAAAGTTTCCTCACTGATACAGAATCTAATACCAGAAGTGGGATGTTGCAAGGCTAAGTGGAAGCATTTGAGTGAAAAGAAATAATTGATATCTGAGAATTTAGTAATTCTTTGTTAAGTTATAGTAAATGGCTGGTTAAACCATTGGCTAGTAAGTCCTGAGATTTAGACTATATGCTTCCTGAGGCTTTAACACTAAAGGATGTTGTAAAAAAAAAAAAAAGTTTTGGATTTTGGAGTGTGCTGACAACTTCTTCAGTAAGGTCTTCCAAGCAAGAGGTAAGATTAGACTGAAACTGTCAGGGGCGTTTGAGCCAGAGCAACTCCATCTTGAATAGGAGCTGGGTAAAATAAGGCTGAGACCTACGGGGCTGCATTCCCTGGAGGTTATGACATTCTTAGTCACAGAATGAGATACGAGGTCAGCACAAGATACAAGTCACAAAGACCTTGCTGATAAAACATCATGTGGTAAAGAAGCCTGCCAAATCCCACCAAAACCAAGACGGTGACAAAAGTGACCTATGGTCGTCCTCACTGCTCATTATACGCTAATTATAATGCATTGGCATGCTAAAAGACACTCCCACCAGCACCTTAACAGTTTACAAATGCCATGGCAACGTCAAGAAGTTACCATATACTGTCTAAAAAGGGGAGAAAACCTCGGTTCTGGAAAGCACCCACCCCTTTCCTGAAAAACTCATTAATAATTCATCCCTTGTTTAGCATATAATCAAGAAATAACCATAAAAATGGCCAACCAGCAGCTCATGCTACTGCTCTGCCTATGGAGTAGCCATTTTTTATTCCTTTGCTTTCTTAATAAACTTGCTTTCACTGTATGCATTCACCCTGAATTCTCTTTCACAAGATCCAAAAACCCTCTCCTGGGGTCTGGATTGGGACTCACTTCCAATAACAAAACTGGCCCATCTAAAAGCAAGAGACAAGAGAAAATAGCAGGCTTGCTAAGAGTTGCCTTTTTTGCCACTGGCCTGCTGTTCCATTTGTCCGGGAGTATAGGAAAAGCTCCTTTCTTCACCCTCAAAGTTGGCAAAAGAGCTGGCCATGGTGGCTTCTGCCTATAATCCCAGTAGTTTACTAAGGCAGGTAGATAGTTGGAAGCCAGGAGTTCAAGACCAGCCTGGGCAACATAGTGAGAGTCTACCTCTACAAAAAAAAAAAATTTTTTTTTAATTGGCTGGGCATGGTGACGTGTCTTCCCCCCCTACTAGGGAGGCTGAGGCAGGAGGATCACTTGAGTGCAGAAGTTCAAGGCTGCAGGAGCTATGATCACACCACTGCACTCCAGCCTGAGTGACAGAGGGAGACCCCATATAAAATACAATACAATATAATAGGAAACATAAAGTGAGCAAAAGAAAAGCAGGAACATGGGAACCAAACAGGAAATAAGATTGAGGCCTGAGAGGCAGCCCTCCCAAGCACCTCCTATTATGCCTTGAACAAAGAAGTCAACACTGCCCTTGGGAAGATGCAGCAGGATGCAGCCCGATAGCAGCACACAACAGGGATTATTGCTCCACGAGGACTGCGGGCCCAGGCCCCCTGGGGTTGAATCCCCACTCTGCCTCTTACTAGCAGGTTACTTTATTGCTCCATGAATAGTTTTCCCAAATTGTGCATGGTAACAGTTCCTGTCTCACAGGGCTGCTTATGAAGATTAAGTGAGTTAATAATACATATAAAGACTTTAGAACAGTGCCTGCCCCGTAGTAAGCAATCAATACACGTTACTCCTAATATTTTTGTTGTTATTATGAGGAATGAGTAGTTTGAGTCCTCCCCACCCACCCTATTATTTTGGCTTTTCTCCAGTTGAGGCCAAGACAGAAGCATCAAATTGAAGGGATCAGGGGATGGCCAGAGCACTGGGCCCCATGCTAGGAGGTTGATATTCCCAGGGAGTGTTTTGTTTCAAAAAGTATGACATGATAAGATCTCTGACTCTGGGTACTCTCCATGGCATTAGCCAGGAGCAAATAGACCAGGACCTTGTTAACTTTTTAAGGGTGTCATTTTGCCAAATAATCCTCAAGCCTGGCCTATAATGGCCTAGGATAGTGAATTCCAGGCTTCCAAACTCACATCAACAGAGAGAGAGCTGCTGAAACAGAGCAGCTCCCAGAAAGGGGTACCCCTCCTCAATGTGCATGTCACAGGGTCCCATGAAGGACAATCCACAGGACAGATTTTCCCAGACAGACAAGCAGGGGCCCCAGAAGCCAACAGGCAAAGGGAAGCCTTGCAGAGGGCAGAGCTGGGGGAAGTCACTTATTTGCTCCCAGGAGACCAAGTCCATGTGATTTCTGGCAGAGTCAGATATGGGCTATGGGCCAGTGACCACTAGGAGTTGTTTCCTATTCTTTCGTTTTCCAAAGGAGAGTTATTACTGCAATTTCCCTGTTCTCTCTCTACCACTGTCTACTGAGTGCTGATTAAATTTACCACTTAACCTTAGTGGACCACAGGAGACCAATAAGAGATCCATGTATGAGGACCACACATCACCCAGAGAACCAGAACTGGATAAAATCATGGCTTGTCTCTTTGAGGGAAAGAGGTTGATTGGGTTTGGTGTGGAGGGTGGATATTTTTGAAGGCATGTTTATGGAGATAGAGGTAAGTGTGGCTTTTGGGCAGCTAGAGGGGGTAGACTGTACTAGACATATGTTGTTTTTGCAACCCAGCCTCCACTCAGTCTTCTGATAAAATAGCCTCTTCCAAATGTGGTTGGGTTGGCATCCCAGTCCTATGCAAAAATCGAGGGATGGGCCTTGATTCTCTTAAGGCAATTGACATGCCCCCACCTATATAAAGAAAGCCAGTGAAATTTGATACATGTACTAAGTCTGGAAAAAGAAGAGTTTCTCATTCCTCTCTCCATCTGTCTTCAGCAGAAGTTACTGGAAAGAGACCTCTCTTCCCCTGGATGGCATCGTGTGAAGACATGTGACTTGCAGTCACTGTGGACATTTGTGACCACAAAGACCCATGAAACTGGATGATGAAGCCAAATCTAATACCACAGAAGGCAGAGCAAGGAGAGGGGGAGAGGCTGGCCTTGGTGACATTGTTTGAATCTAGTCTTCTCTGAATCAGTCCCACCTTAGCCCTTCTCAATCATGTAAGTCAGAATATCCCCTCGTTTAAGCCACAGCTTCTGTCATAGCATAAGGAGTTCTCATAGGTTCACTAGCAGAATTGGTGCTTTTTATCTTTTAATAATAAAACATGTTATTTATCAAGAGCTTTATAGTTTACAAAACATTTGCATAGACAGACCTCTTTTGATGTTGTTACCTCCCAAATATGGCAGGCAGACCTTGCGTTATTATCCTTCTTTTAATAGATGAGGAAACTGGGCTTAGAGAGTCTACTGCCAAGGGACACTCAGCCAGTAATTAGAAGGGCTAGAGCTTGAACTCAGGTCTTCTGACTTTCAGAAAAATTCTCATGTTGCAGTAGGTGTTGCACAGACCCATAGCAGAACATAGCTTCTGTTCTAAATTCTGCAGTAGAACAGGATAGTCCTGCACCCAACCCAACTGATGTTCTCTCTCCATCAAATTCTCAACAGTCTTGCCTGGATTTCAAATCCTGAGCCCCGGAACAATCGCTTCTGCAGGAGGGGAAAGGACTCTGAGATATCTCTGGGGCAGTCATGCAGGAGATCATTTTCCCTTGTGGTTTCATTGATTTTATGATCAGGGAGTCTGTGATCTTAGTTGGAAATATTTATGCTCTAAGGGGAGAGACTCAGGAGTCTCAATCGTGTCTGTAGGCCACCCACCCCCAGGGACCTTCTTAATTTAGTGATTCCTCCCCTCCGGCCCCCCTTCTCCTGTCAGCCTGCCTTTACTCAGGGCGAGCCAGAGTGGGTGATGTATTTATGAGAGTGGAGTTCCAGAGCCCACGTGGAGGAGTAAATTACAAGTGAATGCACCTCCAGGATGGGGTGGCCTCCCTTGTCCTGGCGGCACTTCAAAGCTGCCTGAAAATTCCCCAAGGAGAACAGCCAGTCTCAGATGGCTTCAACCCTCTGATGGCTTTGTCAGACACCTGTCCAAGCATCCTACAAGATCTACCAGCTTTAACTCACTTGTTTCCTCCAAGATCTGCCAGCTTTAACTCACTTGTTTCCACACCTGCTCACACAGAGAGCGCACCGCCCCTTTGCAGAAGGAGACACGGAGGTGCAGGGAGGCCCAGATTATAAAGTTAGAAGGCTCAGGGGCTAAATCCACCCTCCAGATGCCCTTCTGGAGTTCCATCTACCAGCACTACCTTCCCTGAAGGGCCAGAACTGTGTCTCATCTGTCTTTAAATCCCCATCTCTAGCACAAACTATGGCCAACAGATGGGGCTCAGTACATTTTTGTGGAAATCATTGGCAATTTTGCCATCCTTTTGATTAAAGTCCAACTTGAATTTCCCATTGCTTTAGGCCACAGACAACAAAGACCTTAAGATGCTCATAGGCATTGGATAGTAACCCATCTGATTCCTCAGTAACTCTTCCAGGTACCAAAATAAAAATCATTTACATTAGTAAAATTGCTTTAGAATTTACAAAGCCCCTTTACTTATATCCTGCCTTTCATCTCTACAACCATGAGGCTGGCACAGGTTCACCCATCTCAGAGATGAGGAAACGAAGACACAGAGAGTTTGGGTAATTTGCCAAAAGTCACACAGCTGATAAGTGACAAAGACAGGACTCACACCCAGGTTTTTTAATTCTGAGTCCAGGGTTCTTTCCACTGCATCATAACAAGCAGTGTTTCTTGTTTTTTTTTTGTTGTTGCTGCTGTTGTTTTGAGATGGAGTCTCGCACTGTTGCCTGAGCTGGATGGAGTGCAATGGCGTGATCTTGGCTCACTGCAACCTCCACCTCCCAGGTTCACGCGATTCTCCTGCCTCAGCCTCCCGAGTAGCTGAGATTACAGGCGCCCACCACCACACCTGGGTAATTTTTTGTATTTTTAGTAGAGACGGGGTTTCACCATGTTGTCCAGGCTGGTCTCAAACTCCTGACCCCATGGAACGCCCTCCTCGGCCTCCCAAAGTGCTGGGATTACAGGCGTGAGCCACCGCACCCTGCTATGGTGTATTTTTATCACCACCTTCTCACAGGCCCTGATGGGCTACTGGAGAAAGAGGAAGCTGAGTCCAGGGTGGGAAATCCCCTACTCCACCTGAGGCAATGGAGCAGGAAGATGAAGGTTGTCTCCAGGCTTCCTCCACTTCCTGTGCACCTACTGCAGGCCAGGTCCCTACACACACTGACCTGCTTCCAGGAGAGGATTTACAGAGAAGCTGAAGCGTCAAGCCCCTCCTGTGGCCCCGGTTAATGAGTGCCACCAATTGACTACACAAGAACACCTGAAATACCCTGAGCTCATAAATAAAAGAAACCTCAGAGAGGTTTTCCCAAATTTGACAACAATCCTAAAAATGTGCATGACATTACAAATAATGATTAGTGGCGCTGAATAATAAGCTCCCAGTAATCAAAACCAACTTTTGATGAACCGTGCTATTAAAAGACTGAATTATACTTCTCTTCTGGCTATGGACAATATTACAAAATCTTTGTCATTGTAGGGAGTGATCAAACAGCATTTAGTCAAAACGTAGGAAAGAAAGTATTTCAATTTTATTTTATTATTTATTTATTTATTTATTTATTTATTTATTTTTGAGACGGAGTCTCGCTCTGTCCCCCAGACTGGAGTACAGTGGCACAATCTTGGGTCACTGCAAGCTCCGCCTCCCGGGTTCACACCATTCTCCCGCCTCAGCCTCTCTAGTAGCTGGGACTACAGGCGCCCGCCACCACGCCCGGCTAATTTTTTGTATTTTTAGTAGAGACGGGGTTTTCACCATGTTAGCCAGGATGGTCTCGATCTCCTGATCTCGTGATCCACCCGCCTCGGCCTCCCAAAGTGCTGGGATTATAGGCGTGAGCCACCGTGCCCGGACAAGTATTTCAATTTTAGATTTGGGGGTATGTGTGCAGGTTTGTTACAAAGATATATTGTGTAATGCTGGCGTTTGGGCTTCTCTTGAACCCCACCCAAATAGTGAACGTAGTGCCCAATAGATAGTTTTTCTACCCACCCTCCCGTCCTTCCTCCCCCATTTTGGAGTCCCCAGTGTCTATTGTTTCCATCATTACGTTCATGCACACCCATTGTTTAACTCCCACTTATAAGTAAGAACACGCAGGATTTGGTTTTCTGTTTCTGCATTAATTTGTTTAGGATTATGGCATCCAGCTGCATCCATGTCACTGCAAAGGATATGATTTCATCGGAAAGAAAGTATTTGAAAGAGCTTTGTTCAGGTAGTTAATTTTTTCTTGGATTTGTGATATTTATGCTATTTGTTGGCTTTTAAAATATATAATTCTTGTCAATTCTAATTGTAAATAAATGCTCATTTTGTACCTAACTTATTATAATTTTCCATCCTGTTTCCTTAAAGAAAGCCCCATCAAACTGTAAAAGCCTCAGGTTGGATCCAACCCTGCAGGGCCATCTCATTTAGATATTATTAGCATAATAACTCTATGAAAGAATTACTATTATTATCTTCATTTTACAGATGAAGAAACTAAGGTTCGGAGATGATCATTTTGTCCAGATCCCACAGACTAGTCAGGAGCAAGTCTTGGTTTCAAACTCAGATGTGACCCACAGTCCAAGCTTTTCCTACTGTGTGATTACTAGAACCAACCTTTGTGGAAATTCATTTATGGTCCAGCCACTTAATGTTTCGGGAAACTGTGGTTTTAAAATACGTCCACAAATTATTTGGTACTCTTTCCTCCAAGAGGTCATCCCTAACTCCGCTCCCATTGTGGGCAGGCTGGACTTAATGACTTGCTTTGAGCAAATAGAATATTGAGGATGATGGCAAGAGATTGGATCTTGAAAGATGCTGGGGCTTCCTTCTAGTTCTCTCTTTCTTGGACTACTCTTTCCAGGTCATGCTAACTATCATGTCATGAGGACACTCACGCAGCCTATGGAGAGGTCCACATGGTGAGGAACTGAGACCTCTGGCCAACAGCTTTGTAAGTCCATCATCTCAAATCTCCAACCCCAATCTAGCCTTCAGATGACTGTAGCCCAACCAACATCGTGACTGCAATCTCATGAGAGACCACTCATTGCAAACCTGATCCTGGATTCCTGACCCTCAGATACTATGAGATAATAAATGTTTTTAGCTGCTAAGTTTGGGGGTAATTTGTTATGCAGCAATAGATAATTAATATGGGAACTGCTTAATGTTGTTGTAATGGAGATGCTGGCTAGGTGTTTCTAAAATGTTTACATGGGAGATGGATTGGGAGGGTGCAATTGGCTCCCTGCAAATCCATCACTACTGGAAAACAATTTATACACGTTTTTACCAAGGGTGGATCAATATTGTATTTTAATGTGCATTTGCAAATATCCTCTCAATTAATCAGATTAGCTGTGGTGGTGCAGATTTTCCAGCTGCCCTCCCATCACCAAAATGATCTCTTTACATTGAGGACCCAAGCGAAGGTTAAGAAGGAAAATATCTCATTTTTTGTTATCTCTCTCACTTGACAAAGGATTTGAAACTTTTTATAATATTACATCCTTTTAGCATATAAATAAGACAATGAAAAACAAAAGTCAAAAGCAGAATGTTGAACAATCTGAAGATCAAGACTAGAGCCAAGTTGGAATGTGCTATGCAAGCTCCAGGTCCTCCACAGTTATTCAAAACAAGCCATTCATTTTGGCTCTGAGCTTCCCAGAGGAAGCACAGGAAGCAAATTCCCACTGTCAGGGCCAGCTTCATGTGTCAGCAGCCAGTGAAGTTGCACAAGGCCCTGTACTCCAAAGGGCCCCATACTTGGGAGTAGTGCCCTGAGGTTGCCATTTTGAAATTCTTCAGTATTTTATCCTTGAATTTGTGTTTTGTAAGTGAAATCTGACATCCCAATGGAGCATATAATGGGGATTTGGAGCCTCTGCTCACAGTCTGTTCCTGCTGCCTGCTGCCTGTCACCTTCCTGTCCCCTGGTGGGCTACGCTGGCCCCGCCTCCCCTTCCCTTGCCTGCTCTACAACAGCCACCACCCTCCACCCAGGGAGGTATCAGCAGAGGGAGGCCACCACCCTGCCATCACTCTCTGCCCTGCCACAGGGACCTGGGCATAGATGTGGGTAGGATAAGAGGTGTGTGCCCCATTGTGTGTTGGTGCAGGACAAGGTGGTGGTCGTCCCCACCTCTGGTTGGAAGTGCCCCACGTGTCTAAAAGGAATCCTCCCTACAGCTCTCAGGAAAGGAGAGACTGAGGGATATTCTTTGCTGCTGTGGCCAGGCAGAGGCACTGGCACCGGGGTGAAGAGTGTGGCTGAGAGGCTCCATCCCAGCCATGCAGAGTGGCAGGTCACCTTTGGCTGCAAACTTGGCAGAGGTCTCGTGTCCACCCCGGATCCTGGTACCAATCATGCCCCAGCACAGAGCTTGCAGTCCCTGGGGGTCACCTGTCCACCGTGGGTGGGGCAGCAAGTGCATGGAAAGGGGACATTGACTTCCCAGGGCCCCACATTTTCATTTTGCACTGAGCCCACAAATTATTTGGCCAGCCTTGTCTATCGTGCCCTTGGGAAAGAAGAAATCCATTTCTGAGAGTTAAGGAAGTTTTTCCGTCCCACGTGTCTAAAAGGAATCCTCCCTATAGCTCTCAAGAAAGGAGAGGCTGAGGGATATTCTTTGCTGCTGTGGCCAGGCAGAGGCACTGGCACCGGGGTGAGGAGTGTGGTGGCTGAGAGGCTCCATCCCAGCCATGCAGAGAGGCCAGCTGCCCAGGGACCCACCCATGCAAGGAGCTCTGCAGCCTCCGAATCCAACCCTGAAGCACCAAGTGTCTGCAGCCCGGCTGAGCTCTCGCAGCAGCCCACGAGGTGCAGAACAGGCTGTGCTGCATTCTCTGTGACTGGAAATTCACTAGGCATTCAGTGAGCCTACTCCATGTGGTTTGAAAATGCCACTAAAATGTCGTACAGGCTTGGCAGCCGGTCCGTGTGTCCTGGGGGGAGTCTCTATGCCAGGGGCTGCTCCTTTGCCTGGGAGCAAATCACAGTGTCCCACACAGGTAGGTTGACTTGGTAAAGGAGGGGACACAGGCCCACCCTGTGCAGGCAGCAGGGGTTTGTCATGGGGGTCTAGAGTCTGACCAAAATCAAGGGACTCTATGGGAAAGATGTGAAGACAGAGTTTACAGACTTGCCACATGGACCTATTTACAGCAGTCTCCTCCTCTCTGCCCTCCCATTGCCTCCTTGTCAAATGAGGCATTTCCAGGTATCTCCCTCTGCAGGGTCTTTGGGGCCAGGCTTGCCAATCCTGAGCAGAGTACAGAATGCACTGGGAGGAATTCATGTCATATTTCGTTCCTAGATGGTGAGCTCTTCTGATTCCAAAGGAGTACATTTCCTTTTCCATCCAAAACAAAAATCTCCAAACACTCCCTTGGGCCAACAAGTCTACCTGAGATGTCACCGGCATTTAGGGTTTGTCAAGGACATTTAGATCGTCGTCTTTGTTTGTCCAGGGCTGAGGGGTTTCAGTGCTAAAATGAGGCCACTCTCAGGCAAATAGGAAGGTTGGTCATCCAATTGCCATTTAGATAACTGAGAAGCCAGGTAAATCCAGATTATTTTTTTCAATAAAAAATTAATGATCACATTTATCACTCACCTTCAGGAGGACATATCTTAATATGAAATAAAACTGTGTGTGCTGAATTTCCTCAGGAAAGCCCAGGGGTCTTTCATGAGGATACAGTAAGGGAAAGGAAGGACAGAGACCTGTTTCCTAGACTTGGCCTCTTTGCCTTAAAGTTGAGTTTTATCTAGCAGCACCTGCAAAAGATAACTCCTCGGATAACTGTGCTTTTCTAGAAAGGCGAGTAAGGTGAGAGGTCAGTTGTTCTCTGTGTACACACGCCTATGTGGGAGAAAACTGTTCAACTTAAAATGCTAGAAAGGGCCTCCTAGGGATGCCTACTTTTCAAAGGTTTGAGCTATTCTTGAATATGAAAATGAGCCTGCAACATCAGCTGTGCAAGAAGTTTAACTTTTTTTAAAGCTCTTAGCTTAAGTTCTGCCAGGAGTCTCCATTGTATTGTGGTGGCGGAAGCTTGATCTTAGCCTATTCTGGAGTCCCCATCTTTTCTTCAGGGTTAATATCGAAGTTAGGAGGGGTCAGGAGAGGGAGTACTTAGTGTAATGCCAAGGTGTAAGGCAAGAAGGCGGGGGCAGTGGCATCTCATGAGACCAGGAGCAAATACTTAGTGAGCACTTCCGCTGTGCCAGACACTAAAAGCTTCATCTGTGTTCCATCTTTTGATATCTTGGATCAGTAGTGATCCGTATGATTTTTACCCACATTTTATAGATGAGGCACAGAGAAGGTAAGGGGCTTACAAAAGGATTACTTGGCTAGGAAGAGGCAGAGCTGAGATTTAAAACCAAAGGCCTGATTCCAGAGGTAGCACACCTAAGGTCATTCATTTAACAAATATTGACGGATCACCTATTATCTGACCTAGGCCCACAGTATGGAGCCTAAACAGAAAGGAATCCCTGCCTCAAGGAACTTCCATTCTGGCCTCTTCACTCCACTGTTTCTTGCAGCAGCCGTGAGGCATCCACTCCCTGTCCTGGTCCTGAGGCATTATTTCCTCCAGGCTGCTTTTTTCCTTGCTCTCATTCTAGGGGACCCTTCGGGCCCTGTGACTGTTTACTTCCACTCTTCTCCTAGGAAGGTGGACATGCATTCTGCTGTCTGCACCGTGCTGGCTCGGACCCCTTCTACTTCCACCTGCTCACAAACTCAAAGCACTTCTAAACCCCAGGCACATCCGCTCACTCATCATGCCCAGGGCCATTTCAGGCTGGCACATCAACCATGCACACGGGCCATTTCTGCTCTGGGGCCTGATCCCCAGAACTCTGAACATCTAGCTCAAATGGGGAACAGGGTGTCATAACTGCCTTTCTCAGGAAGATCTACGCATGCCTCATTTCTCTTCTTACTCTCCTCTTTCCCTGGTGGTGGGAAAACTGGTTCTAACTCACCCACTTTTTTCTAGGTCCTGGGTCATCTCACAGCCATGGATTTTAAGTTTCCAAACCCTAAAGCATTCTCTGCTCGCTACAGAAAATCCCTTCCCTCCCACTGGGTGTGTGTGGCTGATCCTAAGTAGCAGAAGGGTCAAGCAGGGAATAGAGAAAAGACAGGGGAACGAACCCACCAGTTAACACTGCACAAGATCCTTTCACTTCAAACACCTGCCTGTTATGATTTCTACATTTCGGGCCCCATAGGTAAACACTTTTCATGCACTACTAATGCTCACCATGCCCTTTTGACAAATCCCCCTTTGTGCCTCAATTTACTCACTTGTAAAGTAGGAATAATGATAGTGCCCACCTCGTACAATGGTTGGGAAGATTAAAATCAGTTACAGAGTATGAAGTGCTCAGAACAGTTTCTGGCAAAGAGGGAGTGCCATGTACATTGTTAGCTGTTATTATTATGATTATTATCATTTATTGTTGTTGTCATATTTGTCTTTCTCATTACACATGTTTCAGGGTGAAGATAACGTTTTAAAAATTTATCTCCGCATCTGATTCAGCACATACCAGGGCCCAGTACACAGTAGATATTCAGTACATGTTGATTTATTGTTTTTATTTATTTTAGAGACAGGGCCTCGCTCTGTCAGCCAGACTGGAGTGCAGTGACACAACCATAGCTCACTGCAGCCTTGAAGTCCTTGACTCAAGCGATCCTCCCACCTCAGCCTCCTGAGTAGCTAGGAAAACAGGCACACACCGCCACACCTGGCTAATTTTTAAAAATTTTCTCTAGAGATGGGATCTCACTATGTTGCCCAGGCTTTGAATTTTAACTGAAGAAACAAACTGTTGTGTTTTGTTCTGTCTTAATACAAATTCAGATTCAGATCTTTGATGTAAAGAAGTCACCTGACTCCTCCCCATTCACCACCCACCCCTACTGCTTACAAAAGATTACATTCCTTAGACTGTCAGAGCTGGAAGAGACCTGGGGGATCATCTGGTCTAACCTTAGTTCACAGAGAAGAATTACAAAGCCCAGGAAGAGGAAAATGAACGGCTCATGGTCACTTAGTGGGTAAAAGAAGAATTTATAAGCCAGCTGGTGGGAGTCTAATCATTTCCTTTGCAGGACTGCTCTCTGAGAAACAAAGCTCATCCCTTCCTTGTGCTCATGACTCATTGACAACATTTAATGAACACTCACCCTATGCCATGCTTAGGAGTGGGAAGACTGCAGGCCATGAGGCTAGAACAGGGTTCAAATCCCAGTTCCACCCCTCGACAGCTCACACCCTTGAATAAACCGAGCCTCATTATCCTCATTTATAAAATGGACAAATAATAAAGAGATGGCAGGAGTTTTGAGGGGAGTCAATGAACTAAAGCGTTCATGTTTCTAGCATATAGTAGCAATGTTTGTTCCCCTCCTCTCCACTCTGGTAGCAAGCCAAAGAAGCAGAAGATGGGCCCTTGTCCTCAAGGAGATTATGATCCTGTCTCTTTGCAAGATGAAGAAGCTTGAGCAGAGATGATGAGCTGAGTGGAAAGTCAAAGGACAGGGAGAGTTAACTGGGAATGTTTAACGGGAGAGGCAATTCTAGTTTTAAAAGAGAGAAAGAAGATCGCTTGGCAGGGAGCATTAGAAAGATTTCCTAACGTGCTCTTCAGAGAGGCTTCCCCTGACCACCTGTGCAAAGTAGCCCCCCATCACTCTCTGCCCGCTTGCCCAGCATTGTATATCACCGCATTTACAGCTCTGACACCCTTGCTTGTCTTTCTGTTTGTCATCTGTACCCCCAACTAGCATGTATGCTCCAAAGAACAGGGAATTCTTCATTTGCCATCTGCTCGGTGCTGTCACTCCTGTTCTAAACAATGTCTGGCATATCATAATTGCTTGAAAAATGTTTGTCATGTGAATATAGAGTGACAAATTGCAAACGTAGCTGAGTGATCTCGGGAAGAAAGGAATGATTTGCCTGGGAAGAGCATCTATGTTTAAAATATCAAGGAATTAGTGAATGGTGCTACAGTACTAACGGCTGGGATTTGACCATTTCCGATGGCAGAAAGGAGGCCTTTTCTGTTGAGCTGGTGGAGTAGCTTCTCTCCCTGGAAGGCCCACATTCCCGACCTTTGGCCAGCTCTTTTCACTCCCCTACCAACATGAGCCGAGATAGATAACCCCACCTCCTCAAGACTCGGGGTGCCTTTAGGTTAGCGCTTTACATGGGATCATCTGAAGTCACAAGTAATTCTCGAGTACGTCTGACTTTGTCAGCTAAGTGTTAGAGAGATGGATGCTCACAGCCCACAAATAGCATGGTTGAATCACCAAGCATCTTGTTTGTGTTAGAGAGTGAGATAAACTCTAGGAGCCTTCACCCATAAAACTGTCTGCAGTATTGAAAACATGCTTCATAAAAACTCCCTGATGACCAGGAATGTATCCTTCTAACGTGGGATTGGCTGAAAACACTTTCGAAAACAAATTACTATTGGGTTGTCCAGTTTTGCTCATATGCAGTAGGGGGCGCTGTTGATACAAATTCCATCAGTACTACATGGACTCCATTGCACTAACCACGGATGCGCCCTGTTCACAGCTTTACCCGGACATTTAGCCCTGGTTCTTAACACTGAAGAGTTAACAGGTGTGCCAGGAGAAGAACGTGGCTTAGTCAAACCGTTTGAAGGATATCATTTTCTTGGTTGGCATCCTATCAACTCTTAACTAGTTCTCTTCCTACAGAAACTTTTTCACCTTTTTCAGTTCTTCCCATATAACATTGACTTTTCTCCTAAAGAGATTATTTGTTGTTCATCCTAAGGATTAATGTTTGGTGTCCTGAGAATCACCATATTGGAGAAATGTCAAGATGTCTGAAATGAGGAAACCCAAGTCCTACCCACCAACTAGAAGAAAATTTAGACAAAGTCAAGTTGAACCCAACTCTCCCAAGAGATGAACTTACTAGGGCTGCAAAGGTACTTGTCTGGAACAGCACTCTTGGGTTTCCCCATAAGCAATATAGTCATTTAGGGAAGAAAGCTGCCCCTATAGAAGTCCCAAAGTGGGGTGCATGAGAGTTTCCAAATGCCAAATATTGTAGGGATATTCACCCACTTAGAAATTGGGCCATAGATTTGCATTTCTGGAAGCTCCGAGCTTATAGAATAAGGGATGGATACAGGGTACCCTGGACCATGAATAAAAGATGCCCTCCAATCCTTCACCCTCTCTTAAGCAACAACCTTCCAAGGCTGACTGGGCTTCACCAGATCCTGCTTTGGCCATCTTGGGATGACCAAATTACCACGTGGGTGAAGAAAGTACCGAGAATTGCGGGGGCCATGAAGATACTTTGACCTTTTCTGGAGTCTAGGACCTTCACTGTCCTCGACGGTGCTTCTATTCTAGTTCTTCTAGCAGAGGAGGGCAGTGTTCCTGTGAAGTTCCCGTGCTCCCTGTGGCTCAAAGCCTTTGAAACTGGGGATCCTGGCTGAAGGCTGACTCAGTGTCTCAGGACCCAGCAAGCCCCTCAGCCCCTCAGCTCCTTCAGCCTCCCTCCACACAATGCAGTGGATGGAGGTGCCAGAGAGAGGCTGCGAAACAAAGGTGGCTTTCACCCAGAGCCAGCTGAGAGGTGCCGACTGTGGTGGCGGGGTCTGCAGCCCTGAAGCTGGGTGCCGTCCTGTGACTCTGAGCTCAAAAATGTGTGAAATTTCTTTTTGCTGGGTATTCTACATCAAGCGGAACCTGTTCTCAGAGAAACATTCCATTTCACAGACCCTAATGGCTTTCCTCTGTGCTGATGCATTAATGAGGCTCCGGCTCGTTCTAATCAGAAGGAAGCCATGCAGATAATTGCCTGAATTTTTAATTCAGGGTTATGATAGGGGAATCAAAGTCACACTGCAGTTGCTGAGGCTGCCTCTAGTTCCAGGCCATTGACTTTTGCAATTTTCTTTGATTTCCCCCTCCCTGTCTCTTTCTCCCCACTCCCTCTTTCTCTCTCTCTCTCTCTCTCTCTCTCTCAGGCTTGGTGGAGACCGACAGTAAGTTTCAGGTTGGGGTGGAGTAGAGAAATAGGGGCAGCCCTTGGGGTCTCCCACAGTCTTTCTTCCTCCTCCTCTTTTGCAACCCTTCCCCTCCCCCATGAAAGCGTGGATCCTGCCTGCACCTGTCACCCCAGGGCTGGTTCTGGGAGAGTGCCCTGCAACTGGCCTTCCCACTCAGGGTCTCTGTGCCCATAAGCAAGGACAGGAAATTTGCCCCAGGAGAGGATCTCCCTTGGCAATTTACTTCTCATTTCATCTCAGGTTTTAGGGCAAAGGAGAGAAATGATAAAGGGAAGGGAAAAAGAGATCAGGTGGCCAGAGCAGCTCAGCATCTTCCAATTCCTTGCAAAGGCAATTTGTTCTCCATTGTTGCTGAGACCAAGGGCAGGTGGGAAGTTGGAGGAACCTAAGCCTGAGGTCCTTCCTGAATTTTTTCCCCTGACATAATCATCACTGAGTGCTAGAACTTTAAAGAACTTACAGAACCCTGACAACTACAGGTGGTAGACAGAGGTAAATGCAAACTGGCTGTATGATAGGTCACTTACCCACAAATTAAAAAAAGGACCCAGAGGCTGGTACAGAAAGAGCTCCCTGACATTGGCCAGTTTGCCCAGAATGTCCAGGACCTTGGGCTGACACAGAATTTGCTAGGGTGAGAGTCGGCAGCCTTTATGGCTCAATTCCAACCAATAGTCACTTTCCAGGAGAGTGACTATTCTTGCAAGGGAAGTTTCTTCTCCCAGTATGCTCTAGTGCTGGCTATAGCAACACTATCGGCACACATTTACACTTTAAGCCAGCATTCAGCAGAGTGATTCTTTCCCTTCCAGATTGGTCTCCGAATCACTGGGCACCACACACATGGCATCTAAGAGCAAAATGTATCTCCACATCTCTGGCTGTGTATATCGGTTCAGGATTTTTACTTTTAAGAGACAGAAGATAATTTTCACTGGGACTGACATCTCCTGGGTGCCAAGGACGTTATATACTGTCATTCCATTTAACCATTACCAGTACGTTGTGAAGAAGAGATGACTGTCTCTACTTTCGAGATCAGGAAACTTGGGTTCACCAAAAAAGAACAGAAATTTTACTGCCACCTGCACCTCACCTTCCAGGGGAAGTTTTGTTATGTGGAATCCAGAAATCCCTTTAAAGGTGCATTTTCAGGGCTTAGCAATGCTACTGATAATGCAGTCTTTCCAATTGCAGGTTACAGCTTTCAGAAATCAAAAGAGGCAGTTACCTTTATTATGCTGGTGGAATTTGACCTCCACTGGGCTTTTGTTTCCTCAATAAAACATGGCCTCATATCTGAATAGCCCCCCTCTCCCAAGAATGCCAAAGCAACCTCACAAACTCTGCAGTCATCCACACACTGACTCCTTAAGAACATCCCCAGCAGAACTATCACTTGACCCAGCAATCCCATGACTGGGTATCTACCCAGAGGAAAATAAATCGTTCTACCAAAAATACCATAATAGCAAAGACACGGAGTCACCTAGATGCCCATCCACGGTGGATTGGATGAAGCAAATGTGGTACATATACACCATAGAATACTATGCAGCAATAAAAAAGAATGAAATCACATCCTTTGCGGCAACATGGATGTAGCTGGAGGCCATTATCTCAAAGGAATTAATGCAGGAACAGAAAACCAAATACTACATGTTCTCACTTATAAGTGGGAGCTGACCACTGGGTACATACAGACACAAAGATGAGAACAGCAGACACTGGGGACTCCAAAAGGGGAGAGGGAGGGAGGAGGGCAAGGGCCGAAAAACTACCTATTGGGTACTATGCTCACTACTTGGGTGATAGGATCATTGATACCCCAAACCTCGTTGTCGTACAATATACCCAGACAACAAACCTGCACATGTACCCCTGAATCTAAAATAAAAGTTGAAATTATTAAAAAAAAAAAGCAGTCCATCTCTTCTACAACAGTGGACCTCATCATGGTGCTAGACTATTTTATGATAGCACAGAATATCTCTGGGGATTTTTGCGAATCTCTGTTGAACTTTTAAAGCAAAATCAGTTATCATTTCTTTTTTTTTTTTCATTTTTATTTTCATAAGAGACGGAGTCTTACTTTGTTATCCAGGTTGGTCTTGAACCCTGGGCTCAAGTGATTCTTTTGTCTCAGCTTCCAAAAGTGCTGGGATTACAGGCATGAGCCACTACTCCCAGCCAGGTTTCTATGTCTTTTAATTTTTTTTTTTTAAAAAGCATGTGCTTTGGGATGCCTTTAGGCAGAGTTAGGGCCTCATTTATTCAATCAATCAGCCTATATTTAATGAGCACCAACTATGCACCAGATTGTTCCAAGCACTGAGTCCTGCCCTCCGAGGGGAACATCACAGTTTAGTGGGGTAGATGAATGCAGGCTGAGGGATGTGGCAGAGGGAAACACAATCTGCTATGAACGTTGAAAGGAAATCCTGAAATCAAGCTAACAACATGTGTAAACTCCAACAAAATTGAGAGTAACAGCGAGTGCCCTTGTTCCTGAGCCCAGAACATAGATCCATTCAGGGATGAAAAACCCCATTCTAAACTTTGGTCCCCTCCCATCTCAAAAGCCAACTTTCTCTTAGCTCCCTGGAGACCCGGTCTGCTCCCCAGGTCCTGTGCATTCCAGCTTCAGCCCTGTGAACTTGGAGTTAATGATTAAACCACGTGGTAGTGCCATGGCTGGAGGCCGAGGCTTCCTTGGGGTGAGCTGGATGGCTCAGCCCTGGAAACTGCCAAGTTCCTGGCTCAGCTCCAGCCAGGGATGGGCCGGAGACAGATCCAGCCCCCACACCCACATGCAGCTCATTTTCAAAGTTGGCTGCAGTCTCAACAACCTCTAGTCACAGAATCCCCTGCTACAAACCTAAGGCACTGTGGTATAGTGGAAAATCCAATGTAAAAGGAAACGCAAGTCTTGGTGCAAATTCTGATCCTACTACTAATTCACTGGGTGACCTTGGGGTAGTCTCCTCACCTTTTCTGGGCTTCAAGTTTCTCATCCATAATGGAACAATGTCGGACCAGAACGTGCCATGTTCTCTTACAATTCTGTGCATTTGCACGTGCTGTTACATTTGCCTGGTACACCCTTCCTACCCCTTTTGTCTTCTCACTCATCCTCCAAAGTGCAGCTGAGGGGTCACCATCTTCAGAAAGCTTTCCCTGACCCTCTCCCAACAGGCTAAGCTAGATGCCCCTTCTTTTAGTCCCATAGCACTCTGTATTTCCTTTATCATAACACTTAGCCTACTGTTTTTACAGGCATATTTTGGAGATATCGTGGGTTCAGTTCCAGACCACTGCAATAAAGCAAATATGGCAACACAGTGGGTCACACAAATGTTTTGGTTTCCCAGTGCATCGAAGAGTTGTGGTCACACTATACTGTAGTCTATTAAGTGTACCATAGCATCACATCTTTTAAAAAGTACATACCTTAATTTTAAAATACTTTGTTGCTAAAAAAAAAAATGGTAGCAATCATCTGAGCCCTCAGTGAGTAGTAATCTTTTCGCAAGTAGAGGGTCTTGCTTCACTGTTGATGGATGCTGACTGATCAGGGTGGTGGTTGCTGAAGATTGAGGTTGCCGTGGCAATTAAAAAAAAATAAGACAATGAAGTTTGTGACATAGATGGACTTTTCTTTTTACAAAAGATTTCTCTGTAGCATGCAGTGCTTTTTGGTAGCATTTTGTCCACAATAGAAGTTCTTTCAAAATTGGAGTCAGTTCTCTCAAATCCTGCCACCACTTTATCAACTACGTTTATGTGATATTCTCAATCCTTTGTTGTCATTTCAACAACGTTCACGGCATCTTCACCAGGAGTGGATTCCATCTCAAAAAACTACTTTCTTTGCTCATCTGTAAGAACCAACTCCTCATCTGTCAAAGTTATATCATGAGAATCCAGGAATATGACACAAAGGTGGAATAGACATTAATTTTGTGCATTCTTTGGGACCCATGCACACGTATGTTTATTGCGGCACTATTCACAATAGCAAAGACTTGGAACCAACCCAAATGTCCAACAATGATAGACTGGATTAAGAAAATGTGGCACATATACACCATGGAATACTATGCAGCCATAAAAAATGATGAGTTCATGTCCTTTGTAGGGACATGGATGAAGCTGGAAAACATCATTCTCAGCAAACTATCTCACGGACAAAAAACCAAACACCGCATGTTCTCACTCATAGGTGGGAATTGAACAATGAGAACACTTGGACACAGGAAGGGGAACATCACACACCGGGGCCTGTCATGGGGTTGGGGGATGGGGGAGGGATAGCATTAGGAGATATACGTAATGTTAAATGACGAGTTAATTGGTGCAGCACACCAACATGGCACATGTATACATATGTAACAAACCTGCACATTGTGCACATGCACCCTAAAACTTAAAGTATAATTTAAAAAAAAAAGAAAGGAAAAAAAACCCCTCCCCTCCAAAAACTTGTGCTTTCTTTGGTAATTTTTTTTTGTTTTTTGTAACTACAAAGCTTTGCTACAATTTTATGCATTTCATTCAAGTCAGTGATGTGTGTTTGTATAATTTCCACAACATAATTGTTGATCATAAAAATGTAACATCATAATTACATTTCTAACTAGAATTAGTATGTCTAGTTTTGTATCTTTATGCTATATTTTTTATTTTATTTTATTTTAAGTTCCGTAATACATGTGCAGGATGTGCAGGTTTGTTGCATACATAAATGTGTGCCATGGTGGTTTGCTACACCTATCAAACCATCACCTAAGTATTAAGCCCTGCATGCATTAGCTATTTTTCCTGATTCTCTCCCTCCCCCACCCCCGAACAGGCCCCAGTGTGTGTTGTTCCCCTTCCTATGTCCATGTGTTCTCACTGTTCACCTCCAACTTATAAGTGGAAATATGCAGTGTTTGGTTTTTCGTTCCTGTGTTAGTTTGCTGAGGATAATGGCTTCCGGCTCCATCCATGCCACTGCAAAGGACATGATCTCATTCCTTCTTATGGCTGCATGATATTCCATGGTGTATATGTACCACATTTTCTTTATCCGGTCTACCACTGGGTTGGTTACACATCTTTGCTATTGTGAATAGTGCTGCAATGGACATATGTGTGCATGTATCTTTGTAATCGAATGATTTATATTCGTTTGGGTACATACCAAGTAATGGGATTGCTGGGTCAAACGGCATTTCTGGTTCTAGGTCTTTGAGGAATTGCCATACTGTCTTCCACAATGGTTGAACTAATTTACATTTCCACCAACAGTGTAAAAGTGTTCCTATTTCTCCACAGCCTCACCAGCATCTACTGTTTCTTGACTTTTTAATAATCGCCATTCTGGCTGGCGTGAGATGGTATCTCACTGTGGTTTTGATTTGCATTTCTCTAATGATCAGTAATGTTGACCCTTTATTTTTATGTTTGTTGGCCATATAAATGCCTTCTTTTGGGAAGTGTCTGTTCATGTCCTTTGCTCACTTGTTAATGGGGTTGTTTTTTTCTTGTAAACTTAAGTTTCTTGTAGATTCGGAATATTAGACCTTTGTCAAATGGATAGATTGCAAAAATTTTCTCCCATTCTATAGGTTGTCTGTTCACTCTGATGATAGTTTCTTTTGCTATGCAGAAGCCCTTTAGTTTAATTAGATCCCATTTGTCAATTTTTGCTTAGACTCCCACACAATAATAGTGGGAGACCTTAACACCTCACTGCCAATATTAGACAGATCATCAAGACAGAAAATTAACAAAATATTCAGGACTTGAACTCAGCTCTGATCAAGTGGACCTGACAGATATCTACAGAACTCTTCACCCAAAAGCAACAGAATATACATTCTTGGCACCACATGGCACTTACTATAAAATCGATCACATAGTTGGAAGTAAAACACTCCTCAGCAAATGCAAGAGAGCTGAAATCATAACAAACAGTCTCTCAGACCACAGCACAATCAAATTAGAACTGAAGATTAAGAAGCTCACTCAAAACCACACAACTACATGGAAATTGAACAGCCTGCTCCTGAATGATACCCGGGTAAATAATGAAATTAAGGCAGAAATCAAGAAGTTCTTTGAAACCAACGAGAACAAAGAGATAACATGCCAGAATCTCTGGGATGCAGCTAAAGCAGTGTTAACAGAGAAATTTATAGCACTAAATGCTATAACACAAAAAGGTAGAAAGATCTCAAATTGACAATCTAACATCACAGCTAAAAGAACTAGAGAGCCAAGAGCAAACAAACCCCAAAGCTGGCAGAAGACAAGAAATAACCAAGATCAGAGCAGAACTGAAGGAGATAGAGATATAAAAAAACCCTTCAAAAAATCTACAAATCTAGGAGCTGATTTTTTGAGGGGAAAAAAAAAAAACCTGCTAGCTAGACTAATAAAGAAGAAAAGAGAGAAGAATCAAATAGACACAAAAAAAAATGATAGAGGGGATATCACCACTGACCCCACAGAAATACAACCATCAGATAATATTAAGAACACCACTATGCAAATAAACTAGAAAATCTACAAGAAATGGATAAGTTCCTGGACACATACACTCTCCCAAGACTGAACCAGGAAGAAGTTGAATCCCTGAATAGACCAATAACAAGTTCTGAAATTGAGGCAATAATTAATAGACTACCAACCAAAAAAAGCCCAGGACCAGACGGATTTACAGCTGAATTCTACCAGAGGTACAAAGAGGAGCTGGTACCATTTCTTCTGAAACTATTCCAAACAATTGAAAAGGAGGGACTCCTCTCAAACTTATTTTATGAGGCCAGTGCCATTCTGATACCAAAACCTGGCAGAGATACAACAAAAAAAGAAAACTTCAGGCCAATATCCCTCATAAACATTGATGCAAAAATCCTCAATAAAATACTGGCAAGCCGAATCCAGCAGCACATCAAAAAGTTTATCCACCACGATCAAGTCAGCTTCATCCCTAGGATGCAAGGCTGGTTCAACATATGCAAATCAATAAACATAATTCATCACATAAACAGAACTAAAGACAAAAACCACATGATTATCTCAATAGATACAGAAAAGGCCTTCCATAAAATTCAACATCCCTTAGTGTTAAAAACTCTCAATAAGCTACGTATTGATGGGACATACATCAAGACAATAAGAACCATTTATGACAAACCCACAGCCAATATCATACTGAATGGGCAAAAGTTGGAAGCATTCTCCTTGAAAACCAGCACAAGACAAGGATGCCCTCTCTCACCCTCCTATTCAACATAGTATTGGGAGTTCTAGCCAGGGCAATCAGGCAAAAGAAAGAAAGAAAGCGTATTTGAATAGGAAAAGAGGAAGTCAAACTGTCTCTGTTCACAGATGACATGATCCTATATCTAGAAAACCCCATCTTCTTAGCCCAAAAGCTCTCAAGCTGATAAGCAACTTCAGTGAAATCTTAGGATAAAAAATCAATGTGCAAAAATCACAAGCATGCCTATACACCAAGAATAAACAAGCAGAGAGCCAAATCATGAAAGAACTCTCATTCACAATTGCTACAAAGAGAATAAAATACTTAAGAATGCAATTAACAAGGGAAGTGAAGGACCTCTTCAAGGAGAACTACAAACCACTGCTCAAGGAAATCACAGAGGACACAAAGAAATGGAAAAACATTCTATGCTCATGGATAGGCAGAATCAATATCGTGAAAATGGCCATACTGCCCAAAGTAATTTATAGATTCAATGCTATTCCCATTAAATGACCATTGACATTCTTCACAGAATTAGAAAAAAAAAAACTACCTTTTATGCTGCATTTTAACACTTTGTATTACTTAGGTTATTTTGTTTTGGTTAAAAAGGCTCAAGTAGAAAAAGCAATCCAATCCGTATTAAGACAATGTAAAAACTGTAAATAAAATGTGTACAGAGAATTGTCTTTTAGGCAACTAGATTTGTCCTTTTATTTCTCCATCTCTATAGAAACAATTCGTACCTCTTATTGCAAGGTACAATTGCAAGGCAGTCTCTATTGTGTCTTCTTTTGCGGTGTCTTCCATGTGAACAGCATAAGCTTGGAGCACCAGTTTGATTATTATGTTTATTACAATTTGTAATAAATTGAGAAGATAGTATCATATATATTGAGAAGATAGTATCATATATATCATGAGATTGCAGCAATTCAGTCGCATCTTCAGGCTCCACTGTTTTTTTAGAAGCAGGGAGGAGGGAACAGGCTCCATTTCTAATTCTGGTTCTCTTGCTATTTTCACCACATCTGCAGTGACTTCCCCCACTGAAGTCATGCATAAGGGTTGGAATCAACTTCTTCCAAATTCTTGTTAATGTTGATATCTTGACCCTGACCTATGAATCATAAATGTTCTTAATGACATCTAGAACGATGAATCCTTTCCAGAAGGTTTTCAATTTACTTTGCCCAGATCCATCAGAGAAACCACTATCTATGGCTGTATAGCCTTATGAATGTATTTCTTAAATAATAAGATTTGAGAGTCAAAATTACTCCTTGATCCACAGACTACAGAATGGATGTTGTATTAGCAGGCATGAAAACAACATTCATCTCCTCGTACATCTCCATTAGCGTTATTGGGTAACCAGGTGCGTTGTCAATGAGCAGTAATATTTTGAAAGGGATCTTTTTTTCTGAGCAGTAGTTTTCAACAGTGGGCTTAAAATATTCAGTAAACCATGCTGTAAACAGATGTCCTGTCATCAGGCTTTGTTATTCCATTTCTAGAGCACAAGCAGAGTAGGGTTAGCATATTTCTTAAAAGTCCTAGGACTTTTGAAACAGTCAGTGAGCTCGAATGCTCATGCCTGTAATCCCAGCACTTTGGGAGGCCAAGGTGGGTGGATCATGAGGTCTGGAGTTCAAGACCAGCCTGGCCAAGGTGGTGAAACCCCGTCTCTACTAAGAACTACAAAAAATTACCCGGGCGTGGTGGCAGGGGCCTGTAATCCCAGCTACTCAGGAGCCTGAGGCAGGAGAATTGCTTGAACCTGGGTGGCAGAGGTTGCAGTGAGCCGAGATTGCACCGCTACACTCCAGCCTGGGCAACAGAGTGAGACTCTGTCACAAAAAAAAAAAAAAGAAAGAAAGAAAAAAAAAGAGTCAATGAGCATTGGCTTCAACTTAAAGTCACCAACTCCATTAGCCTCTAACAAGAGAGTCAGCCTGTCCTTTGAAGCTTTGAGGCCAGGTATTGACTTCTTTCTAGCTATGAAAGTCCCAGGTAGCATCTTCTTCTAATAGAAGGCTGCTTGGTCTACACCGAAAATCTGTTGCTTAGTGTAGCCGCCTTCCTCAGCGATCTTAGCTAAATATCCTGGATAACTTGCTTCAGCTTCTACATCAGCACTTACTGCTTCTCTTGCACTTTTATGTTATAGAGATGATTTCTTTCCTTAAATCTCATCAACCAACCTCTGCTAGCTTAAAAGAAAATATTTTGCAGCCTCCTCACCTCTCTCTGCCTTCATAAATTTGAAGAGAATAAGGGCCTTTCTCTGGCCCTGGCTAAGTCTTTGGCTTAAGGGAATATAGTGGCTGGTTTGATTCTCTATTGCCATCACCCAAGCTTTCTGCATATCAGCAATAAAGCTGTTTCCCTTTCTAATCATGCATGTGTCCACTGGAGTAGCACTTTCCATTTCCTTCAAGAACTTTTCTTTGCCTTCACAACTCAGCTATCTGTTTGGTGCAAGAGGCCTAGCTTTCAGTCTAGCTCGGCTTTCACATGCCTTCCTCACTAAGCTTAAGCGTTTCTAGCTTTTGATTTAAAAAGAGAGATGTGCAACTCTTCCTTTCACTTGAACACTTTGAGGCCACTGCAGGGATTATTAGTTGGCCTGATTTCAATATATTGTGTCCCAGGGAATAGGGTGGCCCGAGGAGTGGGAGAGAGATGGGGGGACACCTGGTCGGTGGAGGAATCAGAACACACATATTTATCGATTAAGTTTGCTATCCTATATGGTGAGGTTTGTGGTGCCCCAAAACAATGACAATAGTTAACATCAAAGATCACCGATCACAGATCAACATAATATATATAATAATATGAAAAAGTTAGAAATATTGCAAGCATTACCAAAATGTGACCCTGAGACAAAAAATGAGCATATGCTGTTGGAAAATTGGCACCAATAGCATTGCTCAATGCAGGGTTGCCAAAAACCGTGCATTTGTTTAAAAAAAAAATGACTCAGTATACAAGAAGCACAATAGAATGAGGTATTGCTTTGCTTAGCCTCATTCTCAGCCCTGCCCCACCCACTACTGGACTATAAGCTTTTGAAGACAGAAGCTTTTGTTTATCTATTTTTGTATTGGGCACAGCATAGTACCTGGCATCAAGCGCGTGTTCAGAAATTTTAAGTTTCCTCCAATTAGAATCATTATGGTTAATGATATTTGTGAATTTACTTCTACCATTTTATTTTGTGTTTTCTTTTTATCTTTACTTCTTTTCTCCTCTTTTTATTTTTATTTTTTGCATTCTACCAATTGATCACATTATTCTTCTTCGTTGGTTTGAAAATTTTACGTTCCATTTCTACTCTTTTAGTGGGAACCCTTAAATTTTTCATATAAATACTTGTCCTAATTAGTCTAAAGTTAATCAATATCTCTAATGACTTTTCCCAAAATATAAAACCTTAGGACACTTTAATTTGCCCTTGTCAAATGTCTACTGTGTCCTAGTAATTTAGTTTCATCTTATTTTTAAACCCACCAAAATTACTCTTTTAACAAATTTTTATAGTCCAGGTATAGTGGTGCATGCCTATAATCCCAGCACTTAGAGAGGCCGAGGTGGGAGGATTGCTTGAGCCCAGGATTTTGAGACCAGCCTGGGCAACATAGGGAGACCCCATCTCTACAAAAGATAAAAAAATAAGCCAGGCTTGGTGGCCCATGCCGCTTGTCCCAGCTACTCAAGAGGCTGAAGTACGAGCACATCCCTACATATACATCTTGGGTGCCTGGGGTTCTGGGTTTTTTTTTTTTTTTTTTTTTTTTGAGACAGAGTCTCTCTCTGTTGCCCAGTCTGGAGTGCAGTGGCACGATCTCGGCTCACTGCAACCTCTGCCTCCTGGATTCAAGTGATTCTCTTGCCTCAGCCTCCTGAGTAGCTGGGATTACAGGCATCCGCCACCACACCCAGCTAACTTTTATATTTTTAGTAGAGATGAGGTTTCGCCATGTTGGCCAGCCTGGTCTCGAACTCCTGACCTCAGGTGATCAGCCTGCTTCAGCCTTTCAAACTGCTGGGATTACAGGCGTGAGCCACTGTGCCCAGCATGTGCCCGTTCTGCATTTCTAACAAGCTCCCAGATAATGCCAGTGCTGCTGGTCCATGGACCACGTTTGACCAGCAAGGGTCCAATACAACCAGACACTGTGTTATGAACATTGGCAATGTGGGGGTTGGAGATGGTGAGTTTAAAAAGAACAACAAAGTTTTAGAAAGGAACACCCAGACTCTCAAAGCTCAGCTTTAGTGACTACAGGAAAATACACTACAGTTATGGTGGAGGGTTGCCTGTTCATACATATTATTCTAGGTGCACAGGAAAAGGAAGAACAAATTATTTCCCTGTGTGAACCACAGAAAAGGACCCCCCTGATATATTTCTTTGCATTCCAGCCACTTCCCTCCTTAGTGACTAATGCCAACATTTTTTTTCCTGAGTTCTGAAGCAAAACTACGCCAAGGCCACCTCCTTAAGTCACACCTCCTTATGGGCAGGGGGAACCCCATCTTCTTATGTACCCACAAATGCCACTGCAGCATAACTACATCAGGTCATTTCATCAGATTACATTGCACAGATGTCAGCCTATCTGGTCCCTCTGAGCCCACCTGCTTGGAGAAACCATCCCAGAAACGTTGAGAATTCCTGAATTGTTGGTATGGCGTTGAAAGACGGAGAAATTGCAATGATAGGGGCTGGCCATCTGCCTATAAATTTTCATACCTGTAGCTTGTGTTGTTCTAGAGAGCGCCTTCACTACACTTCTCTGATGCCACCAACCTGCTGTTTTTATTTTTAAAGAGAAAAAAAAAACCCTATTCCAGTAATAATCTCATCTACATTTAATTATATTGCCCTGGGCACTTTTCTTTCACTGGCAATGAATGTGGCCCGTAAAGTGTCTAGGGCCCTCAGGCCATAGTCACTTCCTGCAAGAGAAACTGAGATGGGATCCCCCGAGCCTGCTTAGAGCTGAGTGGTGCCCAGGGTCTGCACTGCTCCCCAGTGTCATGGGCACACCAAAACTGACCCCGAACTCCCCAAAGAGTTCTTTGAAATAGGCTAGGAAAGAGAGCAAAAATGAAGAAGGACATTCTCTGAAGGGGCCACTCAAATTCTGTTGCTCTCCAATTCTGTATATTCAATTTTTTTTTTTTTTTTTTTTTTTTTTGAGACAGAGTCTCCCTCTGTCGCCCAGGCTGCAGTGCAGTGGCACGATCTCGGCTCACTGCAAGCTCCGCCTCCCGGGTTCATGCCATTCTCCCTCCTCAGCCTCCCGAGTAGCTGCGACTACAGGCACCCGCCACCACACCCGGCTAATTTTGTTTTTGTATTTTTAGTAGAGACGGGGTTTCACCGCATTAGCCAGGATGGTCTTGATCTCCTGACCTCCTGATCCACCCACCTCGGCCTCCCAAAGTGTTGGGATTACAGGCGTGAGCCACCGCGCCGGGCCCAATCCTTACTTTCTTGAAGATTGACAAGGAGAAAGCAGCTAAACTTAGTGGAGTTCTACAAAATCCACAGGCCCTAAATGCACAGTGGAAGCAGAGCAGTGGCCGGCACAGCAGAGCTACAGTAACCCTCAACCTTAGCATGGGGTGGGGGTACTTTCAGAGAAGGAGGGACCTCAACAGTTGCCTAAATCAACCCTTTGGTTTCCAGGGAAACCAAGGTCCAGCAAGGAGAAGAGAGGACTGGCCTGCAAATATCCATAGGGTATTTTTAATGCATTTAAAATACAACAATGGGCAGGGCACGGTGGCTCACACCTGTAATCCCAGCACTTTGGGAGGCCAAGGTGGGCAGATCACCTGAGGTCAGGAGCTCGAGACCAGCCTGACCAACATGGCGAAACCCTGTCTCTACTAAAAAATACAAAAATTAGCCGGGCATGGTGGCAGGTACCAGTAATCCCAGCCACTCGGGAGGGTGAGGCAGGAGAATCGCTTGAACCAGGGAGGCAGAGGTTGCAGTGAGCCAAGATTGTGCCACTGCACCCCAGCCTGAGCAATAGAGCAAGACTCCTTATCAAAAAATAATAATTAATTTAATTAAATACAGAAATTTTTTATTAAGTCCCCTTGGCGTATTGTCACAGAGAACTTCAGGACTGGTTTTTGAAAGCTCAAAAGCTGTAAACCATCAGGCACCAGGAACATGGCCGCCACAGCAGTGAGTCTCACTGTGGAAGGCATAGGAATTTGGGGAATAAGCAGCGATTTTCCCCCAAATTACACTGTGAGGTAATGAGAGAATCAGTCCCCGAATCCAGATCAAACAATTCTCAACACAGTGCTCTCTCCACCCCACTCAAGAGATGTGTTAGAAAACATAAAATATAAATGAAAAGATCATAGCACTGATATGGTTTTAAACCAGAAATAAATTTAGGAAGAATCCTGTTTTAATATCAAATACTTGAGCCCTGAAGGAATATATGCGTTAACAAACTCACAGATGGTAAATATCTGCCTTTTGCTGGTCTGCAACTATGCCCAGCCTAATTTCTATTACTTCCTACTGTCTTCAAATTTCTGGCTTCCAACATCAAAATTCCACAAACTGCAGCCTCTTGGTTCCTAAAGAACCTACTTATTACTGACCTGAGTTACTAACGTCACTAGTTGCACACCTACTTTTGCTACTAGCTTTGGATCAAATACTAATTACATTGCCAATGATTATGTGAATTCGTATCAGCTTTCTAGAAGGCAAATTGGCAATACATGTCAAAAGCCACAAAAATGTCTATACTCTTGGGCTAAAAATCCCACTCCTGGAACTTTTCCTCAGAAGAGAAGTCAAAAAAAGAACAGACATTATAAAAGATACCCATCATGGCGTCATCGAGAACTGTCCAACAATAAGGTCAACAACAGCACATCTCTAAGAACAGCTACCATTGGCTGAAGAAATTCTCTGCCAGGCCTTTACATGCTTTACTTCTAAACCTCACAGTAACCCTGCCACGTCTGTGTGACCTCCCACTTCACAGATGAGAAAATAGGCTCAAAGCACAAAGCAGTAACTGAGCCAAGGTCATTTGAGTAGTAAGTGTCAGAAGCAAGGCTTGAACCCAAGGCTTTGTGACTCTGATACCTCTGCCTGTTCCATTCACCCCTGGGATTGCTTGCAACCAAGATGCTGGAGCACTGAGTCCCAGGAACAAGCCATGATGCAGTAGCTTCCGTGATAAGCAGGAAGAAGAAGCAGCAGTGTCGAAAAAGCCTTCCTGGGCCGGGCATGGTGGCTCAGGCCTGTAATCCCAGCACTATGGGAGGCTAAGGCAGGCGGATCACCTGAGGCCAGGAGTTTGAGACCAGCCTGGCCAACATGACGAAACTCTGTCTCTACTAAAAATACAAAACTTAGCTGAGCATGGTGGCACACACCTGTAATCCCAGCTACTTGGGAGGCTGAGGCAGGAGAATCGCTTGAACCAGGGAGGCAGAGGTTGCAGTGAGCCAAGATGGTACCACTGCACTCCAGCCTGGGCAATGGAGCAAGACTCCATCTCAAAAAAAAAAAAAAAAAACAAAAAAAAAACCCTTCCTGAAATAACATTCAGGGAAAGAGAAGGAGATTAAATTAAATTAAACCTATAGTATAATTATAATTTTTATTAAAATATGTATAGCATTTAAAAGTGATCACTTTTAAATGGAAATAATTGGGCTAGCATTTGGTCGTGGGGAATGGGTGGTGCTTTATTCTATTTATAGTTCCTTAAATGGTGTTATGCTAATGTCTTAACAGCAAGTCTTAAAAAAATTAATAATAAAGACTGACTTGACCACTGTCTGAAGCTTAATAAAAGCATGTGAGTGTTTTTCTCTCTCTCCTACCTTTGGGTGAGTTCTCCACCCTGCCAGTTCTCTCTCGGTTTCATGATGCTTGCACCTTGCTGAAACCACAACTTCCCTCCAGAGTGTTGCTGAGTACCCAGGAGAGAGTCACTGGTAGGCCTTTTTCAGTAGAGGTGAGAGGACGTTGGAATAATGACATCACTATTCAAATGGCGAAGGAGAAAGGGAGAGCACCAAACAAACTCACACACCAAGGAGAAAACCAGTGGGCTTTTATGGCTCTGTTTATGGGAAGTGCCTCACCAACTGAAAGGTCAGGAGCTGACGTGTCCAACGGCACTGGAGCATTACATGAAATTGCAAAAGTAGAACCTTATAAAAATTCATAAGTTCATGAAACACCCTCTTGACTATATCAGTTAGGGGTACAGTGCCCAGGATTCTGTCAGGCTCCAGAAAAAGTGAAACATTAGCAGCCACATCCTGAGCACCCCAGCATTGTCTTAGAACAATGTCCTCAGCATTGTTCTAGGTCCTTCTCCTAGTGAAAAATATGCATTGGGTGCTTACTGTATGCCTGTGCTTTGTGGAGCTCCTCCTGTGTTAACTGTTTTCATCCCCATGTACAATCCTATAATAGACATTATCAGCTTGCAGGTGAGAAAATCAAGGCTTAAACCTACAGTACGATTATAATTTTCATTAAAATGTGTATAGCAGCTAAAACATGATTACAGAGGGAAATAGTTGGACTGGCATTTTTGAATGGGGTTAAAACAAAAAAACTTGCCCAGCTGAGATTCAAGTCCAGGTCTGCCTGACACCAGTTGCTGCACTCTGCAGCCTCTCACAACACCACACCACCCAAAGTCTGTTTCAGCCTCTCAACACCCTGTGTGGCTCTAGGCACTGTCCCCTTTATATGGAGAACATGGCCCTCTGCCTGCATGATCAGAACTGAGTGAGAGTTCACCAGGCTTCCTGCCTTCTCAGTAAAAGAAAAGTGTTCCATGATGGAAAGAATGTGGCCTTTGGCACTAGATGAATCCAGGTTTGCATCCTGACTTCTGCATTCAGTAACTTTAGTAAGTCACCGAACGTCTCTGAGTCTTCATTTTCTCATCTGCAGCATGGAAGCCCGCCTCTCAGTGATGAGGACTGGAGTCCAGCACAGAGCCTGGTTAGAGTAGGAGTGTTTCCATGTGGTTATCCATTGATTGTGGAGGAGCCGCTAAGGTCCAGCTCTCCCCACGCCAGTGAAGCTGCTGTGAGACAATCATTGGTTATTAGAAGTGCTCTCTAAATAGTGAAGGATGAGCAAGAGGTTCAGTGGCCCCTCAGTGAAAAAAACTAATTACCCAGGATGTTTCTCCAGCTGCTACCTTTGCCATTTCCTTCCGCTCCTTCCAACTGATGCCACCAGAATTTGCCCAATTCTTCCACCAGTGGGATGTCTCTATCTTTTGATAAGACTATCCATTCCCCAATCTCCTAAGATGTTTATCTTCATCTTCATTGTGCCTAGTCATTGATTTTCTTGTTTTATCCCCCTTTCCAAGCTCACCAGATGCTCTGTGCCTCAACTGTTCCACACTGCTCTTTGCATGTCCTGTAGTTGGCACACAGAAAATTCTAGTAGGGTGTATGACACAAGGGCAGTGACCACATCCCCAGGTCCAAGCACCATGCCTACCATATAGGAGGTGTTCAATAAATGTGTGATATGTGGGTGAATGAAGGAAGGAATGAATCATTAACAAGTTGTATGTATGGCCTGAGTGGAGAGTGAGTTATCCAACAGTAGGTTCTTGCAGAGGACCTATTGTTGGCTGTGAGCAGAGACTCACAAGACAGGTCAGCCAGGCTCCCTGGGAGGCAGGGCGGATTACGTGCAGCCTTTCTGCTACATGTTTCATATGTATCAAGCCTGTCCAACCCATGGCCCATGGGCCACATGTGGCCTGGGACAGCTTTGAATGCAGACCAGCACAAATTTGTAAATTTTCTTAAAACATTATTTTTTTTAGCTCATCAGCTATCGTTAGTGTTAGTGTATTTTATATGTGGCCCAAAACAATTTTTATTCCAATGTGGCCCAGGCAAGTCAAAAGATTGGACATCCCGATATATATCATCTCATTTAATTCTCAAAAGAACCCTAGCCTTGCAAGGGGAAACCCCATCTTACAAAGAAGACTCACTCGCCTGGTTACCCAGCAAGGTGAGGAGTCTAACCTGGGTCTCTCTGACTCCAAAGCCAGTGTCGCTTCCTCACGCTGGGGGTTAAGTGCATGGGCTCTGATGCCAGACAATTTGGGTTCATATCCTGATTTGCCTCTTACTAGCAGAGGGAGCTATGACAATTCAAAGGACTCCCAAGTCATGATTATCTTTTTTTTTTTGAGACGGTGTCTCGCTCTGTCACCCAGGCTGGAGTGGCACGATCTCGGCTCACTACAAACTCCGCCTCCCAGGCTCACTCCATTCTCCTGCCTCAGCCTCCTGAGTTAGCTGGGACTACAGGCACCCACCACCACGCCCAGCTAATTTTTTTGTATTTTTAGTAGAGACGGAGTTTCACTGCACTAGCCAGGATGGTCTCGATCTCCTGACCTCGTGATCCGCCCGCCTCGGCCTCCCAAAGTGCTGGGATTACAGGTGTGAGCCACCATGCCCAGCCCCCAAGTCCTGATTATCTTATCTGTAAAATGAGGATAATTATATTTCCTACTTCAAGAGTTGCTGTAAGAATTACATGAGATAATATAAGAAAAAGATCATGAGCCAAGCGCACAGTAAGTCTTCAGTAGCAGCAGTAACAGCAGCAACAATAGCAATAGTAGTAGTGGTGGTGGTAGTGGTACTAGGAATGGTATGAACAGTGGTAGGAGTGGCAGTGGTAGGGGTGGGATTCATAATGGCAGGAGTGTAATTAATAGTAATCATAGTGGCCAAGTGCTGTGGTTCACACCTGTAATCCCAGCACTTTGGAAGGCCAAGGCAGGAGGATTGCTTGAGGGCAGGAGTTCAAGACCCCATTTCTGGAAAAAATTTTTAAAAATTGGTCAAGTGTGCTGGCATGCACCTGTAGTCCCAGCTATTTGGGGGCTGAGACAGGAGGATTACTTGAGCCCAGGAGTTCAAGGCTGCAGTGAGCTATTATTGCACCACTGCATTCCAGCCCGGGCAACACAGCGAGACACCAACTCTTAAAAAAAAAAAAATAGTGGTATATTGGTGGTGGTGGTATTAATAGTGGTAGTGGTAGTAGTAGTAGCAGTATTAATAGTGGTAATCATGGTAATAGTAGTGGCATTAGTGGTGGTTGTAGTGATAGTAACACTAGTGGTGGTGGTGGTAGTGGCAATAGTAGTGGTATTAATGGTGGTAGGCGTGACCATAGCACTAGTCATGTAGTGGTAGTAATGGTAGTATTAATAGAGGTTGTAATGGTTGTTGTAGTAGTGATATTAACCGTGATAGAAGTGGTGGTAGCAGTAGTAATGGTAGTGGTTGCAGAGTAGGGTATTAGTCGTGGTGGCAGGAATTGAGTGGTGGTAGTAAGTAGTGGCAGTACCGGGGTGATTTTAATGTTGACGTGTCCTGAAGGCATGGTGGAATTTGAGGATGTCAAGTGGGCTTGTTAACTTAAGGTACTTCCACTCTGGGAGACGGGGTGAGTATAGCAGTGGGAGAGGGATGCAACGTAAACCTGTATTCTGGGCACCCAGTTGTCCTTACGAGCAGGAGAGCTGTAATTCCCAGGCACAGCCACAAGGCGGGGGCAATGATTTGGCATTCATGACATCGGAACACGCCTAGGGAAAAATAACTGGCTCAGGAGCTGGGAGCACCCTGAGGACCCTAGGAGACTCCCGGGAGATGAAGGAGAGTTGGTTGGCTGAGCTTCAGAAACAGTTTGATCCTTGGGGTTTAAGACAGACATCAGCAGAGCAGGGTCAGCCACAGGAAAGCAGGAAGGGAAAGTGCAAAATGGGACGAGAGCAACAGGGGTGACCCCAAAACTGTGGTTCTCAACTTGTTTCCACCTGAGTGACAACATTGGGACAGGGTGTGTGTGTGGCCCTCACTTCCAGGGGTGGGTGGACGCAAATGGGACACAGATGACGAGCAGTTCCCCTTTCTTTCTCACTCATCAGGACCCTCTATTATGTGGTGGGTGTCCGAGAGTTTGAGGACCACTGATCTGGACCAGAACATGGTGGCCAGAGGACGCAGAGAGAAAGTTTAAAAGGTACAGTCATCTTTCAAGGAGCTACCTACACACAGAGGACTAGAGTGGCTGAGGGTGGGCTGTGGGTGTCAATGCTAAAAACATGGCTTTAGGGTTAGGGTTTATAAAAGGGGCCCAGATTCCAATTCTGGCTCTACACTTTTAGCTACATGACCTTTGACAAGGAGATAATATTAGTACTGGTAGGTTTGTTGTCCAGAGTAAATGAGATGATATCTTTAAAGAGCTTAGCATGTGCCTGGTAGTAACTACAGTTAACTGCTCAAAAAAGGGCAGCTATGATTATTACTATCATTATTGTTACATGGGCGTGATGATGGAGAGAGATTGCTTTTAAATCCTCTCTCTACAATCCCATCAATGTTACACGGTCTTATACAGGAGCTGTCCTGTATTTTGCTCAAGGTGTGTTATGTGTAATAGAACTGGCTTCCCAATGAGATTTCAAGGCCCCCCAGGGTAAAGCTATATGTCTCTTGACTTTTGGACAATTCCAATTATAACTCTGGACATAGAGTAGTTGGGTGATCAATATACTTGTCCATTGGTCTGTTGTAAAATTGGTAGCCTGTAAATTTTCCGGCATGGCACCTAACAAAGCAATGCAATCATTATTTGCTAAAGCACCCGCTGTATGCTGAGAACAGTGGGATAGTCTAATTTGGGGAGATTATCCTATGCATCCCTGTCTTCTCATTGCTAAGCTATGACTCTGGGGGAGTCCACTGAATCTCTCCTCTTCCCTCCACTCTGACCAAACTGACCCCATTTTTCTGGGCAGAAACACTGGCATGGAACAGAAGAGACAGTGCTAGAAACTAACTTGGTTCCGTGAATTTAGGCCTTTGTTTTTCAAGTTCACAAGACCATTTCCTGAGGGACTAGACAAAATCGATATAAAGTTGCTGTGACACTGAAGGAAAGGAAGAGAGAAAGAACCGAAAGTCCTGCTTAAATAAACTCAAGGGAAGCCAATGGGGTAAAGGTCCACATTAAATATCTTCTCTGGTCTCCTTGGCCTCGTTGCTCTTCTGCCTTATGGGTCTGTTTCCTCCTGTGGAACATAAGGGTACAAAAGCAGTGGGTTGCCAAGGTCATTTAAGGACCCTGGACATAGCTCTATGTGGAGACTCACGGTGACAGAATTCTGGCTGCTTTTTAGTCACTAACCCCCTGTGTGGCCAGGGCCCCGGAGTCACTCATCCTCTCTGCACCTCAGCTTCCCCAAGTGCAGGTGACCTCCAAGTTTGCCCTGGCTGACCTTTAAAGGCCATCCCAGCCGGGACACCAATGCTAACGTTCTGCCCAGTTCTGCCTGCCCTGCTCTCACCCCTGACCCAACACTGTTTGGGGTTTGAGTGGTGGGTGAGTTTCACTTCTTTTTCTTTGTCTCGATGGCAGGTAACTTTCGTGATGACATACTCCTGCAAAGATGGCGTGGGACATAATTCTCATGGATGGAGGTGAACATGACTGTCCCTTGATACAAGGGGTAGAATTGATTGGGTTGCTGTTGTCCTTTGAGAATCACCACCCGACTCTATGTGGCTGTTTCTTCAATTGCAAAATGAGAGAGCATGTTTCCTTTTTAATCAGCAATATTACCCTTAAGGAAACCTTGAAGGGCAGTTCTATTATTAAATATCTCAAGCACAAACTTTGATAAATGGCTTCTTTTTTTGCAAATTACAAATTGAATAGCCTTCTCTCCTCCTGTGCTCCTGCACTCTCTTCAACCCCGAACTACAGGGGCTCTTTCAAGGGCAGTTACCCCTTTGAGATGGGGAAAGAGGTGCCATTAATATGAACTTTCTCCCTCATCCTGGTTCACCCTCCATTTCATTGCTGGCTGAAGGCCTCCTGTACAACCAGACACATTTGAATAATTAATACTCAGTAAGTTGAATGGTTGACCTTCAACAGCTCTATGGCTCCTGAAACCGAGAATGTTGTCTGTGAAGGCAGGGTCTTATGAAAAGGTCCAGGATGGTGCCTGAGGGAGGCTCCCTCATTAAACTCAAAGAATGTGGGATGAGAGCAGAAGCTGGCATGACTGCAGCCTCACCCAAGCCTCTGTGGAGAGCATCTTAGGTAGGAACTGGGCTTAAGTGAGAGTCAGTGATAAATGAGTGGCCATACCACATCTCAGAAGACTGAACATGTGACTGAGATAAAAATGATCCGGTCTGCAGATCAGGAAGAGATGAGGCCCTAAGACCTGTCAGGGGACAGGGAATGAATGTCCTTCATTCATCCACTCAAAAAACAGGTATTGGGTCCGGGCACGGTGGCTCATGCCTGTAATCCCAGCACTTTGGGAGGCCGAGGTGGGCGAATCACCTGAGGTCAGGAGTTCAAGACCAGCCTGGCCAACATGGCAAAACTCTCTCTACTAAAATACCAAAAAATTAGCCAGGCATGGTGGCGCATGCCTGTAGCTACCTGGGAGGCTGAGGCAGGAGAATCACTTGAACCTAGAAGGCAGGGGTTCCAGTGAGGTGAGATGGTGCCACTGCACTTCAGCCTGGGTAACAGAGCGAGACTCTGTCTCAAAACAAACAAACAAAAAAACCATGTATTGAGAGCTACAAAGTGCCAGGCATTGTTGTAGACACTAGGGTTATATTAGTGAACAAACCAGAACCTCCCCTCCCAAAAGAGAAACCCTGCCTTTGTGGGGCTTACATTCTAGTTGGGGAGTTACATGACAAATAAAACGAACTTGTTCAATGCATCGTTTGCCAGACGGTGATAAGTGCTTAGAAGGAGAAAGGAGGCAGAGCGTGGGGCTGGAGAACATTGGGTAGGAGATGAGCTGCAGTTTTAATAAAGGTGGGCAAGGGAAGCCTCCCCAAGGAGATGGCAAATTAGCACACATTTGTGGGAGCTGAGGAGTGGGCTCTGCAGCCATCTGGGGAAGAGGGTCCCAGGGCAGGAAAACTGCAAGTGCAAAGGCCCTGGGGCAGAAATGTGTCCTGATGTGTTCCAGAAAGAGCCAGGAGGCCCCATGGGGGGAGTCAAGTCCGTCTCATAGGGCTTTTGCTCCCAGTGAGACCGGAAGCCATTCGAGCGTTTATCAACAGAGAAAGACATGATGTGGCTTCTGACTTAACAGGATTCCTCCGGCTACTGTGTGGAGAAGAGATTGTAGGGAGCAAGGGAAGATGCAGAGGGACCAAATAAGATGACAGGAAAGATGCCTGGTGTGACTGAAAGGAGAATGGTGGAGGAGCCAAGAAGTGGTCAGATCCTGGGTTTATGTTGAAGGAAGTTTGGCAGATTTGCTGAAGGAGTAGATACAGGTGTAAGAGAAAAGGACAAGTCATTGGTTCTTGTTTTGGGGCCTGAGCAGCTAGAAAGATGAAATTCCCATGTATAGAACTGAGAGAGATTGCAAGAGAGTTGAGCAAGAAAATAGGAAGCAGCATATGAACAATGCAGGGAGGGGACGTGTGGCATGCCTGCCCCACCTAGGAGAGTTCAAGGAATCTTACAAAACCGTGTCAGCTGGGGCACGCTGCACAAGCGGTGCTGCAGGGTAAGAGAACATTTTCTTGAGTCAGAGCACCTGGCTTCATTCAGGTCCCTCGTCTGCCAGTCTCTAGTGAAGGGATTTGGGACACATCATTTAAGCAACCTGTGCTTCAGTCTACTTATCTTCAAAATCCCGGAGTGTGTGTGTGTGTGTGTGTGTGTGTGTGTGTGTGTGTGTGTGTGTGAGAGAGAGAGAGAGAGAGAGAGAGAGAATATATATATAGCTTCTTAAAATGCAAAACATGGCCGAGTACAGTGGCTCATGCCTGTAATCCCAGCACTTTAGGAGGCCGAGGTGGGCAGATCATGAGGTCAGGAGATCGAGACCATCCTGGCTAACATGGTGAAACCCCGTCTCTACTAAAAATACAAAAAACTAGCCATGCGTGGTGGCAGGCGCCTGTAGTCCCAGCTACTCAGGAGGCTGAGGCAGGAGAATGGCTTGAACCAGGGAGGCGGAGCTTGCAGTGAGCCAAGATTGCGCCACCTCACTCCAGCCTGGGGGACAGAGTGAGAATCCATCTCAAAGCAAAAAACAAACCAAAAAAATGCAAAACATTAAACCCAGAGGCAGAGGTACAGTGAAAGGAGATTAGACTTTGGAATCGAAAGAGCTGCAGCCCCTTCTTAGCTACATGATGTTAGACAAGTTTCTTTTTTTTGGAGACGGAGTCTCACTCTGTCACCCAGGCTAGAGTGCAGTGGCGTGATCTCAGCGCACTGCAACCTCTGCCTCCTGGGTTCACGCGATTCTCCTGCCTCAGCCTCCTGAGTAGCTGGGATTACAGGCGTATGCCACTGTGCCCATCTAATTTTTGTTGTTGTTGGTTCTTTTTTTTAGTAGAGACGGGGTTTTGCCATGTTGCCCAGGCTGGTCTCAAACTTCTGACCTCGGGTGATCCTCCTGCTTCAGCCTCCCAAAGTGCTGGGATTACAAGCATGAACCACCATGCCCGGCCAATGTTGGGCAGGTTTTTTAATCTCTCAAAGTCTTGGTTTCCTCATGTGTAAAACGGAGATAGCACTGCCTACCTTACAAGATTGTCATGAGGGTTTCAGAGATAAGGCTTTTAACATCTAGCAGAGAGCTAGGTACATAGTAGGAGCCCGATATAGCTGTTATTACACATAAAATAACAGTTATTATAGGTGTATCTATTTGTGTGTTGGCCACCTGGGTGGCCCCAAAGCCCGGCAACATAGATGATATTATTTTATCTCGTGATGTAACATCGATAAATGATTTATTATGTATTTGCCTGTGGCCACATATACTCTGTGAGATTATGAGCTTCCAAGAAACTCCTAGGAGCTGAGAAATAATAAAAGAGGCTTAAATATCCAATCAAACTTTCTTGAGACAAGGGATCTCATTTTATATTTTTTTCTTTGTATCTTTTACTGCAGACCTGGTTCAATGACTACACTTAAAAGTTATTTAATAGGTAGATAGGATCAAAGAAAGGGAGCTTAGACATTCTTTTACTTAACCACTTTCATTTAAACCTGAGAAAACCAGAGCCCCGAGAGGGCCAGTGACTTGGCAGAGTGATCCAGCAAGTGAGTAGCTGATGTAGGGCTGGTATGAAGCTCGCCTGCCTCTTAGATCGATGGCTTTCCACTCTACTTCTCATCGCTGTGGAATGAACGAAACCAGGCGTGGTGAAATCAAGATCCTTTATTGACTTGGACCCTCTTTGATGGGCTCATCCAGTCTGACAAAGATTCAGAAGATTTCCTTGTAATTCCTTGTAATGACAATAGGATAAAGCACGGGTTCTTGAATGGTTCCTTGAGCTTCTTGGATTTCTCTGGGGCCTGCAGTGTTTGCACTGGTCTAGACATTTTCCACCAAACCTCCCAGCAAATATTTGAAGGCCTTGATACAATGCCATACAAATAAACATATCTAAAGCTCTCCCGCGTAAACAGCCTGAAGTCCTCAGTCAGTCAGCCGTGATCGCAGAAAAAAAAAAACAAAACAAAACCAAAACTTGGCTCCTAGAAACAGTTCCTAAAAGGAAAACCTCAAAGACGACCTAAGAAGTAACACATTTTTGTTGTGGTTAAAGTCACAATTGTTATTTATACCATTCATTGACAGCTGGGAGAGGTGTGTGTGTGTGTGTGTGTGTGTGTGTGTGTGTGTGTGTATTTTAACAGCTTTTCAAAGATACAGAAGAAATTCCCTTAGCAAATGTGATTTTTTAAAAGTAACCTTTAAACTTTAAAAGATCCTGTGCCTCTTGTTCTGTTCCAAGTGTTGCACGTATAACATTTAAATTTTAATAAGAGGTAGGGAAAAGACTTTGGAGTTAGATCAAATGGAGAAAAAAATTACTATGGAATTTTGACGTGGTTCATATAATAAGTTTCTTGTCATTGTCAGAGAAAAAAAGCAAGCACTATCTCCTCACATATTAACAGTCTGGCAGTAGCACTAAAGATTTGTATAGGGAAATGCACATGAAATCTCAGGAACAGTAGTTAAGAGTTTATGACCAAAGAAGCGACAGCCAGACACCACAGATCAGAAAGTCCCAGGCCATCACCTAGCCGGACTACCTACTTGTCCCCACCCACTGCTTCCAACCTCCACAGTCTTCATAATTACTTCTGCACTACCTCCCAACCTTGTAAATTAACAATCTTATTTCCTAAAGCCTTCTACTTTATTTATCCCCAGTAATCACAGGTTAATCAGATAAACTACCCTGTGGTCATCAATAAGCAAGTCCTTTAGCAAAAGCAAGTAACAAAATAACCTAAATGTATTATTGATAATCATAGCAACTAACTTTTCTGTTGCTTTATGAAAATACTGTGCATTATCTAATTTAATCTTCATTCAAACTATGAATTTGCACTTGTATTATCTCCATTTTTACCAATGTAGAACCTAAATTCTAACTAGTACTCTATTCTAGTTTAAATACATAAAGGATCTTCAGCAATAATTGATAGAATTTGAGAATTATAAAAGTCTCTAAGAGATCATATAATCTTAACGTAGCGTATTGCATGTTTATTCTTGTCACTAATATTTGATTGGCAGTAATTCCTAAGCCGTAAATAGGACCATACTACAAAAATGTTTGAAACTTTTTTCAGTTAATATATTGAGATATCATTAAATAAATAAGAATTAGAAAGTGTCAGCAACAGTTGAGATTAAAGAAACTTGCACTTTCTCATTTTGCTTTAATTTTTTACAATGATTGTATATTACCAAGAACTAAAAAAAAAAGTTATTTCCATTTTTAAAAGTTAAAAAGGATTGCAGTGCTTTATAGCAGAACATTGACACAAACGCATTGATATAAAGTTCAGTCATTCATAGGGAGGGGAACATCACACACCAGGGCCTGTCGGTGGGTAGGGGGCAAGGGGAGGGAGAGAATTAGGACAAATACCTAATGCATGCAGAGCTTAAAACCTAGAGGGCGAGTTGATAGGTGCAGCAAACCACCATGGCACATGTATACCTATGTAACAAACCTGCACGTTCTGCACGTTGTATCCCAGAACTTAAAGTAAATTTTTTTTAAAAGTTCAGTTATTTACTCCAACCTAGAGCTTTGTGGTTTGCAAAGTACTTTTGCATGCACATTCCACTTTAATCTTCACAATAACCCTACAAGATATACAATTTTCTGGGGAAGGAAACTGAGGCTGGGCATGGTGGCTGATGCCTGTAATTCCAACACTTTTGGAGGCTGAAGCAAGTGGATTGCTTGACCTCAAGAGTTTGAGACCAGTGTGGGCAATATGGTGAAACCCTGCCTGTACAAAAAGTACAAAAATTAGCCAGGCATGGTGGCTCATGCCTGTAGTCCCAGCTACTTGGGGGCTGAGGTGAGAGGATTGCTTCAGCCCAGGAGGGGGAGGTTGCAGTGAGCCAAGATTGTACTACTGCACTCCAGCCTGGGTGAGAGAGTAAGACTCTGTCTCAAAAAAAAAAAAAAAAAAAAAAAAAAAAGAGTGTATAGTGTGTGTGACTCAAGGTTATATATATATATCCTTAAGGTAGAACTTGAACTCAGACCTCTGGACCCCATGTGCTGCACATATTCCATGACCCCAAGACCTTCCTATAATCACTTATCCATGTATCCCGGGTCCTAAATGCTTTCTGGATTCTGTTCTGTCACCTGTACCTAGAAGTTTATATTATGAGTTTTCACTTCCAGGATCTACTATTTTGAAAAGGATATCCACCGTGTAACAGCTGCTTCTCATCACTGGAAAGAACAGAATAATGCTGTTGCTGCAGCTGCTGCTGCCGCTGCCGCCGCTGCTGCTCCTGCTTTTTTCAGTCTCACTCTGTTGCCCAGGCTGGAGTGAAGTGGTACGATCTCAGCTCACTGCAGCCTCAACCTCCCAGGCTCAAGCGATCCTCCTGCTTATAGCCTCCTGAGTAGCTGGGACTATAGGTGTGCACCACCACACCAGGCTAATTTTTTTTTTATTTTTTGTAGAGAAGGGGTTCTCACTTGTTGCCTAGGCTGATCTTGAACTCCTCGGCTCAAGTGATCCACCTGCCTCGGCCTCCCAAAGTGCTAGGATTATAGGCGTGAGCCACCTCACCTGGCCAATAACTCTTCTTAACTAGACCCTTCGGGGAAGATGATACCTGCATCCTAGGCATGAACATAGCGCCTGCTAAGAGGTTCTCCCTTTCGCTCTCCTCTTCTTGCTACAGACTTCCTTGAGCCCTGACTGCACACAGAGCCCACGTTATGGAAGAAACTTCCAGAAGCACATAACCAGTCAGCCCTGACTGTATGTTTCCTATGTGCCAGCGTGTTCCATTGTTTTCTTCATTAAGTCTCAGCAATAATATTATCCCACCTTTCAGATGAGGAAACTGAGCTTTAGAGAAATTAAATCACTAGTGAATGGTCATAGTGAGTAAGGGGAGGAATGGAAATTCCAGTCAGCCTTCTGTTCCCACCACCCACATTCTTAAGTTCTCCTTTTGGCTCCCTTTGAGGAGTGTACAAGGGGGAAAGGGAGAAGAAGGAATCAATGATCTGTTTTGGTGTTTTTTTTTTTTGTTTTGTTTTGTTTTGTTTGAGACGGAGTCTCACTCTGTTGCCCAGGCTGGGGTGCAATGGCGCGATCTTGGCTCACTGCAAGCTCCACCTCCTGGGTTCACACTATTCTCCCGCCTCAGCCTCCCGAGTAGCTGGGACTACAGGTGCGCACCACCATACCCAGCTAATTTTTTTGTATTTTTTTAGTAGAGACGGGGTTTCACCATGTTAGCCAGGATGGTCTCAATCTCCTGACCTTGTGATCTGCCCGCCTCGGCCTCCCAAAGTGCTGGGATTACAGGCATGAGCCACCACACCCGGCCCCGTTTTGGCTTTTAATAGCATATATGCATGTGTGCATGCACGTGTGTGTGTATATCTGTGCAAGCAGGCAAAACAGTACAAAGGAAACAAATAAACTGAATAGCAATTGCCTAGATAAAGAGAGGAGATTGAGAATAAATCTCAAGGAGGAGAGGTGACAAACAGGTGAGAAAGCAGACTTTCTCTTTTTGCTTTAGTAAGTTTTGATTATTGGAATTTATCATAATGTCTATTTGATCTTTTTAAATTATGATAAATACACATAGCATAACATCTACTGTCTTGACCATTTTAAGTGTACAGTTCAATAGTATTTTAAGCACATTGTTATTATTGGGCAATTATCAGCACCATCCGGCTCCATAACCTTCATCTTGCAAAACTGAAACTCTGTACCCGTTAAACAATAACTCCCCATCCCTCACCTCCCAGCCCCTGAAAACCACCATTCTACTTTCAGTCTCTATTAATTTGGCTACTCTAGATATCTCATATAAGTGGAATCATACAGTTTTTGTCTTTGCGTGTCTGGCTTATTTCAGTAGCGTAACGTTCTCAAGGTTCATCCCTGTTGAGATATGTGTCAGAATTTCCTTCCTTCTTTTTTTTTTTTTTTTCTGAGATGGAGGCGTAAGCCACCACGCCTGGCCAGAATTTCCTTCCTACTTAAGGCTTAATAATTTTCCATTGTAGGTATACGTATATACATGTATATATAAAATGTATATATGTATGTATATATGTTGTATACATGCTATATATGTATACATATAATGGAAAATTATTGTGTCTATTGAGAGATGAATGAATAAACAAATACCTATATATATATAAAATCTCTTAATAGACAGTTGAAGCTGGGCGCAGTGGCTCATGCCTGTAATCCCAGCACTTTGGGAGGCGGAGGTGGGCGGATCACTTGAGGTCAGGAGTTCAAGACCGCCTGCACAACATGGTGAAACCTTGTCTCTACTAAAAGTACAAAAATTAGCCGGGTGTGGTGGTGGGCGCCTGTAATCCCAGCTACTCAGGAGGCTGAGGCAGGAGAATCGCTTGAACCTGGGACGCGGAGGCTGCAGTGAGCCAAGATTGCGCCATTGCACCTCAGCCTGGGTGACAAGAGTGAAACTCCGTCTCAAAAAAAAAAAAAAAGAAAAGACATTTGAGTTTCTTCCACCTTTTGGCTAGTGTGAATAATTCTGCTATGAACATGGGTGTATAAATATCTCTTCAAGACCCTGCTTTCAATTCTTTGGGGCATATACCCAGAAATAGAATTGCTAGATTATATGGTGATATTTATCAGTTTTGTAATTCAAAAACTAAAAGCCTTTTTAAAAGGTGAATGCTCACATAGATTACAATAATATTCAATAACAAGACAGGGAAGACAGTAATGAAAATGACAGGCATAAGGGTCACTGCAGTTGTCATGGGCTGTGAGCTTCCTGGGGGCAGGGGCCAGCTTCACGGCTTTATACCCCACCCCACCACCCCATGCCCGATACATGCCTGTCTTCTTTAGGTGCTCAATATGTTTAAACTCAGTCCCATTGCCCTAAAGCAATGACTTCACCAGAGTAGCTAGGCAAGTGATAAATCTTCCCAAAGGAAACCAAAGGCCTGCATGGAGGCAGTGCCCTGGTGACAATGGAGGACCGGTCTTGACACCTGTTCACTCACTGTATGACCTTGGGCCCTTAAGTTCTGGGGCCTCAGTCTCCTTGGTTCCATGAAGATCCTGTCCACCTTGCATTGTCACAGAATTATCGTGAAAATTCACCATTTATTCCTTCAACAAATTGCATGCCTCCTGGTGCAGGGCTAGATCAAATTTGAAAGTAAAAAATTTCATTCAAGAAACATTGCTTGTGTTTTTATGTTTGTATTATTTGCATAGCATTTTTTCATTATTTTATTTTGTATTCCTTGATCCATTCTACACTGAAGTGCCTTGTCTCATTCCTTTGTTTTTAATGCAAGAGTCTAAAAAGAAAAAGAGCTCAGGGTTCTTTAAGAGCTTGGAACATGACTTTCTTCTGATGGCCCCATAAACCAGATTATCTCCCATGCTCTACAGGCGAGAACTCCTGGATCAGGAACTTCTGGGAAACTGTGCATTCCTCTGCTCTCTGAAAAACCTGTCAGCTCTTCTACTCCATAATGGTCATCTCCAGCTGCAAGGAGAAGTTAATGAGTTGTGCAGGACAGTGATGGGAAAAGGTCAGCCTCCACATCACTCCTGACACCACTGCCAAGTGAGGGCCACGAAGGGGAACTGGCCATCGGGTAAGAGAGCTGGACCAGAAAGCAATCTCCATTGCATTAGCTGGTGGTTCTGAATGTGTGGAAAGAGGCCAAGGTCCAGCCTATGGACTGTGACGGAACATTCTTACAACACTGAGAGGTCTGAGCAAAGGCCGGGCAGACAGCACAGGCACTGCCTCTGTCCAGTGGCGTCTTGGGGGTATTTTTTCCTTACTTTTTGCCTTTCTCTCTCCCTCTCCTTCCCTCTCTCCCTCTCTCCTTCTCTCTCTCTCTCCCTCCCTTTCTTCCTTTCTCTCTCCCTTTCTCTCTCTCTCCCTTTCTTACCTTCCTTCTTTTCTTTTCTTTCTTCATTTCTTTCTTTTTCTTTCCTTCTCTCCTTCTCTTTTATCTTGCTTTCTTTTTTAAAAAAAGAAAGCTTATTTCTTTTATTTCTTTTCTTCATTATCCCCCTTTTCTTTTCTTCCTTTCTGCCTTTCTCTCTCCTCCTGTACCTCAATCTCCCTTATTCTTTTCCAAATCGTAAAAAAGTCCTGAGAGGTGTCTGTCTAGTGACCTCTAGGCAAGTTTCTTCTTATCCAAAAATAAAATAGTATTTAGTACTTTTCTACCTTAGAACAGGGGTCCCCAAGAGGGGGAAGCACAAACTGATATATTGAGGGTACAGGATGAAAATCTTGGGTCTTATTTTTTTTTTATTTTTGAGTCGGAGTTTCTTTCTTGTTGCCCAGGCTGGAGTGCAATGGTGCGGTCTCAGCTCACTGAAACCTCCGCCTCCTGGGTTCAAGCAATTCTCCTGCCTCAGCCACCCAAGTAGCTGGGATTACAGGTGCCTGCCACTACACCCAGCTATTATTTATTTATTTTTTGGTATTGTTAGCAGAGATGTGGTTTCACCATTTTGGCCAGGCTGGTCTCAAACTCCTGACCTCAGGTGATCCGCCCGCCTCAGCCTCCCAAGTACTGGGATTACAGGCGTGAACCACCATGCCCAGCCTTATTTTTATATTTATGTTAACTCCATACTTTTTATTCTTGTGTTAGTCTTATAATGAGCATAAAATATTAGTATGGTAGCACATGTAGTAAGTTAATTAATTAATTCATACAAATAGTGGAAATGAGGTGTTCAAACTTTTTTTAATTGAGAGGAGTAACTTGGGAAAAATATTTTCACACAAATGTTTTAAAGAAAAGCCCTTTAAAAACTTAGCAACACTTCATTCAACTCATTCCTACTTATAGTCAGTGTCTTTGCAGCTCAGAAGGGATTTCTGGGCATGCATAGGGCCTGTATGGTAGGGTGGGTGGAGCACACCAACATCCCAAGAAGTCTGAGTTGATTTCCAGCCACACGTCACTTTTGAACCTCCTTCCCCAGGAAGATCCCTCACCTACAACAGAGTCCCGCACACTGCCTTTTCACTGTCCCCTGCCCTTTCATTGTTCTCAATCATACATCCTCTTGTGATACACCACGGATTGACTTGCTGCCTGTCCCTGGCTCTTGCTGGCAGGTGAGCTCTGGGAGGACAGGGGCTTTGTCTGTTTCATTCACGGCTGCATCACCAGTACCCAGAATAGGGCCTGACACAGACACATACTTGTTGAACAAACAAACCAACTGCTGCAAAGGTCTGAGTTACAAACCCAAACGAGCTTGAGAACTCTCTGTTACAAACATAATTTTCTAATTCTGGTGGAATTAAAATTCTACTGAATTTTCTCTCTTCTTGATCATTAGTTTTCTGAAGGCTAATTTCACAGCAATTATGATGCTTAATTACATGGAGTTACAACACTTTCTGGCCGGGCACAGTGGCTCACGCCTGTAATCCCAACACTTTGGGAGGCCAAGGCGGGCGGATCACGAGGTCAGGAGTTCGAGACCAGCCTGGCCAACATGGTGAAACCCTGTCTCTACTAAAAATGCAAATATTAGCTAGGCGTGGTGGCATTCACGTGTAGTCCCAGCTACTTGGGAGGCTGAGGCAGAAGAATCACTTGAACCTGGGAGGCGGAGGTTTCAGTGAGCCAAGATCATGCCACTGCACTCCAGCCTGGGCAACAGAGGGAGACTCTATCTCAAAAAAAACAAAACAAAACAAAAAAACTTTCTAACTCCCTGGCCACACTGAACTCCTTGAGAATAGAAATTGTATCTTTAGGCTGGGAGCAGTGGCTCACGCCTGTAATCCCAACACTTTGGGAGGCCGAGGTGGGTGGATCACCTGAGGTCAGGAGTTTGAGACCAGCCTGACTAACATGGAGAAACCCTGTCTCTACTAAAAATACAAAATTAGCCAGGCGTGATGGCACATGCCTGTAATCCCAGCTACTCAGGAGGCTGAGTCAGGAGAATCGCTTGAACCCGGGAGGCAGAGGTTGCGGTGAGCCAAGACTGCGCCATTGCACTCCAGTGAGGGCAACAAGAGCAAAACTCCGTCTCAAAAGAAAAGAAAAGAAAAGAAATTTATAGTAAATTCTGAATGGATGTTTGTTGAATGAATAAATGAATGTAATCTGGGCCTTGGACATGCAGAAAGGTAGACACAGAACAGAGCAAAAGACGTTGTTGCTTACAGAGCACCTGCTGCATACAGTGCACTGTTCTAAGCACAACTGAGCAACACAGAAGACTTAGACAGTTTATTTCCTGGTGAAGCATGGTGGCTCACGCCTGTAATTCCAGCACTTTGGGAGGCTGAGGCAGGTGGATCACTTGAGGTCAGGAGTGCAAGACCAGCCTGGCCAATATGGTGAAACCCTGTCTCTACTAAAAACACAAAAATTAGCCAGGTATGGTAGCACATGCCTGTAATCTCAGCTACTCAGGAGGCTGAAGCAGAAGAATTACTTGAACCCAGGAGGTGGAGGTTGCTGTGAGCCAAGATCGTGCCACTGCACTCCTGCCTGGGCAACAAGAGCAAGACTCCCTCTCAAAAAAAAAAAAAAAAGTGTATTTCCTGTGCTTTAGGGATTTACAATCCACTTAGGAAAGATACAACAATCATGTAACGCCTCAAGAACGGCTGTAAATGGTTTTAGACTTCCAACAAACACACACACACACAAAACAATAGGTTAAAATATGATAAAGTAAGTTCATCAGCTTGTCTGCCAGTACAGTCAGTGAATTACTATGCCCCATCACCACCTTAGGTCCTGGTGCTAAGGATCTGAGATTGACAAAAATTCAACCCTGTCTTTGAGGAACTTCTGGTCTAGACACGTAATGAGGTCATTTCCACAACCTGAGCAAAGAGCCAGGACAGAAATCAGCACAGAGGGCGTGGGAACAGAAAGGAAGTATACAAAATCCCATGTTTCTCAACCTCAGCCCCATGGACATTTTTTTTTTTTAATTTTTAAAAATAGAGATGGGGTCTCACTATGTTGCTCAGGCTGGTCTCGAACTCCTGGGCTCAAGAGATCCTCCCGCCTCAGCCTCCCGAAGTGCTAGGATTATAGGCATGAGCCACCTCGCCCAGCCCCATGGACATTTTAGACCAGATAATTCTTTGTTGTGGGAGGCTGTCCCGTGCACTGTGGTATGTTTAGCGACATCCCTGGCCTCTACCTACTAGATGCCAGTAGCACCCCCCTCAGCCATGACAACTAAAAACGTCTCTAGACATTAGGACCAACTACATAATTTGCAAGGCCCAGTGCAAAAAGAAAGTGTGGGACCCTTCGTTCATAAAGCAGAGGGAAAGTGCCATTGAAGATACTCAGATACAAAGTGTTTTCATTCCCTAGGGATAGGCACACTAGCAGGGTGAGTGCAAACCCTTGTAGGTGTCTGGTGACCCCACCCCATGACTCAGCATATACACACATGCAACCCACCAGCTGCCATGTCCCCGCTCTGACCAGCCACTGGGCCATGCATCTGCCCTTCCGAGGGCATGGAAGTCAAACCAGGTCTCCCTTCCCACAACTCGCTGCCCCAGCCCATGGCAGATGGACATCCCCCAAGGGCATTACAACCATGGCACAAGGACACCCTTGGTCCAGAGGTGGGTAAAAAGCATGCTCCCCATGTAGCCTATTGCCTAATGCTCCATGGCACTGCCAGCCTGGGTCAGGGATGGCCACTGCCATGCTCCACCCTGAGATGTCGTGCCGCAAAAGCACACTATCTCAACCTCTCCATGCCCACATGAAGACCCCCTAAGGACAGAGAGGGCAGCGGTGGTTGCTGAGTGGGAGTAGGAAGAGAGAGGCCTGGCCAGGCCAGGGGCATCAGTGGATGGAGAGCTGGGACCTGAAACCCATGCCAGAAAGGCAAGGAGGCAGCAGAAGGGGGGACCACATGAACTGAGACTAAGCCCCTGGCATACGCTCTATTGTCCCATCAGCTTCATCTACACAACACAAAGTCAAAGATAAAACTATTAAGAATTTCAAGATGGCAACTACAGTGCATTAAACCCCAAGCACACTCATGAAGCTGACCCTACCAGACATTACCAAAGCCCCCTAGGAGTTAAAACCATGCTCAAGTGAGAACCACTGAGTAATAACTCAACCTAGGGTCAGGTGGGGCTTCTCAAAGGACTCGAGCTCTCAGCTGATCCCAGAAGGTTAAGGGGTGGGGTAGGGGGGATGATTAGAAGGAACAGCGCTAGTCGGGAAAGCTTCCAGCGGCTCATGAATTTTAAACCACATTCTCAGGGAAGTTGCAAAGTCTGGTTTGCCTGGAAGGAGCTCTTCCAGGTGGAGGAAGCGGCAGGTGAACAGGTATAGGAATGGAAATTAGCAAGGAGCTATAGGGGCTAATAGGGAGAATGGTTTGGCATGGGAAGTGTGGGGAGAGGGTGAGTAAGATAGGGGTCTTTTAACCTTACATAGATTATATCTGAACTTTCCTGTTGCCCCACTGTGGCTTCTGGTGAGTTGCTGAACTTCTAGGCCTCCACCTGCATGTGGTGTGGGGCTGTGACTCACTCTTCCTAAGGCCCTGGTGCGTGAAAGCCGAGGGGCACCCATCAGCAACCTTGGAGAGGCTCCTTCCACGGAGACCCTCATCTCCGCCCTGGTTTCTTCCCCTCTGTGCTGCCCCACAACACCTTCACTCACCTCCTGTGGACAAAGGCTCACTGGAGGGTCTCCATCAATGAACCCACTGGGACCGCTTCTCTCTAAGTGTGTCACCTTGGGCAGTCATCATCAAATAAGAGCTATTGGGAGCTTATTGACAGCCTCTCTTCTAATTACTTTATATATGCATTGACCATTTACTCTTTACAACCTCCCTGTTAGGTAAATGCTATCTCCATCCCCGTTTTAAAGGTGGGAATGGTGAGCCCCACAGAGGTTTAGTAAGTTGCCCATGTACAGTTAGTGAGCTGTGAGTCCAAAATCTGAATCCTGGCAATTTGGCTACAGTCTTCATATTGAACCATTTCACTCAGTTTTGTAAAATGGAGATAATAAGAGTAACCTCAGGCCAGGCACGGTGGTTCATGTCTGAAATCCCAGCAGTTTGAGAGGTGGAGGCAGGAAGATCACTGAGGTCAGGAGTGCGAGACCAGCCTGGCCAACATGGTGAAACCTTGTCTCTACTAAAAATACAAAAATTAGCCGGGTATGGTGGCACATGCCTGTAATCCCAGCTACTCGGGAGGCTGAGGCACAAGAATCGCTTGAACCCGGAAGGTGGAGTTCGCAGTGCACCAAGATCATGCCACTACACTCCAGCCTGGGTGACAGAATGAGGTTCCATCTCAAAAACAAAACAAAACAAAACAAACAAAAAACCAGTAACCTCAGATAATCTTAAGGATCAGATGACATTACACTGTAAATCTTCGCACAGTGATAGAGGTACACAGTAAGTAGTCACTACTATTGTTATTGTTGTTACAAGCATTCTTTTTTAAAAAAAAGCAAATTAAATAATGGCTCATATGCCATTGAAAACTTTGAGATGCCTCATTGGCTAAGGAGAGAGGATGAGACCCCCAGGCCTGGCATTCAGTGTTTGCCCATGACCAGCCCTGTCCTTACTTTCCAGTGTCATCGTTAGCAAGATTCCTCCGTGGTCCAGGCAGCCCAGCTTGCCCTCCTCCCCCGTCGCCTCATTACCTGCTTTCATGCTTGGCTCGGCTCTTCTTTCTGCCTGAAATGTTCTCTGGCTTCTCCTTGATGTCAAAATTCTATGTACTCTTCAAGGGCCCTGAGCCCCGACGGAATTTTGTTGGTTCCCCTATTATTATTGACATTTGCTTCTATTTATTAATTGTGCCAGGGGGTTTACATATACTATCTGGCCTGCAAATTTCTACACTGTCCTCCTTTTTACAGATAAAGAAACTGAAGTTCAGAGTGTCAGCTTACCCAAGGTCACATCTGAAAAGCAGCAGAGACAGGTTTCAACCCAGATTGGGCTGACTCCAAGCCCCATGCTGATTCCCTGTGGCACCTGCCTCTCGGCTGGTACAGAAAACCAGGGAAAGCTGTATTTGAATCTCAACCCAATCTGAGCAAGAACAAGCTCTGTGCAACTCCAACAGTTTAAGCATCAGTTAGGAACACTAAAAATAATAATAATAATACTGTCTCATGGGCAGTTACGAGGAGCAAATGAGATGCTTTGTGTAAAGCAATCAGCACAGTGCTATGATGAAGCCTGCTCCACTCTGTCTAGCAATAGAGGTGTGTGTCCGTGTCTGTCCCTCCCTCTGGATAACCAACTCCTTTAGAGCAGGAAGTGAATCTGGTTGCTCCAGCAGTGCCAGACACTGACTGCATGCCCAGCACATAGCGGATGCTCCATAAATGTTTGCTGCATTGACTCAGCAGCCCTGCATGGCTCTTCACCCCCAGGCCTGGAAACAGGGCATAGTCATCAGAGCACAAAAGGATACCTCGGTCATCCCTTAGTGTGAGGCTGAGTGGTAACTCTCATGCCCAAGGCACAGGTCATGGACAGCACTCCCGACCAGACACAGTAGGGTGAGTGGAGGCAGAGTCCACCTCGCTCCTGCTCTGCAACCAGGACCTCTAGAATCAGAGAAGACTCATCGTTGGGGAGAAACAGGATAACATCAAGTGGGCAGGGGCTGTTGACTCACAGATCGAACTCTTTCCTGGAACCTTTACCAGAGAGGAAGGAAAAAGCCTTTGCCTCACTCAAGCATGGCATCAGGAGCAGAAACTGAGGTGTCTTATTGTATCTTCCTCTTAGGCCTGGTCCCTCTTCCTGGGCTGTGCTTTGTGCTGATCTTGTCATTATACAAACCCAATGTCGTGGAGAAAACACTGGGTTCTAGATGCGGAAGTCTCAGGTGGTGATTCTGGCACCTTTTGGGGGTCGTTTTTCCTCGGGCCTCAGTTTCCTCATCTGTGAAATGTGGGTAGTAGTGCCTGCCTTGCCTTCTTTGCAGGACTCTTTTGAAGATCAAATGAAAGAGGAAATCTCTTTGCACACCATAAAATACTGTATAAATAGCGTAGTTCTTTATGTGCCAGGTATCTCCTTTGACAGGGAAGACTGATCTCTCTCACCCTGTCCCCTGTCTCCTTTCTCCCTCTCTCTCTCCCTCTCTAAAGCAATCACAAGATTTCTCCCTGTGCTGAGACTTTCCAGGGTGCTTCTGTGTGTGCCCCCACCTGTTTCGGGGCTCGGAAGGTGTCAAAGTGTCACAAACGAGGCACTTAACATGGGATCTGGGGGTCCTCCGTGCGAGTCCGGGGTTCTGCTCCTTAACCTTTTGTGGGTCCTTGGGCCAATCCTTACCCTCTTGGAGCCTCCATTTCCTCATCATTAAAGCAGGGATGGAGGATATTGCCTACTTCATAGGTCTGTGAGGGAGGAAAAAGGAGAGAGTGTAGCTAGGGCACCTCAATAACACTTATTTATTTAAATATTAATCTGAAAACAGGTTCCAGAAAATTCTAGTAAAGATTATTGCTTTTTTTCCGAAACACCGCAGCCTAGCCATGATCACTTATTCAGTAAACATTTATGGAACACCTGCTGTGTGCCGGGCCCACCATTTACTCCATAAACACTCATGGGGCACCTTCTGTGTGCTGGGCCAACCGCCAATCTCATTTTTCACGGATGTTGTGGTAAAGAAAGAGAAGTAGGTGGTTGCTCTGGAGCGAAGGCTCTCTATGGTAGGTGTAGTATTTATTAGTTTAATATCATACTAGGTTGCCGGTTTTTAATTTAATCTTTTACAAGCTACTGGGAATACCCTATTTCTAAAAAATGACCTAGCAGAAGGATGTGGGTTGTTGAATCAAAATGAGAGAGAAATCTTCTTTACCTTTAGGAGTTTCCCTGGCAATGATCACCTAATAGCAGCATGTCTGGGAAATAAAAGCTCAGAGCCGAAAGGGATTTCTGGAAAGGAAGCTGATAGTGGGGATTGGTGGGATCTGGAATCTTCCTGTATCCATTTGTTATTTCCTCACAGTGCTCCCCAGAGTGCTCCACGCAGAGTAGACACTCGGTAGTGTTTGTTAGTGAACTCAGGCCAGAAACTCTGCATTTCGAAGGAAGGGAGGGAGGACATGAGGGAGCCTCTGAGCCGTGTGCTGTGATCAAGCAAGTACTTCATGTGTTCCCAGCTCGTGCCAACCCCACACAAGGTGTTTTTCTGTGTTCCTTTAATTCTTCCAACAACCTTATAAGGTATGAATTCCATTATCACTGTTTACCTTTGGTGATAATATAAGTCTGAAAGAAATTTAGTAACTTGCCCAAAGTTATGGCTACACACTCCCAGAAAGCAGGTGGCCCATCTGACTCCAGAACTGATTCTCCCAGGGTCCTGTGCTCTTGGGAAAGTCATTTATCCTCCCTGAATTTGCCTCCTTATCCCAAAGAGGAAGACGTGAAAGGGGATGATTTTAAGGTCCCTTTTGGATCTGTGGACTTCTAGTGGCCTAAGTGCTTTATCCACGGGTTGACAAACTGACACGTGGGCCAAATGCAGCCAGCTACTTGTTTTTGTAAATAAGTTTCATTGGAACACAGCCACACATATTCATTTATGTATTGTCGATAAGAGCAGAGTTGAGTAGTTGTAACAGAGACCATCTGGCCCACAAAACCTAAAATATTTACTATTTTGCCCTTTATAGAAAAAGTTTGCTGACTCCTGGAATATACTAAGCTATAGACCTTAATGATGATTAACTACAATGATGAATAGGAAAAAATCTGGAGGACCGAACATCAACTGTAAACTGTTGACGGGGGTAAGAATATTATTTACACTGCTTTGGTTTTTTGTTTGTTTGTTTGTTTTTCAGATGGAGTCTTGCTCTGTCGCCCAGGCTGGAGTGCAGTGGCACAATCTCGGCTCACTGCAACCTCTGCCTCCGGGGTTCACACCAGTCTCCTGTCTCAGCCTCCCGAGTTGCTGGGACTACAGGCGCCCGCCACCACACCTGGCTAATTTTGTATTTTTAGTAGAGACGGGGTTTCACTGTGTTAGCCAGGATGGTCTCGATCTCCTGACTTTGTGATCTACCTGCCTCGGCCTCCCAAAGTGCTGGGATTACAGGCATGAGCCACCGCGCCCGGCCCCACACTGTTTACATTTTATACTTGGAGTAATTTATTTAATTTACTTTATACTAATTTATAACTTACATATGGCAACATGCACAGATCCCACATGTATAGCCTGGTGATGGATCCACCATCCCAATCAAAATATAGAACCATTTCTAGCACCCCAGAAACCTCCAGCACCACGGATTTGTTTTTCCACTTTTTAACTTTATATAAATGGAATCACACAGTATATACTCTTTCGTGTCTGGTGAAAGTAGTTATTTATTTATTTAGAGAATGGGGTCTCATTCTGTCACCCAGGCTGAAGTGCAGTGACACGATCATAGTTCAATGGAACCTCAGACTCCTGGGTTCAAGCGATCCTCCCACCTCAGCCTCCTGAGTAGCCAGGACTATAAGCATGCACTACCATGCCTGGCTAATTTTTTTATTTTTTATTTTTGTAGAGACAGGGTCTCACTATTTTGCTTGAACTCCTGGGCTCAAGCTATCCTCCCACCTCGGCCTCCCAAAGAACTATCACAGGTGTGAGCCACCACACCTGGCAAGTATTTAGTTTTAACAGTATTGTCCAGAGGCAATCACATGTTCGTTTACTCAGTAAGCATTTTCTTGAGCATCTACCATGCACCAGCACTTCTCCAGGCACTGAGGAGTAAGACATGAGAAGATGCCTGCCCCTCATAGGGTTTGCTCTCTGTGGTATATTTTTTCGTGGCTAGTCAAGGCTTCATGTCCACTACTACACAGAGGTCTGGCCTGAGCTCTTGGCCCATCTGCCCGAAGGCCTGCAAGTAGACACCCTAATAATTTAAGACCTTTTAGGAATTTCAAATTATAAAAAAAAGTTGGAGGACCTAAATGGTTATCCAGACCAATAGCCATTTTTCAAAGGTAGAATCAGAGACCCAGAGAAGGTGCTCACCAAAACTTTTGGGGAGATGAATCACCCAGAAAGAGGTTTTGTAGCCAGAAGAAGAACCTCAGGCTCTTTCCAGACCCTGATGTCTAGAATGTTCTCCAGGTTGCAACACTGCTCTCTAACAAGAAGGCCCCTGACCTCCTGCAGAACAGGTTAGGATGGTATTTATGTTTTACTCTAGAGATGATTTTATTTTGAGGCCTTCTAGATACTCTGTGAACCAATGAGAGAGGCTGGGAGAGTGGAGTGGCAGGGGTGGAAATGACCAGAATCTCTTCTGTAAACAAAGAAGTGCAACCGTGAAAAGTAGGGGAAAGATTGCATGCACAAATCAGAAAAGAAATATCGCTTGTGCTGCTAAGTTCCAGGGGAGATGAGTTCACAGAAGCCACATTTGCCAATCTGTGGAATGACCAGCATGGTGCTCAGAACACCTTCATAGAATGATGAGTCAACTGGATTTCAACTTATTTTATACCAGGGATTGCACGTCCTATAAAAAACAAGAACAACAAACCTTGGGATATGAACTGCAAATTCATCTAATTTGAGCAGATGAAACTGATATGGTCTCTTCAAATTCAGTAGCTCTTAAAAACATGCTGGGACTATAAGAGCCTAAAGACATCAGTTGCCTCAGTTCTCAGCATGTTATCAAGATGTGCCTCTTCTTTCTAAATACGTGAGAGCCCACCATATTCTAGGAACCTGTGGTTACTAACTCACCTAATCTTCACACCGGCACAGTAGAGTGTCATTATCATTTTGCACTGAGGAAACTGAGGATCAGAAAGATTATGTAACATGCCAAAAGTCACACAGCAGGTGAAGCAGATCTTGGGTTCAAGTTTAGTTCTGTTTGACTACTCCAAACCCTGCCCTCTATTCTCTGCTGGGTATCCTCCACCTCTCCCCCACAGAATCCCTCTTTCAACTTCTCATCCCTCAAAACAATGACAGCTAGAGACCCTCCTCTTTCATCCTAAAACCCTGCTCAAAAGTTCTGAGCCCCAACCTCAACCCTTCCATTAATTTGCTGAGGTGGCTACAAGCAACCTGAGACTCTCCCATATCTTATTTTTCCATCTTTAAAATGGAGTTATTATATCAGTCCATCACGACTTTATTCTGTGTGAAGCATAAACAGATGTTATTTCAATCCTACTCCGTCTTCCTCTATTTGGGGGAAGTTTAACTGAAGAGTTTTACAAGATAGCTCACTTAACATTATGAACTGCATTCTGAAAGACTATCTGCTGGTCTACTTTACACAGCTCTTTTTAAACTTCCATATGAAGGGACTGGTGAATCTGTTTGAAGATCTATAGTACAGAACAATTACTTGATAAGCGCTTATATTGCACAAAGTGGCATATTACAAGGTAGGACTAGGAAGGAGCATTACAGGAAGTTGCTAGATATGAATAGCCAGATTACCTGGAAAACATACCTGGACACTCATAGGAAGTTTGTCCTATCCTCTGTGTGAAATTGCCTGCACATTCACATAGTTAGCTGGGGTGTGGGGAAGAATGGGTTTGCTGACACCTGAATTTTGAGAGAGAATGAGGCTTGGGAATCAGATGGGGCACACAGCAGCTGCAACTGCCAATCAAAGTTTTGTTGTTACAACAGAAGTGATTGCTGTTTTTTAAATGGGTTTTCCCAGCTTAACACAGAAACTGATCTTCATTACACTTGATGCTTCTATCCTGATAGCGAGTGAGAGACAGACGAAGAGATTGTTCTTCAGGGACATTTACTCTGAACACTTCATTATCCTTCTTGAGGCAAGCTGGGTAGGCAGAGAATGTTCTTCCATTGGGCAGAATTATGAGAAGCAAAGATTTGCACCTATTACAACAAACTAGAGGGAAAGAAGGTGAAATGAAAAGCCAACATTTTCATGAAGTTATGACTCCCTGTGGCACCCTGAGGAGTAATGGGTGTCTGGAGGCTGAAGGATGGAGAGGTTCCTGAATTTGGGATTTGCTTGTCTCCGGGAAAGAGGGACTGAGATCAGTGTAAACTTTCCTCAGGCTACACGCACACAACCATCCCGCTTCCTTCTGGCTCTCAGCACAAGTGGCCCAGGCACCTGTAGCAGACCCTGTATTTAAGAGGCATCCTAGCTCCTTAACAGCCTGACTTGATAAATTACACCATCAGCCCTTGCACACCTAGGAGATTAGATCCTGCCCCTAGGCAGATGAGAGCTGCTAGACTCTTCCTCCTCCTGCTGAAATTCCTCTCTATCCCTAACCTAACCTTACTTCCTCCTAGATATCTTTCAAGGGTGGGAGAGGAAGGAAAATGTGCTTAGAAACTCCTTTGCAATTTTTCTGCTGATTCTGAAACCCTAGTCCCCCAATCCCTCCAACCCCAGCACTGTATCACCAATTCTGAATACCCTAAGTTTCCAGAGTAACTCAGTTTTACTACTGGGAACTGGCTTCCCGTCTTCTCAGACCAGAAAGTGTTGAACTTTATTATTAGACCAAGCGGTTGCACAAGTGGCCTCAGTCAATATACACAACCCCCAAAAAAAGGTTATCAGTGGTATCCTCTTTTTGCAGATGAGGAAACTGAGGCTCCCAGAAGGGAAGCGTTATGCTCCTCCCCAGAAGCTTTAGGTCTGTGTGTGGTGGAAGCAAAGAAGCCCCTTTCCCTGTTCTTCTACAGGTCAGGTCCTAGCTTGCCGGTTTGGGCGCGCTTCCGCCGCCCTCCCCTCCTGCCCGTCACCAGGGGGGAAGCAGGTGAAACTCCAATAGTGCTGCAAGGCCTATGGCTTCCTACCTGGCCCAGGCCAGAGTGGGAAAAAAAACATCTTTCCCTCAGTAGCTCTGTCGACACCTTCTGTACTAGGAGTGCAAGACTTCTGCCACTGCTGCAGTGACCTCGTCTACAGAGCTCGTCCCCGGCCCAGGGAACCACAGATGTTCTGGAACTACGAATAAACCAGAAATGAGTGGGCCGGGGGGACCCTCGGCTGCAAGTGTCCACCCAGCTGCAGGTCAAGCTTTGCTTTCACTGCCTCACCATCCTAGTGCCTCACCATCCTAGTGCCTCACCATCCTAGTGCCTCACCATTCTGCCTCACCATCCTCCCCCAAGGCGGAGGCGCCTTGACATCCGGGTTTAAACAGGAGAGTGAGGAGCCCCAGGGGTCCAGCTCCCCAGTGGCGTGGCCAGGCTGGGCGCCGGTGCAGCCCAGCTGCTGGGGGAGCTTCACTTTGGCTACTCCCTCTACCCATAAAGTAGTCTCTTTCCAAGAGTTCTCCCGGACTCCTTCACCCTCGCCTACGCTCTCTGGCGGGCAGTTCTGCAAACCCAAACCGCCAGACCAGGCCAGGGAGGTTCTGGGGCCTGGAGGTAGTAACCGAGGTAGAAATAAATGGAGTCCCTCCAGGGCATGCTCACCACACCTAACGCTGCCTCACCTCCCCCGTGGCCTCGGCGCCCCTTCCTAAGTGGTCAGTTTCTCTTCCGCCCTGCGGGCTCTCCTGGCCCACCACCTGCGTCGGCCGGGACGCATCCAGGGTCTCTACTCTTCGCTTCCTCCTGCGTCCCCTTCTTCCACGAGCACCCCAGCTTCCTCTGGCTCTCACCTGAACCCCGAAGCGTAGTGTCTTCTCTCTGGACTAAAGCGGAACTGAGAACCGGTGGAAAAGCCCCGCGCCTAGGCTGCAAGGCACTGGCTTAACAAGTCCAAAGGTTAGGTGAAGTTTGGCTGATAAGCAGAACCAGTAAAAGAAGGTCTCTAGCCCCCCAGCGTGAGTACAATGGACCCTGGCAAAGCCCCGCTCCCGGCCCAGGTCTTCTGCTCTCCAGGTCTGCCCCTCCGGCTCTCCCTCTCTCCGGGTTTCCCCCTCCCCACCATCATTTGCATCCAGCCGAAAGCTGGGCCCTTCCCACTAATTTGCATATCTTATATGGCCTAATGGTGGCGATCATGGCAAGTTAGAAGTTTTCTGACTCCTTTCGGAGGAGCCTCCGGGACCCCGGGGAGTAACAGGTGTCTGGAGGCTGAAGGGTGGAGGGGTTCCTGGATTTGGGGTTTGCTTGTGAAACTCCCCTCCACCCTCCTCTCTCGCACCCACCCACCCCCTCACCCCCTTCTTTTTCCGTCCTTGGAAAATGGTGTCCAAGCTCACGTCGCTCCAGCAAGAACTCCTGAGCGCCCTGCTGAGCTCCGGGGTCACCAAGGAGGTGCTGGTTCAGGCCTTGGAGGAGTTGCTGCCATCCCCGAACTTCGGGGTGAAGCTGGAGACGCTGCCCCTGTCCCCTGGCAGCGGGGCCGAGCCCGACACCAAGCCGGTCTTCCATACTCTCACCAACGGCCACGCCAAGGGCCGCTTGTCCGGCGACGAGGGCTCCGAGGACGGCGACGACTATGACACACCTCCCATCCTCAAGGAGCTGCAGGCGCTCAACACCGAGGAGGCGGCGGAGCAGCGGGCGGAGGTGGACCGGATGCTCAGGTAGGCGCAGAGCGAGGTGGAGGGGACCCACCCGAACCCCTGGAGCCCCGGCCCCGGGCCTGAGTGACACTGCGCCCGACCACACTCGCCAAGCCCGTTTCCCACCAGAGAAGTCCCCCGGGGGGCGCTCTGCTTCTCTCCCAACACCCGGACCCTTCCCAATCCCTTAGCGGGACGACCCTGCGGCCCACCGGGCTTCTTCTCCCCAGGCCCAGGCCAGCGTCCGAGACCCAAGGGCTTTTCCCCGCGGGGCTGGGGCTGGGCCGGGGAGAACTGGAGCTGTGGAGCCCTTTGCCGGGAGGTTTGCCCACGCGACTGAAGGTGCGAGTGGGTGCAGTGAAACCGCTGCGACTTCCCGGGAGCAGAGCCTCGCGCCGCTGCAAGCCCCAGGCCGCGCATTTTTCCTGCGCCCTGCCTCGGGTCTGGAAAGCCGCATGTCGGCCTCGGACACATTGACCTGCATGATGACCTGCAGTTCTTTGCCGAAGGACAGGCGGCATCCGGAGCCGGGATCTGGGAGGCGAGTTCCCTGGTGGGCACTCTTGTTAGCCGCGCCCATGCAAGGCCCGGAATTATCCGGGATCCCCAACGCGGGTTTAGATTTGCAAAGGGCATGTTCCATGCAGGGTCCGGGTGGACACGCGCGGGGCCAAAGAAACCAAGCGCGGTGGTGTGGGGGCGAACGCGTCTCAGACCTCAGTTCGCAGAGGATCTGGTCTCAGTCTGAGAAAGGAGGGCGTTTCCAGACCTCGCTGCCCACCCCCGGCCTCTCCCCGGGAGTTCAGGCCGGCTGGCAGTGTATCCCCAGGGCCGGGATCGTTTGTGGGTCCTCCCCGACCGCCCTAGACTTTGACAGCTGGTTACTAATTATCTAAGGAGCCGAGCGGTTCCCTGAGACAGCACGTCGCTCCCGGGCCACTCCGCTTTAGGACAGAGCCCATCGCGTGGCTTCGGACACTGAAGCGCTGCGATTTCGGGGCTGAGCCTTGGCCGCACGTCCGCAGCGGCGGTTTGGGGTGGGATATGACCTTGCATTTGAATTTGTGCTCCGAGGGCCTGGCGGTTTGCCCTCTAGCCAAAACAATCAGGGGAACTTGTAGATTTTTTTTCCCCAAACACACTTTGGTATAATTCATAGGTTTGAGGTTCTTCCCTCGTCGCTCTCCCGCCCGGAGGTGATTTCTCCCCTACCGGGAGAGAACTCCTGCAAGAGAGTTCCGCGAGGCGGAAGGTGTGAGTCGCGGAGGCTAAGAGGGGTCGAGAGAGTGGCCCCTAGGAGCGGCTGGGGCGCCAGGGCTGCCGGGGAGGTCGCTCAGGACCTGGCGGATGAACCAGGCTCCCACCGCCGGCCACCGGGGGCCACAGGGCCTAGGCCCTCCCACTCGGCCGCAGGCGCCCGCTTTCTAGCGCGGCGCTGGAAGGACCTGGGGCGCCCCTCCGCACCCAGCCCCGCGCCGGGCTGGCCGCAGCTGAGACGTAACATAAACTGCAGCACGTGGAGTTGGGGTGTTATTAATTTATTTCTATAAATCATCAACAGAAAGATACACAAAGAGCCGTGATTAGGTTGAAAAGAGAGGCGGGTTATTCATTGGTGAAGTTGTAAACGCGGCTTAGAGGGGGGAAGGAGATCAAAACGCGGGCGCGGGGCTGCTCGCCGCTCCCAGCGCGCACCCAGCCAGGCGCCCCGTGCGGCCCTGCGGCCTCACCGCTCTGGCGCGGGACGCGGGCTCTGTGAGCGCCCGAGCCGCCCGCGGAGCCCCCGGGTCGCCGACACCCGCAGGCCCGGCCGGCGGAGAGCCAGGCCCGGCCCAGGGTCCTTAGACCCCAGCCCCGCTCTTCCCTCCCCAAAGCCCCAGGCCCCAGCAGGGCAGGGAGAGGGACTGGGGAGCCGGAGACCCTCGCCGAGTTGGAGACGCGGGACAGACCTGGAGGCTTTTTTCTCCCGTCCCGAGCGGGTGCTGCCTTTCCTCCCCCGCTCCCGGGAGCGCCGGACTTGATTAAAGTAATTTTTCAAGAAATCGCTAGCGGTTCCTAGGTCACTGCACAGGGGGCTCCCAAGCCTCGGGCACACGCACTCCCTTCTTTTGCCCACCGTGTTCCCTTAAGACGAAAAGCAAAGAGAAAGAAAAGTCGCGTTTTGGAGTTCCCGGAGTTCTAGTAAACCTCCTGGAAGAGAAAGGCAGGGGAGGAAGGTCGGGACTGCGCGCTTCCCGGTCCCCGGCTCCCGGCCGGAGCTGGCCTTTCTCGCGGCCTCGAGGCAGGTGCGCCGGGGGCGTCTAGAAAGTGGGCTGCATTCTAAGAAGCCGAAGTTGGGCTCCTTAACGAACGCGCTGCGGACTGCGCTGGAGTCCAGGCTTCTCTGCTCGTGGGCAGCAAAGTCATTGTTTGAGAAGGAGCGTGCGGGACGGACCCTGCGGGCGCCGCGGCCGGCGTTTGACACCTGCGCTTGGGACACAATGGCCGCAGGCCCTCTTCGGGACCGGTGCCTTTCTCGGTGTTAGGGAACCTCTGAACCTGAGCTGTGTTTTCAAACAAACAAACAAAAATAACCAGCTCTCCCGGCTCTTCCCGGTGAACACACGTGAATTTTGGGGTCAGAGGGTTGTGAAGGTATAACTGCGCCATCTTACTCCTCACTCTTTTAAGTCGGACTTAAAAGGTTTTGCCATTATTTATAAGGTTCTTGGGGGCTTTTTTTAAACCCTCCCCAATTGTTGGGCTAATTCACTGTTTCCACAGAATCATTCCCACTTAGAACAGTACCCTATTTTTCTAGGTTTCTTAGGCATACAAAATGAACACAGGTAAAGGCATTTAAACAAAAGAAAAATAGCCGAAGAATTTGCTAAAGCAATATTCACTTTTAAAATGCAATTTTTCCCCTAAGGTTCGAGGAGTCTTGTTCGTAGCCGTTGAAAGTATTTTTCCATCCTAAAAATATCGGTGGAAATATTGACCAGAAATAAACTTTTAAATGATCTGTGATGTTTACAAGGATATGTCTAAAACGTTTATTACATTATTTTCCTCTTAATGTGAATTCTCCACGTTTGAAACTGTAACTCGTTTTCTCATTTTTTGTTCTTCTTGTTACTTCCTCATATTGTGTACTTGGAAATTACCTTTGTAAATACTTGAGAAATTCGTTCTTATATATAATTAATATAAAAAGTTTGCATTTCTCAAAAACATCTCTATCAAAGCCTGTGTTCTCACGAGTTTAATATCAAAGTCTTAATAAAATAATCACAACTACCCAAATGCTTATAAAATATGTTCGATTACTGGATTTTTATTCATTAAACAGAATTAATTTTATTTGACATATTTAAAGGCGCCATTTAGAAATAAAATTGCTTATTATGTTGCAATGCTGTATCTATTTCAGCCTCTACACCGTTTTCTTTTTTGTTTCACCTGAAACTAGTTTTCCCTTCCGTTTTTTTTCTTGTTCTATCAAGCTAATATATATATCAACATACAGTAATGGGGTGCTGGTTTTTGTAAGTTAAATATGTACCTGCATTAAATAAATAGTAAACATGTATATATTGCTTCTTTAGTACTTTTGTTCTGTGCTGCACACTATTTTAATTTCTAGTTTTAAATTATATCTCTCTTTTCAAAGCATCTGTTCAATAAGCAAGAAAAGATATTGGCAAAGTTGAAACCATTCTAGACAAATAAAATTCAAAGGTGCTAAAACTAGCAGTTTACACACCTGTGTTTATGAGAAATGAAAAGTATAACCATGTTCTTATCCAGTATTTAAAATTTATGAGAAACATAATACAGGAAAACAAGCATCTAAAATTGTTAATGTCCGAAATTGAAGTTATTTGTCCCCATTAGCCCAGTAGATTTTGTCTGGAAGGTGGAGCTGTGGATTTTTTTTTTTTTTAACTACTTGCCTCACCTCAGTGGTGTGATCCTCCCGTCCCAAGGAGATACAACATTGTATTTTGGAAAACTTTTCTAAAACTCTGAAAATTATTTACTATTTGGCTAAGACATCCTCCTTGCTTCTTAGAAGGTGAACACATACATTTCACCCCTGTTTTATAAGAAATGGAGATACCCATTCAAAAGGAAAATAATGTAGGAGAGGTTGAAGCTAAAATTGGGCAAATTCAGAAACTGATGCTATCCCTACTTCATTGTAGGATCAGGGAGTCCAGCCCCAAGCTAAAGGCATCCCCACTTTCCAGTGGGCCTCCTGCCTTTTAAATCTCCCACATTGCAGGAAAATGGAGGAAAGCAAAATAAAATGGCCAGGCGCGGTGGCTCACGTCTGTAATCCCAGCACTTTGGGAGGCCGAGGCAGATGGATCACCTAAGGTCAGGAGTGTGAGCCCAGCCTGGCCAACATGGTGAAACCCCATCTCTACTAAAAATAAAAAATTTAGCTGGGTGTGGTGCTGGGCATCTATAATCCCAGTTACTCTGGAGGCTGAGGCAGGAGAATCGCTTGAACCCAGGATCCTGGTGGAGGTTGCAGTGAGCCAAGATGCCGTTGCACTCCAGCCTGGGTGACAAGAGCAAAACTCCACATCAAAAAAAATAATAATAAATAAATTAATTAATTAATTAAATAAAACAAGAGCTTTTCTTTTTGCTTAATAAGAGAGAGTGGTGGTGGTGCTTTTTTATTCCTGAAGATGGGAAGTCCTCTTTTGCCCACTAACCTCAGAAGAAAGGGATGAGGTGTACCGTACAGGGGCAGTCACCTTCTCCTCTGTTTAGCTTCCATTTTGGCCTCATGTCTACCCCAAAGTTGTAGCTTAGATGGGGGGAAAATTCAGAATTTTGCATAGACCATAGGTAGCACCCCCTAGAAAAAGAATGTTTCTCCCCAGATGTCTCCCACTAGTACCCTAACCATCTGCTTGTCTGTCTAGTGAGGACCCTTGGAGGGCTGCTAAAATGATCAAGGGTTACATGCAGCAACACAACATCCCCCAGAGGGAGGTGGTCGATGTCACCGGCCTGAACCAGTCGCACCTCTCCCAGCATCTCAACAAGGGCACCCCTATGAAGACCCAGAAGCGTGCCGCTCTGTACACCTGGTACGTCAGAAAGCAACGAGAGATCCTCCGACGTAAGTGTTTTCATCCTGCCTCTGCCTCAACCTGAAGTGACCTTTGCCCTCTCACCCCATTGGCTGCCTCAGTTTCCCTTTCATCGACAAGGCCTTGTGAGCACTTGGCAGATATGAGGAAGGTGGCAAGTAGATTTGGCCTTGGTGGTTGCTGTACAATGGATTGGCTTCTGTCATGTTCTTCAGTCACAGCCCCCTTGCTACCCAGCCAGTTGCTCTGAGGAGCCTGTCAGTGTATGCAGCATACCTTAAACTTTTTGGCCCCTCCTTCCACCTCCTTCTCTTTGAAACCAAGTAGGTGACAGAGTGAAATGTCTTCCCTGAGAGAAAACCCAGCATCTCCCCTTGATACGTGACCATCAGTCAATTTCCAAAGAAGACATTTCGTTGCAGTCAATAATATTGATTACTATTACTGTTAATTTCCTCCTCTCTGGAAAAAGTATCAACAATAGAATGCATTTGTATAGAGAGATATATTCAGAACTTCACCCTGTTCTTGGAGGATAGTGGGAGGGATTGAATCCTGAGGCAATTTAAGGTGTTTACCCACATTTACCAACACTGGTAGAGTGTGGGGACCTCAGCTGGTGGCCCTGCTCATGAAGAAGCTATTTCTGGCTAAGGCAGGGCACAGGAAAAGCATCTGCATTTGGAACTCTGACCCATCAATTCTTGTCATCCCCATTCCCATCCCAAAGTTTTTTTTCTGTCCCAAGATTTCTCCCACCCAATAATTCTAAAAGGTTTTTGTTTTGAAGTACGTCTAGAGAAGTTTGAACTGCCTATGAATAACAAGAGTAGGAATGACATACTGTCTGTATTTTAGGAAAGTATTCTTTGACATTACACTTTCATTACTTTGATCCAATCCTTTTCCTGGAAAATTTGTATCGGTTTTCACTCTCCCCACACACTATCCTCTGGCTTTATCTAGGCTTCTCTGTCTTTATCAAGATGTTAATTTCCACCACTATCTGGGTTTCTGGGTTGGGTTTTTTCCCTGTTGCTTTTTAAAATGACTCTTGTCTTCTGTTACACACTGCTCTGAAGTGATTGTTTCAGTATTTATTGTCTCAATGTCCCTGGGCTGGTGAAAGGAATGGTTTTAGGTGTTCATTTCATATTGTGGTGTTTGTGCTTTTGTTGGGAGCATTACATGAATAGATTGGAAGAAGCAACATGAGAGCTGTTTGCTGCTTAGAGCGAGAGACCTTTCCAAGAATGGGTTGGCCCCCCATACTTGGTGACTAGCTCTTTAAGAATTTGTGTTCCTGACATGAAGCAACTCTCTGTAGTTCCTGGAAAGCCTAAAAAAATTCTCAGGAGCCATTGTCTCCAAAGACCCAACAACGCTTGGGCCCTGCCCAATTTAAGCTTTATGCAGCATTTCCAGTCTGTGCTGCCTCTCTGTATTCAATGAGAATTTCTTCAGAAAGGAGAAGGAGGCAGGAAAGGCAGACTGGAAACTTCTCAAAAGACAGAGGTCCAGAAAGTTTCTCAAGATGCTGAGGAAGGGACGTTTTACAAATACAACAGCCTCTTCAAGAGATTGTTGTTATTGTTATTTTTGTTTTATTTATTTATTTATTTATTTAACTTTTTGAGACGGGGTCTCGCTCTGCCACCCAGACTGGAGTGCAGTGGCGCGATCTTGGCTCACTGCAAGCTCCGCCTCCCGGGTTCACGCCATTCTCCTGCTTCAGCCTCCCAAGTAGCTGGGACTGCAGGTGCCCGCCACCACACCTGGCTAATTTTTTTTTTTTTTGGTATTTTTAGTAGAGACGGGGTTTCACTATGTTGGCCAGGCTGGTCTTGATCTCCTGACCTCGTGATCCGCCGCCTCAGCCTCCCAAAGTGCTGGGATTACAGGGGTGAGCCACCGCACCCAGTTGTTATTTTTGTTTTAAAGTCACACGAGACATAAAAGCTTAAGAAACATTCCTTCCTTCTGTAACTATTATACAGGCACCTACTATGTGCCAAACACTACGCTAAGCTATGGAATACATAGGTTCTTTTCTCCAGGGACTTACCTGCCATCCAGTGAAGAAGTGGAGATGTTTGAGTAAATAATGACATTCACTTTCTAAGAGCTGTTATAAAGATATACACAAGGGGCAGCAGAGGAATTGCTAAATTGCCTGGAGACATCATGGGAGGCTTCCTAGAAGAGGTGACATTCAAATCATGTCTTGAAGGATGAATGTAAGACATGCAAGCATGATATAAGAATTAGGAAGTAAGAGAAATAAAAGAGGGACACAAGTGAATGGGGTGAGGAGAAGGAGGAAGAGGGGAGAGAATAAAAAATGATACATGATTACAAATTTCCTGGAAAAACTAAAAATAACAAATGGTAATATTCATGGGCCCCTCTACACACACAGAACCTCCTTGTCCAAGCAGCCCCCAAGCCTATAAAGAGGCTACTGAAGCCAACTTCTCCAAGATAATTTTCATGGGCAATGAACATTTTCTTCCCCAACCCCAATTAATCTGAAGGGAAGTAGAGAAGAGTTGTTGGTGGCTAGAGGGAGCAAATGTGGGAGTCTAGTTCTTCAAAAATTGGGAGAGGCTAGAGCCAAGCCCCTGATGTCAGTGGAACCCGAATGGTTCTGAGCACCTACAGGCAAACCCACCTGGCTGATTTGAGGACACACTGAGTTCTGAACACTGTTCAGCCTGCTACCTCCTCAAAGGGCAGGTGAGAGACTGAGGCAGCCCTCACACTGGGGAGCAGCTGCGAGAGTGTCTCACACCCACCAGACACAAAGCTTCAGGAATCGGTTTTGTCACCTCCACACAAGTCAGATATGAAGCGTTTGCGGGGTACGTGGCTTGGGTTTTGTTTTTAGTGAGAGGTGATGCACAGGCTGGTAGTTAGGAGCCTGCAAGCCTGCAGGCTGGGCTCGTGTCCAGGCTCCTGCCCCAAGTCCACATGACTTTGGACAAGTCACTTCACCAGTCTGAACCTCAGTTTCTTCATCTGTAAAATGGAGGTGGCTGTACTTCTCACATGGAGCGGTCGTAAGAATTAGATGAAGGAATATATTTAGAGGATTTGGCACAATACCTCACCACAGAAAAGGTTCAATAAATGTGAACCGTTATTGTGTCTGTTCACATCAAATGAAAAAATCTCACATTGCTCCCAGGCCCTTGGGATGATCCACACTGGCTTTCGCCATTGGTGACTCTACTGGTGCCACACAGGGCCCACGGGGAGGAGGGAAGACACTGTGACAGACCTCACTGAGCAGGGGACATCTCCTTCTCCCCCTTGGATTTCCCCTCAAGTAACTGCATTTAGAGAGCTGCTGTGAAGTCAAATACCATAGAGGGGCTAAAGCACTTTGAAAAGTATAATCAGGTGGGGCATGGTGGCTCACGCCTGTAACCCCAATGCTTTGGGAGGCTGAGGTGGCGGGAAGACTGCTTGAGGCCAGGAGTCTGAGACCAGCTTGGGCAACATAGCGAGACCCCGTCTCTACAAAAATAATTTTTTTTAATTAGTCAGATGTGGTGGCCTGCACATCCGTAGTCCCAGCTACTTGGGAGGCTAAGGCGAGAGGATGGCTTGAGCCCAGGAGGTCAAGGCTGCAGTGAGCTATGATCGTACTACTGCATTCCAGCCTGGGTCACAGAGCAAGACCTTGTTTGAAAAAAAGAAAAAGTATAACCCCCAAAGGAATTTGGGCCAACATCACTATCATCCTGACTAGGGGTAGATATTCTAAAAGACTAGTTAGTGTCCCTAAGCTTTCAGTCAGTCTCATTCCACAGCTGGGGAGACTAAATGATGAGGGAATTAAGCTGGGGCCCCACATGATCCCACTAGCAGTGACTTCCTGCTAGTACATTTGACAGGGACTCTCTCAGGTCTATAGTGGCATTGTTGGGCACCACTGAAAACAGAGCCCTAAGGTGGCCTAAGAATCCTCCAAGGTGAATGGGCCGAAATCAAAGGCCCCAGTGACACCATCAGTCCACAGTTAAACAAAGCCCAACACCACCTGCAGTTGGGATTGCAAGTCTTGGCGGGCTAGGGGCCCTAACCATTCCTCCCGATGGAGCAAAATGGAAATGAGCCTAAGACAGGTGGTAAGTTCCCTGCTGCTGGAGGCATATAGCCTGGAGGGCCACTTGGTGTGGGGTTGTAGAGGGGATTCAAACGTTAAGTAGTAGCCTGACTTGAACCTTGAGGATTTTGGATCCAGTTGTCCAAAGGAACAGGAAGGATGGCATGTAAATGATGGCACATCATTTACATCACAAAGGGAGGTGGTAGCCTTCCACTTTCTGTGACCTGTGGGAGTAATTACAGGAACTGAGAAAGAAAGTCATCAAGGTCGGGCACGGTGGCTCACACCTGTAATCCCTGCACTTTGGGAGGCTGAGGCAGGTGGATCACCTGAGGTCGGGAGTTTGAGACCAGCCTGCCCAACATGATGAAACCCCATCTCTACTAAAAATACAAAAAATTAGCTGGGCATGGTGCCGCACACCTATAATCCCAGCTACTCAGGAGGCTGAGGCAGGAGAATTGTTTGAACCCGGGAGGCGGAGATTGTAGTGAGCCGAGATCACACCACTGTACTCCAGCCTGGGCAACAAGAGGCAAACTCTGTCTCAAAAAAAAAAAAAAAAGATATTAAGATCCAGAACATAGGGACCCAGAGCTAGGAGATGAATGTATTACGTGTCTTTGCTCAGCAGAGTGCTTAGCCTCCATGTTTATTCATCTTTAAAATGGAATTAATCACTCCTGATGAGCCCTGCTTCATGCAGATGTGAAGACGAGGACAGCAAAGCTTTCTTCTTCGGTAATGTAGATATCAAATCTCATTAAACCATGTGGGCTAAGGCATCACCTCTGGGCCGAGCTGCTGGTTCTCATTCATTCCACAAAAATCTCCTGATGGTCACAGTATGCCTGGACTCAAGGAATTGGACAGACAGGGAGCATCATTTCCAGCTAATTAAACACTACTCCCAGACAGGTCCTGTGTTTGTAGTCTTTGAAATTATTTTGAGATCTAAAGCACATTTTCTTTTTCCAATACAAAGCTCCAGTTATATTTATTTCAAAGCATGTTCCAAAAGGTTTGGGGTTTTTCTAAAAACCTGACTTTATAATGTAGATACCTAGGATATAGGAAGAGGGAGGAGAGGTGGGGAGTGCTATCTACAGCCTCTGAATATTTTGTGCAAGTGTAAATTGTACCTTTGAGCAGTTCTCCCCTGGATGTGAGACTTGATTGAGCTCACCCACTTGACATCAAATACAGGAGTTCAGGATGCAGAGTGTTGCTTCATCTCTGAAGGCCAGTGAGCCAAAGGGGAAAAAATAATAATTTTCTTAAAACTATAGCTGGCTATGTTTGAGCTCCTTCAAAGAAAGGAAAAGGGTGGCTTTGCTGGAGCAACTGAGGTGGGCAGTAAGGGCCTGTGCTGAGGGCTCCCCATCTCCAGCTCCACATGCAGTGAGAGAAGGTTGCAAAGCTTAGTTAGACGAGGGGAATAAAGGTGTCTTCGTCCGTTGTCTGTCTGTCTGTCTGTCTGTCTGCTGAGTGAAGGCTACAGACCCTATCAAATCTACTCCTTTCTCTTTTCAGAATTCAACCAGACAGTCCAGAGTTCTGGAAATATGACAGACAAAAGCAGTCAGGATCAGCTGCTGTTTCTCTTTCCAGAGTTCAGTCAACAGAGCCATGGGCCTGGGCAGTCCGATGATGCCTGCTCTGAGCCCACCAACAAGAAGATGCGCCGCAACCGGTTCAAATGGGGGCCCGCGTCCCAGCAAATCTTGTACCAGGCCTACGATCGGCAAAAGAACCCCAGCAAGGAAGAGAGAGAGGCCTTAGTGGAGGAATGCAACAGGTAACACCACCAGAAGCTCACCTGGGCAGGTGGGCAAGTACACAGACCCAGGAACCCTCCCCTCGGTCCTGGGATATTGAGACACTAGTTATACAGATAAGTGTGGCTAAATCAGAGCTTCTCAAAGTATGTTCCACAGAACCCCAATATCAATTCATTAATCAGTAAGTCTGAGAATCAGCATATGGATACTTCCCCTTAGAGAGTCACAACATATATTAAAGGTTCCGAGAAGCCCTGCAGTCAAGAAACCCACTTAGCTTTGTTGAATTGGTTGTTAACTATGGAATCTTCGGTAGAGTACAAACAACCCCATGAATTATTCTTCCAGGGAAGATACTCTGGAGAATGCTAATTTAAAATATGATACTTGGGAAGCGAAATTGTGTGTTTGACCTCCCTGCAGGCCAGGGTAAAACTTTCCCTTAGCCACAGACTCTAGATCTGGCCTCTACCAATTGTCAGACATGCAGTGGTCCAAAAGGAAACTTGGCAGGAGAGTAAGAATTGGTCAGATCTGTTCAGTCCACTCTGCCCCCGCTGACTCAACAGAGTTCTTTTTACTTGTTAACTACCAGCCAGGCACGGTGGCTCACACTTATAATCCCAGCACTTTGGGAGGCCGAGGCGGGAGGATTGCTTGAGCCCAGGAGTTTGAGACCAGCCTGGGCAACATGGTGAAACCCTATCTCTATTTAAAAAAAAAACAAAAAAACAAAAAAACAACTCTGTGTTATTTTAAGTATTTATTTTTAAAATGTGGTCTTGCTATGTTGCCCAGCAGATCTTGAACTGGGCTTAAGCGATCCTCCTGCCTTGGCCTCCTAAATAGCTGGGATTACAGGCTCTAGCCACAGGGCCCAGCTATTTTTTTTTAAACGATTGGAAAGCCTTGGGAAATCTTTTTACTTCATTCCTGCCCTGTTCTCCCTGACTCCAGTATTGACTTTCTAAAACTTCAGCTCTTTGGTCTGGCCAAGGCCTGTGTGCGCTTTCTCTGTCTCTGGGCTGGGCTGGCCTTGGCTGTGGGAAGAATGCAGCCAGGGAGGTCAGGCTGGGAAGCAGGGAGGCCTGTATTGCCACTGAGTCCTCAGGCTGTGCTCCATACCCCGACTAATGAGATGCCTTGCAGCACCCAGTAGTGTCTAAGAATCTCTCGCACCTGGTTTTGAGGTTTCACCAGCCCTGATAAAGCTAGAGACTGGCCATCTCAATGCACCCTGCTTTGTACCCCACCCAGCCTGCCTTTTGGAGGGGATAAAGCATCTTGCTTCCTGGCACTCTTTCAGGGAGTTCAAGCCCCAAAAGACCAGAAATCCTCTCGAAGTGCTTTGAAGCCACTCAAGACAGAGCCAGCGAAGGGCTTTGCCTTTTATGTGGTGGGAAGAATGGCTAAATAAGGAAGCCCCATCTGGACCTTCCCCTGGACTGCCTGTCCCCGGCTTGCTCTCTTCTCCTCGAGAGCCACACCAGAGCCTAAGCCCCTGACTCCCAGGGCGGCATAGCCTGCTCTGTCCCTGCGTTCAGGCCCACTTCAGCCATCTTCATCAGATCACTCCATGGATTGGCCTTTTCTCTGCATAGGCCTCTCCTCCCCAGCCTTCCATTCTGCCCACGGCCCCTTCATACTCCCAACCAAGACTGCTGTGATTGTGTGTTTTTGGCCAAGCACCAACAAGTCCCCCCGCCCCCCCTCACTCACCATCTCCCCTCCATCCATTCCCAGGGCAGAATGTTTGCAGCGAGGGGTGTCCCCCTCCAAAGCCCACGGCCTGGGCTCCAACTTGGTCACTGAGGTCCGTGTCTACAACTGGTTTGCAAACCGCAGGAAGGAGGAGGCATTCCGGCAAAAGCTGGCCATGGACGCCTATAGCTCCAACCAGACTCACAGCCTGAACCCTCTGCTCTCCCACGGCTCCCCCCACCACCAGCCCAGCTCCTCTCCTCCAAACAAGCTGTCAGGTAAGCAAAGGTTGGGCCTCACTGCCTCGGCAACCCAACCATCCTGGTTCTTGCCACGGATCTTATCTGGTTTAAGGGTTTTCAGAGGAGCAAACGCTTTTGAGATGATCCTAGGGCCGCTCTCTCATTGCCAGAATATACTCCCCTGGAAATAATGTGTGGCTCTGATCAGTTTCCTCCAACTCCTGGTTCAGCCATTGCCCTGTGAGGGCTCACTCGGCTTCCAGGGAGCCCTTTACCCTATTTGTCTCCTTCCCTCTTCTTCTCCCTGTGTGGCTGCTGACTCAGCGGTCATTCTACACTGAGGAGGCTGCCTTATGGGTGGGCCAGATCCAAACCGCAGGCAAACGGGTCGTGATGGCGTGGCAACCCTCACTGTGTTGGAGGATGGCACTCCGGCCACCTCCTCCATCTCTGGCCATATCCTGCCCCTCGCTCGGTCCGGCTGCCTCAGGAGAAGCTCAGTAGCCTTTGGGGACGGCCACTCTGTTGGTGGCCTCTGCTTGTTGGCTTCCGTGTGTCATCAGGGTTGGTGGGGGTCAGTCACTTGAAATCTTTGCAGCAATGAGTTGGGAAAAACTGACCGAGTACCTGCTCCATCATGCTTGATTGAGTGCTCCTGTGTGCTGGGCCCTGGCCTGGATTAGAATGCCTCTGCTGTGGGCTTTGGGTTTGTCAGGATGGAATCCTACAGCCTCCTTGGGGGAAAGCACACCTCATGCTGAGCGCTGTGTTAGGCACAGGCTGGGATGGAGCACTTCTTCTGGTCCTTCATTCTTCTGGCAAAGCTGGCTTCCTAGAATGGATGTGCTCACTGGGGTCTGTGTGGTGCCCATGAGGACAAAGTGTAGCAGCCTCCTGCCTGCTCCAAGAAAAGGGCTTGCGAAAGGAAAGCCAAACACTGTTTCTAACTCAGGGGTGATTCTGAAACCTGTTGGCTCCCCTCACCTGTCGGTTGCCCTTCTGATGAGAAAGGCCTGAGGGCTGGGGGCTGACCCAAGTGTTGAGGGGACCAAAGCCACCAAGACAGGCTCGGAGCCATCAGCTGGGTGGTGTACAAGCATTTGTTCCATGCCTGCTGTGCCCTCCCATAGCACTGCCTCTTCCAGGGCCTCTGGGAGCCTGACAGTGCCCAGCATGAAGGTGGGGCCAGTGCTGGGGGTTTCTGTAGGTCCCACTCCCACAGAGGAGAGAGGCTCAGCCACACAGGAAGAAAGTCTTGGTTACTTAAGAGGCAGAGAAGCCCCTAGGCAAAGACTGGCCTGATTGCAGAGTAACTTCGCCCCTTTAGGGAAATTCAAAGCAGGGTTCTGAGGGTTGTGGCAAATGGCACATGGCTGGCACTGAGCAGTACCAGTGTGCTTGCCCACCACAGCGATCCACGGAGCTGAAGCTGGGAGCTACAGGGGGCGTGGTTGGGGCAAGGGGCATTACTGGGAAGACAATGGCCATTGTGTTGGGACCTGTGATCTCCACACCAAAGTCAGGGAGCCTGGAAGCCAAACAAAGGCCCAGCAGCCTTCTGACAAGCAAGGGCTGTGCTGAGGTCACCACGGGGTCGTTGGTTTAGGCATCCTGTGTGCTGACAGGAGACCCAGAGAGCTAGGGCTGGAGGGACAGGGAGCAGGGCAGAAAACACAGCCTGTGTACTCCTCTGACTGGAGTCTAGGAAGGGCGTGTCCCATGGGAAGTGGATACTCTGGGGTGCCCCTGAAGTCTGGATCTTTCTAAAAATCTTGTAATGTTAGAATTTGGAGGGAATTTGAAGAAAGGAACTGAGGCCCAGAAAGAGGCAGTGATTTGCCAAAGTGACACAGAGCAATGGTAGCAAAACAAGGACTAGAGCTCAGGCCTGCTGGTTCCCACTCCATACTTTCCCACAGCACTACGATGTGTTGAATGCTTACCAAGTCCTGGGAATATGCTAGTGATGTACGAGCTGCGCGTCCTGCCCTCTGGGAGGTTACTGTCTGGTAGGAAGGATATCGGGTCACTGTCGAGTCCCCAGAACCAGCTGCAGATGGAGGTTTTGTTTGGGGGCTTTGTGGATCTTTCTGCGGTGTAATAGATCCTATTACTGTTTCTGGAGCAACAGTTATGGGACACTGAATATTATCAGTGGCTGCCTTTCTTCTGTCTTTTTTTTTTTTTTTTTTTTTTGAGAGACAGGGTCTACCTCTGTCACCCGAGCTAGAGTGCAGTGGTGCAGTCTTGGCTCACTACAGCCTCGAACTCCTGGTCTCAAGCAGTCCTCCTGTCTTAGCCTCCCAAAGTGCTGGGATTACAGTTGTGAGATTGTGCCCAGCCCTTCTGCTTTAATTTTCACTCTGGGCTCCTCAACATGGTCCTTGTCCCAAGCCCAGGGACTGGCTTCTCTTTCTCTGAGTGTAGTTATGTATCTGGGTTCTAACCAGTAAGGTTATAACTGTGGCTAATTCACATAACTTCTCTGAGTCTGAATTTCCTGCCTACAAAATGGAGAAATAGGACCTTCCACACAGGGTGCATGTGAGGATGAAAGGAGTGAATGTATAAAGACACCTTTCCCGATAACCCATACTACCCTCATTATGACTCTTAACATTAGAGAGGGCTAAACAAGGGCAGTGAGAAGACTGGCAGGCAGCAGAAATCATTTTCTTTTTGATCTCACACACCAGGGCATTCCCCCTAAGAGGCAGTGAGATGTAGCCTGGCCCTGGAACTAGAAACAGAGGTGGCTGCTGTGCTAGTGCCTGAGATGCACGATGCTGGGGTCAAAGACTTGTGTCCCCACCTCAGGCTGCCAGGATGGCGTGTGTGCCGTGACAGGGCTCCCGAGTCATGCACTCAGGCAGACAGCAGGCTGGAGCCCAGCATTCAGGGGTGGCTTCTGTCTGTAGAGCCGCATGGCACTCTTCCCACCTCAGTGCCCACAGCCAAGGTAGGGTCACTAACCAAGCCAGAAACGTAACTGTGTGCAGAATACCGAAAAAAAAAAAAAAAAAAAGGCCGGGTGCGGTGGCTCACGCCTGTAATCCCAGCACTTTGGGAGGCCGAGGCGGGCGGATCACGAAGTCAGGAGATCGAGGCCATCCTGGCTAACACAGTGAAACCCCGTCTGTACTAAAAATACAAAAAATTAGCCGGGTGTGGTGGCGGGTGCCTGTAGTCCCAGCTACTTGGGAGGCTGAGGCAGGAGAATGGCGTGAACCCAGGAGGCGGAGCTTGCAGGGAGCAGAGATCACGCCACTGCACTCTAGCCTGGGTGACAGAGCGAGACTCCGTCTCAAAAAAAAAAAAAACGCTCTGTGGGCTAGGTGTGGTGGCTCACACCTGAAATCCCAGAACTTTGGAAGGCCAAGGCAGGCAGATCACTTGAGGTCAGGAGTTTGAGACCAGCCTGACCAACATGGTGAAACCCCATCTCTACTAAAAACACAAAAATCAGCTGGGCGTGGTGGCAGGTGCCTGTAATCCCAGCGACTCCGGAGGCTGAGGCAGGAGAATCGCTTGAACCCGGGAGGCGGGAAGTGGAGGTTGCAGTGAGCCGAGATGGGCCACTCCACTCCACTCCAACCTGAGCAACAGAGCAAGACTCTGTCTTAAAAAAAAAACAACAAAAAAAACTCCATGTTGCTGAGGAGAGCCCAAAATCCACCGTCAGCACTAGCAACCCCAAAGACTGAGCTGGGGGGAACAAGGCCCGAATCCCTCCACACCCACTCTCCACGCTCTCCCCTCTCCAAACATCAGCACCTGAGCCAGGAGGGCTGGCAGCACCTTGGAGACGAAGCTTCCCCAGAACCCTCTTCCTAGAGAGGAAGAGCAGCCTTTCTCTAACAGCACCTTCCCTCCCAGCCATGCTTACCATGCTGTGGCCCACTTGCCCACGATGACCACGGTGTGACCCTAGTCCTGGAATGTCCGGCACAATAGGGGTGGCAGGAGGAGCACTCTGCCTCTGTCAGCGGCTGATTGGTTACAAGATGCCCTACAAACACACTGTCAGCAGAGTCAGCTGTTTCCAGCGTTGCCCCTCCTTGGCTTTACAATCACACACCAGCATGCAGCCAAGGGTTGTCATGGCTTTGTCTCCCTTATGCATGCTTAATTGACAATTAAGTTGGGGCTTTGAACCAGCCTGGCTGCCGCTGCTGGGCCTTCATCTTTCCAGGGAGTGTCACAGGGGCACCCTTTGTTTGCTCTTCTTGGGGGCCTGAAGTTACTGTAGCAGGCTGCAGGCAGCCATTTATCTTCAGCCTGGAAGGCCTTTATCCGCCCCCACCCCCTATTCCAGCTCTTGGCCAGCAGGAGCTGTCCCTGGTTATAGGCTCCATGACAGCCCATTCTGAAGCCATTGAGCAGGTCTGGAGTGATGGCCTCTACCTCCCTTCTGGAGATGAATCAAGAGAAAGGCCCCTAAAAGGTCAGAGGGCAGGGCGGCAGCAAGGAGAAGGACTGGTTGGAGCCTGGTGCTTGTATTGATTGGCTCGAGGAGGAGGAGGAGGAAGTTGGCGCGGGATGGAAACTTGGCTAGCCTTGGCCCAAGCTGTGGTATCTGCTGTGTGATCTGTGGCGACCTTGCTCCCTGTACCCTTTGCTCTAGTCGGCAGCAAGCTCACCTGGCCACTACCTTGAGGAGGAGAGGAGGGGTAAAAGGTCTTCATCAGCCTCCGCTCTCCCACGCATGATGTCCTCACTCTTGTGTCACCTTTGAGAGGGAAGGGGGGACTTATTCTCCTGGAAAGAAAGTGAGGCACAAAGAAAAAGAGAAGAGGCCCTGCCAGGAGGACTTTCAGGGGTCCCGAACCATAGCCCCTTCACCAAAGAGGAGACATTTATTTCTGTGGCTGCTGCTCCTCCCTTTCGCTGAACTCTATTCCTCCCTCTCCAAGCCCAGTGGACTTGACTTCCCTGATGTGGCTTAGAGCTTGAAAAACAGAGAATCCTGCCTCCTGCCTCTCGCTCATCCCCCTTCACAGCCCCTCCCAGGTTACCTGAGGGAATCTAACCCTGGGTCTCAGACCAGCCAAACTCTGGGCCAGGGTACCTATGTGAATGCTGTTGTTTTCCCTGGCACTGAATTCTGCAGGACACGAGGAAATCTCCAAAGTGTCCAGTGGCAAGGTAGTGACTCAACGAGAGGAATTCTAATGGCCAGTGTTGATGGAGCACTTCCTTGGTCCCAGGCCCTGGGCCGAGTTCCTCCATGCATCATCTTATGTGACCCACACAACAGCCCTGCAGAGTAGGAGCCATCTCTAGTGTCATCTTCATTTTACAATCAAGAGAAGTGAACTATTTAGAATGGAAGGCATGTGCCCAAGTTCATATTCTTAGTAAGTGGTGGGGAGAGGTTTTGAGCTGTTGCACACTGTCCATCTCTTTTTGCTTTATGCAGATGCTAAGAACTTTTCAGGCACTAAACCCAACACAGAGAGAGAGAGAGAGAAAGACACACACACACACACACACAGCCCCCAGCAGTTCCTTTTCCCACATTCCTACTGTTCCCCTCTAAATGACACTGAGGCTTTGGGAGATCATGGCCAAAGAGGTGGGGTAAGGGTGAGAGTCTCCCATTCTGGGTAGTTTACTACTTCCTCCCCAACCACTGCCCCTGACCAAGGTGGATTCTGTGCCCTGCCCAGGCAAGAAATCAAAGCCCCCTCTTTCATGACCCCATCCCCATTTGTGTGGGGATTTGAACTGCCCTTGCAGTCGGCACTGTCTGGACTACTAAATGCCTTAACAACTTAATGGGGCTTCTGAGACAGTGCAAGCACCTCAGCTCACCTCTGGGAGCTCCGCCCCCTCCCTGGGCAGCAGACAGCGGGAGGGGTTTATGAGGGTAGTTGTAAAAATATTCATCTCAGCAGCAAAGTTCCTCACGGTAAATAAGGCCCATTGTCCTTAAGTAGCAGATTATTTCAGTTCAGAAGAGAGACAAATCCTGCCTTGAAATGTCTGCTATTCTAGGAAACACATTCATACTGACTTGAGGTTTAGTGGCGGACATGGGTGGCTCCAGCATTCTCCTTCTTAGGGACTTTATCTGAGTGCCATTTTATCTCTTGAATTTGAAGGTCATTTTATCTTGTGGGTACCACCCCATCAGCTGCCACTGGGTTGGGGAAGACAATCAGGATATTAATGAGATTAAGAGGCCTAGCCTTCAGGGTGTTCTGCTGTCAGCCTCCCTCTGATAGGGGACCAGCCCTGGTCTGCATACAAAGAAACCAGGCTGCTGTGCTCGTGGGGCTCCAAGCCTCTGCACAAAGGGGCCAGGAGATACTGGAGTCCTATCACCAAAGGGTCATGCCTAATCCGCCTGAAGGATCCTTAGACGATTCAAGGACTCCTTGCCGCCTCCAGTGAGCTCTGAGGAGGAAGGAAGCTGCCTGCAAGCACACAGCCCTGGCCTGCAGCTTATGGGAGAAGTGCTCTTGGAAACTGTTGAAGGTTTGATGAGAAGCGACAGGAACTTGGAGAGAATTAGGTATTACAGGTGCAGAGAGAGGCAGAGATCTGTGCAAGGGCCTTTGAAGCTACCTGCTTAATGGAATGGAACAAGATCTGGCTTTATGCCTCTACCTATTTTTTAGGGGGAAGTATAAACACAAATGAAGAGGAGAGAGAGAAATATACATACATATATATGTATTATATATATATACACACACACACACACACACACACACACACACACGCATACATATAGAAGTTATATATATAAAAGGAATGCAGCCCACAAATAAAGTCAGATCAATTAGTCAGTCATGGTTATTATCCTAGCTATTCATAAATTCTCTAGAACAGGGATTGACAAACTTTTTCTGTAAAGAGCCAGATAGTAACTATTAAGTACTTTAAACTATTCAGTTGTAATTACTCAACTGTGCCTTTGTAGCACCAAAGCAGCCATAGACCATAGACATGGAAGTGAATGAACATCACTGTCTTCCAGTCAAACTTTATTTTATGGGGACTGAAATTTAAATTTCATATAATTTTCACATATCATCCTATAGTCTTTAATTGATTTTTTCTCAACTGTTTAAAAATGTAAAACCCATTCTTAGCTTGTGGGTCATACAAAAACAGGCTGCTTTGGCCAACAGACCAGTTTGCTGACCCCGCTGTAGGACAATAGTTCTCAAATGTGGCCACACTTTAGAATCACCCGAGGGAGTATTTAAAAATCCCAGTATCCAAGCTGCACCCTGGACCTGTCAGAACAGCTGGGGAGTGGGACTACATATCAGTAGTTAAAACTTTCTAAGTGATACCAATGTGTAGCTAAATTTGAGAACCAGTTCTAAGGTTCTCAAATTTAGCTTCTCAAATGTTAAAGTGCATGCCAGTTCCCTGGGGTGGGGGGTGTTAGGATACAGATTCTCATTCTATAGGCCTGGGGTGAGGCCTGGGTTTCTGCATTTTCAACAAGTTCCCAGGTGCTGTTGAAGAGGATGGTCTGGGACACACTTTTGAGTACTGGAGTTGGATTAGCAACTAACTCCCCTTTGCCTCCCAACCTGTGTAATTTGCCTCACCATCACCAGCCTTGACATCTAATATGGGGAAATGCTCTTTTAAATCCAGCCAGCACAGTGACAAAATTACAGGCTATGGAGGCAGACCCAAATTCCAACCTTCACTTTGGCACTTACTGCTGTGTGACCTTGGGCAAGTCTCTGGAATCTCTGTGCTTGCCTCTTGAGGTGTGGAGACATCCACTCATGCAGATGCTGGAAGAATTAAATAAGATAATATATATGTAAAACACTCCAGACATACCAGATTCTCATAAATAGTAGCTGTTACCATTCCTTGCAGAGACTTGGGGGTTGTTTCTTTGTTTTTTTGTTTTTTTAGTTTTTTCCCTCTTTCCTTGTCCTTCTTGGAGGTTTCATTCAACCTTGATTTTTAAAGAATTTGAGTATCTCCAACTAGATATTCATCTTGGTGTTTGCAGCAAACTTAGGCTGGCTTGTTGCAGCACATTGGGTATGAGGCAATCTCCTGCTCTTCCTAGGACTTCTCTGTGACATCCACAAGGCATATTGAGTGCCGTAAGGCATTTAGTACAAATTCAGGAAACAGTGAGGGGAAGCTGGGAAGACCATGGATTGGTGGGGGCAGAGGGGAGGGTCATGACCATGTAGCAGGAGGTCAGGTTCATGATGTTCATGAAGTCGAGATGACCATGAATTTCCTGTAACTAACAGGGCATTTTTCTTTTTTCTTTTTCTTTTAATTTTTTTTTTTGAGACAGAGTCTCGCTATCTCCCAGGCTGGAGTGCAGTGGCGCGATCTCGGCTCACTGCAAGCTCCGCCTCCCGGGTTCACGCCATTCTCCGGCCTCAGCCTCCCGAGTAGCTGGGACTACAGGCGTCCACCACCACGCCCGGCTAATTTTTTGTATTTTTTTTTTTTTAGTAGAGACGGGGTTTCACCGTGTTAGCCAGGATGGTCTCCATCTCCTGACCTCGTGATCTGCCCGCCTCGGCCTCCCAAAGTGCTGGGATTACAGCCGTGAGCCACCGCGCCCGGCCATTTTTCTTTTTTAATTAAAGGAGGTGTGAGTACTCCTCTCATGTGTATTGCTTGTTAGTAATTAGCCCTGGGAACCTGCCAGGTAGAGGGGTGTGGGATGTTCCTGGTGGAGGCTGCATCTGGGAAGCTTAATGGCCCCCAAACGTCAGGCGAAGGAGCATTTAAGAAGGAGAAGGTGCACACAGCCCCACGGTGAGCAAAGGGAAACCTCAGAGCTCCTAAGGGCTGATTTTCTGGAAACCACTTCCCTCAACCTGTGAGCATGCGTCTGCTTCAGGTACCTTCCTGTTACCCTATGCTCCAACTTCAGCAGCCTCCGCAATAGCACACTTGCGTGAGTTCAGCCACTGAGGAATCAACTGGCAAGGGGGGACTCGATGCTTCCAATGCTTTTGGGAAGTCAAGAGTCAGTTTTCTCAGGACTTGTACTCTGCATGTTCTTCCTAAGTTGGAGAAACACCTTGCAGATGGTCTTTAGCATGTAGACTTTCCCAAGGGAAGCCTACCTGAGCCAAGGTGAGCTGGTTATGGCCAGTCCCTTCTCAGGACCGGATTCAGATGCGTGTGTCTGGGTAGCCCAGTATAGCACCCAAATCAGGCTTGGCTTGGGTTGTGGTTCTGTCACTATCCGGCAGTGTGACCTTAAGTTATTAGCTTCTCTGTCCCAATACCTATCCCCTTAGGGGTGCAATGAGGCTTAAATATGATCAGACACACCCAGTGCCAAGCACAGTGCCTGGCAAGGAAGGTTAGCTGCCATTACAGTATTATTGAATTGACTCAGAAACTTCAGGGTGTTGAGAGAACGGAAGAGCTTGGGTTCTCCCTGGGTTCTTGACAAGGGTCTTACCTTGTAGTTTCAATCGGGAAGGATTTCCCTTTCCATGAACCCTGCTTGTCATTTGAAACATCAGAAACAATGAACTAAGTATTGGCAAGATCTGTGGTTCTCAAATCTCTCTCCAGACCACATAAAAATCATCCAGGGAGCTCATTAAAAATAGACATGGCTCCCTCCACCCACGCACACCTTTGGAGTCAGAATTGAGAGATGAGGGGTTCACAGGCATAAGAACTTTCGACAAAAGCCCTAAGAGATTCACGTAGAGTCCCAGCTACTTGTGAGGCTAAGGTAGCAGGGTCACTTGAACCCAGGAGTTTGAGGCTGAAGTGAGCTATGGCAGTTGGGTTGTAGACAACAAGGAACACAGGCTGCTTATTTTTGTCTCCTTCTATAAAACACCTTGAGATAAATTAAGCACTTTGTGCCCATTGGCGCCACTGCAGTACAGCCCGGGTGACAGAGTGAGACCCTGTCTCTAAAAAAAAAAAAAAAAGAGAGAGAGATTTGGATGCATAGTCAGGGTTGACATTACTAGGCCAGATGGAGCAGGAGAGTTCTGAAGGGGTTGAAGGTAATCCTCATGGCCCCTTGCTGAAATGGGAAAAGAGAAGCAGCCGGGGTGAGGGGCCTTGGACTAGGATTCAGGAGATCAGAGCCACCAATGAGCAAGGGTGACCTTGGGTGAATCATTTAACTTCCTGGGAATTCTGGCAAATGAGGGTGTGGGATGAGGGCCTTTCCACTCTGACAGGCTATTATTTGAAGACTGTGTGTGGCATCCAGTCTTGGGGCCCAGGACTCCGCAGCTTGGAGTGCAGAGGGAGGCTTGCCATTGTGGTATTTTATTGTGAAACTCATCATTGTCTCTCTCTCCTTCTCTCCCTCACTCCCTCGCTCCTTCCCCGTTTCAGGAACTGTGTGCTGTTAGAAGCCTTCCACCTTTATTAGGGATCATTAGAGCTTTACGACACCAGCAGATTGGGTGGGGCCAGTCACAATAAACAGATTTATAATGGGTATAAACGAGACACCTATAACTGCTAGAGGTTAACACTTTGAGGGCTTCTGAATAGCAGCTGGCATGCCCATGCCTTCTGGCCCTGTCCACTGCAGGGTGCCTCTTCCTGCTTGGCACCCATTGGACTGGGTTGGCAGTGAAGTCTATGTGAGTTCTTGTTCAGCAAGAGTGGAAAACCCTTAAACAACATCTCCTATTTGTGTAACATCAGTTTGCACGATGGGCACAAAAGTGCTTAATTTATCTCAAGGTGTTTTATGGATGGAGACAGAAATGAGCGGCCGTTCTTCTTCATTGTCTACAACCCTACAGCCAGGGGAACTAGAGGGTTTGCATCCCTACCTGTAAACTTCAATCTCACCGTGAAGAAGAAGGTCCCTGAAGTCTCTGAACACCTTGCTCTGTATGTATGTATTCTGAGTGGCAGAATTGTGGGCTGTACCAACATCTGAGCCTGAGGTAGCTTTCTTCATCATTGTGTCTCCAGCCCATAGCCCTGTGCCTGGCACATGGTAGACACTCCATATATTTGTGAAATAAAGATATCTATTATAGAAGGCTTCCTGTCAAAGCATATGCAGAAACCCCCTGTTTTATAAATTTGGTATTCAGTTTAAGAATTAAACTGAGCCTAGGATTAGTTTTGTTTTATATAGCATATATGTGCTATATAATTATATATATATGTATATATAAAGGCATATTTTCTCTTCTCTAGAAACAGTGTCACCCAGCTTCAACCCTATTAACACTGCTTAAGTATACAGTTCACAAATTAATGTCGACATTTAATGTTACCAGAAAGTTTTCAAAGAACGTATCATGAGTTTCTCCCTAATGTTCTACTAGTAAACTAGTCTACTCATTTAATTTAGTTCTACTAGTTACTTTAATGTTCTACTACTTTCATTCATTTTAAAATCTCTTACCAGGATCCCTAGGGCAAGAAAAGAGCAAGAACGTCTCCTCTTTTGTTTCCTTTGAGCAAAATGAGGTCTAGAAAAGGGACTGGACTACTGCAAATCAATTATCTGGACAGACAGAAACAAAACTGCCCTGCTCTGGGCAGCCATTAGGTCTCTGGTGGTGCTCCCTGAGCACTTGGCTGGTGCTCCTATCTCAGTGCCCAACACCTGGTGTTGCTTGGGACGAGCCTCCTTGGGCCTGCCGGTGATCGGCAGCTATCTGTCATGATGATGGTGATGATGATGGTGATAATGATACTGATGGAGATGCCCTCTGTGACAGTGATGAAGAGGCTGGGATCTGGCCAGGCAAATCCCTATCACAAGGCAGCTCTGACACTTGCCAGACCTCAAAGGATCTTCTCCCTGGGTATCATCTCCCAGTACGGTCTTTGTTATGAATAGGCTGTGGTGGAAAACCTCTCTTTTCTAAGGCAATTTTATTAGCCCTTCAGTCACAATACAGATGTCTGTTTATAGGACCTTACTTTTGTGTGGACACCCAGTGGCTCAGTCTGCTGATGGCTTTATAGCCTTTCTCCCTTTGCCCAGACCCACTGGGAGCATCACCATTCTCCTTGTCCACTAGGCCTAGAGGCCTTTGTTGCAGCCATATTATCTCTGCCTGCAAAGGCAGCTGCTCAGAAAATACCAGACCCTGGGAGCCAGACTGCAGAAGGGCACTCTGTGTCCCCACAGCCTTTAGGCCTAACGATGTCCACCATTAACCCTTCTTAGTTTTACTCTAGTTTCTTTGGAGAAAGGGGCATTTAAAAGTTATTCATGTTGCCACAGTAAATTCCCATTAATTGACTCTTCTCCTTATCCCCAAATCAACCCAGTAGCCCCCAAACTCGGTTCTTCAAATGTGAAACTGCCCAAGTCTATCAATACTGTTTCTTCAATTTTGATTGTATTTTAATCTCTCTCTCCTCTTCTCTTACTCCTCTTTCTTCCTCCTTAAAAAGAATGCTTGCCTCTCCTTGCCCATGGAAAAACAGGGAGGGGAGGCCAAAGCAGAAGGACTACTTGAGCCCAGGAGTTTGAGACTACCCTGGGCAACATAGACCCCCCCATCTCTTCAAAATAATAATAACAATAATAATAATAATAATATTAATAAATTAGCCAGGCATGGTGGCATGTGCCTGTAGTCTCAACTATTTTTGGGGGCTGAGGTGGGAGGATTCCTTGAGCCCAGGAGTTCAAGGCTGCAGTGAGCTGTGATTGCACCACCACAGTCCAGCCTGGGTGACAGAGCTAGAGCTTGCCTCAAAAAAGAAAAGAAAAACTGGGAGATTTAGAGGATAAATGGACATACTCCAGTCACTTCACCACCACTCAACTCAACAGTCTAAAGGTGAAAGTGATGTGGAGTCATCAGTCAGAGTTTAAGCATAGGTTATTCATTCATCATTTACTCCTTCAATAAATGTTTACTGAATGCTTAGCATGACTCTGCCAAGAAGAAAATGGAGAATACAGACAAGGTCCTGCCCTCATGGGGCTTACATTACAGTGAGGGATGCAGCCAAGGAACAAGTAAACAAACCTGCAAGATCATTTCAAGCTATTAGTGGGTCGTGATGGGGAGGCTCTACATATCTGGAGCCCATTTGGGGCTTAGGAGGAAGAGGGAGAAGGGTCAGCTTTGGAATACCACGGACTTGCTGGGAGACCCCCTAGCAAGGAGCGGTGCAAACAACCTTGTCCTCTCTGAACCTCAGTTTTCCACTCTGTCAAATGGGTGCTTGTGACACATTGAGAAGCAGATGGGTGTAACATACTCTCAGATGTGAGGACTGCCCAAGTTATCAAGTGCCAGGCTGGTTCCTTTTACCTACAGCAGCAATCTTCAGGCTGAAGTATTCATTGCAAACTGCCTGATGTTTGCCTGCAGAAACTGCCACTCTAGTAAGGATGAGGCGTGGTGGCCCAGGTAGACCTTGTGGGGGAGGACACACAGAGTTTCTGTTGGTCTTCTACCTCCCCACATGTGCAATTTTTTCAAGTGCACCATGCATGTTAGCTTCTGTTCTCAGCCAAGGTGCTTTTGATGAAAGATTTTTTTTTCTTTTCTTGGTTACATTTGCTTTGATTTTTTTTTTAAATAAGAAAACCAGTTTGTGGGCTTCCCTTAAGTATCACTCAACTTTTACTCCTTGAGTCAAGAATGTTTACTGTCCCTGCAGGCCTGTCTGTATTTCTCCTCTTATGAATTGAGCTCCTAACTAAGCCATGTTAGGTAGAAAGGGATCCGGAATTGAAACCAGCCCAGCATTTAAATTGCTTTCATCTTGCATCAGCTTTTTCTTCCACATTTGCAGATTTTTAATCTTCTAAACTCTTTGCAAACATGAATCTGTATCCTCTCAGAGGAGGAAATATTAATAAGAACTAGCAAAAGTCCAGTGCTACAAACAAGGAAACTGAGGCAGCAATGCTAACTCATTCGAAAGCTTTCATTTCTGGAGTTCTCAATTTCAAGCCAGGGAATTGTTCACATTCTTTTCTTCCAAATGGGCCTCTCAGAAGTTCACCAGACAGAATCATTTGTCTCTCTGCCTCTGTCCTTAAGAAAAGTAAAGTGTTTAGGGAGAAGGTAGAGTTATCAGGACACAGTACTGGGTCCATCAAGCCTGGCCCAGTCTCTCCCTGTCATCTCCCCAACATAATGATTTGGCTTCATAGAAAAGATGGCTGTGTCTACTCATAATTTATGAACAATGAACATAGTTATTACCTTTTGGAAGAGCTTTCTCCTTCGCATGCTCTCTCCTGCCTGAGTTTAAATTCCCAGTTTCTAGACCCAACAGGGCTGGGCTGCACTCTGCATGAGGTTAGAAACACAGGGGAAGAATGTGTGTGACAGAGCCCCAGCCAGTTGAGTAATGTTTACTCTGTTGGTGGCTGGGACGCTCACTTACGCTGGCAGAGGTCCACCAGCCAGAGGAACATTCCTGCATTATCAGGGATGGGAGGTTGGCTCTGAAATGTCAAGGGTGAAAGGCATCCCACCAGATTCTGGGTGCAGCTCATAGACTTCAGTGAAAGGAACCCCCAGGTTTCAGTGCCAAAAGCCACATCGTGGGCAAGCTGAGCCCCACATTGCCCAGGAATCCCCACTTTCCTCATTTCTTCTTACTAAAAGAACAATTCTGGTCCTGTTTTCTTTGTTGACATTGCTCTTCTGTTTACCCAGCAGAACCAGTGCATCTCTGACATTATTTTATTCATTCATTATTCTGGCTTGTGAAGAAGGAATATCTGTGTGCCCCTTTCACAGACAAAAATGCCAAGGCTCAAAAGTTAACTGACCCAGAATCATCAGAGAGTTATGGCAGAGAGAGAGAGAGAGAGAGAGAGAGAGAGAGAGAGAGAGAGAGATTGTTAAAGTGTCTAGAGGCTGGTGCCCAGTTGATCTCTGGAATCATGGAATTCCATGATTTTTTGAAGCTCTTAGAGCTGAATTAAATCGCCAGGGGCTCTATGAGCTGTAGCTCTAAGGCCCTGAAGCACAGGTTTCTGCAAAGTCTCTGGTGAATGGCACCCTGAGCAGCTCCTCTCTGGGGTCCTCCTGCAAGGCAGTCATGTTTGTCTTTGAACACACAGGCGCAGTAGGGTCTATATAACCTGACATATGCAGCCTAAAAATCACCAGAGTTTGCTAAGCCATGTGATAAGAACCACAGGGCTTACGGGAAAAACAGGATTAAAAACACAACACTTGAGGCCGGGCGCAGTGGCTCATGCCTTCAATCCCAGCACTTTGGGAGGCTGAGGCGGGCGGATCACTTGAGGTCAGGAGTTTGAGACCAGCCTGGCCAACACGGTGAAACTCTGTCTCTACCAAAAATACAAAAATTTAGCTGAGCGTGGTGGTGGGCGCCTGTAGTTCCAGCTACTCAGGAGGCTGAGGCAGGAGAATCACTTGAGCCCGGGAGGCGAAGGTTGCCGTGAGCCGAGATTACGCCACTGTACTCCAGACTAGGTGACAGAATGAGACTCTGTCTCTGAAATAAACTTTTTTAAAAAGCACAACACTTGAAAACTTCCTCAGCGACACATTTTGTTTGTTTTGAGATGGAGTCTTGTTCTGGTCACCCAGGCTGGAGTGCAGTGGCACGATCTCAGCTCACTGCAACCTCTGCCTCCCAGGTTCAAGCAATTCTCCTGCCTTAGCTTCCTGAGTAGTGGGGATTACACCACTATGCCTAGCTAATGCGCGTACCACCATACCCAGCTAATTTTTGTATGTTTAGTAGAGACAGGGTTTCACCATGTTGGCCAGGCTAGTCTCGAACTCCTGACCTCAAGTGATCCACCTGCCTCGGCCTCCCAAAGTGCTGGGATTACAGGCATGAGCCACCGTGCCCGGCCAACACATTTTTAAAAGATAAGAATCCAATAAAAAGATTACCAGAGTTTTATACCCGTTAAATAGTTAAGAAATATATCAATGCTATACAATAGTAAATATGGCAAGTTTGCCTAGGGAAGTGGGCATCAGAAGTGCTGCGGGTTGTGAGTTACTGTGAAGCAGTGGAGAAAGGGTTATCTGACATGGGAAGGAAAAGATGTGACTCCATATTGCATGGATGTGTCTTACCAGTGCACACAGTGGACCGAGGCGGCTGGTGGATGTTTGAGGTGCGCATATGTACACACAGGAGCATTGTTAGTATTCTCCTATGTGGTTCCATTCAGCTGGATGCAGGCTTCTGAATTCACTAAGTGTTTTCCAAATGTGAAATTGACATTACACTCAAATTATCCCCAATATGTCTATATAATTGGAACAGATTTACACTTTCACTACAATAAATACACAACTGACTGTATTTTCTACTTCTGCTAGACGTGATGCTCCTTGTCTGGGGCATGGGTGCTCAAAGCTGCTGGGGTTTCATTCCTTCAGTCAATAAATATGCACAGTACCAGGCAGTCTGCTAGGCTATAAGGATGCAACAAGTAAAGACTCATCTCTTTCTTTAAGAGGCAGAGAAAAGTAAACATATCATCAGCGTGCATGCAGGGTGACTGACTCCTGCCGTAAGTCTCTGTCTAGTGCATGTAAAATACAAAGGAAGGAGCAGCCATCTCCCAGGATGAATCAAGAAGAGCTTCACAGGGGGGCGACATGTGACACGAGATGCTTTCCAGGCAGAGGAAACAGCAAAGGTGCAGAGGCAGGAGATGGTCAGGCCATTTGAGAAGTGCATTAAGATTGTGGTGAGAGATAATGCAAATAAAACAGATGAATCACAAAGGCCCAGTTCTGCCAGTCTCAGGTGTTGGGGCTTTTCTGGAAAGCAGTGAGGAGCCATCAGATGTTTCCAAGCAGAGCAGAGGCATGGTGTGACTTTGTTTTAGAAAGATATCCCAGGCTGCAGCAGTGTGAAAGGACCCTAGAGACGGTGCTGGCACAGGAAGGCAGAGCAAGGATGCTGGCTTCTTGGAACCATGCACCTGTGCCATGCCTTTGGCACTTCTGACCAGTCATATTGGATAGAAACCGAATGATCTGCGTCTGTATCCAGGAATAGCCCAACACCCATGATGCTGATGCCTAGGAATAGAGGAAAGTAGATGATCTACTCACCAGGGCCTCAGGGATGTCTCAACTCCACCTTGGATGGCTTTTGCTGCTGGACACAATTGCTGTGGTTCATAGAGCCAACAATGGGGATGGGGCCAGTGAGTGGCTTGAGCTAGGAAGTAAGTAGAAGGTGAATGGCTACCATCTGCCACTGTCATTTCTCCTATGGGTCCTCTGTGGCTATTAACCTGGCATCTTTGGTTAATCAATATTAAACCAGAGCCCTTGTCATATGTTCACTTTAAGAACTTGCATTGGTGAAGGAAGAAGGGAAGATGCTATTCCATTTCTTAATGCTTCCTAACACAGTGCCTGGCACATGGTAGGTGCTCAATAAAGTGGCACGACCTCAGCCTTCCTAAAAATGTCTTTTAAACAAGGACAGTGCCAAAGTAGGAGGAATTGACGTGTTTTCAGCAACTGTTATGTGCCCAGCATGATCTGGGTATTTGGACATCCATTAACTCATTCCGTTCTCTTCCCAATGACCTGACAGATGGATATTGTTAACAGTAAGGAACTGAAGCTCAGGGAGGTTAAGTAACTTCCCAAGATCACACAGGTCTTACAGGGTAGAGCCAAGATTTAAACCCAGGTCACCTGGCTCCAGAGCCTACACACTTTGCACTTATTTTTGTTCTCACTTCAAGTGCTCTTCTGAGTTTTTGAAATATAGGAGGACTGGCCTCTCCTTCCTCTAACAAGAGCACCTATTTTTGGTGTACACCTTGTGATGCGCCCCCACCCCGCCCCCTCATAAGATGGCTGGCTGATTACAGCCACCCTCTCAGGGGCCAGTGATTGCCACATGCTTGGTGAGAGGAGCATCGTGGGAACACCTGCAGGTGGATCTGGGGCTGATGAGCAGCCTTGTGCCTGGCTCCCATCACACTGCTGTGACAATGGCCCCCTCCCCACAGTGGGCCGTCCTCTGGCTTATAGATGAGGAAGCTGGTGCTCACCCAAGAAATTGATAGCAGAGCTGAGATTAAAACAGGGATCCCCCAGTTTCCAGCCGAGCCTCTATCACTTAACCAGGGGCTTTTAAAGGAACGTTCAAAGGTCTAGGCTCATCTGTCTTTTGACAGAGCAGCTCCACCGTTATATTTCTTATATAATAAAGTTTTGTTGGGGAGAAAACAAAGTATAAAAACCACAGCAGCCTTGGAATATGCTGCCTGGATTCTAACAAATGGCTCTTGAGTCTCTCCTGACATGCTCCCTTGTAAAGAAGCCTTTTGTTTCCTGCGGAAATCCTTGGTTAATTATTTTTAAATAAATAATTGCGTAGCCTTTGGTAGGGGAGAAGCCTCCTTGTGACCCATATTTGATCATCAGAGGGCTGGCCCTTTTCCATCAGCCAAATTAAATAGGCTAAATCCAGAGACTGTTTGACTTGAGACTGAATCGATGATGGGGACAGGCTGGGAGGTGAAAACACAACTGACTCCCAGCGTTATCAACACTCTCTCAGGAGCAGAGCCTCTCGGGGAGGTAAATAGCTGGTTAGGGAGTCAGAGAAAGCAGGAGAAAAACAGGGTGAAGTCCAGTTCCTCCAAAAGAACAGAGCAAGAGGGCAGCGGCTAGACCTCTCTCCCAGGTTGCTTCCAGGGCAAAGCATCAGTGGTTCTGCCAGGGTAGGATTCTTTGGAAACTGTTCTCTACGGAAAGATAATTCCATTCAGTGTTTAGAATCTGTCCTAAGCCATCTAGAATTCTAGGATCTTAGGGCAAATATCTTGGGGTCCATTCCTGTACCAGCTTCCTCCCCACAGCATCCCCACCCATAGTTGCCATTTATATGGCATTTTGCAAGAAACTGTATAGATGTTACCTCTAATCCAAAAAGAGTCCTGTTGAGGAGGCATTCTCTCCATTTTTCTAGAGGAAACAAAGGCACAGAGAGGGAAAGTAATTTTCCCATGATCACAGATCTATTAAGAGCAGCATCAGAATTTGAACCTGAGTTGGTTTCGCTGCAGAGTCCATAGTCTTCCCACTGCCCCTCCTTGATAGAAAATTCTTCCTGTTATTTATTTGAAATCTGCCTCCCTGTTTTCCATTGAACCTAGCTCTGCCTTCAGAGCTCATAAGGTTCAAATCTCTTTCTTCTTTCATGTAACAACACTTTGAACTGTTGGAAGCATCCTACTGGGAACTGGGTGGCAGACGTGAAGAAAGAAGGCCTCATTTAATCCAATGGGATGGCATCGATGGCAAACAGGAGACGTGGGGGCTGCAGATAGGTGCACAGGAGGACAGGGGCCTGGGCACCGGCTGTTGACTTGGGGAGCTGAACGCTGTTCCTCCTTTTAACTTCATGATTTCTGTCCTTCCCAAAAAATGTAGTGCCTTAAACCAATACACCAATGCCAGCGCCATCCCACTGTCACCACCACCCCCACTAGCAGCTCCTTGATTCAAAGAATGGGGAAAATGGCCAATAGAAAAGCTCATAGAGCAAGCGTCAAGCCACTACATACTCAGACAAGTTGCTCTTGAAGGTTAGAACCCAGCTTTAGCATTTGTTTTGTTCTTTTCCCCAGCCCTCTTAAGCTCTAGGTCATATCGGCCTTGGGTAAAGTCCTTAGGAAGATCCAAGGAAAACTGGCTTGGGGCTCATCTAGTCTCATCTTGGTAAGCTTCATCTTGGTGAATTAGAGGCAGATTATGACACTGATTATGGCAGTGCCTGGCCCCTGGGGGAACTTTGTGGTCTCCTCTGGAAGGTGGGGCTCTAGCTAGGGCAGGGGGTGGGTGGATGAAAGAGCAACAACAGAATCAGTGTACAGGGATGGTTCATCTTGGGAAACTGGGCAAAGGAAGACGTGCAGCTAAAGAGTTGGTCCACCTATCCAGATAATTCCATGCCTAGAGCATTTGGTCTCTGCAGGACAGGGTCCTCCAAACCTTTTTGTCAAATCCAAAGCAAAAAACAAGAACACTGTCTTTCTAAGCACTGAGCTTAGGGGTGAGATGCCCCATGTACCCCCAACCTTGTCCTTGACTGTTTCATGGGCACATCAAGCAGGATTTCCATCTGCAAACTGGACCCAGGCGTTCTTTTAGCTTCCTTCAGTTGCCTGATCTCTGTCCAGAACTTTTCTTTCCTGAGAGCAGACCTCCATTTTGGTTCCCGAGCAAGAGGGAGGGTCAGAGCAGCGAGGTTGTAAACATGTTTGGTTCTACCCTTCCCCTGCAGAGCAAACTCCAGTGGTTTACTAAACATCCACATCTGCCTGTGTGTGGTGCTGCCTGCCCCACCTCCCAGCAGACACACCTTTCCCTGTGCCCTGGAAGGCAGCCAAATGGGACCCCCAGCAAAGGAATGTGAGTTCTACAGCCTAGCTCCTAGACGCAGCTTCATCCCTGTCCTGCTCTGCCTGTGTCCGTGCCCCTGACCTCTTGGGCCTGGCCACAAAGGTGGTACACAGAGACTGATGCCTAAGCTACGGCTCTTTCAAGGGTCACTGGACAAGGGCTTCTTCTTCGTCACATGGGTCTACTTATACTTTGCAGCACCACGAGGGATGCCAGGGAAACATTTCTAAAAGGCATTTTAAAGAATAAAAAATACTCCAGCCAGTAACAGAAGGCTAGTCTCAACCCCCAAATCCTCAAAGAACTGTGCGGAAGCAATAACAAACAGAATCCATCCAGTCATTCATTTATTCATCAGAAGTTTACCGAGTGGCTATTCAGTGCCAAGGCACTGGGGATACATCAGTGAACAAAACAAACGAGATAAAAATTTCCTGCCCTCGTGGCGCTTACATTCTAGAATTAAATAGAGAACATGCCATATTTACCCTGGAGAAAAGCAGCCGATATTTCTTGTGGGTGGACAGGGGAGGAGAAAGCAACTTTATTTTCTTATTACCCACCCTTGAAAACAAGAGGTGCCGAGTCATTGTTCCAGGACCCTGGTGGCACTAATGTTCCCTACTGGGTTTGTGTTGTTTTGCAGGAGTGCGCTACAGCCAGCAGGGAAACAATGAGATCACTTCCTCCTCAACAATCAGTCACCATGGCAACAGCGCCATGGTGACCAGCCAGTCGGTTTTACAGCAAGTCTCCCCAGCCAGCCTGGACCCAGGCCACAATCTCCTCTCACCTGATGGTAAAATGGTGAGTACACCTGGGCCATTGTCGCTCTGGAGCTGATAAGATAAGAGGCAAAACAAACACAACTTCTCACAAGGCCTGCCTCAAACAATGAACCATTGTAGCCCCATAGGGGAAAATGAGGGCTGTCCAGAGTCGGAAAGGAGAGGTAGTGCTGGTGACCCAGCCTTTGGCGGGTAGAAGAGGTGTTCGGTTTGAACCCAGCCAATAAATCTGACAGAGTTCTGCTCTCTTTTTATTGATTGAATGCCTCATAAAGGAGCAAGCCCGGTGGGACACTGTTTGTTTTGGGGCTTGCCAATGACATTTGTGTTGATAAAATGTTCATTCATCCCTCCCCCCAAGGCCTCCAAAGCCAATTTTTTAACTTAGAGAGCACCTCACTTTGACACAAGCCCCCTCTTCCTCCTTACCATCCCCTTGGTACTGACAAGAAGAGTCATTAGCAAGTCAGGATGTAGTGGATAGGAGGCGATGGGGAGAAGCTTCTTGAACTGGAACAGTGAAAGACATGGGACACCATGACAGCGAAGATCACAGCACAAATGGTAGATGGGGTGGGGCGATGCTTAGGGAGGGAGAAACACCAACTTTGAAGTTACAATTGCCCAGGTTCAAATCCCAGCTCCAGCTCTTAATAGCTGTGTAGCCTGAGCAGGTTACTCGACTACTTATGATCTCTTCCTCATCTATAAAATGGGGGCGGTAACAATAGACTTGGTGGGGGCATGAGCGTGATAACATTTGAGAAATACTCTGCAGTGTTTGCCATAGAAAATAGTCAATAAATTGCAGTATTGTTGTTGTTGTCGTGTAAATGTCAATATCATTCTCATTAAATGAAGTTTTCTATATCCGTAACCACAGCCCCACACCCAGATGCAAGTTTAGCACACTTGGTGAAGAATGCACAATTTGAATTTGAATTTTCTACATCAAACTAGATTCTAGGCCAGGTGCAGTGGCTCATACCTGTAATTCCAGCACTTGGGGAGACTGAGGCAGGTGGATCACTTGAGGCCAGAAAGTTTGAGACCAGCCTGGACAACAGGGCGAAACACCATCTCTATTAAAAAAAAAATACAAAAATTAGCCAGGAATGGTGGCATGCACCTGTAATCCCAGCTACTCGGGAGGCTGAGGTGGGGAGCTCACTTGAGCCTGGGAGGCAGAGGTTGCAGTGAGCTCACACCACTGCACTCCAGCCTGGGCAACAGAGTGAGACTCGGGTGTCTCAAAAAATAATAATTAATAATAACAATAAAATAAATAAAACTAGGTTCTAATTAGGATTAGGTTCTGATCCTGTAGCAACACAAGTGCAGGAGAGAGTGGCTTATGGGAGAACAGGAGCATTACGACACTGGCAAGGGTAGAGAATGGAAAGCTCTATTCTTTGGGTCATGCTCTGTTTTTCAGGGGAGGGAGGAGCCGCAGATTCCCGACTTTCATGCTGAAGGTGGAGCTGCACACATTCCCAGAGTGGGGGCCAGGATGGGTGAGGGCAACAGGGTGCAGAGGCCATTTTAGATCTTGACGTGTGTGCTGTGTAGGCAACACAGAAACGGTGAGTCACAGGTGATCGAGTCCCTGGCTCCCTGGAGGAAAAACAAGTGTGGTTTCTGAGGGGAGCACTGACCCGGCCAATTCTGGTTTCAGAGGACCTGAGCTGCTTGCCCTGGTCGTGGTCTCTGCAAACAAAAATGAAAGGGCATTCCTGGGGGAGGCATTTTGCAGCCCTCTTCTCCTACTCCCACCTATCCCTTAAGAAAGATTCTTCTCCATGTGAAGAACCACTTGTGTCAGTTACCTGTGAGAGGCACAGACAAGTCTTTCTGACTTCTCAAGAGTGTCCCAAACAAGTTAGGGTTAAGGATTACCCAGGCTTCCATGGAGAAGGGTGCCTTACGGAAGAGGTCTTGACTTCTCAGTGTGGAAGAACCTTCCAGGTCTCAGCTCTTACTGCTTGAAGGTCCTTGGGGTTTCCTACTGAGCTCTGCCTCTCCTCCTTCTAAGAGGCAAGCTGCCTCACCCAGGCCAGGGCCGCTCTAAATGCAGCCTGTGGACACGCTTTTTGCTTCCTGTTCTGCTCAGCAGTGCTTTAACTGGGCAGTGTGTTACTGGATTGATGATTGACCAAGACTGCACACCTCAACGTTAGCAAACACCTGGAAGCTTGTTTGCAGGGCCTGGCTTTTCTCTTGTCTCCAACACCCTAGTGCATGTGCTGTGTCACTATCATCAGAGGTCCAAATTCAAGAGTCTGTTTTCTTGTTAATATAATAACATGTCCATCACGGATCTTGGTCCCCCAAGGCAAGAGTGGAGTATGGTTAAAAAGGAATGCAGGGAAGGGAACCAGTATGTGCAAGTCTTGGCTCGGTCATTCACCAGCAGTAGTGTGGACAAATTGCTTAACCTCAGTTTCTTCATCTGTAAAATGGGGGATAATGATGCCTACGTCATAGGGTTGGTGTGAAGATTGCTTGTAGCACTGTTGTTCTTTGGGTCAGCCCTGTTCTAGGAATGACAATCTCTGCATGCTGACTTTCAGTAGGACGTGCCTTGAAATCTTTCCCCAAGGACTGGTTTTGGAAATAAAGCCAATCCATTTGAACTCTCTGTTGTACTGTCTGCCCCTACCCGCCCCCATGCCCAAATGTCACGCATTGACAAAAAACTGGCCAGGTTTAGGGTTGTAGTCTGTGCATGTCGAACCTTTAAAAAAAAAAAAAAGAGAGAGAACAAAGCAAAGCACATACTGGATACTTTCACAGTATCAAGCAGTATGTCCTAATGGTGAAAAGCTCAGGCTGTGGCGGTAGATAGCCTGCTTTCAACCCCAATTCTACCACTTGGGCACACTTCTTAACTTCTCTAAATTTCAGTATCCTTCTCTATGAAATAGGGATAATAATACCAACCTTATAGATTATAGGTATATAAAGAACCTAGCATAGTGAAGAGACCATAAATGACAGCATTAATGTAATTCAGGCTCTCCAAATTATCATGTAAGGATCACCACTGATACCCTTGGCAGTGCCCTAGCTTCCATCAGTCCAGGAGCCAAATAGAAAGTAATGGTTGTAGCCGGGCACAGTGGCTCACACGTGTAATTCCACTATTTTGGGAGGTGAGGAAAGATAATTGCTTGAGCCCAGGAGTTCAAGACCAGCTTGGGTAACACAGCAAGGCCCTGTCCCTACAAAAAATAAAAAAATTAGCTGGGCACGGTGGTGCATGCCTGTTGTCCCAGCTACTCCAGAGGTTGAGGTGACAAGATCGCTTAATTCCAGGAGTTCGAAGCTGCAGTGAGCTGTGATCATGCCACTGCACTCCAGCCTTGGCGATAGAGTAAGACCCTGTCTCAAAAAAAAAAAAAAAATTAAAAATAATAGTTGCATTTTAGAATGGGAAGTAACTTGATCAAGGTTGCCCAAACTTAGTAAGTGAATAAGATTTAAGCTCCAGCAAAACTGGATTTTAACTCTGGCTTTTTCACTTATGAGTCAAGTGACATAGAAATAGTCTCAACTCTTCTGAAGATCAGTTTCTTAATCTGTAATACAGGGACTGATAGTAATAATGCCTGCCCTACTTGTGTCATTATCTATTAAGGACAATCAGTGAAAGCACTTTACAAATCCTAAAGTCACACACATTTAAATTATTTTTATCATTGGCCTCCACACTTCTCTTATACCATTAACCAAATGCTGAAATGTCAGAGAAATTACTGTCACTTGGTTGACTTTCTCCAAAGGAACTACATTACCCAAGAGATTCAGTCTGAGGGCAGGCTACGGATTTTTTTTTTTTTTTTTTTAATGACTGGTATTTTGAAAAACAAGTCCAGCAAACAGGCTGCTTCTCTCTTGTTTGATGTGGTCAGAATTCCTTCTTGGTCATGTGACCCCCTAACATTTCTTGATGCTTATTTTAAAAACACAAACAAACCTGTTTGGTTTTTGCTTTCTTTCTTTTTCAAATTAACCTTGGACACTATGGAGTTGACCGGAAGGGCAGGGTGGGAGATAGCATCTTACCTGGGTGCTGGTGGGAGAGCTATCGTCTGAAAAGCTCTGGGAAGTGAAAGATGGAAGAAGGAAAGTTGAGTTACTCAGACATCTGGTGCATCCTAACCCTAAAGCACCTCTCGGGGTTCCTGATGCTCTCAAGCACGCCTGGGTTCAGAATAAGAGGGGCCAGTCCTTTCTTCATAATAACTTTAAAAATTATTTTGAGGCTGGGCACAGTGGCTCACACCTGTAATCCCAGCACTTTGGGAGGCTGAGGTGGGCACATAACCTGAGGTCAGGAGTTCAAGACCAGCCTGGTCAACATAGTGAAATCCCGTCTCTACTAAAAATACAAAAATCAGCCAGGCGTGGTGGTAGGTGCCTGTGGTTCCATCCACTCGGGAGGCTGAGGCAGGAGAATTGCTTGAACCCACAAGGCGGAGGTTGCAGTGAGCAGAGATCATGCCACTGCACTCCAGCCTGGGCAACAGAGCTGGACTCCACCTCAAAAAAAGAAAAAAATTATTTTGAAACTATAAGTAGTAAACTAATGTATCATGGAAAAAGTGTAGGTGTGTTTAAAACTGATCGCGCCCTTATAATTACAATTAGAGTTAATGGGAAAACATTGGAAACATTTCTGATAACATCAGAAGCAAAATAAGCACATCTATTACAGCTGTTATTGTTTAATACTGTAAGTTCTAAGCAATATAATAGGACATGTAGACATATCAGTACTAGCAAGGAAAAGACCCTGTTACCATCAGATGCTTGTATTACAATTACATACTTGGAAAAAAATCAATGAGGAAAAGACACTAGTAGGATTCAGTGAAGTGGTCATGTACAAAGTAAATACACCAAAATCAGTAGCTTTCTCATACTAATCTGTCATTAAAATATAATGGTGATTACAATATAGGATCCTTGACCAAAAAAGAAAAAAAATTTTGTAATGTGTACTGGAGATGTGGAAAAAGTAGAGAAACCTTGTAATGGCTAATCTCCCCCAACCCTTAGTAATTTCTGAAGCTGGCTAGTAACTCAGACAGTCAACAATAGATGCACCATGAGGGCAGGGATCACTGTCTGTTTTACTTACTGCTCTATCCCCAGCACCTAGAATAGTGTCTGTCCCACAGTAGACACTTAATAATTGTGTTTTTTTCTTTTTTTGTAGAGATGATTTCACCATGTTGCCCAGGCTGGTCTTGAACTCCTGAGCTCAGGCAGTCCTCCTGTCTTGGCTTCCCAAAGTGCTGGGATTACAGGGGTGAAGCACCATGCCCAGCCAATAATTGTTATTGAGTGAATGAAGGAATGAATTTGAGAACTAGTCATGCCAAGGAATCGCTAAGTCACATCGTGTTGGAAACTGCTCTTTGTGGTCCAAGTCCACCCATGTTTCTCTTGTTTTTTTCTCTCCATCAGATCTCAGTCTCAGGAGGAGGTTTGCCCCCAGTCAGCACCTTGACGAATATCCACAGCCTCTCCCACCATAATCCCCAGCAATCTCAAAACCTCATCATGACACCCCTCTCTGGAGTCATGGCAATTGCACAAAGTAAGTTCTATTCTTGGTTGGAAAACTTGGGGGCAGGGAGAAGAAGAATGGGAAGCAAATTAATGTGGTGAAAAATAACTGTAGGTCTCCTTCAAACTCACCCACGACTAGTAGATTTGGTTTAACTTCTTTAGTTTCTCATCTGTCTCCTTAAATCCAATATTTGGATTGTTTAGCCTAAAACAAGAGAAAATTGTGGAATGGATTTGGATCCTGGTCACAGTTTAGCAGCTGTGCATCCTGGGTCAAATCATTGAACCTTCAGGAGATTCAATGTCCTCATCTATAAAATAGGTTGTTAAAGTGATCAACTGACAGTGAATATGAACATGCTTATAAATCTCTAAAGCATGAATATGTATAACATCGTAGCTTACACTTTGTCTTGAGTTCATTCCTATCACTAAGTAGGTGGTAGATTTTTCAGGAGGTTCTTTCTGTTTGGTGATGATGAAGTAAGAATGACAGGTTTCCTTCTAAATGGGGAGTTTTGTGTGGTATATGAAATCTCCTTGGCCAGCAGTGAAAATACACCAAGGGAGGATCCAGAGGGAAACTGCCATTGTATCTGAGAGCTTTGAAAACTTTAAGGAGAAAAAGCTTGCTTTGGCACATCACACGCCTGAAGACACGGAGATGGATCAGGTCCCTCCAGCTCCAGGAGGCTCATATTCAACAGCAAGCCTGTGCCCTCCCATACATGGGCCATCTTGAGGCATGAGAAGGCTGAAGGGAACTGTGGTTGTGGATATCTCTTTGAGAGTTTTAATGTTGATGAGTATTCAGCATATTTCCAGCTTCACTATGACAGCTCAGGTGTCGTTGTTTCTCAAAACCATCCTTGTGACCCTTGGATGTATTGCTGGATGTCTTGGGAGAGATCTAAGGGTAACACATTGGTCATCTTTCTTTCAACCTTGTATTGCTCCATTGTCCTCTTACCTTCCTTGTATCTAGGGCTCATGTTGGCCACCTCTTTGTTTTGTTTCTGCCTTTTTCTTTCTTCCCTCTTCTCTCCCTAAATCAGCTTTAGCTAGGGTCGGAACTTGGATTCTCACTTCTGAAGAGAATGACTTACACATCCTTTGAGGTCAGAACAGGGCTAAGCCCATTGGAGGCACACAAATTTATTGAATATGTGTGGCTCTCACTCTATCCTTAGCTGCTTGGAAATTGACACACAGTGCATTGATTTTGGCAGAAGGAAAATGGGAATGGGGAAGCATTTAGAGAACTCACAATATAAATGATCATTTTAAATGTATTGCCTTTTGACTGGGCCCTCTGGTATATGGAATATGGTAATTATACTAATACCAGAGTTTGGAATGAGATAAGATACCTAAAACCAGCTTGTTTGCCATTTAGAAGATTTGATTAAAAGGCCCGTGGGGAAGATATTCCACTTATTTCTGCAACCAAAATAATAAACAAACTGTCCCACTTAACTTCTTTCTTTCCATTCTAAGCTTTCACTGCCATACAGTTATATATATATATATACTATCTGAATTAAAATTTTCCCTGGGGCTAGTCTGCATCTTTCCATTTTGTTCTTTCTAATTTCCTCTACTCATATTTCTCTATCATTTCACGATGCTCCTTAATCTCCTATTCAGATGGGCTGCACCAGAGTGCACACTGACCTCAGAAGGATGGCTGTGTGTGTACATATCTGTGTACACTTGGGGTAGACAGAGCATGAGAAATGGTGAGAATCACCAGAAGACTGCTGAGACACAGAGGTCCTACACTATGGAGTGTTAGGATGAGAAACTGGTTGCAGGCATCTTCATTTAACTGACTGATGTGTTGAGTACCATGGGCCCTGCCTCAGAATTGCGGAAGCCTGTGGAGAAGGTGGTAACAAATTATTTGGCAGGGCCAATTCCTTATTCTCTACTCATTCTCACCTCTTCATCCTATTCTCTTTCTCATCTCTTCCCTGGACTGGATAGCATACTTCCCAAGCAAGAACCAGTGCCCAGAAACAGAAACAGATGAAAAGGTCAAGACTTACCCACTGAGGGAGCTGGAATGACATCAGAGGCTCTCAATCCTGGAATTGAGGCACATCAGGATCACAGACTGCATTGAAAATAAGATTCCTGGGCCCCACCTCTGAAGGTTCTGACTCATTAGGTCTTGGGTGGGGCCCAGGAATGTATATTTGTTAAAGAGCTCCCCCAGATGATTTCTGAAGCACATGCAGGTTTCAGAACTATGCCTTCAAATGTCATCCACTCTAGACAGGATCATTTGCTTTTTTGGGCAGCAGTTTCTCAAAAAGAGCAGCAGCAGTGCTCTCAAAGATTTCTCAAAAACGGCACATTCATGGAGCTTTCTGGGAGACTGAGACCATAAGCAGGAGGTAGGAAAGGGAAACACGGTCATCGGTCATCAGGGTATCTGGTGAGATGCTGGCTTGAGGAGACGCTGAGCCCCCTGGGGAACTGGAGACAGTGCTGTTCTGAGGGTGATCAGAGGGTGGCACCCCCAGCCCCCACCCAGGAGAGCCAGAAGCAGGATTCATCCCCTGTCCTTTCTGCTCAGGGGTCTCGCCTTTTAGGTTTCTGATAACAGTATCAGCTAAAGCTCTGAGTAGGCAATTGTTGAGGACTCCGTGTTATCTCCATTGATGACTTCCCTCAAACCTGCCTATGAAACCGTCTCCATTTCAGGAAAGCCTCTCTAGGTGTCCCTTCCACATCCACCTAAAACAGACCTTTTTCTGGATTCCTTCTTCATCCCATTCTTCCCCCAACTTCCCAGAAAGCAAGAACACAGGAACACAATCGACCCCAGGAAGCAGGTCCAGGTGTCTTCTCTCCTGATCGTCCTGTCCCCACTCCGATCCTACCTTAGCTGTCTTCCTCCGTGTCGCTCTCAGGGAGGAGATAGAGCATGGGTACCAGGGGATCCAATCCTCAGAGTGCTGGCCCGGGTTCTAAAGAGGCCTCAGGATACACAGTTCCAAGTTACAGAGGCCCTGACATCTCCAGAACAGAAAGATGGGAAGACCCACTATAAATGCCAAGAGTCAACCTTTAATGTACTACTTCCTCTTTCTAAAACCTGGTCCTTTTAGTGCCACAAGCCCTATGCTGCCACATAAGATATGCCCGCCTCGCAGACTGGCTGAGTTCCAGTGTTTTCTCCCCTCTCTGTTACAGTCAAGGGAGTTGGCACCTGATTTCTCTGGGGGTCTTTGTACAGTCTACTAAATAAGGGTCTCCCAACCTCATACTCCCGGGACTATGGAAGTTGTTTTTAGTCAAAATTTGGGTCCCTGCACACTCCTGCCCTCTACTGGACAGACCGATCTGGGCAATAACCTGTGCCTCAGTGTGGACATCTTTAACTCTGCCCTGCGGGCACCAGGGCAAGCCTCTCTCACAGCCTGGCATGGATGGAGTGGGCAGGTAGAGCCAGCTTTTCCAAAGCCCTGGTAACCTCAAGAGAGCTAAGTTTGGGAGGTCACAGGATGACTCTGGGAGACTCTCAGGCTTTAATCAGATCTGTTTAATGCCCATCTCCAACCCACAACTCATTGTGGAACTTGAGCAAGTAAATTAATATCTCCAAGTCTCCGTTTCTTTACACTTGCCTCCCATGGAATCTCCTATGTAACAGGCTCAGCCCGGTGACTGGGACATTGAGCGGGGGCTCAAATGATGGCATCCATCCACCTCTCCTTATCCCAGGAGCTGTCTGTGATCTTTTCCTCTTGCTCCCACAGGCCTCAACACCTCCCAAGCACAGAGTGTCCCTGTCATCAACAGTGTGGCCGGCAGCCTGGCAGCCCTGCAGCCCGTCCAGTTCTCCCAGCAGCTGCACAGCCCTCACCAGCAGCCCCTCATGCAGCAGAGCCCAGGCAGCCACATGGCCCAGCAGCCCTTCATGGCAGCTGTGACTCAGCTGCAGAACTCACACAGTAAGGACACGGGCATGTGGAGGGAGGGAGCACTCAGGACCCTCAGTGGCCAACCACTTTCCCTCTCTGGGTCTGAACTTTCTCGGAAGTTTATTGGCTTGGTCACTTTTCCCTGCCTATGATCAACCGACTAAGACAATTTCTCAAGCATAACTCTTGAGTGTTGCTGTACCTTTTCTAGTCCTCTTCTCTACCCCTGAGATTCCCAGGGAAGGGTTTGAAGAGGACAGTGTAGGCCTACAGATGAAGGGGAATTGGAGCCAGACAGCATGTGGAACACACACCGCCAATTTCCCATTCCAACACCTCTGGAAAAGATCGCGTCCATAAACCACCAGCACCTTTTCCCAGTGAACTTCAACTTAGCCTTTGCAATCTAAACTTCCAAGCAGCCATTATCAAATGATCACAATTGGCATCTAATTTGCATCCTGTTTGCCTTCCCTAAAAGAGAAGAATCTTCTAGAGTCCCGTGTCCTCCAATTTATACACCCCAAACATCTCTAATCAAGAACCATGAACACAAGTGAAAAATACCAGTGGCATGCCATCCTGGGCATTAGAGTTTCTTCCTCCATGCCACCCCTGCATCTCTGCACACAGACTGTTTCTCATATCCAATTTCTATACCTACCCCAAGCCTACCTTTCGACCACTTATTTCCCATCCAATCCCATCCTCTGTTTCTCTGCCTTTCATCCTGAGTCCCAGGCTTCCAATCCTCTGGCCAGGTCTGGCTATAGCCCCTGACACAGGAGTTTGGGGAGGAATCGTGGCTTCTCTGCTTCAGAAACCCCAAGGAAGTGTTCAGTATAAAGCACTAGTCTTAGATCAGACAGACCTGGATTTAAATCCTGGCTGTGATACTTACCAGCTGTGTAGCCTAATGCAAGTTACTTAGCCACTCTAAGTCCAATCTCTACATCCATAAAATGGAAATAGTATGCATTTAGAGTCATTATGAATATGAAATAAACATAGGGGTAAACTGCGTTTGGTAAGCATAAAAAATTATAAAGATTATTTATAAAGGGACTCTTAGAAGGCAATGATGGTGAAAGAGGTTTGTGTTTCTTCCCTAGCTGCATCGGATAAGCTGTGGGTTTGGGGGAGAACAGCCAAGTCCAGCCTTCTATCTTCAGGGCTCAATCCCCACTCGGGCCTGTGGAGCTGGTTTCTGAGCACCATCTCACATTCCAATCACATTTTAGTGGCTTCTGAAAATCTGCCACAGCCTGTAGCAGAGTCTGAGACCACATGTGCCCCACTTCCCTTCCTCCCAGAGCCTGGTGATGTGCTCCCCACTTACCCCATCCCTTCACCTGGCCAGGCTTCCTCAGTGGCGAGGCCTGGGTGGGATAGTCAGAGAGTGGTCACCAGCGACCTGTGGACTGCTGAGGCCCAGCAGGCCTGGCCGCCCATGAAGAGAGAGCCCATGGTGCCCTGGACCAGGAAATAACCTGCCTCCCTGCATGAGAAGGGCAAGCCGAGGCAACAGCCAGTGACCTTTGCTCCCGTTCCGTACCGGAGGCCTCCCTGGTAGGCCCTGTGTTCTGAGAGCAGGTGGTCTCTCCCTCACAGCCAAGCATCCACATGCTTTCGGGAGTTGGTTATGTGACTTGGAATTTACATGAATCTTATGGATAACTAATATGAGAAATCCCCACTATAACCACCAGCCCTTTTATCTACCTGAGGAGATGGGAGCTATGGTGTGGGATGGGGGCTCTGTACCTGTGTCTTTGCCTGTGTATGCACCTTGATTCTGTCTTCACTCTGTCTCTCCAGTGTACGCACACAAGCAGGAACCCCCCCAGTATTCCCACACCTCCCGGTTTCCATCTGCAATGGTGGTCACAGATACCAGCAGCATCAGTACACTCACCAACATGTCTTCAAGTAAACAGGTAATGCCAGCAGGATTTGCGGGGGTTGGGGTGTGGGCAGGGTGTGATAAGGCCATGGATGTGCAGAGGTTGTGGCAAGCATGGACTCGGCCAGAAATTAGGTCCTTCTGAGGCTCCCTGTTGTTTGCAAAGGGAATCCTTAAGGTCCCAGGGCAAAAAAAAAAGGGCCACAGGCTGAAAGGGCTTATTGCTCCCCCAGATTCCCCAGGAAGAGCACTAAACAAGGACAGAAGTTTGATAGGTTGCTGGAGACTGGATGACATAGAGCGCTTAGGCATTTAGATTGAGTGTTCCCTAATAGAATGATCAATGGTCCATGGAAAAGGTATTTCCAAGGAGGGCTCAGGAGGACAGATCCCCTGCTGAGGTTCATGCTTTGCAAGAGGGATCCCTGAGGATCCACAAAGTAGTCAGCGGAGAAAGTGAGTAGGAAGTCAGAGGTCCTGAGGCTGATTCCCCTGGACCCAGAATGCCATAAGCTCTGGGAATGACCCAGTTGTGTCAACCCATGGGGACTCCCCAGTAGACAGCCTGGCTTTTCCAGGGGTAAGCATCCACTTGGGGTTTTATCAAGAAATTTAGAATCAACTTCCTGCTGCACTGAAAGTGGGGAATCCAGAGGCTTAGTCACTGTTTCAGTTGATGACTAAGTCCCACCTCTGAATAGAGGTGATGGAATAGTAGACAGGCAGCTGATGGCGAGGCTCATTGCTGCAGCTTGGACAGCTGGACTGCAAGAAGACACCGAGAGTTAGAAAACAGGACAAGATGTCTGAACACAGGTGATGATTCCAGAGTAACACAATGAGACCTTTTAGTAGCTGGGGTCTGTGCAGTGTGGGAACTGTTTGGCCTCTATCGATTACTAGATAAGTAGGTGACAACCTTGAACTTCATGTCAGAAGCTCTCAGAATTTGGTCTTGTTGATGGTCTTTTTTTCATCTGAGCCCTGCAAATCACACTTCATCCACTGCCATGGGCTTCCCAGGAGGTTCCTTCATGGGATCAGGGTTCTCTATCCTTTCCTTTGCCCCGATCTCCTTCCAGCCCTAGAGTGCAGTGGAGCAGGTGGGTTCTATTCCTGGTTCTGCCATTTGCTTGGTGACCTTGACCTCCCTGAGCCTTCATTTCTTCATCTTTAAAGTGAGAGTTGTAACATCTGCTTTTTCTGAGGATTCAGCAAGCTTGCGTAGATTAAGTAACTGGTGTCTTGGGCACTGAAACACACACACGACCAGGGCAGCTGGGCTCTGGAGCTGGGGGTAGAGGGAGAGGTGTGTGGGACCTGCTTTGCCACTCTTCTCTCACCCAATAGAAGATGAAAGGACAACCCCTCACTACCCTGCCCTTCGACTCCCGTGCGAGTTCCCACTCTTTGTAGTGGGCAGGGAAAACATTTATCTGTGCTCACAAATCTCAATCAGGGGGGCAGCCAGGCGCAGCGGCCCTCCTTGGGAATACCTTCCCCTTTGAAAGGTTTATCAATCCATCTGCCGCTTGGTCAGCCCCAGACAGGACCATGATTAATTATTCCTGTCTTTCCCAAGTTGACTTTGATGGTTGCTTGTTGAAACAAGTCGTCTGAATTCAGGAAATGGTCTCTTAATCAAAATACTTTAAGATGCTCCCTGAGACGCTGCACCAGCCCCCCACTGGCTTCTCCTCTCCATTGGACAGAGTGGCCAGCCAACCTTGAAGCTGCATGAGTGGCCTCCCAGAACTGCTGTGACATTGTCTCCATGTCCCCAGACATTTCAGGAGTCTGGCAATAGACTCATTTCTGCGATGATGAGGATGATTATTACACTCAGTAAGGATGAAAAATACTCACGTGGCACGTTACAGTTTATACTTCTCATGAACATTGTCTCATTGTTTTCTTTTTACTGCAACCTCCTAAGTACAAAGAAATAAACTAAAACCCAGAGATGAAGAGTGACCTGCCCAAGGTCACACAGATGATAAATTCTAGTGCTGGACCTTCAGGCTTTGGTCTTTGACTCCACATACTTGCCTTCCACTACCATCTTTAAAATTCTACGGTAACTGCTGCCACTCTTGTTGTCTTTGTGGTCAGGAACAAGAGTAAAAAATAAGTTCACTTGCCATATTCCACTCAGGAAACGTTCTTCCAACAAGTTGAAAGAGAAGGAGGAATGGGAAAGGCACAGTGAAGTAAAATGAGGGTAAAGGTGCTGCCTCCTGACAGCAGAAGGTACCCAAGGTGAAGACAGTTTGTACAAACTCTGTTCCTAAGGCAGAGGGTCAGAAGTGAGTTCTGAAAGAGACCTGATGGCAATTCTGCTTTTTTGGTTTTGTTTTAAGGTCTTATATTCCAACAGGAATTTCAAATTCATTTCTGGCGTGTTCAGATTTATTGCTTATAGCGATGTCTGTTTGCTTCGCTATAAAGAAATATCTGAGGCTGGGTAAAAGAGGTTCAAAGGCTCATGGTTCTGCAGGCTGCACAGGAAGCATGATGCCAGCATCTGCCTCTGCTGAAGACCTCAGAAGGTTTACAAGCATGGCGGAAGGTGCAGACAGGGCAGGTGCATCACGTGGTGAGAGTGTGAGCAGGAGGGAGAAGGGAGAGGCCCTGCCCTGGGCTCTTATTTATTTATTTATATTTTTATGTTTTGAGACAGGGTCCCGTTCTGTCACCCAGGCTGGAGTGCAGTGGCGCAATCACAGCTCACTGCAGCTTTAACCTCCTGGGCTCAATCAGTCCTCCCGCCTCAGCCTCCAGAGTAGCTGAGACTACAGGCGCACACCACAATGACAGGCTAAATTTTTGCATTTTTTTTGTTTTGCCATGTTGCCCAGGCTGGTCTCAAACTCCTGCGCTCAAGTGAACTGCCTGCCTTGGCCTCCCAAAGTGCTGGGATTACAGGTGTGAGCCACCATGCCTAGCCCTAGACTCTTTTAAACAGCCAGATCTCACGTGAACTAACTCAAGCATGAATTCCTCACCCATCACCATGATCCATTACCTCCCACTGAGCCCCACCTCCAACACTGGGAATCACATTTCAACATGAGATTTGGAGGGGACACACATCCAGACCATATCATTCCACCCCTGGCCTCCCAAATCTCATGTCCTTCTCACATTGAGAAATACAGTCATCCCTTCCCACTAGTCCCTGAAAGTCTTAACTCATTACAGCATTAACTCAAAGTCCAGAGTCTCATCTGAGACTCAAGAGCAAGTCCTTCCACCTATGAGCTTGTAAAATAAAAAAACTATATACTTACTTCCAAAATACAATGGTGGTACAGGCATTGGGCAGACGTTCCCATCCCAAAAGAAATAAATTGGCCAAAAGAAAGGGGTAACACCCCATGCAAGTCTGAAACCCAACAGGGCAGGCATTAAATCTTAAAGCTCCAAAATAATCCTTGATTCCATGTCCCACATCCTGGGCACATTGGTGTGCCAGGTGGGCTCCCAAGGCCTTGGGCAGCTCTGTTCCTGTGGCTTTTCCATGCTGAGGTTGCAAGCTGCTAGTGGCTTTACCATTCTGAGGTCTAGAGGGTGGCAGGCCCATTCCCACAGCTCCATTAGGCAGTATCCTGGTAGGGACTCTGTGTGTGGGGCGGGTGGGGCTCCAATCCCACATTTCCCCTCAGCACTGCCCTAGTGGAGGTTCTCTGTGGGGGCTCTGCCCCTGCAGCAAGCTTCTGCCTGGGCACCCAGGCTTTCTGATAAAGCCTTTGAAATCTAGGTGGAAGCTGCCAAACCTCCTTCACTCTTGCATTCTGTGCATCTGCAGGCTTAACATCACATGAAACCCACCAAAGCTTACAGACTGCACCCTCTAGAGTGGTGGTCTGAGCTGTACCTGGGGCTCTTTGAGCCAGGGCTGAAGCTAGAGCAGCATGTATGCAGGGAGCAGTGTCCCAAGGCTGTGCAGGGCAGCAGGGCCTTTGGTCTGGCCCCCAAAACCATATTTTCTTCCTAGGCCTCTGGGCCTCTAGTGGGAGGGGCTGCCTAGAAGATGTCTGAAATACTTCAGTGCCTTTTTTCCATTGTCTTGGCTATAGCATGCAGCCCTCTTTAGTCAAGCTAATCTCTCTAGCAAGCTGTTGCTCCATAGGCCACTTGAATTCCTTCTCTACCACAGGGTTAGGCTGCAAATTTTCCAAACTTTTACGCTCTGCTTCCCTTTTTAAATGTAAATTCCAACATTCCAAATGTAAGTCATTCCTTTGCTTCCGTAGCTACTGTGGGTTGTTAGAAGCAGCCAGGCCACATCATGAATGTTTTACCGCTTAGAAATGTCTTCTGTTAGATACCCTAGGCTATCATTCTGAAGTTCAAACTTCCACAGATCCCTAGAATATGGACACAATGCAGCCAAGTTCTCTGCCTGGGCGTAAGGAGGGTGACCTTTGCTCTAGTTCCCAATCAGTTCCTCATTTCCATCTGAGATCTCATCAGCCTGGCCTTCACTCTCCATAGTTCTATCAGGATTTTGGTCACAACCACTTAACAGGTCTCTAAGAAATTCTAAACTTTCCTTCATCTTCCTGTCTTCTTCTGTTCCTCCAAACTCCCAATCTCTGCCTGTTACCCATTGCCAAAGCTGCTTCCACATCTTCAAGTATCTTTTTTTTTTGCGGGGGGGGGGGGGGGCGGCGGGGCGGGGGGATGGAGTTTTGCTCTTGTTGCCCAAGCTGGAGTACAATGGTGTGATCTCAGCTCACTGCAGCCTCCACCTCCCAGGTTCAAGCGATTCTGCCTCAGAGTCCTGAGTAGCTAGGATTACAGGCACAGGCCACCACGCCTGGCTAATTTTTTGTATTTTTAGTAGAAACAGGGATTCACCATGTTGGCCAGGCTGGTCTCGAACTCCTGACCTCAGGTGATCCACCTGCCTCAGCCTCCCAAAGTGCTGGGATTACAGGCGTGAGCCACTGCACCTGGCCATCTTCAAGTATCTTTATAGTAATGCCCCACTCCCAGGACCAGTTTTTTGTGTTAGTCCATTTGCATCACTATAAAGGAATACCTGAGGCTGGGTAACTTAAAAAGAAAATATGTTTAATTGGCTCATGGCTCTGCAGGTTGTGGTGCCAGCATCTGCATCTGGTGAGGGCCTTAGGAAGCTTACAGTCAGGGCAGAAGGTAAAGGGGGAATAGGCATGTCATATGGTGAGATAAAGAGCAAGAGAGAGAAAGGGAAGATCCCAGACTCTTAAACAACCAGATCTTGTGTGAATTAACTTGAGCGAGAGCTCACTTATCACCAAGGGGATGGCGCTGAGCCATTCATAAGGGATCTGCCCCTGTGATCCAATATCTCCCACCAGGCCTTACCTCCAACACTGGGTATCGTATTTCAACATGAGATTTGGAAGGGACACACATCTAAACCATATCACTAGGTATCAAGGACATACGAGTGAGGGGAGAGAAGGATTTCTTGGTCAAATATGTTGGGGGAACTGCTGGATTACACAAAGTTAAATGCTACTGGGCAGGGCTTCTCAGAGCATTTCACTTGCTGATGTGTGCACTGAACCGGGCAATTAGCGTGCACCCTGCTCGAGTCAAAGGGACACATCCTGAGCAGTGCTATTTTAGAGGTATTGTACAGTGGTAGGAAACGCCAGCAGACCTGAGCTACTTTCAGCTTCATCACCCCCTGGTATGTGACCTTGGGCAGTTAATTCCCTGTTGGGAGACTCAGTTTCTTCATCTATAAATGGGGAAAATCCCACCCCCATCTCACAAAATATTCAATGTGCCTAACAGAATGCCTAGTACATAGTCAAGTATTCAAAGTGGTAGCCCCCTCCCTGTTTTCTCTCCCGTCTGTGATCCTTTAGGAGATAGTTGTCTCCCCTTCCAGTGACTCTTTTTTTTTTTTTTTTTTTTTTTTGAGATGGAATCTCACTCTGTCACCCAGGCTGGAGTGCAATGGTGTGGTCTCAGCTCACTGCAACCTCCGCCTACTGGGTACAAGCAATTCTCCCGCCTCAGCCTCCCAAGTAACTGGAACTACAGGCACAGGCCACCACACCTGGCTAATTTTTTGTATTTTTAGTAGAGACGGGGTTTCACTATGTTGGCCAGGCTGCTCTCAAATTCCTGACCTCGTGATCTGCCCGCCTCTGCCTCCCAAAGTGCTGGAATTACAGGTGTGAGCCACTGGACCCGGCCTAGTGACTCTTTCAATATCCAATTCAGTGCTTGGTCTACATGCAGTCAAAGGAGGCTGGGAGAAGAAAATGTCTCAGGATTACTACCATCTCTCAAGCACATCCTACCTCTTGGGCCTGGGCTCCGGATCCCTGTTTCCCATTCTCCTGCTGATACACAGACTCCCTGCTCACCTATTTCCCAGGAAAAAAGCAAATAGTTCAGGGCCTGTCAAAGCACCCATACCCTTTGGGCTTAGCCAAATGCCTGGGCTATATTAGATGTTCAGTAAATAACAAAGAATGAATGAACGAACGAACGAATGAATGCAGAACCCGTGTTTTTTGATGCCTCCATTTTCCAAGCAGCACCCCAGATGCTTTTCTAGCTTACATTTCCTGGAGAACCCTCTTACCCATTCTGCAAGGTCGTTATTTTTATACCTGATTTACAAAGCAGAAAACTGAGGTTCAAAGATGGGTATGGATCTGGTCAAGTTCAAACAGATCATAAATTCCAGAGCTGGACTTCCAGACTGGCTTTCTCACTCCAAACTCATTAAACAACGTTCATCTTCCAATATCCACTTTTAAGCACCCATAATAACAACCCAAGGTTATGCAGGTATAAGGCTAAAGCCAGGATTTGTACTTGTATCTGTCTGATCCCAGTACTTCCTGTTGTCAAGGCAGACATGCCCCAAGGGCCTTGGGGATTACAGGTCAGGAACCCCAGGCTGGGACTTCTCGCGCCAAGAATCCTTCTGCATCTACTGCCATCTGTCCCTTCCAGAGCACATACGTCTCCCTCCTTCTCAACTCTTGGGTGCTGGCAAGTTATCTCTGAGTGGGTTTGTGCCTGAGTTCAACAATGCCCCGCTAGTCTGGAAACAAGACCACAGCAACCACTGACCTCAGTTAGAACAAGTGCAGGCAGGTTGTGAGCCAACTCCTGTTTCCACAGTGTTCTCTCCCCGCTGCTTGACTTCCTAGTTTATGGGAAGGTGAAGAGAGGGCCCCCAGAGCAGTAACTAGTCAGGGCACTGACAAGGGGGCAGGTGGGTGGCCTCATCATCTATCCCCTTCGGCTATTCCTCTCCCAGCTTCTTCACTGGGTGAGGAAGCAGAGTGTTCTGATGGTTGGGAGCATCGACCTGGGAGTTAGGCAGATCTGGGCTCAACATTCTACCACTTTCTACCTGTGTGACCTCAGAGAAATGTCTTAGCCTCTTTGAGCCTCTGTTTGCTCACCTGTAAAATGAAGATAATGATACCTCTTTCATGGGATCACTGAAAGGACTAACTGCACGAAGACCTGTAAAATACTTCACTCAGCGCATGTCCCAAAGGAAACACCCAGCCCATGGAAGCTGGGTCACTCTTGGCTTCCCCTGCTAGCACCCCTGAGCGGCTCTGAGTTTGGGAAAAGGGTCTTACGTGGCAAAGGGCATTTATTTCCCCGTGTTGAGGGGGTTGAAAGAAGTGCTCTTACATAGGGGTGAAGAGCACAAGCCTTGCTGTTGTGAGACCCCGGCCAACTTACTTATCACCTCTCCAGGCCACACTTCCCTCATCTGTAAAACCGGAATTATAATCATGACTTTTAATTAATGGAGCCACAATGAATCTCACATAAGTTCATGGTCATAGAAGTGACTTATCTGTCCTCACTGTCTCCACTTCCTCACCCTCAATTCTCTCTTGAGATCACTGCAGACTGGCCTTTATCCTCACGCCTCACTGTGTCCAGCTCACGATCCCCTCCATGCTGCTGAAACCAATGGTTACTTTTCAACCTCTGTCTCTGACACAGCTGATCTCTCCCTCCTTTTTTCCATGGGAGTTTGGGATACTACCATTCCTGGTTCTTCTACGGCACTGGCCACTTCTCATCTCCTCAGCTGGCAACTCATCTTCCCAATATTTATGTGTTGGAGGGCCCCGGGCCTCATTCTTTGGCCTCTTCTCATCTGTGCTCACTCCTGGGTGATCTCCTCCAGTCCCATGGCTTTAGGTCAAGTGTACACGCCGATGGTTCCTGTAATTCTGTGTACAGTCCGGTCTTCCCTACTGAGTGCTCACTCACAGATCCAGTGCTGCTTCGGCAGGGACAGACGCATGTCTAAAATATCTAATAAGCCTCTTGAATTCAACGTGCCTAAAATAGGAACTCTTCATTTTGCCCTATTTCATCCTATCAAAATTGCTTCCCCCATGGGCTTCTCCATTTCCAAAACTGGTACCAGTTGTTCAAGTGAGAGAGCTGAGAGTATCCCTGATTCTTCTCTCCACATCACATCAGTCTCTCAATAAGTTCTACTAGGGGACCCTCAGAATACATCCTAAATCTGACCTCTTCTCACACTCCCATCAGGACTGCCCTAGTCCCAGCCCAGGCCCCCTTGTCTCTCCCTGATCTCCTTAGGTGGCCCTTGCCTGTCTCCCACTTCCACCCTTGCCCCACTGGGGGCTGTTCGCCAGAGTGATCTCTTACAAAGAGACATCAAGCATGTCAATCCCCTGTCAAAACTCTCCAATAGCTTTCCATCACAACCAAACTAAAACAGAGACATACAGGACCCTATGTGATTATGCCCCTGCCAGTGTCGCCGTTCTCACCTCCTTCCTCCCTCCATCACCCGCTCAGCTTTAGCTGTGCCAGGGCTGAAGAGATCCCACTCCAGGACTCCTGCATTTGTGGTGTCTGCCTGGAGCTCTTTTTTTCTGTGCATTTTTACATGCTTGCCCCTTCACTTCATTCAGCTCAAATGTTACCATTTCAAAGAGGCCTCGCCTGATTCCCATATCTAAGTTAATCTCTTTTTCCTCAAGCTGCCCTAACCTCTATGCTTATTTTTCTATGGAGTGCTCATCTCCACCTAAAGTTGTAGTGTGTGTGTGTGTGTGTGTGTGTGTGTGTGTGTGTGCACGCATTTGTTTACTTGTTTATTATTCAAAGCCTTCACTAGGAGGTAAAGCCTGTGAAGAAGTGGGCAGGGTGTTGTTTACAGCTGCATCTCCAGTGTCTAAAAAAGTGCCAAGTACACAGTAGGCACTCAAACGTGTTAAATGAATTCACGATAATCACCTACTTCAAAGGGTCGACGTAAGAACTCGAGGCAGTGATGCTTGTGAAGCCCTTGGTATGGTGCCTGGCACACAGTAGGATGTCGATAAATGTTAGCTCTTACCATTATGTAACAAATCCTCTTAGAATAAGGATGTCCTTCACATTTGCCACAGCTACCACACCTTTCAGACGGAGGGCCCCGCGGTCTCTCAGAGATCTTCTGGGCCAGGCCCCCGTGGGGCTGCGTGTGCTGGGCCTCCAGTTCTAAGGGACCACAGTGCACCCCTTATCAGATGTTTGTGTTTAGACTCTGAAGGAGGCAAATAACTCTAGTTCTTTTGACAACATTTTGGGCTCTGCCACCATTTTATTATGTGAGCAAACATTTGATAGCTGGGAAGCCCATCCCTAATGACAGGCCATAGAATCTCACTGGCGTCTCCTTATCTGCCCTTCTTGTTTGCTCTTCTTTTGAAACCTGCAAGGTCACAAGCCGTTTTCTCTCTCCTCCACCTGAAATCTGAAAATTGGAAAAAGGCTGATAGTGGGAAGTAAAGAGACTTGAGAGTGGGGGTGGGCCAGGGGAGGAAGAGGAGGCAAAGGGTATCAGAGGACCCTGACCAACGTCTCAAGAATGTGGAAGGGTCAGAAGCCTGTCTCCTCACATGCACGCACTGCTCAGCCCCCCTCTTTTTTTTTTTTTTTTTTTTTTTTGTGAGACCAAGTCTTGCTCTGTCGCCCAGGCTGGAGTGCAGTAGCATAATATCGGCTCACCACAACCTCCGCCTCCTGGGTTCAAACGATTCTCTTGCCTCAGCCTCTCAAGTAGCTGGGACTACAGGTGTGCACCACCATGCCCAGCTAATTTTTGTATTTTTAGTAGGGATGTGGTTTCACTATGTTGGCCAGGCTGATCTCGATCTCCTGACCTTGTGATCCACCTGCCTTGGCCTCTCAAAGTGCTGGGATTACAGGCGTGAGGCACTGCGCCAGGCCTTCAGCCCCACTCTTAAGAGTACTGAGGAGCAGCAGGGGCTTGGGCCGAAGAACCCCATGTTAATAATAACAATTGTGCCAAGGACCATGCTCAGGACTCCACAGGTGTTGACTCATCTAATCACACAACAACTCCCATATTATAGGGGAAGAAACTGAGGCACAGAGAGAGTAACTTGTCCAAGAGCACAAAGCTTAGTAGAAGGCTCCTCACCTCCAAGCATGATTGAAAGAGCACATGCTGAGTGGCCACCTAGACAGCTAGTTTGAAGCTGTGGCTCCACACTCTCCTAGTTCTTAAACCATGGACAATTCACTGACTCTCTTTTAGCCTTGTTTTCCTAATTTGTCAAATAGACATAATGGTATCCTCATATAGGGTTATGGTTGGAGCACTGATCAATGCGATAACAGTGGCCTTTAGTGGTATTGGTAGGTGTAAGTGTGTGTGTGTGTGTGTGTGTGTGTGTGTGTGTGTGTGTGTTTGGGGGGATCTTGAGAGAATAAGCCACTAAGTCAAAGGCAGAACCTTAGATGCCGGCAAAAGCAAAAGGGAAGGAGGAGACACAGGGAGACAAAAAGAGACTCCCCAGAAGTGAAAAGGAAAGCAGTGACACTCCATGACAGTTCAAATGAATAAGGCCCAGGCACTGGAGGGCAAGGCTGCCCTGAGTTGGGTGAGGTGGCTTCTCTCGAGGGCTTCTCCAGCCATTCTGGGGTCTCCTGCCCTGGCCCACCCACAAGGATGGCATCAGAGGCCTTCAGCCTTTGGATCCTTTCCCTGGTCCTCTGAGTTTCTTATGCTAAAGTAAGAAACCCGTAGAAAGCACTTTGCAATTTGCAAAGCTCCTTCCTGATGAGTAGTTTGAGTGGTCATTTTCTCGTGTGCTTTCTGGCCTTGCTGCCCTAGGTGAGCAGCACTGGCACACCCTGGGAACTTGTTAGAAATGCAGACTCTTAGGTGCACCCCAGGCCTACAAGTCAGAATTAAACCAGAATCCACATTTTCACAGGCTCTCTGGTACTTGTGGGTCCGTTAAAGTTCGAGAAGCATTAGTATAGGAGGCCTCTGCTCTTAGCGGTCTTAGGAAGAGACCCTTGCTTCCACGAGAGGCAAGAGCTCACCATCCAGCTGCCTTTTCAAGTACACTAAGCACTCTATAAATGCCACTGTCACAGAAAGAGGAGCCCAGCTTCAGGATTCAGGTCAGCAAGTTAAGACTACTTCAAGGTCCCCAGCAATTCACTTCTTTCTTCTGAAGTGGCCAGGAAAGCCGGCTCCCGGGTTTTCCTGCAGGAAGTGTGCCTCAGCATGAAAACTGCAGAACTGAGCAGACACGAGGCCCCCAGCCCTCCACCTGCTGCTCTTTGCTGGTTGAGTTGGGCATCATCTCCCTTAGAGAAGCCAAACTAATGGCCCATGACCCTGCCAAATGACACAGCTGAGCACCCTCTCTCCTCTCTCTCTGCAGTGTCCTCTACAAGCCTGGTGATGCCCACACACCACTTACTTCGTGCGCAACAACAAGGACCCTGTTTTCCACACCATCACCCTCTGGGCAGCTGTCATGGAAAAGCCCAGTGACCTGACCAGCACCTGCGAGAGGTCCCTGCTTACCTGACGGACGTCCTGCTGGCACCTCAGACAATCCACTCTCAGGAGGCGCAGCCCGAAGCCCAGTTTCCCTTCTATGCAGTATTGCCACAATGCCTCTCCCACGATGTCAAGGACTCCTGTCTGTCCTGGAGGTGGGAGACAAGGAACCTCCGAAGAGGAAGCAAGAAAGCCGTACTGTCTATGTTGTGATCCTTCATCGAACAAACTGATGCGAAAACTTGAATCTGTTACTGAAATGAGGAGAGAAGGACATGTGCTATTGAACTGAGCCAAACACACTGTAAATATCCACAGACTCCCTCCCCTGCCCCCATCCCAAATGATCTTGAGATTTCTTTTAAAGAAGTAAATTTGTCCAATGGCTGTAAACTATAAACTACTGTAATTAAGTGCAATTTCCCCTCTGTGTCCTCTCCCCTCTGCCCTGTATATAATACTAAAGTGTCTATTAGTTTTCTTTGTAAAGGTCAGAGTCAAAATTTCAAAAGTGATCTGTCCCCTCTCCCCTCATGGAGAAACATCCTAAGTGGGAAGTGAAGCCCCTTGTCCTCTCCCGCGGGCCTGGACACTTATGGGGACAGCATACCTTGGACTGACTACCAGCTAACTCCAGTCTCCTGACATTAAGACACACCTCTGGATCCCTGGAGGGGCTGAATGTAGTGTGTCAGAGTAACATGCCAGCTTCCTGTGGGCCAGGAGCTCAGCCGTGCACTCCCTAAGAAACCCCAGGGCAGGGAAACTGGCTGTTTGATAGCAGAAGAAAAAGTTGCAGTCTCAGAAAGCCTTCCATTAAAACAATTTATTTTATCACTACCCAGAGTCTCATATTTCTGTCTCTGATACTTTCCCTGCCATGGTTCCACCGAGAACCCCTGGCCCCTGGTCTCCTTGGAATTTTCTGTATACTCCACTGGGATCCTGTAGTGTGTCATCTAGGGGTGTAGAGAGGTGGGTGGCCTTCTCTTGCCGTCATGCTCCCAGTGTCTGTGTAGGCTTTACTGCTGATTGAGGTGAAGAAGAGTTGAATCCCCCAGTAAGACTCCACAAGTCGCTCAGAGGGAATCTGGCCAGAGCAGGAGCTAGCACCCTTTTCTTCCCTGCAACTCACAGGGGTAAAGTCATAGAGTCAATTCTTGGTGGGTGACATGTGATAGAAACAGACAAAAAGTAGGATGAATGAAAACTCTGCGGGTAAATTGTTTAGCCTCATTTAAAGCATTAATTCCAGCCTTTCTTCCTGCCCTCCTTTTCCTTCCCTTACAGCTCTCAGTCACTAAGTGAATGGGCTCTTGTGGACGTCACCTCTTGCCCAAGATTCTCTCTCTGGTGGGGATGCTAAGGAATACAAATAGTCCAAACAGTAAAAAGCCAAAGGCCCAGAGACTCCACCAGCAGGGACTTTACCACAAATAATTCAGTGCTGACTCCAGAAGAAAGGAGGATGGACCTGTCTTCTTTGCTGTTTCCTTTTTTGCCAAACAGCATAGGCCTACTGCCCTGTGGTTCTTCGCTTTTAGGCAGAGCATGTCCCAATGAAAGTGGAAGCAAAGATTGTGCTAACCAGGCCATGAGTGATGGATTTTTTCAAAATCCCATTGTAGTGGGAGATTCAATTCTCAGTGAGCTGGGCAAATTTACTGAGTACCTAGTCTGTGGCCAGAGCAGCAATGGATGGACAAGGAAATACTGACTTTAATTGATTCCTAGCTCCCCCTAACAATGTAATTTGGATTGAAACAGTGAAGAGAAAAGTTCATGACTGGGTTGAGGAGGGCTGAGGACAAGGCCGAGCACTGCATATGGAGAGAGGCCAAGATCCCCTTTCATTAGCTGAGCTGTCCTGTTGGATGGCTCCTGTGAGCTCCGGGAAGAGGAAAGGAACATAGGCCTCAAGCTCCAGCCCCAATTGAAGCCCTATATCTGGACTCGTGTTGTTTCTAGAAAAGCAAGCATCTGCTTTTGATAGATTTTAGATCTTGCATTTAGACCCTGAAAACCCAGAAGGTCATATTTATCTAACAGGTCATCTGGGCAGAGGTGTAGATGGAAGAGAGGGAGGATGGCTGGGTTGGGGACAGTCTCTAGAGAGTTTTCCTAACGAAATCCTATTTGAACGAAGATATGTAGACAGCTGACCCTGGCAACTGAGAGCCCCAAGGATGGTTAGCTTCACCTTTCTAAATCAAACAGGGACCTCCCTCCACTGGCTATACAAGGGCCAAGGGGAATCACACACTCTGAAGATTCATTGGCAAGCTTCAACCCCCACACCTTCCTCCCACCACCTGATGGACCAACAATCTCCAGGGTGTCTTTTCATACCCTGACCCCAGGCTCACAGACAGATGGTTCCATTTTTATCAGAGCCAGCTGTCACTTTCTAGGGTGAGCCTGAGGAAGGCAAATTTCATTTTAACATCCATGGATAGGAAATAAAACCAGTACTGAAAACTCGCCTTAAACTGTATTAAACTTTTCCATGCTAACCAGTTATGGGGTATTCCACCAAAGGCAGAGATAACGCAGTGTTAGCTGCTGAATTCAGGTAGATAAGAAAGAATACAATGCAGACAGTCAGGGAATCTGAGCTCTTGGCCCACAGTTGGGGGCAAGTCTTTGAATTACCTTTGGAGCCAAAATTCCTTGATCAGAATCTCCAACTCCACCATTTAACCTCCCTGGCCCTTAGTGTCCTGCTATGTGAAACAGGAATGATAATGGTAGTACCTACTTTATTAGATTGTTTGAGAAGTAAGAGGGTTAATATATGTTAAACACTTAGAACTGTATATACAATGGGTATTGTGTGTTAGTATCATCTCACCCCAGAGTGCCTTCTCCTGTAGTCTTGTGTAGTCTTCTGGGTTTGGTTGACATTTCCAGATAACTTCATCACCAACTTGACGTTTGGTTAAAAAAAAAACAAAAAAACAAAAAAAACCTGCCAATAATTGGTAACGTTTTTGTTCTTCTGTATGGTATATGGCAAATCTCAGTGGTAAACCAAGGCTGAGTCAGGAAGGAGAGGCCTGAGGAGAAGAGAAAGGCTTCACTGGAGAGAGTCTTTGTCCTCCTTAGGAAAAGAAGAAGATAAAATGTGATGATCTTATATGAGTGGGAGGGCCACAGAGAGCACTGGGAAGATGGAACTAAAACTGGCTTTGTGTTCTAAAAAGTGGGTTGGGGATCATGGAGGAATCCAGTGAGCAAGGAAGAGTGAGGGTCAGGAAGAGGTGGGAGCTAACTTCTGTCCAAGGAAAATCAGGGTCAAGGTGTCCCCTTTGACTTAGGAATTAATTCAAACACGCCATCCAAAGCTGCTCTGGAAAATGAGATATGACATATCCATGCCTTAATGCTTCAAACACATCCCAACAGCATCACACAGGCTGAATATTTATGAGAAATTGCAATCAGCTGAACCAAGTGCCTGTTAGGCCCTTCCTCCCCACCCCCCTCCCTCCTCCTCTTCTCCTGGGTGCAGAGGTCATTCTAGCTGGACAAATACTGGATTGTCTGCCGAGATTTATAACATGACTATTTTACAAATGAATCTTTAGAGTTTGCAGGACTTTGCACGTGCCTGGATGAACGTTCCTTTTTCCTGGGTGCATGCCTATAGAGAAAACACTTTCTAAGGGAGAACCTGCAAAGCAAATATGAGGGGGACCACATCAAAAGCAGGAAACACCAAAGCAGGCTTCACACGATCTGCATATGTACGTTTACGCCAACAGATCACGCAACACAAAAACAAGATGTTTCTTTCCCCCGTCTTTTATTTTTTCACCAGATACACACTGTTATATTCCCCAAAGAAAGATTTCTTTCCTGTGCCATATTGTCTTGACATCATTAATGAACTGATATATTAGATTATCCCCAATTAATTATGAAGGTTGAAGGTAATAAATGGATAAAGCTAATTTTTTAAAAAGACCAAAAAATACCAGTATAAGGAAAACATGTCTGATTTCCTGAGCCATTACAAGATCTTCTGTGTATATCTTTGCTTTTGTAAATACATAATTCAAAATAATATTTCCCCTTCATTTATTCAAGAAATACTTACTGGCACTTACTGCATGTCAGGTACTATCGTTCTAGACACTGGAGATCTATCAGTAGACCAAATAGATAAAAATCCTTACCTTCATGAACCCTACATTCTAGTCAGGGAGATAACAAATAAATGTGTGAATATATGTATGTGTATGTGTGTGTGTCAGATGATTTTAAAAATCTATGCAAATTGGCCGGGCGCAGTGGCTCATGCCTGTAATCCCAGCACTTTGGGAGGCCGAGGCAGGCGGATCACCTGAGGTCAGGAGTTTGAGACCAGCCTGACCAATATGGGGAAACCCTGTCTCTACTAAAAATACAAAATTAGCCAGGCATGGTGGCACATGCCTGTAATCCCAGCTATTCGGGAGGCTGAGGCAGGAGAAGCGCTTGAACCCGGGAGGCGGAGGTTGTGGTGAGCAGAGATCGTGCCGTTGCACTCCAGCCTGGGCAACAAGAGTGAACTCCGTCTCAAAAAAAAAAAAAAAAAAAATCTATGCAAATTATAGCAGGTAAAGGAGATACTAGGGGTAGCCATTTATTTTTATTTATTTATTTTTAATTTTTTTTTGAGACAGAGTCTCACTCTGTGGCCCAGGCTGGAGTACGGTGACACGATATCGGCACACTGCAACCTCCACCTCCCGGGTTCAAGCAATTCTCCTGCCTCAGCCTCCTGAGTAGCTGGAACTACAAGCACACGCTACCATGCCCGGCTAATTTTTGTATTTTTTAGTAGAGACTAAACATGGGTTTTGCCATGTTGGCCAGGCTGGTCTGGAACTCCTGACCTCAGGTGATCTGCCTACCTTGGCCTCCCTAAGTGCTGGGATTACAGGCATGAGCCACTGTGCCCAGCCTGGTAGCCATTTTAAACAGTATGGACAAGGAAGAAGAGAGTGGCCACTGAGAACGTGACGTCTGAGAGCCCTAAGGCTGCTGAGTCAGCCATATGGACATCTAGGAGGAGAGCATTCCAGGCAGAGGTAATAGCAAGTGCAAAGGCCCTGGGGCAGGAAGAGAAACATATAGCAGAGCCACTAGAGCAGAGAGAGAGGGATAGTTCTGGTTCACAGAGATAAACAGGTGCAGGGGCACAATGACAAAGGGCCTTGTGACCATTTGTAAGCACTTCGGCCAACTGGTGTAAGAACTTTGGCTTTTACTTTGTGTGAGCTGGGAGCCAGCAGAGAATTTTGAATACAGCAAGGACAAGATACGACTTCTGTTTTAAAAGGATCCCTCTGATTGCTGAGATTTTGGGGAAGGGAGTGCCAACAGTGACAGCAAAGAGATTATCAGGAAGTTGTTGCCATAATCTAAGCATAGGTGATGAGAGCTGATCTGATTCTGTATTTTGAAGGTACAGGATTTGAAGATACCAGGATTTCCTGTTGGTTTAGATGTAGAATGTGAGAAAGAGTGATAAAAAATAATTCCAAGATTTGGGCCCTAAACAAAGTAGGAAATAGAAATTAGTGTTGTTGGCCAGGTGTGGTAGCTCACACCCATAATCCCAGCACTTTGGGAGGCCAAGGCAAGAGGATCTCTTGAACCCTGGAGTTTGTGACCAGCCTGGGCAACATAGCAAGACTTTGTCTCCACTAAAAATTAAGAAAATCCAGGTATGGTGGCGTGCACCTGTGGTCCCAGCTACTCAGAAAGCTAAGGCAAGAGGATTGCTTGAGGAGGTCAAGGCTGCAGTGAGCCAAGATTGCACCACTGCACTCCAGCCTGGGCAACAGAGCGAGACCCTGTCTCAAAAAAAAATAAAATAAAATAAAAAATAAAAATAAAAATAAACCCTGCTGTTGTAGAAAGTGAAAAACAATGTTACACAAACATAGGCTGTATCTTGGTTTTTCTTTAAAGTGGTACCTTAGGAAGCATCTTAGTAGTATGTTATGCTGTAATGTGATATTATCATATCCCTAATATGATGTCAGGCTCTTCAGTAACATGACATTCATTTGGTTGATGTATTAGTCCATTCTCACACTGCTATAAAGACATACCTGAGACTGTATAATTTATAAAGAAAAGAGGTTTAATCAGCTCACGGTTATGTGGGCTATACAGGCTTCTGCTTCTGGGGAGGCCTCAGGAAACTTACTATGATGGTGGAAGTCGAAGTGGAAGCAAGCACGTCTTACGTGGCAGGCAGGAGGAGGAGAGAGAAGGGGGACATGCTACACACTTCCTTTTTTTTTTTTGGATGGTAGTTTCGTTTTATTTTATTTTATATATATATATATTTTTTTATCATACTTTAAGTTCTAGGGTACATGTGCACAACGTGCAGTTTTGTTACATATGTATACATGTGCCATGCTGGTGTGCTGCACCCATTAACTCATCATTTACATGAGGTATATCTCCTAATGCTATCCCTCCCCCCTCCCCCACCCCACAACAGGCCCTGGTGTGTGGTGTTCCCCTTCCTGTGTCCAAGTGTTCTCATTATTCAATTCCCACCTATGAGTGAGAACATGCAGTGTTTGGTTTTTTGTCCTTGTGATAGTTTGCTGAGAATGATGGTTTCCAGCTTCATCCATGTCCCTACAAAGGACATGAACTCATCATTTTTTATGACTGCATAGTATTCCTTGGTGTATATGTGCCACATTTTCTTAATCCAGTCTATCATTGTTGGACATTTGGGTTGGTTCCAAGTCTTTGCTATTGTGAATAGTGCCACAATAAACATACATGTGCATGTGTCTTTATAGCAGCATGATTTATAATCCTTTGGGTATATACCCAGTAATGGGATGGCGGGGTCAAATGGTATTTCTAGTTCTAGATCCCTGAGGAATCGCCACACTGACTTCCACAATGGTTGAACTAGTTTACAGTCCCACCAACAGTGTAAAAGTGTTCCTATTTCTCCACACCCTCTCCAGCACCTGTTGCTTCCTGACTTTTTAATGATTGCCATTCTAACTGGTGTGAGATGGTATCTCATTGTGGTTTTGATTTGCATTTCTCTGATGGCCAGTGATGATGAGCATTTTTTCATGTGTCTGTTGGCTGCATAAATGTTTTCTTTTGAGAAGTGTCTGTTCATATCCTTCATCCACTTGTTGATAGGGTTGTTCGTTTTTTTCTTGTAAATTTGTTTGAGTTCATTGTAGATTCTGGATATTAGCCCTTTGTCAGATGAGTAGATTGCAAAAATTTTCCCCCTTTCTGTAGGTTGCCCGTTCACTCTGATGGTAGTTTCTTTTGCTGTGCAGAAGCTCTTTAGTTTAATTAGATCCCAATTGTCAATTTTGGCTTTTGTTGCCATTGCTTTTGGTGTTTTAGACATGAAGTCCTTGCCCATGCCTATGTCCTGAATGGTATTGCCTAGGTTTTCTTCTAGGGTTTTTATGGTTTTAGGTCTAACATGTAAGTCTTTAATCCATCTTGAATTAATTTTTGCATAAGGTGTAAGGAAGGGATCCAGTTTCAGCTTTCTACGTATGGCTAGCCAGTTTTCCCAGCACCGTTTGTTGAATAGGGAATCCTTTCCCCATTTCTTGTTTTTGTCAGGTTTGTCAAAGATCAGATAGTTGTAGATCTGTGGTATTATTTCTGAGGCCTCTGTTCTGTTCCATTGGTCTATATCTCCATTTTGGTACCAGTACCACGCTGTTTTGGTTACTGGGTGCTACACACTTTTGAGTGACCAGATCTCATGAGAACTCTAGCACGAGACAGCACTGGGGGACGGTGCTAAAACCATTAGAAACCACCCCCATGATCCAATCACCTCCCACCGGGCCCCACCTCCAACACTGGGATTTACAATTTGACAGGAGATTTGGGCGGGGACACAGAGCCAAACCACATTAGTCGACAAGTGTTTATTGAGTGCTTACTATACGCTACATACTTCTCTAGGCATGGGAAGAAAAGCAGTTTATAAAAGGTCACTTCCCTATGGGGTTTACATTCAACTGGGAGGGAGCCAACAAGAACTAAACAATATACTAAATATACACTAAATAAACAAAAATACGAGTGTTGATATATACTAGAAAGAAGAACAAAGCAGAGAAACGTGAAAGAGGAGGGTGGGGAAGGAGGTGGATTCATATTTGCATGGGTAACTTTGCTTTCCAAGATAGGATTTCTTTTGGGCACCCTGACCAAAAAGATAACTGAGTGAATATTTCTGAATCACCTGCACTGTCTGCTGAAGACTTTGTTTCCCTACTGCTTCCTCCTCTAGGAGATTCTATCAGTTCCCCCTTGCTGCTGTAACAAATTACCAAAAATGTGGTGGCTTTAAATAACAGAAATTTATTCCCTCACAGTTCTGGAGGCCAGAAGTCCAAAATCAGTATCACTGGACCAAAATCAGGCTGTCAACAGGCTGTCACTCACTCCAGAAGCTCGAAATTTAGGAGACTCTTACCTTGATTCTTCCAGCCACTATTGGCTGTCAGCAGTTCTTGGCTTGTGGCCACATCACTCCTATCTCCGCCTCCGTGGTCACATCGCCTTCTCTTCTGTGTCAAGTCTCCCTCTTCCTCCCTCTTATAAGGATACATGTGATTGTATTCACAGCCCACTGTGTTGCTTAGGATAATCTTCCTTAATTACATCGGCAAAGACCCTTTTTCCTTTTAATGTAACATTTACAGGATGGAGGCATTAGGACCTGACATCTTTGGGGGTCATTATTCAGCCTAATACAGAGACTTTATCACAAACCCACACATTCAAAGCCAGAAAAGAGAACTTAAGGTGACACTTTCTTTTGTACAACTTTTTCCATTATAATTCATCATTATTTTCATAAAATAGGTTGTCTTGTCCAGGAAACATGGATGGTAACAAGAAAGACACTTGTTTCTTAATCAATACAAAACCTACTTTCAGGAACCACACTTTGGGGCAATTGAATCAATAAGTCAATGAAAAACAAGCATGTTGCTCATGTTTGTATCATGGAGACAAAACAATAGGTTGCCACTGTAGTTAGGGTTAACCATTTATCTACTCATTTGTTCATCGAGTAAATATTTACTGCTGCCTTATAGAGTTGTGGTTAAGAGCTCAGAGTAAGGAGTAATTCAAATCTGATTTCAAATCCTGACTCTACCACTTACTAGCTGTGAGATCTTTGGAAGGCAACTTAACCTCTCTGAATGTTTCCTTACCTGAAAATGGGGTTGTCTGGGGATTAAATGAGATAGAAGATGCATAAAGCCCTTTGCCTGGTACATAAGAAAGGGCTCAATAAATGTTCATCATTAGCATCCAATTCAGGAATACAACATGAGATAGCACAATGGGCCCCTTCCCTACTGTCACTGTCTTCCTCCCACCAGAATATAGGTTTTGTGAGAGCAGGGATGTGGTGTTTTGTTCACTGGTTTGTCCCCAGCATCTGGTACCTGACACACATTGGCACTCGGTAAATATTCTTCAAATAAGGGAATGTGTGTATGTGTATCGTGGAGTTTACTAGTTTTATGTTTGGAAAATGACCCCAATACACACCTCCCACCACCACTATCACCATCACTCTCTGGGGCCTCCCAAGATTCAAAGAAAGAAGCAAGTCATTGGTATTACTTCTATTGCTGGGGATAAGGAGAAAGAAGAGATGAAAATGGCAGTCCTGGGTGGTGTTTTATGGCTAGTGTATTACTATGGATCGTTGGAAGTGTGACTTGTTTAGTACTAAACTAAAAGTCAAAGTTAAAACAACTGAGAGAGCTAAAGAAAAACAGGCCACCTCTCAAACTCATTTCAGCTTTGAGCTGGCACTAAAAAGGGGGGAAAAACCCAACACTTATGCCTAGCCATGGGTCCAATTTCTGTATACCACCTGCAAATACTCCTACTATTCACAGAAAGAAGATCAGATTGCAAACTTCTTAAGGACAAAGACCTTATGTTATGCCTATCAGCCTAACCCAGGTTCTTCATTCCTTTGACTATGTTCTTTGTACATTTTCAATATGCAAAACACGTAAGTGCAGTGGGGAGACACTGCACTTGAGTGTGAGTGCTCATTCAACAAACCTCTTTTGCACACTGACTTTGAGTCAGGCATGGTAGTGGGTGGTGGGGATTCTAAAATGCCCTGAAGGAGTTCCCAGCCTGGCTGGGGAGACAGACAACTTAGCAAGTGATTTCAATTACAGAGTGTAGGTGTTAGAAAGAATATTGATAGGACAATAGAGGAAGTTCTGCTTGGATGGCAATCAAAGTTTCCTTGGTAGATATGTAAACTGTGTCATGAAGAATGAATGACAGTTCACCAGGTGAATGGGGAGCAGAGGATAGTGGAGGAGGCATTCCAGACCCACAATGCAAAGCGAATGTCCAAATCAATGAGTTCATAGTGTTTCAGTCCAAATCCTCTGTCCTCATTGATTCCTCCAACCCAGCTCTGCATGCCTGAGACCCCTGCCTGAACTTCTCTTGCCCTGGCTCTGTAAATCATGATCTGACAGAGTGAAATGTGTTCTCCAGGCTGCAGGGTGTCAGGTCAAGGTAATGGGTCACTGGTCAGCCGGTGCCCCAGCAGAGTGAACCAGGGCCTGAGAATCAAATATGTAGCCCCCACATCTCAGATGAGCAGAGGTGGGGCATGGGGTAAAGCATGTGATGTTTACGTTCAGAAACTGCAAAGCCACTAGCTTGCAAAGTGTCATTACATCTGCAGGTGGAGGGTAATTTTCCTGTTACTCAAGGTCTCCTAATCAGGCTCTGATTGGTTTGTGGGGAATTGTTTTATGACCCAGAGCCAGGCAGCGATAGATAGGAGATGTGGTTTGGTGGGCAGCAGTTTACAAGGCAGGAAATTGCTTCACTGGGCACAACCATTCATAAGAAACACCTCTGGGAAAAGGAGACCCGGGATCCTGGCAGGTCCACCCCTGGCCATCTGTTTACATCAGCAACAACCCACGTTCCTGGTTACACAATGTGGCAGCGTCATTTTGAGTGGGGGATCTTTGCCCCTTGGAAGAATAAACACATTCCTCACTCTCAATAGAATTAGCAGACCTCACAGACTTTTCAATGACTCTCCTGGAGGCCTTAATGTCATAGGAAGGTGACTCTAAACATGATTAGCTGTACAACCTCATTCATTCCAAATTCAGCTGAATTTTCCTTTAAGGGCAGTGAAGGCTTAGATGAAGATACTCCAAAGGCGAAGGGCGGAAGTGATAATCCTTTGTCAGGATTGTCAGTTGCCAAAGCCATGCCAAGTTTCTTAGGAACAATCCAATAGGGCCGGGCACGGTGGCTCATGCCTGTAATCCCAGCACTTTGGGAGGCTGAGGCGGGCGGATCATTTGAGGTCAGGAGTTCAAGACCGGCCTGGACAACACGGCGAAACCCTGTCTCTCCTAAAAATACAAAAAAAAAAAAAAAAAAAAATAGCTGGGCGCAGTGGTGTGCTCCTGTAATCCCAGCTACTCAGGAGGCTGAGACAGGAGAATCCACTTGAACTCAGGAGGCAGAGGTTGCAGTGAGCCGAGATTGCGCCACTGCATTCCAGCCTGGGCGACACAGTGAGACTCTATCTCAAAAAAAAAAAAAAGGAAAAATCCATTCAGGGCTTAGGGTCATTGGTCAGTCTGGGGAGGAGGAGGCAGGGCTGTGGGTTGTTCGGACACGTTGCCCACATTTCCACTGTCCCATCAGCTCTGCAATTCCTTAGCTGAGTTCTAGAGTCCAGAGTTTTTAGCACCTAGAGCCATCAAATCCGTGTGCGCCATGGGGAGGAAAGATAAGGGGCAGTGGCAGAGTCTCCAGAACCACAGGGGTCTGTCTGGAGAGTCACTGGAAGCCTCCAGCCCAGCACTGTTCAGTAAAATCAAGAGATGCCAGGCACGGTGGCTCATGCCTGTAATCCTAGCACAAATTAGCCAAGTGTGGTGGCATGCACCTGTAGTCGCAGCTACTTGGGAGGCTGAGGTGGAACGATCCCTTGAACCCAGGAGGCGGAGGTTGCAGTAAGCCAAGAGCCAAGATCATGCCACGGCACTCCACCCTAGGTGACAAAGTGAGACCCTGTCTCAAAAGAGTCATGCCCCAAAGCTTCCTCCTCCCCACCCTATTTGTAAACTCCATCTTACTCCCATCCTGGCCAGGTGAGCTTCACCTCCCTAAGGTCTCAGGTTCTGTATCTTTGAAATGGAGAGAATCATGGCACTTAACTTCACAGCCCTAATTTGAGGACTAAATGAAATAATGAATTTCCTTATTCTTAAGTGTGTTTGCACACTTAAGGTTTGGTGCATTTTCTCTGGGGCAGTCGAGCAGGAGGAGGGACTTGGAGGTGAATTTCATTTTACGTTTGTTTTTACTTTCCATATGAGGAATCATAGACAATCTATTGTTATCCCTGACTTAGTCCAGGACCTACTAACTGTGTTCTTAGGCTATTGGGCAGAACATCCAGGAGCAGTCAGCAGAAGAAAGCCCTGGGCTTGCCCCATTTGAACTTGCTTTGTTTGCTTCCATGGAGACCATTTGTTTAATTTTGTCTCTCACTTGCAAATTCTAAGGGGGCCCAGACCATGCCATTCTTGCTTACCACTATATCTCCAGGACTTCATACAGTGCCTGAAGCATAGTAGGTTCTGTATAAAGACTTGTTGAATAAATAAGAAAATGCATTAATGTGTGAGTGAAAAAAATGAGGGCATCACACTTCTTTAAAAACTTAAAAAACACTAATACGGTGAATCCATAATAAACCTATATGGACTTGGGATCATAGAACTTCTCCATTACCAGATAAAATGTAGTCTTTACTCCGTTTCCTCATACAGATAAAGCAATTGTGTCAGGGAACACTAAACGGGGCATTGTACTAAAGCTACCAAGGCAGTTGTGAGAACAATCCCTAGACCAGGACCCTTTAGATAGATAATTAGTTCAAGTATCTGCATTAGCTGTTAGTTGTTTTTGTTTTTGTTTTTGAGACAGAGTCTCATTCTGTCTCCCAGGCTGGAGTGCAGTGGTGCAATCTCGGCTCACTGCAACCTCTGCCTCCTGGGTTCAAGCGATTCTCCTGCCTCAGCCTCCCAAGTAGCTGGGATTACAGGCATGTGCCGCCATGCCTCATTTTTGTATTTTTAGGAGAGACAGGGTTTCACCATGTTGGCCAGGCTGGTCTCGAACTCCTGACCTCAGGTGATCCGCCCGCCTTGACCTCCCAAAGTGCTCGGATTACAAGCGTGAGCCACCGCACCTGGCCGTGTTAGTTGTTGTGAACTCCCCTCAGGATCCCATGCTCACTGCTGCTTCTGCCCTACTCATTCTCTGTGAAGGAGACTACAAAAAGATTGATGGCCATTGCCCCAGACATCTGGGGAATATGGTCACTGGCCACCTGATCTCCAAACCCTGCTGTAGGGACCAGGATAAGCCGAGAGGTGGAGGGATGGTCCTGTGGGGTCTGACTGAAGGAGTGTGTGACCAGGGCAGCATAGGCCAAATCCAGAACAGTGTTTCCAGGTCACGGGCATGGACCATGCAAGTGTGTTAGAAATCCACTTTGGGGTGGCACCCTGAATGTGGTACATCTGGGCCTGATGTCCCAAAAGGCAAGCTTCTCAAGCTAGGGTAATAGGGCTGTGAGCCAGAGGTTGCAAGAAGTCACAGGAAAGATGGCTTATCTTCCTGGAATGTCCATTTTATTCAGATATAAGAAATGTTAACTGCATTTTTCAATAAAAGCAAACAGATGGATTATGGTAGAAAATAGAAAATTTAAATGTACTTTTTTTTTTTTTTGAGACGGAGTCTTGCTGTGTTGCCCAGGTTAGAGTGCAATGGCGCAATGTCGGCTCACTGCAAGCTCCGCCTCCCGGGTTCACGCCATTCTCCTGCCTCAGCCTCCCGACTAGCTGGGACTACAGGCGCCCGCCACCACACCCAGCTAATTTTTTGTATTTTTAGTAGAGACGGGGTTTCACCGTGTTAGCCAGGATGGTCTCAATCTCCTGACCTCGTGATCCACCTGCCTTGGCCTCCCAAAGTGCTGGGATTACAGGCGTGAGCCACCATGCGCAGCCTAAACATACTTTTAAGACAAAACATGGGGCTTCGAAGAAAGTTTCTGTGTGCAGTGATCTAAAACCCCATGCCCCTTGTGAAGTGTGAATTCACTCTCTGCCACTAATGGTACTTCACATGAAAAGCTTCAAAAGCGCTGACTGCAAACAGCCACACAGAAAACACCACCCATGGACACTGCACCACACTGCCCACACATACACTGCTAGGCCCCCACTCCACACAGTAAAGGTCCCCTCCATGAGACAATGGCATTGGGATGCAACAGCCTCTCATATCATGTGGGCTGACTCTCAGTCCTCAAGAGATCAACTGGTTGTCCTTCTTCCCACAGGTTCTCAGAGATATCAGTCCCTGTCTGAAAGGAGGAGCTACACCCACGATGTTAATTTCTCTATTCCCACTGTCCAGCATGCTTGGCACAGATGAGGCATTCAATTAATGTGTGTTGGGATGAACTGAACTCCAGACAGATGCCTGGACCTCCTCGTTCCTTCCTCCTGAGGGTGGAGGCAGCTGTGGCCTCAAATCCACAGGCAGCCTAAACCAAATGGTATGGGGCAGAGCTAACAAGTACAGCTCCAGCTAGGGCCCAGTGGGGGCCAGTTTCACTTCTTTTCTTCCCAGAGCTAAAGGGCTGAAAAATCCATTCCAAGTGAAGATACTAGAAATTACTTTTATTCCCATTGTTGAGAGGAGGATACAAGTCACAAAGGAAAAGGCTCCACATGCTGTTAGTTGGCAAGTTATCACCTCCACTCTGGAATGTACCAAGACCAATGGTGAGTAGGTATCTGAGTCTCTGGCATCTGTGGTAAGTTCACTCTGGGCAAACTTTCCCAAGACCCTAGGCCTCTGGTTGTCAAAGCAGCTTCCTGGGGTCCCCAGATCCAGCTCTTCCTCTGACCTCTAGGGAAGTGAAGCTTCAGTGGGTCTCCCCGACTCCAGCATAAGCCCCTGAGAGTGGGAATGGTGTCCAATTAATCTTTGTATCCCTACTGCTTAGCAGGTTCGCTGCACATAAGATACCCTGAAGAAATATGTGCTGGTAATGATGACACCATTCACCTAGTCATTTAACAAATATTTATGTTCTGTGCAGTCTTTTGGGCCTAGGAATTCAATGATGAATCAGAAACAGTGTCTTCCCTTAAGGGGCCCATAGCTTAGTAGGGAAGGCTAACAACTGCCAACTGCAATATGGTGTAAACACAATGACAGAGGCCTGTACAGAATAAAGAGGCAGCACAAGGGCCCTCCAGCCAGTGCAGGTGCTGCCTGCTCTCTAGTTGGTGGACTCAGAAGCTTCAAGTGGGGACTTTTAAAGCCATTGAGGTGGGCTCAGTCTCCTGTAGCTGAAGTCATGGGAGGGTGGGGGAGAGGGAGGGTCATGTTCGAAGGTGGGCTTTCACAGTCACAGGAATGCCCAGCGTGGGCGGGCCAGAGGGTGACCTTCTCATCACCCTGTAGGAAAGTGAGGCCCAGCTAACACCTGTTGGAACAGGTAACTCCCATTTGCCCATTGTCCTGTGTTTGCAGAGGAGGAGCAGGGAACTCCTCAGGGAGTAAGAGGGACTGGGTCACAACCAGGTGAGCCTCCTTTTGGCACCACAAGCATTAGCACAGAGATAGGGCGGCCGCCCTGGGCAGGATTTATAACTCCAGATTTCAAGGTCTTATCATAAACAAGCTCTTTCTGAATTGCAACATGTCAGGGGCAGGGGGAGCAGGCAGACAGACAGACTAGAGAGCGGTGTTGGGGGTGGGGGGCATTAGAATGTGGCTGATAGGGAAATTGTGGGGGAGAGATGGAGCTATTCATGGCTAATATTGTATGGGACATGGAACTGGTTAATAATAATGCTTTGCTTCTTATCCCATTCCCATGGCCCAACCCTGAAAGGTAATAAAACATGATTTGGAACATAGTGAAATCCTGGGGCAAGGCAAGCCCAGAGAGGCGAGCATTGTTTTACGCAGGCTCCTGCTCTCTAGAACTTTCTTCCCCACTCCATGGATTCCTCATCAGTGCATTTTATTGAGTGTGAGTAGGGGGTGGGTGGGGAATGTCTCTGGTCATTACCTAAGGCTTCTGAGCTGTCGCTGGGAAATGGCAAATTGCCCACTCATGCTGCTTTGGTGGGGAGAAGGGGTGAAGCATGGGGCAGGAGTTGGGGAGGCACCTGGCAGAGGCGTGATTGGGGACCTCAGGGCAAAGTGGAGAGACCTGCTGTGGCCCCTTAAGGCACCAGTGCTGCCTCTGGATGCCTCTTTCTCTCTTCAAGTCTTCCCTTGACTTTCATTCTCACCGGATGCCACCTGAATAAAGACAATGACCAAGGGAAGCAGCCTGCTCTCCAACTGGCCCTGGAACACACTCCTGTAAACTACCTTGAAGGGAGGGGGACTAGGTGTCCCCTTCACTACAGGCCTGTCACTAGCCCTTCTGGACTTGGGCCTGGTTTTCCTTCTGTTCAGACCAGGTGGGATGGCAGGCTCAGCAGGGGCTGAAAGATGTCCCTCGGAGGACCCCCAGAGCATGCCTCCCTCCTCCTGCTTCTCCCGAGACATCAAACACACCAGGCCCGGGTAGGCAGGTGGAGTTAATAAACGCAGTGAGGCTTCAGGAAGGCATGGAGGCCTCTCCTTCAGACTCCCAACTCCAGCCTGAGCAAATCCCCTGTGACTTCAAAGCCAGCAGCTTGTTTGCCTGGCCACAGGGCAGCAACAATGCTTTCCCTTTTGACCTAAGAAAGCATCCTTGGGGCTGGGCGCGGTGGCTCACGCCTGTAATCCCAGCACTTTGGGAAGCTAAGGTGGGCGGATCCCCTGAGATCAGGAGTTTGAGACCAGCCTGGGCAACATGGTGAAACCCCGCCTCCACTAAAAATACAAAAATTAGCTGGGCATGGTGGCACACACCTGCAATCCCAGCCACCTGGGAGGCTGAGGCAGGACAATCACTTGAACCTGGGAGGCGGAGGTTGCAGTGAGCTGAGATCGCACCACTGCACTCCAGCCTGGGCGACAGAGTAAGACTCCATCTCAAAAAAAAATAATAAATAAATAAACAAACAAACAAATAAGCATCCTTGGCATCGTTGCTGGAGGACTGCTGGCCAAGGTGGGGAGTGGAGAGGTCACTGACCTAAACCCTGCTTAGGGGCTCTGAGGTAGGCATTCCTGCCAGCCTGCCCTGCTGATCCAAGACCAGGGGGATATGTTGGGCATGCCTGATAGAAACCGTATCCCCACACTCCTGGAAAGACTGACCCAGCCAGGACTCAGAGCAGACAGAACAGGCCCACCTCAACCCAGCAGGGCATGGCAGGCCACATCAATGCACCCAGGAATGGAGACCATACCATGCACTTGCTGGTCCCCTGACGGCACCCTTATTTCCAGGGATTCACACCATGAACGTGGCAGTACGTGTGCTTGTCTGTGCCAGGTGTATGTGTATGCATAGAAGTGTGCACATCCCGGCTGGGCGCAGTGGCTCATGCCTGTAATCCCAGCACTTTGGGAGGCTGAGGCGGGTGGATCACCTGAGGTCAGGAGTTCAAGACCAGCCTGACCAACATGGCAAAACCCTGTCTCTACTAAAAATAGAAAATTAGCTGGGTGTGGTGATGCATGCCTGTAATCCCAGCTACTTGGGAGGCTGAGGCAGGAGAATCGCTTGAATCTGGGAGGCAGAGGTTGCAGTGAGCCGAGATCATGCCATTGCACTCCAGCCTGGGTGACAAAGCGAAACTCTGTCTCAAAAAAATAAAATAAAATAAAATAAAATAAAATAAAATAAAATAAAATAAAATAAAATAAAATAAAATAAAATAAAATAAAATAAATGTGCACACCCCAGTGATCCCAGACATCACCACACGGTTCTTTAGGAACTATGCTCTTGACTTGCATCCTGAAAAAAAATAAAGCTATGCTTGATCTAAAAGCAAGGGCCTCCTATTGCTGCTATCACCAGTTTAAAAAATAAAATTAAAGCAAAAGCCAGAGAGCTATATATGAGAAGCAGTAACTTAATTCAACCTGTCAGCTCAAGAAATGAAGAAACCTATCTTAGGACAGGAGGCTTACATACCCTTCAGCTAACTTCTGCCAAGTTGATGATGAAACACTCATACTTTCGGGGATCCTCATATTGAAGTTTAAAAAAACCCCACATTATAGCATCCAGCACCCAGTGGATCTTCGACAAGATGCTTTGGTAATGATTATGATGATTTTTTCCCTGAAGAAAGGCCTCCATGTATTCTCTAGCCCATGAAAAAGAGGGTATGGAGAGTGTCTAAGCTCTTTCTGAATATTTGACCTCACCATTGTGACATTGTAGGTTAAGCGGAGGTGTCTGGACACTAAAGTCACCCTGAGCTGGGTTCACATTCTTGTTTCTGTCACTTATTCCCTATGTGACCCTGACTACACTAACACTCCGAGCCTACGTTTCCTCATCTGGAAAGGAGCTAAAGCCTGCTGGCAGTTCCTATCCTAAGAAAGTAATCATGTTCTTGGTTATTATAATTAGAAATCATTTGGCAAAGAACAGCTTATGGACGAAAACCCAGGACTGGGGCTGCACACCCCACACAGATATCCATTGCAGCTCCCTCCACAATTTAGTGAGACAGTGTAAGATAGTGGTTAAGAGCACTGGAGCTGGACTGCATGAACTCCAATCCCACTCTGCCACTTTTAGCCATGTGACCTTGGACAAACACTTAATCTCTGTGCCTCAGTTTCCTCAACTGTAAAACAAAGATAATAACATTATGTACCACACAGGACTGTTGTCCTTTGGATGAAATGAATTAACGTCATGAAATGAGTTCACATCTATAAAGTGCTTAGAACAGTGGGTGGCACATCACAAGTGCCACATGCTTGCAGTTTTTATTATTGCACTGTCAATGCTAGACACGTACAACACTGTCCTTGTGAATATTACACAGGCAAAGTTACAAGTATTTATTGAAGATGAGGAGCATGTGTTGGGGTGGAGGATGTCTATTGATTTGTAAGTATGAGTTTTTGAGCAGGATAGGCAGAAGGGAGATATGGGTAGCTAGGATTTCGGTCTCAAAAACATATCTCGAAGTTGATTTGTGCTAGTCAGATGGAAGGGTGGATGCCAATCCCACTAAACCAGGAGGTGTGAGACTGAGCTGAGGAGAGCACTCCTGCCGCCCCTTCCCTTCCTGTGGATCTTCCAACATCAAGTAAGTTTTTTAAAAATTCATGAAGTGGTTTCATGTAAGAAATTGAGGCTGGAAGTGGTGGCTCACGCCTGCAATCCCAGCACTTTGGGAGGCCGAGGCAGGTGGATCACTTGAGGCCAGGAGTTCAAGACTAGTTTGGCCAACATGGCAAAACACCGTCTCTACTAAAAATACAAAAATTAACTGGGTGTGGTGGTGCACGCCTGTAATCCCAGCCACCTGGGAGGCTGAGGCATGAGAATCGCTTGAACCCGGGAGGCAGAGGTGCAGTGAGCCAAGATTGCGCCACTGCACTCCGGCCTGGGTGACAGAGCAAGGTTCCATCTCAAAAAAAAAAGAAATTGAATTTTAATTCTATAGTAAAAATCCCAATGTACCAGTGTTCTGAAATTTGAGGATGGTATTTTATTCTGTCCTGGGACAGCAGTCCTAATGACTTTCCCTACCCCTGACCAAGCAGGTGTTTCCTGGTAACCTGCTGCAGCCTCCAAGCTGCAGGTGCTGCCCCATTTGTCTCCAAAACAGAGTAGATTTCTGTCCTGGTTCCTTCCCCACAGACTTTGCTCTGTCTTGGAGAGCTCCAGAGTGCTGCAGGAAAGGGCATAGGGGATGAAAGATTAAAAACAAACAAATATACCTCCATGGCTTCTGGTCTGAATGATTAGGCAATGCAGGACAATTTGTCTTTGCATTCTGCAAGTGCAGGCCTCGCTCTATATACAGAAGGCATGCTTGATCACATTTATAGATGGCCAATTATGAAGTAACCACACAAATTATTAAATTTAGTGAGGATATATATAAATTCCTGTCTTCAGAAGCATTTTTCTTCTCTTTTTTAACATACAAATAGTATATTTTCAGAAATGCAGTTCAAATAAAAAATATATGGAGGGCTTAATTAACCCTAAACTCACCACAAATAAGCAGTGTGTCATAGCTACTAAAGACACAAATCTAGACAGCATCAATAGAAGTAACTGTGTCCAGATGATATGAGGCCCACTTTGTTTGCAATCCAAATACATCTTAAAAACCTAGCCATCATTTTCTTTACTTTTGTTTTCTTTCTTTTTTTTTTTTTTCTTGAGACAGAGACTCACTCTGTCACCCAGGCTGGAGGCAGCAGTGCGATCTTAGCTCACTGCAACCTTCCCCTCCCCTGCTCAAGCAATCCTCCCACCTCAGCCTCCCAAGTAGCTGGGACTAAGGTGCATGCCACCATACCCGGCTACTTTTTGTACTTTTTTTTATAGAGATGGGGTTTCACCATGTTGCCCAGGCTGGTCTCGAACTCTTGGCCTCAAGCAGTCCTCCCATGTTGGCCTCCCAAAGTGCTGAGAGTGCAGGCATGAGCCACCAAACCCAGCCCCATCTAATTTTTGTATTTTTTGTAGAGACAGGTTTTTGCCACGTTGCCCAGGCTGGTCTTGAACTCCTGAGCTCAAGGGATCCACCTATCCCGACCTCCCAAAGTGCTGGGATTATAGGCGTGAGCCACTGCACCCGGCCTAGGCAACATTTTCAAGAGGGACATTTGCCAACTAGAAAGCACTGAGAGGAGAATGACCAGGATAGTGAGAAGTCTGGAAACTATCTCATTCAGACAATAACTAAACCTCCTAGAGACAGGTAGTCTGAGAAACTAACAAACATGTGAAGAGCTGTCAGGTAAAGGAGAAAACAACTCTCTAGATCAGTGGGCAGATTGTGGATTCACATGAGAATTTATTCAACAGCTTGCTGGTGAGGTGAACCCGTCCCTGGCAGTTGGTAAATGCCGGAGGATGATCTGTCATGGATGCAATACAGGGATAACTACATTACATAGTGGGTTGGATGAGACAAGAAGCCATTCAACTCTAAGAGTCAATGAATCTGTTTTTAAAAAATTATAAATAGGCAGAGTCTTCTGTTAAGGCAAAATACTTGCCTAAAACTTGCCTAAAACTCCCACTGTTAAAAACTCATTTAAATGGGTAAAAGCATTGTTTGTTCTGAAGTATCTCTTTTAAAATGCATTCTACGGCCAGGCGTGGTAGCTCATACCTATAATCCCAACACTTCGGGAGGCCATGGTGGGAGGACTGCTTGAGCCCAGGAGTTCACAGCTGCAGTGAGCCATGATCTGCACTCCAGCCTGGGCGACAGAGCAAGACTCCGCCTCAAAAAAATAAATAAGTAAATAAATAATAAGATAAAATGCAATATGTTATCTGGGATGGGCAACATATTAGCACAGATAGATTTATCAGGTAACTAGCTGGAAGGAAGTGTGGAATCATGGAAATGGCATTCAACTGGAAATCGGAAGATCTGGGTGTGAATCTCCCACTTATAAACTGTGTGGTCTTTAGCAAGTTACTTACCTCTTTGAGTTTCTTTTGTTTTTTAAATTTTTTGCAGAGACAAGGTCTCCTTATATTGTGCAGGCTGGTCTCAATCTCCTGGCTTCAAACAATCCCTTCTGCCTCAGCCTCTCAAAGTGCGGGGTTTACAGACCTGGTTACTTCTTTGAGTTTCTGTTTCTTTATCTATTAAATGAGAATAGAAATACCTATTCTCAAACACCAAAGGTGTATACATTTTGAACACCAAAGATACATACATTTTGCTGGTACAGGTCTGGCAGGCACAGCATAGCTCTAAAGCCAATAGCTCTGGTGATATATGCCTGTTAAGGTGGCATGTCCCTTTAACAGCTATCCGCTTTCACCACCTGCATTCATTTCATTGCATTTTACTGGCTATCCCAGCCAATGCAATAAGGCAAGGAAATAAACAGGCATAAGGATTGGAAAGGAAAAAATAAAATTGTTGCTATTTGTTGACAATATGATTGTTTACATAGAGAATCCAAGATAATGTATAGACAAGCTATCAGAACGACTGAAAGGATTGCTCAAGGTTGCTGGATTCAGAATCAATATACAAAAAGTCAGATGCATTCCTATACACCTGCAAAACTAATTAGAAAATGTAATCTTAAAGAGACCCTGTTACATATCTGCAAAAACTAAAAGGTATTAGCAATAGATCTAATAAAAGAAGTATTAACCCAAATGAAGAAAATGATAAAACTTTATTGGCGGACATAAAAGAAGCCCTAAATAAATAGAACAATATACCATGTTTGTGAACAGAAATACCCACTATTATAAACACAGTCAATCGTCCCCCAAATTTATCTATAAATTCAACGCAATACCAAAAAAAAAAAAAAAATCCCAACTTGGCTACATTTATATTTATATATAGTATATAAAAAACTTACAAACTAATCTTCAAATATGAACTAGAAAAGAGTCAAGAATGGCTAAGACACTTGGGGGGGGTGGGTTGTTTTTGTTTTTATTTTGAAACAGGTTCTATCTCTGTCACCCAGGCTGGAATGCAGTGGTGTGTTTCTTGGTTTGCAGACAATTGCCATTTTGCTATGTCCTCACGTGGCCTTTCCTTGCTCGTGGAGACAGAACTCTCTCTCTTCCTCTTCTTAAAAGGGCACTAATCCCACCAAGAGAGTCCTACCCTCATGACTTAATCTAAACCTAATTACTCATTACTCCCCAAAGGCCTCACCTTCAAATACCATCACACTGGGGGCTAGGGATTCAGCATATTAATTTTGGGGAAACACAAACATTCCCTCCACAACAGTCTACCAGGTACCTCAGACGATAAGGATGAAGGTGGAGTGAAAAATATAAAGACTGATGGAAATCTTTTCTTTTTTTCTTTTTCTTTTGAGACAGAGTCTCACTCTGTTGCCCAGGCTGAAGGGCAGTGGTACGATGTCAGCTCACTGCAACCTCAGCCTCTCGGGTTCAAGTGATCCTCCCACCTCAGCCTCCTGAGTAGCTGGCACTACAGGCACGTGCCACCACACCTGGCTAATTTTTGTATTTTTAGTAGAGACGGGGTTTTGCCACGTTGCCCAGGCTGGTCTTGAACTCCTGGCCTCAAGTGATCTGCCTGCCTTGACCTCCCAAAGTGCTGGGATTACAGCTGTGAGCCACCACGCCTGGCCTGATGGAAATCTTTGAAAAACAGTTAGGTTCCCAGATTCCCTTCCTTGCTTCATGCAGCCAGACCTTTGAAGAGGGTGAAACAAAGTCTCTGGAAAGCAGAATAACAGAAAAGCTGAGCCCAGGTTACTCTGTCCAATCCATGAATCTCCCTTAAACATTCCTGACAAAGGGTAAGCCAGCCTTATGCTTGAACCCGTGCAGTGACAAAGAACTCCCTCCTTACCAGTAATAATAACAATAACTAACCCTTACTGAGTGCTAACTATGTGCCTGGCCCTTTAAGCCCTTCCCATATATTGACTCTTTGAAAGTTGGCTCATTCCAAATTTGGGCAGCTCTGTCTGTAAAAGGTTCAGACAGGCCTCTAAAGTTTCCCTCCTACCTTCATGGGTCTCTAAACTGAGGAGGAAGGAGGATTTTCATCTTGGGACGGCAGGCCCATAGAGATTATATATGGCAAGAGAAATGTTCATTGTGTTACATGTTTATCATCAAAAGCACAGTCTATACCGGGCTCTAAAGTAATAGCAATAGTCATAGTTATTGTAAAGCATGTACTCACTCTACATGCATTTACCTCTCTTGATTCACATAACAATTGTATTTTTCTACAAACTGATTCTTTGAAAGATTAAGTGTTCTAAGTTTACAGAGCTAGTAACTGGCGTTCTGGCCCAGTCTGTTTGACCCAGAGGCTGAGCTGTTAATCACACCAGTCAACACAAGTTTTCATCTACTATGTTTCTGAGAAATGTGTACTAGAAAAATCTCTGAATTTGGAGAAGATCTGAGCTCTGCTCCCTCCTCTGCTACTTTCCTGTGAGCTTGAGTAAATTGTTTTCTCTTTTCCTTAAGTATAAAACAAGAGAGCTGAACTAGATGATCTCAAAAGCCCAAATTTAACTCTAATCATCTATGTTCCAAGTTAAAGGTGTCTATAATCCTTCTCCATCTGGTAACATTTCTTGGAGCATCCAATTAACATGTGGAGATGATGACGATGATGATGAAGAATAAATGAATGAATGTATGAATGAATGAAGTGAAATCTTTCACATTTTCTTTTGCAAAAGGCTACCCCTGGTCAGATGTTCCTACAGGAGGAAAGAGAGTTCTTGTCTCCCTTTTCGGTTTTGGTTGCTTTTCACCAGTTGGCCTCAAATCTATGGTGTAAATAAAGCCAGCTTCACCCCCAGGCCTTTCTCTCAAGGCCCAGCTGTAGGCTAGAAGCAGAAAGTGAATATGCAGAGTGGCCAATTAGTTCACTGTGTGCCCTCATGACCTCTGACCCCTGCTGGGCCACCCCATCCATTAGCTGTCCTCTTCCCCCTCCACCCTCTTCTCTCAGTTTGAGTCGTTGTCCTGCCATTCTCTTTCAGCAAAGAAACATGCTCAGGCATTCGGGTAGCAGCCTCCACTTTCTGCTCTTTTGTCTCCTCCCTCTGTTGCCCTTGTCGCTAACCTGGTCACCACCCCTTGACCCTACTGTTCTCGCCCCTCCTGGGGCTGGGGAGGGAAAGTATTCCAAGACAGGGTTTGCAGGGAGGAAGAAGGCAAGCCCTTGCTTTTCCTTTTCACTTGGGTTTCATTCCACAAATGAATTTTGATACTACTCCTTATTGCAAGAAATTCCCCGTAATGCTTCCTCGGGGATGATGATTTCTTTCACAAGCAAGTGTTTTGAAAAGTCCATGTGGGCGAAGGCAGCAGTATGTTCCTTTGAGATGTTGGCTATTCCTTTATGAGGTTGGAAAATATATATACAGTATATAAACATATATATTATAAATTATACATATTCTGTTGATTGAGGAAGGAAAAGCTGTTCAAGATTATGGGTATGTGAGTATATAGTTGTGAAATATAAAGCAATCATCAAAAGAGAAAATCAACCAATTGACTTTATTACACTTGAAAAAAACAATTTCAAGTGTTGACAGCATCTGCTAAGTCTTCAGAATCTCAGCTCGGACAGAAAAGGAGCTGGTGGTGAGTTTGTTAGAAAAAGGCAAGTGCTTGAGAGTCAGACCCACTAGATTTAAATCTAAGTCCTGCCACTTGGCCACTAGGTGACTTCTGCTAATAATAGCAGCTTCTATTGTCTGACTGCATGCTAGATACCAAGCACTTTACACATATCATCTCCTTTCATCCTCATAATAAGCAGTGAGTGACAGATGATCAGTCATCATCCTTATTTTATGAATAAAGAAATGAAAGCCAAGAGTAATTAAATTATTGGCTCAGGGCTGTATAAACAGTAAATGGCAGAAAAGGAGGGTGAACAAGGTAACATGGCTCCAAAGTTCTTAAATCCAATGTTATACTTCCTTCAAATTACAAAGTACAGCACTTAAGTTATTTAACCTTTATGAGCTTTGGTTGCCTTGCCTGTAAGATGATCATCTATAAAATACCTACTAGCAATGATTAACAACTGAATGCTTATTATAGTCCAGGCATTTTTCTAAATGCTGAATTCTTTACTTCATTTAATACTTATGAAGTCCCCCAAAATGGGAACTAGTATCCCCATGCCACAGAGGAGGAAACTGGGGGCTTAGAGAGGTTAAGAAACTAACCCAGATCAGAGGAAAAGGAGTCATTATATGAAAAAGATACTTCCACATGCATGTTTTTAGCAGCACAATTTGCAATTGCAAAAATGTGGAACCAACCCAAATGCTCATCAATCAACGAGTGGATAAAGAAACTGCGGTATACATAGATGATGAAATACTACTCAGTCATAAAAAGGAATGAATTAACAGCATTCGCAGCAACCTGGATGGGACTGGAGACTATAATTCTAAGTGAAGTAACTCAGGAATGGAAAACCAGACATCACATATTCTCACTTATAAGTGAGAGCTAAACTATGAGGATGCAAAGGCATAAGAATGACTTTGAGGACTTAGGGGGAAGGGGTGGGAAGCGGTGAGGGATAAAGACTACAAATCAGGTTCAGTGTACACTGCTTTGGTGATGGGTGCACCAAAATCTCACAAATCACCACTAAACAACTTACTTGTGTAACCAAAGACCACATTCTCCAAAAACCTATGGAAATAATTTTGTTTTTAAAAAAAGAAACTAACCCAGATCACACACAACTACTAAGTGGTAGAGGTAGAGCTGGAATTCTAATTTGAGCCCGTGTGGCTGCAGAGCCCATGCTCTTTCCACTTTCCACTCCGTGACAATTGCCTCCAATAGGCCTACTGAGGAAGATGGAGGATATATACAGAGAAGGCTATGGGAACACAGGGATGGAGAAAAATTAATTCCAACTGAGGGTAACAGGGACAGATTTATGAAGAATGTAGAGATTCACTTGATAGACATTCACTTTAATGCCAGAAAGGCTCAGAAATACATCTGTTTAAAAAAGTTAGGCACACCCTAATTGTGTACTAATGTTAATGCCAAAGAAGCTAGGCCTTGCCATAAAAATGCCTCATAAATAGTAAAGCAGGGACTGTATCCTACTCATCTTAGTAGTACTACCCCGCACCCTTACACTTTCCCAGTCTAATGGCAACTAGAATAGTGCCTTGCACATAGTAGGCACTTGACAGATATTTCCAAGATGAATAAGTGAATGATACTTCAGGAAAGACTTGGTTTGGGACCTTGCTAACTTGGGGGATGCTGTAGCCCCCCAAGCTGGAAGACCCTTTTCCCTCTCATCTTTCTCCCTGCAGTTCCTCTGATGAGCCCATAGGCTGAGTGATAGGGGATCCACTGTACCGGAGATGATTTATGGTTCTTTGTTATACAAATCCCTTCACATTCCTCCCCATCCTCTTTTCGCAGCCAATTCATCATGATATTTAAATGAAACTTTGGTTAGTGAACTATGGCTCACCGCCCTGAAGACAATTATTCAAGATGCCATCTCTAAAAAAGTGTTTAAAAAGACCCGCGATCCATCTGGATTGTCTTAGATTTCCCTGCTTTTCCCAAGGACCCAGGGAAAGGCCTTTGCTTTTACCTTAGAGAATCCCAGGTACTCAGCTGGAGCAGTGAAAAGAAAGAAGGCAATGCTCTGTAATTGCTCCATAATTAAAATACTAGAAGCCCCAAGGAAGATATAACCACAGTATTTCAGCCTAGGCTACAGAATAACTTTGCAAAGATGCCTCAGAGATATTTTACTTAATGCTCTGGGAACCCCAGCTTTATTGAGTCAATCTGCTATCAAAATGATGATGGCAAAGTAAAATGAAACTTTCTGATTCTTCATGCCATTAATGCAAGCTGGTGTTACCCTAATCAAATGAAACCCCTTATCATGACTACAGGAGTGAAACAGAAGCAAGCATTTCCTCCATCTGTCATTAAGCTTATTTCAATCATATCACTCATGGGATATGATACATGCTGCCATTATCTTGACTGTGTCAGTACAGTCAATAGAACTGAGACAAATTCTTGGGCTAAAAAAATCACATATGTTAATTCTAATACAATATCGTGCAGAAATGGGTACTTTTATTTATTGATTTTATATAGCATCACTTTATTATGAAAATAATGGCTGTTAGATACTGATTACATGATATTTTCTAATAAAGATGAGTAGCTGGTGCCTTTTAATTTCCTACTCTGTGATGCCAAATAAACTCACTGCTTTTCTCTGTGCCTCATTTTCCCTTTATATATAGTAGAAGAATGTTTTGCTTCCCATACTTCTAAAAGACAGAAAACTCAAAATGCAACAGAACACAGTGAGGCATTTTATAAAATAATGTGTATTTTTAAAAGCTGGGCAGCTGGTCATGGTGGCACAGACCTATAATCCCAGCTACTAGAGAGGTTGAGGCAGGAGGATTACTTGACACCAGGAGTTTTGGTCCAGCCTGGGAAACAGCAAAACCACGGGTCTAAAAACATTTTTGTTAATAAAGAAATAAAACCTATTTTCTAAAAAGTTGGGCATCTATCTCAGTTTCAGTAATTTTTTTAAAGTAGGGCACACATCTCAATTTCAGTGAACCACATCATAATTTAAATGCATCAAAGCTGCTGGGCGTGGTGGCTCATGCCTGTAATCTCAGCATTCTGGGAGGCTGAAGCAGGAGGACTGCTTGAGGTCAGGAATTCGAGACCAGCCTGGGCAACACAGTCAGACCCCGTCTCTATTTTAAAATTAAAAAAAAAAAATTTAAGTATCAAAGAAACTCACATAATATTCTTTTGTAAAAATAATCAAGCCCCTTGTATACTAGTTTAGAACATTCAAAATTTCAAGTAATAAATTTGCTTAAAAGAGAGGTTCAACTAGGCCAGGCATGGTGGCTCATGCCTGTAATCCCAGCACTTTGGAGGCCGAGGCAGGCGGATTGCCTGAGCTCAGGAGTTCGTGACCAGCCTGGGCAACATTGTGAAACCCCATCTCTACGAAAATACAAAAAATTAGCTGGGCATGGTGGTGTGCGCCTGTAGTCTCAGCTACTTGGGAGGCTGAGGCAGGAGAATTGCTCGAACCCAGGAGGCGGAGGATGCAGTGAACCAAGACTGCGCCACTGCACTGCAGCCTGGGAGACTCAGCAAGACTCTGTCTCAAAAAAAAAAAAAAAAAAAGAGAGAGGTTCAACTAAACTTACGAAGTTCCTTGAGTTCACCCTATGTACTTGGTGGTATAAAATATTTTTATTACATATATTATCAGCTGAAACATTTATTATGTACTGTCCTTGCTTCCCACTCCTTGAATGCAAGCAGTTACCTTTGACCTATATGATGTTAACAATTTATTATTCATTCCAAATGAGCCTGTTTCTGTTTAATTGTCTATAAAAGTCTATCCCAAAGCAATTAGATAAAACAAAAAAGACATGAATTTAAATGAAGAGCAAGATTTTTAAGATATTAATTTTTTATACAATTTATTAATATTCACACTAATTATTAAGTAATATTAAAAATCACAATCTGATTTATATTTTTCCCAAAGAATTTTTTTTTTTTTGAGGCAAAGTCTTGCTCTGTCATGCAGGCTGGAGTGCAGTGGCACAATCATAGCTCACGGTAGCCTCAAACTCCTGGGCTCAAGCGATCCTCCTACCTCAACCTCCTAAGTAGCTAGGAATATGGGCACATACCACTATCCCCAGCTAATTTTTTAATTTTCTGTAGAGACAAGGTCTTGATATGTTGCCCAGGCTGGTCTTGAACTCCTGGGCTCAAGCAATCCTCCTGCCTCGGCCTCCCAAAGTGCTAGGATTACAGGCGTGAACCACCACATATGACCTTCCCAAGAATTTTGTCCCCAAAACTGAAAAAACAATGCTGTGGTAGAACCACAGTTCCCAAACTGTGTCCCAAGGAACTCCAGCTTGGAACAGCAGCAAGTCCATAGAGCAACACAGAATATTTCAAATGTTCAAGGACAACACAGTGATACTCAATGTCTGTTGAAAATCACATGAACTACTAGTATGAGATAGCCATGGTTTCAACATTCAAATAGTACCCTTTTGGTAATGTCAGATCATTGCAAAGCTGAGTTTTCTGTGGTTGCTGGGATGAAAAACAAGTACTATGTGAATATCAACGTGAATCAGGAAATGAGTGTGGCAGTGTCCAATCTGAGCCCAAGGTTTGAGAAGATGTGCAGCATCCAATAAGCTTGTACTGCAACCTTATGTTATAGAGCCTTTTATTTATTTATATTTATTTATTTATTTATTTTGAGAGAGGGAGTCTCACTCACTCTGTCACCCAGGCTGGAGTGCAGTGGCACGATCTTGGCTCACTGCTACCTCTGCTTCCTGGGTTCAAGCAATGCTCCTGCCTCAGCCTCCCGAGTAGCTGAGATTACAGGCACCCGTCACCACGCCCAGCTAATTTTTGTACTTTTAGTAGAGATGGGGTTTCACCATGTTGGGCAGGCTTGTCTCAAACTCCTGACCTCAGGTGATCTGCCCGCCTCAACCTCCCAAAGTGCTAACAGGCGTGAGCCACCATACCTGGCCTACATTATAGATACGATTATTAGACTCATTTTATAGTTGAAAAAACCAAGGTTCCCAAACTTTATTGATTACTGTGCTTTTAGTGTCTGGGTAATTTTTGTTTTTTTTGCAACTCTCATTAGCAAGTAAGTGTAATTATTTTTAAATGAAATACAATTTTTTTCTTTAAATTTATATGTATGGCCTGGGGCGGTGGATCGCGCCTTTAATCTCAGCTTTTTGGGAGGCCGAGGCAGGAGCATCACTAGAGACCAGGAGTTTGAGATCAGCCTGGCCAACACAGCAAAACCCCGTCTCTACTAAAAATTCAAAAATTACCTGGGTATGTTGGCGCACGCCTGTAATCCTAGCTACTTGGGAGGCTGATGCATGAGAACTGATTGAACCTGGGAGGCAGAGGTTGCACTGAGCCGCAATCATGTCACCACATTTCAACCTGGGCAACAGAGTGAGACTCTCTCAAAAAAATAAAAAATGTTTTATATGTATTATTTTTTCAAATGGCTACTAAGTTGTAAAATCATAAATATATATTAAGATATTTGGGCTTAACTTAATCAATGGAATTATTAAGTATTTCTTTGAGCCTGAGTTGTGAAAAAATTACTGAGACTCTAGGAGCACAGTTACCAAGAAAGTTTGGGAACCTTGGTTTTTTCAAGTATAAAATGAGTCTAATAATAGTATTTACAACATAGGGTTGCAGTGAGATTGAATGAGTTAATTTACAAAAAGTATTCGGAATAGTATAGGCACCTTGTATTAGTAGTAATATTACCACCTCATTACCTAGGACAGTTCTCGTCAATGATCTTAACACTCACTTCTATGTGATCGATAAAAGAGTTTTGAAGTACATCTGTATCAGTAACATTAAAACTTTATAACTGCCAACATAATCAGAAGTTGTTTTTGTTTTGTTTTGTTTTTTTGAGACAGAATCTCCCTCTGTCGCCCAGGCTGGAGTGCAGCGGTGCTATCTCGGCTCACTGCAAGCTCCGCCTCCTTGGGTTCACGCCATTCTCCTGCCTCAGCCTCCAGAGTAGCTGGGACTACAGGCGCCCACCACCATGCCTGGCTAATTTTTTGTATTTTTAGTAGAGATGGGGTTTCACCGTGTTAGCCAGGATGGTCTCGATCTCCTGACCTCGTGATCCAACCACCTCGGCCTCCCGAAATGCTGGGATTACAGGCGTGAGCCACGGTGCCCAGCCATAATCAGAAGTTTTTATTTAAATTTACTATCTGGGAAGAGAACAGAAATTACTCTATTTCTTTATTTTTTGCTCTCTTAAATTTTTAGGTCTTCTGGGATTAAAATTTTCATTCTATTTTTTTTAAAAACTAGAAACCCAGAATTTCTATTACAGAGTTTAAAAAAAAAAAACTTCAAAAGTCTTTCATTTGAAAAAACAATTTTAAAAAATTGTGTTCATGCCAAGGGTGGTGGCTCACACTTGTAATCCCAGCATTTTGGGAGGTCGAGGTGGGAAGACTGCTTGAGGCCAGGAGTTCAAGACCAGCCTGGGCAACATAAAGAGACACCATCTCTACAAAATAAAAATAAAAGTAATTAGCCAGGTGTAGTGGTGGGTGATGACAGTCCAAGCTACTTGGTAGGCTGAGGTAGCAGGATTGCCTGCACCGAAGAGGTCGAGGCTGCAGTGAGCTATGATTGTAACATTGTACTCCAGCCTGGCAACAGAGCAAGACCCTAGCTCAAAAAATAAAATAAAAATTGCGTTTAAAGAAGCATCTAATAAGGTATTTGCCCTCTTCTCACTCCCCACACCCCAACTAAGACCTTCTATAAGCTGTTCTGCTAGGAAGGTGAGCAGAATTTACTTGCTACACATTGATTACAGCCTTTATCTTCCTATAGCTTAGTAATCCTTAAAAGTGTTTTACTTATCTCTTTCTTTTTATTTCTTAATTTCAGACTTACAGAAAAGGTATAGAAATTGTACAAAAAAATTCCTGTATATTCTTCACCCAATTTCCTAAATATTGCTATTTTACCACGTTTGCTTTATCATTTTGGTCATTTCGCTAACATAGTATCTGACATATTTCTCCACTCTAAATTTATAATTTTTCTCCTTATAATTAATACATATCTTGTGGGGGGGACATACTTTGTGACTATGTAAATATCCCATTTCTCAACCAAACTTGACCTGCTAGTTTTCCTATCCATCGATGATTCAATTATTACCACGATGGTTGCTAGATAGTGATTTCCTAATTCCATTATTCCTTCTACATTTATTAGTTGATATTGTACAATAAGGACTCACTTTTCCTTCTCCCACATTTATTTACTCTTATTTATATGCCCACATGTTATTCAATGAGTTATAATACATTACTATCATTATTTATTTTTATGCTTAATTCTTCCAGATTTGGCCAGCAGCAATCCCTTCAGGATAACTCTTGGACATTTTGAGATGCCTGATCCTATATTTTTAAAGTACTTTCTAACTTACTAGCTTAATAAAATGTGCAAGGCTCATCCTGTACGTCCCCAGCCCTAGCCTCCCTGGAATTGGCCAAATCCTCAAGGAGCTCTGGTTCCTTTAAATAGTGAACAAAATTAGAAATCATGATTTAAGTGACAGGTGTGCTCATTGCTCTTGGGGTGTCATTGTGTCTGGGATTTCTCAGTGAATAGAGCCAGGGAATATATACATGCATATATATATGATTATATGTACACAATAAAAACATTCTCATACCTTTCTTAAAAAACATGAGTTTTATACTGTCATTCCAAGTCTAATCCAACACTATACGATTCATTCTACTTTTGTCCTGTTCTAATTTGTAACTCTCTTCTCTCTGTGAGGAAAATGAATTCCATTATCTATAATAAATGTACTTATTTGCCCAATTCCAGAATACACAGAAGTAGTTTTAGAACTGCTACCAAAAGACACCCTCTAGTGCAAAAAAAAAAGTAACTAAAATTTAATATTCATTTGCAGTTCATTTAGTCTTTAGTCTGAGAGTACACAGTTAAAAAAAAAAAATTATATTCTGCAGTTGCTTGGATTGGGTTAGTCCCCCCACCAACATACCCGCTCTTCAGGGTGATTATATTATTCACTTGAAACTGTTAGGTTGATTTGTTTGTATTCCATTTTAGGATTTCCCTCCCCATTTGTGTGTGTGTGTGTATGTGTGTTTTAGTATATGAACATTAACATGGTTCCAAAAGTAGACCCATACAAAAAGAAATATTCAAGAAAACTGTCAGTCCCCATCCCCTCCACTCAGTCCCCAGCCTCCTCACCCTTTCCTCCTCATTTCCACCCACTTCCTGTAGGTAACCAATCTCATTACTTTCTAATTTATCCTTCCCGGTTTTCTTTTTTGGTCAAAAAAGCAGACACATGTATGTTTTCTCACTCCTTTTTTTTTTTTTTTACACAAAAAGTAGCATACTATAGATACTGTTTTGTACTCTACCTTTTTCACTAAATAATATATCCTAGAAATCATTCTATATTGGTTCACAGACATCTTCATTTTTTTTTTTTTTTGAGACAGAGTCTTGCTCTGTCGCCCAGGTTGGAGTGCAGTGGTGCAATCTCAGCTATGCAACCTCTGCCTCCTGGGTTCAAGCAATTCTCCTGCCTCAGCCTCCCAAGTAGCTGGGATTACAGGCATGCACCACCATGCCCAGCTAATTTTTGTATTTTTAGTAGAGATGAGGTTTCACCATGTTAACCAGGCTGGTCTCGAACTCCTGACCTCAGGTGATCCACCTGCCTCAGCCTTCCACAGTGCTGGGATTACAGGCGTGAGCCACTGCACCTGGCCCCTCATTCTTTTTTATAGATTTATAGTACTCTATTATGTACTTGTACTGTAGTTTATTCAACCACTCTCCTCCACAGGAGACTATTTTTTTCTGAGTCTGCTTGCTAGAGAACCATATGGGAATTTAGATTTTCTCAATTATTTCCCAAATACAAACAATGCTGCAATACATAAACTTGTGCGTATGTATTTTCATATTGCCGTAGGTGTATATTCAGGATAAATTCTTAAAATGATTACTGGGCCAAAAGTAAACACATTTGAAGTTTTTTTGAAACCTATAATGTTTTAATATAGAGATTTAAAGTAGTTTTGTAATAATATTATTTGTCTATATAGGTGTTTTGTTTTAGATTTTGAGTCACCAGACTTTGTCTTTTACACAGCACAATTATACCTTAACGAATATGTGCTGGTGACTATAAGCAATTGAATAACAAAATTATTCCTAAGTAGTATTAGATTTTGTATTTATTTATTTATTATTTTTTATTTTTGAGATGGAGTGTTGCTGTGTCACCCAGGCTGGAGTGCAGTGGCACAATCTCAGCTCACTGCAATCCCCACCTCCCGGGGTCAAGCGATTCTCCTGCCTCAGCCTCCCGAGTAGCTGGGATTACAGGCACGCGTCAAAACACCTGGCTAATTTTTGGATTTTTAGTAGAGACAGGGTTTTGTCATCTTGCCCAGGCTGGTCTCAAACTCCTGAGCTCAAAGTGATCCACCCGCCTCAGACTCTCGTCAAGTGCTGGGATAACAGGTGTGAGGTACCATGCCTGGCCTTATATTTATTTAACTAGTTTAGTTCTGAGAGTAATGCTGTATAAAAATAATGGGGTAGGGGGAAGAGCCCTTAGATATGAGAAATAATAGATACATAAGGATAGATCACATTCTGCCTGTGGGAATGGTTGGGGATATATTTTCACATCTCTAAGAAGGACGTATTTCCTCCCAGCAGAGGTGATGATCTGAAGTTGCTGGAAACATGATAAATAGTGAAGGGAGCCGGTCTGCCTGTGCTACAGGGCCTGGTTAATTACACTGTAAATCATGCAAATACTGACATGTTGAACAAAAAGCTTCTCCAGACATCTTATCCTTCTCACTAAAAGACAGTTCTTTTAAAAAATAGGCAGATTGGTAATTATCTCAAGCTGAGAATATACAAAATGCTGATATTAACCCCTAGAGATGCAGAAAAGTTTTAGGGCTTTGAAGTCTGTAAGGCATTAAAAAATGCTTAACAAATATGATTTACAAATCATACACTCTTGATTAAGCATTTTATTAGTAGGACAACCAACTCCCACTCCCCATAGCCTACAATCAGTACTATAACATTATTCTAGAATTTTATTATTTGTATCTTTCTTTTGGGAGCCTTCCCTTGTATATTGTCTAGGATTCACGAATAATTCTCTACCCCTTAGAAATGTAAATATTTCATTTGGAAATCTTTGTGCGATCTGGGCTTTCACAGATGGAGATCAAAGATAGGAATTAGTCCTCTACTCCACTCCTGACCAGTGTCAGCAAATCCTCCCTTGTCCCTTTGTCTCTTCCACAATAAAAGCAAAAGAATATGACCATGGTGTACATATTGATATTTTACCACTTTTATGTTACCATTTATACTGTGACCATTTCATTCACATGGTATCTTCCAGGTTGCTCCACTGTAAATTTTCAATTTTTCTCTTCGTAACTAATCAATACCTTGTGGGACACACTTTGTGACTATGTAAATATCCTGTTTCTCATATGTGGCAAAGAGTTTCATGAAGAGGACACAAATTCACAATAGGGGCCCGCAATAGATCTCCTTAAATATGATATTATTTAAACCACCTCATGCCAAACAGTCTATACCTGAAGAAAACCAAGTTTCATTAATTGCTGCTTTTATCTTGGCATCAATAATAAGAGGCAATGCAGCCTTGTTTAAAGAGCGCAAGTTTGGGGATCACACAGATTGGGTTCAAAACCAAGTATGGCCACTTACTACCTATATGATGTGAGAGGCAAGCTACTTAATGTCTCTGAGCCCTAGTTTCTTCTCAGAAAAATGAGAACACTGTAGTATCAACCTCATAGAGCTATTGTGAGTTCAATGAGCTCATATAATATGAAAAGTACCCTGAACCCAATGTGGCACATAGCAGGCATTCAATAAATGGTATCCATTAATAAATAATAATGGTGAAATTATTTTGGTTACTTTTGAACCCTGATGAAATTTTTTACGGATGGAGACATTCGGGCATACTTGACACCTATTCTATTGATCCAGCCTTACGTCAGAGCTGATTTAAAAACAGAAAAGCAAAGTCCTTGGTAGATTCTCTTCAGGAAATTAAACTGTGGGGTCTATGGGCCCAGAGTTCATGTCAACTCTTCACTTCAATGTGGACTGTCCATTTGGAGGTCAATAAGATGAGTCCAGAGAGCCCTTTATTCGAAGACTGGAGTGCCACCGTGAGGTCAGCATTGGTCCTTGCGCTATTTACTTCAATTCTGTCCTAATTAAAAGAATATTTGAGTAGTTACACTTACATTGCATTGTAGCCTAAAAGTACACTCTGTTGACTATTGGTGGCAAAAAAAAAAAAAAAAAAAAAAAAAACTGTAAGAATTTGGATTTCTTGAGTACTTGATTTGGATTTCTAAAGTACTAGACTATTGGTAAATCTTGAGAATTTGAAGCTGGAAACTCAGCCTCGGGGAAAGCAAGGTTTTTGTCTCACTGTGGGAATGGCTTCCGGATGTTATCCATAGCCAATCACCCTCTCCTCAACTCACTTTTAAATTAAGATCCTGAAGTTACAGTTCAAAAGTTCCTAGCTCCCGTTGCAAAGAAATAATAATTCCTACTTTCAAATAACCATTAGAAACTTCATTCAAATGTCCCACAAAAATCTCAAACTCAACGTATTCAGAATTAAACTTACTATGAATATATAGTCCTCACACAAACCTAGCCCTTCAGTATTCTCCCTTTCCGTGAAAAGGCTCACCCCTACTCAGTCACCTAAGTTTGAGACCCGGGAGTTATTTTAAGTTTCTCCCTCTCCTGCTATCCTCCCACATCCAGTCACTTTACCTCCTTAATGTCCTTTAGATCCGCTCCTTTCTCCTCTTCCTTCCTACAGCCACTGCCTTCTTTCCTCACTAGACTGCTATTTCAATATTGTCCTGGTCTCCCTGACTCCAACTTGCCTCTCTTCTGTGTTGCTGCTAAAGTGATGTTTTAAAATTAAAAACTGCCAGGCACAGTGGCTCATGCCTGTCATCCCAGCACGTTGGGAGGCCGAGGCAGGTGGATTGCTTGAGCCCAGGAGTTCAAGACCAGCCTAGGCAACATGGCGAAACCCCATCCCTACAAAAAATGTAAAAATTAGCTGGGCATGGTGGTGCATGCCTGTAGTCCCAGCTACTAGGGAGGCTGAGGTGGGAGGATCACCTGAGCCTGGGGAGGGCAAGGCTGCAGTGAGCTACGATTGCACCACTGCACTGCAGCCTGGATGACAGGGTGAGACCCTGTCTCTAAATAAATAAATATTAAATTAAAAACTTTATATCAGTGGCTTAACATCCTCTAATGGCTCTCAGTGCCTACAATATCAGGTTCAAAGTCCTCAGTATATACAAAAGGCCCGTCACAAGCTGGTCCCTACCTACCTGTCCAGCTCCAATTCTTGCTGCAGCATCCACTTCCAGCTTTGTTGAGCCACTAGTAGTTCCCCAAACACAACAGCGTGTTTCATCCCTCTTTACATTTGTTGCGCTGCTCTCCTCTCTACTTAAATACTTTTACCTGTGTTTTCTAATTGGTCAACACTTTATTTGTTAAGGCTATGCCAGCTTTGTCTTCTCTATAAAGTCTTTTCTAACTTTCCACAAAGCCCACTCCATCCTGCCACCCTTACTCCCTCACTTCCTACACTTATACTGCAGTGCCTAGAGAATTTCCTTGCTCTGTTTGCAAACAGTTCTCTGTCCCTTGCAAACTCAAAGCTACTTGAGACCAAGGACTGTGTCTAGTTCATTTTTGGATCCCTAAGCCCTAGTCCATGCCAGAAACACTGTAAAAACAACCACCACCAAGTTTGTTGAATGATAAACAAGGAGTGGAGAAAAAGTTTTCAAAAACATACTCTTAGGACATAGAGTGATCACTCTATTCACAACAAGTTATCCCAAATAGCTTTTCCACTGCAGTGTTATACAGACTTTGTGTTCTCACTTGCTACAGCTGAGAAACCATGTGTGTCTACCAGTCAGACCGTACTGGTTTTTAGAGAAATTCCAGTTATACAAAACCATGATTCAGTTTCCTCACCACTTTTGTTGACAATGCTTTTAAGTTGTTTTGTTTCGTTTTTTCCCCAGGAGGAAATGGTCCTTTAATGAGTCAGCTGGACATTGTGAGGGTATGAAATGGTCTAAGTCTAACAGTTTCTATTTGTCTTCTTTCATTCATTCATCTAAAATTTATCACAAAGCACCAAGCAAAAAACATAAGGTCCATTCCAAAATTCATTGAGGTTGGCAGTTTCAGGGATCTTTGTCTATTTCATTTCACTTCATTAATTGGACAAGATTACTGACCACTTACTGTGAAACAGACTCCATGAGAAGCAAACAATATGAAGATAAATGAGATGTAGGAACAGCCCTCAAAAAGCTCAAAGTCTGTGGACATACATGGAAATATCATTTCAATGCTATAGGAAAAGAGCTAAAATAGAGGTACTTATGAAGTGGCATGAGAACTCGAAGAAAGATGGACTATGTCAAGGAGGGGACATTCAGGGTAAGTTTCACTCAGGAGAGGACATGTAAACTGAGTATTGAAGAATATAAGGAGTTATCCATGGAGGAAAGGAACAGAGGACATTCCAAGAAGAAAAAAAAAATAAGTACAAAGTTTCTGAGTTGGAAGCAAAGCTGAAATGAGGTGAGAAAACTAAAGCTTAGAGAGGATACGTAACCACACAGCTGGTTAAGTGATAGGACTGAGAGTTGAACCCAAGCTGAAGCTGTTTATGGCAGGGAGTCATATTTCTTGAGAATGCTGAAGCAGATAAAATGTTGAGACCCACTGCTTAGGGACTGACATACAAGTTATAGTTCAGACTACATTCAGCAGACAATGGGGAATCAAGAGAGGTTTTTAAGCAGAGAAGCAACATGGTCCACATTTGGGCTTCAGAAATATAATTCCAGCAGGTGGATTCTTAATGTTGACTACAATTAGAATCACTTGAGAAGCTTTCAAAAATTACAGGCTAGGGAACCAGTATAGAACAATTAAACCAGAATTTCTGGGGGTGGGAATCAGTTTTCTTTTGTTTGTTTGTTTTGAGGCAGGGTCTTGCTCTGTTGCCCAGGCTGGAGTCTAGTGGTGTGACCATGGCTCATTGCAACCTCGACCTCCCAGGCTCAATTGATCTTCCCAGCTCAGCCTCCCTAGTAGCTGGGACTACGGGTACACCACCACACTTGGCTAATTTTTTAAAAATTGTTTGGTAGAAATGGGGTCTCCCTATGTTGCCCAGGCTGGTCTTGAATTCCTGGCCTGAAGCAATCCTCCTGCCTTGGCCTCCCAAAGTGCTGGGATTATAGGTGTGAGCCACTGCACTTGGTCACTTGTTTCATAAGTTCTTCAGAAGATTCTATTGTGTGGTTAGGGTCAAGAACTATTGCTCTAGAAGGAAGAACTGAAAGATGGGAAAGAACTACTATTGCTTAAGAACCTACTATGTGTGAGATTTTGTTCCAAATGCTTTATACAATAACTACAGAATATATATATCTATATATCTATATATCTATCTATCTATATATATATATATAAGGATTTTATACATATCTAGTATTCTGACCCATCTCAACCATTTTGAGCCCTGTGTGGTGAAAAGTTATGCTACTCCTAACCTCAAGGTAGATATTATAATCCTATAATCACTATTTTACCAACAAGGAAACTGAGGCACAGACCAGTGAAATAACTCATTTAAGATTATCAAATTACTAAATGACACAATTGGACTCAAACATTAAGTATTTCTGATGCCCCAAACCTACACTCCTTCCACTACACACCACTGCCTATGAGCCTAGCTTAATCTTCAGAACGATTCCAAAGTAGCTATCATGATCCTCATTTTACAAACAAAGAAATTAGTCCCAGAAAGATTAATGTGACCAAATCACAAATCACAGCTAATAGGTGAAGAGGCTGGGAGAATTTAAACTCAGCCCTATTTAACTCCAAGTCCATGCTTATGAAGGTAAATAATATAGTACATATTCAACACTCAATATAATTCTTCTTTCCTCTGATCGGAAAGCAGCAAGTTGAGTTATTACTATAACACAGAGTATTATTCCTAGTGGCTTCCTCTTCCTTCTTCGGTCCTAGGTGGCTAAACTTCTATTGAACTATCAATCTCAGGTGCTTTTCTTGTTGGAGTGGGGAGGACAGAACTCTGCCATAACCTTCCATGATATTAACCTGGAAAAAGTTTAACCCTGGCCAAATCTAACACTATACACTTCACACCCTTATTTAAGTGGCTGAATCATGCTAATTTGTCTCCTTTTACATTAATTGCCCTGAACCTCAAATGGGCATTTATTGCCCAGAATTATTACCGCCTTTCTTCAGTAAGTTCATTTTCCCACTGTTAGAGAATATTATTTCACACCACTTCTCTTCTCAGCCCTCCAACACACCCTGACAAAATTTCATCCCACCCCCATCTCATAATTCTCCCTTCTCTGTTGCAGCAACAATTTATACCTTTCCACTGGGTCATCCCATATAATTTACAAACATCTCCTAGCACTCATATTTAAAAACATCAAAAACCAAAAGCAAAACCCTCCTTTGAATCCACATCTGGCTATAGCTACCACCCCACTTCTCTGCTATCCTGCTCAGCTAAATCTTTGGAAGAGTGGTTTCATCCATCTCCATTTCACCACCTTCACCAATCATCTCTATTCACCAATGTCCCTGAAACTGACATTATCAGGGGCTCTAGTGACCTCCACGTTGCCAAATGCAGTGATCTTTTCTGTCTTCAGCCTCTCAACAGCCTTTGAAATAGCTGATCACTACCTTCTTAAAACTTCTGTCTGGCTTTGGTGACACCAAATTCCTGGTCTTCCTACCTCACTGCTTGCTTTCTACTTCACTTGCTTCTTCTCAGACTCTTGTTTTACAGGTGTCTCCTCCTCCACCTCATCTCCAAGCATTAGAGTACCATAGGGTCAGTCCTGGGTCCCCTTCTCTTCTCCATTCACACATTTTCTCTAAGTGATCACATTCATGCTCATGCTTTTGGAGATGGGTTTGTTACCACTTACATAGGGATTAGGTTCTAAATCAGCTCATAAAGAAAAAAAAAATCTCATAAAGTTGAATTTTTTTTTAAATTCCCTAAGTCATCCACAAAGTATGGTAGTTGCCATTTCATACATATTAATTTTATATATGGCTATGGCCATATTTATGTGCCAAACTGAAGATCAACACACTAATATTGAGTTTTTCCTCTTATGTTGAAATAGATTAATTTTATTTATTTTTGAGACAAGGTCTCACTCTGTCACCCAGGTTGGAGTGCAGTGGTGCCGTTACAAGTCACTGCAGCTTCAACCTCCCAAGCTCAAGCAATCTTCCTGCCTCAGCCTCCCAAGTGGCTGGGACTATAGGTGTGTGCCACTACACCCAGCTAATGTTTTAATTTTTTGTAGAGATGGAGTTCCGCCATGTTGCCCCGGCTGGTTTCAAACTTCTGAGCTGAAGTAATCTGCCCACCTTGGCCTCCCAAAGTGCTAGGATTACAGGTATAAGCCACTGCGCCTGGCTGAAGATAAATTATTTTTATTGAACAACAGATGAAGTACTTGGGAAGTTCCTATTTTTAAAGAGTAGACACACTTGGGACAGGAAGACCACCCCCCGACCCACTGTAATAGGGAGTAAGGGGCTGAATTCATCTGAGAAACCGCAGATTCACCTCCCCCATCACATGCTCACCTCACACCTGCTTTCCTTGATTGTAAAGGACTCACCCATACAATTTCAAGTATGTTTCATTCTCTTTGGTCAAATACATATAACTGAATTTTTATAAGTTAAATGCTTATATGGTACAACTCCTTTGTATCATTTATATGTTGATGACTTCCAAATTAATTTCTCTAGCCCTAATTTTTGTTCCTGAGCTTCAGATTCAGAACCAACTACCTACTTGGATGTCTCCACTTAAAGTCAACTAGGTAGGCATCTTAACACGTCCAAAACATAACAATTGATTCCATCCTCCGTATCTCACTTGTACCAGAAAGCCCTTCTTCTCTCAGGCTTTCTTAGCTCAGTAAATGGCATGCCATCTACTCAGCCAAAAAACTAGGAGTGATCTTTGATTCCTCCCTTTCTCTCACCTCTGCATAAAATCCGTCAGGTACGTTTAGCTCTACCTCCAAAATACATGCCAGATCTAATCCATTTATCTCTCTCAGCACAGATACCAACCTAGACAAGCCATGATCATCATTCTACTTTGACTAACCTGTTTCCACTCTTAGCTTTTCTATGGTCCATTCTCCAAATAGCCAGTGTAATCCTTTATGAAACATCCACGCATTCATTCACCAAAGTGCACAGAAACTGGGGATACATAACGAAGCAAAGTATATCCCTGTGCTCAGGGACTTACATTCCAGAAGAGGGAGAGGCAATAAGCAGTAAATAATTTCGTACAGATGTAATAAATATAAAAAATTAAATGTGATAAACTAAATCATGTTCTTCTCTCCATAAAAATTTTCAAATAGTTTCCCAAGGTGGAAGTCCAAATTCCTTACTATGACCTTGTTACAAGATTCTGTGAGATCTGGCTTCTGTTTGTCCCTCCAACCTTATCTGTACTACTCTATCAGACTGCAACTTGGCTCTAGTCGCACCGGCATTCTTTCTATTCCCTCAAGGTTCCAATTTTTTTCCCTTCAGCCACGTGTTTCCCCTATCTGGAATGCTGTTCCCAGATCTTGGACAGGTTGCTTCCTCTTAGCTCAAGTTTTCACTTCAACAGAGTGAATTTCACTAAGTCAGCTCCCTCATCATTTTCTCTATCAATTACACCTTTTTGTTTTATAGCACTTATTACTTTACAGAGATTTTGCTTATTTATTTGTTAACAATATCTGTTGTCCCTACTAAAATGTAAGCTTCGTAAGAAGAGGAATCTTAAGATGTTGTTTACTATAGTATCCCTCAAAGTCTAGAACAGTGCCCAACATAAGAGGATACTGATAAATATTTTTTAAAAGAATTTACACACGCCTGTAGTCCCAGCAGTTTGGGAGACCGAGATGGGAGGATCACTTGAGCCCAGGAGTTCGAGGCTGCGATTGCGCCACTGCGCTCCAGCCTGGGCGACAGAGAGAGACCTTGTTTCAAAAAAAAAAAAAAAAGATAAATAATGACGGAGTACACGATAATAAAATAGCCTCGTTTCTCACCCAGCCAGGCTCCGCCTACAGGAGCCAATTATGCTCACGCCCTCTTCCGACGCTGCCCGGGGCCTGGGAAGTAGTCTGCGCAGGCGCCGTAGAACTGTGGCGCTTTCTGGGTAAAGATGGACGTCCACGATCTCTTTCGCCGGCTCGGCGCGGGGGCCAAATTCGACACGAGACGCTTCTCGGCAGACGCAGCTCGATTCCAGGTACTGTGCCCAAGGGACCGAGGGCCGAGTAACTGAGAAGGAGCAGGAGCCCGGGAATGAACCCGCTGCTGGGGGAGGCCGGCGCACTTGGACACCCGTGGCCTGGCTCTCGCCACCCTTGGGGTATTTTGCTTCCTTTTGTGTTCGGCTTGCCTGCACGGCTGCTCGGTTCAAGCCTTTTGAATAAGCTCTTTAACTATCCTGTTGTAGACCTAGTTGGGCCTGGCACGGAAACCCTCTTTCCTCCCTCTTATTCAAAGCAAAGTTGGAATCCTCCTTTCAAAAGGAACTTTTTCTCCGAACCTAGAGGAAAGGAATTTCGAAAACAGAAACAACCAAAGATGGAGAAAACAGATTCTCTTACTATAGTCTCCCCAAGTTTGGCTTGGCATGCGTATAGTTGTACTGGGCGTGATTCTTTTTATTGCTTCAACCCCATGGCTTAAGTAACCAATGAGAAGAGCGATTAAGAAATGGGGGCTCTTACCTAGAGAAGTAGTGAGTGATACATCGGGGGAGGTCAATTGGGGCCCAATTCTGGAAAATCTTGAATGTCTACTTTGTTGTTTGGATGTGTATATGCGTGTGACATGTGTTTCTTCTTTCTCTAACTGGTGAGTATGAACTCTGGAGCCAGATTATCTGGGTCTAAATGCTAAGTCTGCCAGTTACTCATTTTTAGACCTACCTCAAGTTACTTAATTTCCGAATGCCTTGGTTTTCTCATTCGTAATACTGCTATTTACCTTATAGAGTTGTAAATGTGAAGCAATTTAATATGTATAAACATGCTTAGAAATCTGCTTGACATTTAGTAAGCATATATGTGTTCATTGCTAATATTAATTTGTTACTATTATGAGGTCAGAGAAGGTCTCTTCAGATTCCATTTGTCCAGACACCTGTTAGCTCGACAGATACTTGGTGAAAGGGTAGAAAAGATGAGGAGTCATTGAACAGTCTTGCTTGAATGAAAGCAATGGTATTCTGTCAGTAGGTTTCATTTTACATTTTTTGGGTTTTAGATAGGAAAAAGGAAATATGACTTTGATTCTTCGGAGGTGCTTCAGGGACTGGACTTTTTTGGAAACAAGAAGTCTGTCCCAGGTGTGTGTGGAGCATCACAAACACATCAGAAGCCCCAAAATGGAGAGAAAAAAGAAGAGAGCCTAACTGAAAGGAAGAGGGAGCAGAGCAAGAAAAAAAGGAAGACGATGACTTCAGGTTAGTGTTTGATTTCTGTCATGTTTTTTCTCTTTAATTTTTTTCAGTTATAAAAATAATACAGGCTTATGGCTACAAGTCAGACAATAAGGTCATTTGTCAGCTGATGGCACTCAGGTTGTTTCCAGGTATTTGTCATTAGAAATATTGTTACAGCAAAGGTAATTTTAAGTAAAGATATTTATACATAAATCCTTTTGTACAGGTACTGTTATTTCTGCAGAATACCATCCGAAAAGTAGCATCATATGGTGAAAGGGTATGTACCCTTTCTCTGAAAAATACTACAAAGTGACTTCCCAAGTCCTTGTCAGTGCTGAATATTATTGGTGTTAATTTTTTTGCCAAGCTAATGAATGAAACTTTTTTTTTTTGAGACAGAGTCTCACTCTGTCTCCAGGCTGGAGTGCAGTGGCGCGATCTCGGCTCACTGCAACCTCTGCCTCCTGGGTTCAAGCAATTCTCCTGCCTCAGCCTCCTGAGTAGCTGGGACTACAGGTGCGTGTCACCACGCCTAGCTAATTTTTGTATTTTTAGTAGAGATGGGGTTTCACCATGTTGGCCACGATGGCCTGGATCACTTGACCTCGTGATCCGCCCGCTTTGGCCCCCCAAAGTGCCGGGATTACAGGCCTGAACCACCGCGCCCTGCCTGAAACAATTTTATATTTTACTGATAACTGGTGAGGTCGAGCATTTTTTTTTTTTTGAGATGAGTCTCGCTTTGTTGCCCAGTCTGTGGTGCAGTGGTGCAATCTCGGCTCACTGCAAGCTCCGCCTCCTGGGTTCACGTCATTCTCCTGCCTCAGCCTCCCAAGTACCTGGGACTACAGGTGCCTGCCACCACACCTGGCTAATTTTTTGTATTTTTAGTAGAGACCAGGTTTCATCGTGTTAGCCAGGATGGTCTCGATCTCCTGACCTTGTGATCCACCCTCCTCCGCCTCCGCCTCCGCCTCCTAAAGTGCTGGGATTACAGGCGTGAGCCACCACACCTGGCTGGTCAAGCATATTTTTGTATGCTTTACTGGACATTAATATTTCACCTTTTGTGAATTGTTTCTTCTTACTCTTTGCCCATTTTGACAGAGGTTTTTGTTTTTTTGTTGTTTGTTTGTTTGCTTTTGAGACAGAGTCTCGCTCTGTTGCCCAGGCTGGAGTGCAATGGCATGTTTTCCGCTCACTGCAACCTCTGCCTCCCAGGTTCAAGTGATTCTTCTGCCTCAGGCTCCTGAGTAGCTGGGACAGGTGTGCCCCACCACGCCTGGCTAATTTTTGTATTTTTTAGTAGAGACGGGGTTTCTCCATGTTGGTCATGCTGGTCTTGAACTCCTGACCTCGTGATCTGCCCGCCTCGACCTCCCAAAGTGCTGGGATTAAAGGTGTGAGCCACCGCGCCTGGCCTTTTTTTTTTTTTTTTTTCTTGTACTGTACTCTAGGGCTGTTTATATTTTTTTAATCTATAATATTAAGTTTCCTAGTCATTTACCTTTTTTTGGTAAACACTTGAGTTATACAATGATGAAAAGTAAAGTTCCTTCCTACTGTTTCTCTCCAGTCCCCTGTTTCTCCACACGCAGCTACTGTTAATCAATTTCTTTTGTATTTTTCTGGGGACACTATTCCTATGTATTTATGCCTGACTCAAAAAAAAACAAATACTCCTCATACTTTGTTTATATACTTTGATTATTTTATATACACTCTGTTGGGAACCTCTGCTACTACCTTCCCCTTTTTTAAAAACAATGTATCTTGGAGGTTGTTTGGAATCAGTAGGAAGTACATTGCCTTGTTCATTTTAACACAGCATTGTATCCCATTGTGTGTATTGCATAATTGATTTAACAAGTTCCTGTGTGATGGATAATTATAGTTTGTTTTCACATTTTTGCTGTTGTAGTTTTGCAGTGTCATTCTACTTATCTTTGCATGTATATGTGAGTATATCTGTCCCATAAATTCTTAGAAGTGGAATTGCAGAGTTAACAAATAGATGTATCCACCAGAAACACTGCATCAGTAGGAAGTACTTTGCCTTGTTCATTGTAACACAGCATAGTAGCCCATCATACATTGTAGGGATGCCCCATGATCAATTTGACATGTTACTGTGTGGGCATTTAGTACATTGTTTGCATGCTTTTGCTGTTAAGTGCTGCAGTAAAAGTCATTCTTCCCTGGCTGCAAGGAAGTTTGATAAAACCTTTACCAATAAGAAAGACACGCCACAAACTTAGGAAAAGGATTCAAATTTTGGGCCACCAGAAATATACAGCTATGTACTGTAACCATTGTGGCAACAAATGTATTTAGGCCGTAGATCTATGATAAATGTGTAGGCATGTATCAATTTTTTTTTTTTTTTTGAGACTGAGTCTCACTCTGTGGCTGGGGCTGGAGTGCAGTGGCGCGATCTTGGCACACTGCAAGCTCTGCCTCCTGGGTTCACGCCATTCTGCTGCCTCAGCCTCCCGAGTAGCTGGGACTACAGGTGCCCGACACCACGCCCAGCTAATTTTGTTTTTGTATTTTTATTAGAGACAGGGTTTCACCATGTTAGCCAGTATGGTCTCGATCTCCTGACCTCGTGATTCACCCACCTTGGGCTCCCAAAGTGCTGGGATTACAGATGTGAGCCACCACGCCCAGCCAGGCATGTATCTATTTTTAACTGGAAAATTGAATAGCTTGTGAATTAGTAATGATTTGGGTCATTTAGTACCAACTGTCTCATAAAGGGAACAAAATTTTTTTAAAGTTATTCTACTTTGCGATGCCTTCCAGCAAGGTATGAGACTTTTCTCTTTTTGTAAATTTGTCTCTTCGTGTACGTTGTACCCTTATTGTATTACATTGTTCCCTTATCATATTACGTTCTTCTGTTTCTTCTTAATTTATTAAACCTCATATATTGAGGAAATTAGCTCTATGTCTGCCATATTATGTTTACAAATATGTTTCCAGATTGTCATATGTCACTTGTCTTATTTATTTACTTTTTGGCCTTCTGCGCATTACGTTTTTTTAAAATTCTAGGCTGGGTGCAGTGGCTCACTTCTGTAATCCCAACACTTTGGGAGGCGGAGGCGGGCTGACCACTTGAGGTCGGGAGTTTGAGACCAGCCTGGCCAACATGGTGAAACTCCGTCTCTACTAAAAATATAAAAAAATTAGCCAGATATGGTGGTGCACGCCTGTAATCCCAGCTATTTGGGAGGCTGAGGCAGGAAAATCGCTTGAACCCAGGAGGTGGAGGTTGCAGTGAGCTGAGATCATGCCTCTGCATTCCAGCCTGGGTGACAGAGCAAGACTCTGTCTCAAAAAAAAAAAAAAAAAGAAAAAAAACAACTTCCATGTTTTCTTATTTGTAGTTTCAATTTGTTATATTAAAATCTTTGACCCTGTGAAATTTTATTTGGTATAAGGAGTGAATAGGGAACTAAAATTTTTTTCAGATGTCTGAATAATTGTCTTAATAACATAATTGTCTTAATACCATATGTTGGTGTTTTATCTTATGTTGACTAATTGTCTTAATACCATATGTTGATAATCCGTGTTTTCTCTATTGGACTTTAACGCAACTTTAATTGTATACTTATTTTCCATATACATTCAAGTCTGTCTCTGGACCTCTTCTATTCTGTTTCTGTATTTGTACACCAATACTAGCTTGTTTTAAATACTATGGCCTTATATGTTATAAAATCCAGTAGAGTGGAGAGGCATACCAATATTTTAGGCAACTCAATGTTTTCTCCCTACAGTGATCTACAGAATCATTGCAATCCCAATTAGAATTCTAGCAGAATTTTTTTTGTAGAAATTTCTACTAAAGCTTTGGCTAACTTTCTTCAGACACTCTCATAATAAGCAGATACTACTCTTTGGCCTTCCAGAAAGTCAACAAGTGAAGTGCCTTGAGCATCCAAAAAACCTGTTGCTGTTGCCTTTGCTCTTGACTGGTCAACTTTTGCTTTGACTGGACCACTTCCACCTCTTGGTAGCCATTGGTTTAATTGTGCTTTGTCTTTATGATCAAACTGGTAAAACCATGTTTCATCTTCTGTTACAGTTCTTCAAAGAAATGCTTTAGGACCTTGATTCCACTTGTTTAAAATTTCTTTTGAAATCTCTGCTCTTGTCTGCAGCTGATTTGGGAGCAGTGGTTTTGGCACCCATCATATGGAAAATTTGCTCAACTAATTTTTCATTAAGAATTGGTGGGAAGAAGGCTGGGCGTGGTGGCTCATGCTTGTAATCCCAGCACTTTGGGATGCCGAGGTGGGTGGATCACCTGAGGTTAGGAGTTCGAAACCAGCCTGGCCAACATGGTGAAATCCCGTCTCTACTAAAAATACAAAATTAGCCGGGCGTGGTGGCGCATGCCTATAATCTCAGCTACCTGGGAGGCTGAGGCAGGAGAATCGCTTGAACCTGGGAGGCAGAGGTTGCAGTGAGCCGAGATCACGCCATTGCACTCCAGCCTGGGCAACAAGAGTGAAACTCGGTCTCAAAAACAAACAACAAAACAAAGAATTGGTAGGGAGGCCAGGAGCAGTGGCTCACCTATAATGCCAGTGCTTTGGGAAGCTGAGGTAGGAGGATCAGTTGAGGCCAGGAATTTTGAGACCAGCTTGGGCAACATAGCAAGACTCCATCTATACAAAAAATAGGGCCAGGAGCAGTGGCTCATGCCTATAATCCCAGTACTTTGGGAGGCTGAGGTGGGTGGATCACCTGAGGTTAGGAGTTCGAAACCAGCCTGGCCAACATGGTGAAACCCCGTCTCTACTAAAAATACAAAATTAGCCGGACGTGGTGGCGCATGCCTGTAATCTCACCTACCTGGGAGGCTAAGGCAGGAGAATCACTTGAACCTGGGAGGCGGAGGTTGCAGTGAGCCGAAGCCGAGATCACACCACTGCACTCCAGCCTGGGTGACACAGTAAGACTCCAAAAAGAAAAAAAAAAATTAGCTGCACGTGGTAGCACATGTCTGTAGTCCCAGCTACTTGGGAGGCTGAGACAGGAGGATTGCTTTAGCCCAAGAGTGTGAGGTTACAGTGAGCTGTGATCATGCCTGTATACTCTAGCCTGGCTGACAGAACAAAACCCTATCTTGAAAAAAATATATATGTGGTGTAAGCCAAACCATATATATATATTTGGGATTACAAGCATGAGCTTGTAATTGGTTATATACACTCAGATGTCTGTGGTGTTGGCTATTGTTTCTGCTGTTAATCAACAGTCCTCTTCAATTAGGGCATGAACAAGATGAATTTTTTCCTTATAAATTGATGCGGGTGGTCTGCTGCTACAGACTTCCATCTTCAATATTATCTTGTTCCTTCTTAAAACAAGTTATCCATTTGTAAACAGGTGATTTCTTTGTCCCCATAAACTTTTCATAAAGCATCAGTGATTTCACTATTCTTCTACCGAAGCTTCACTGTAAATTTGGAGTTTGTTCTTGCTTCAGTTTTAAGCAGAATTCATGTTGCTGTTTTCAAACTGCTGTCTTATCCTTCTTAGTGTCTCAGACTAGATCTAGTTCACCCGTATTGTAACAAGTTGGTATGAGTTTATTTTGGTGCAAAAAATTTTGAAATTTTTGCATAGTTTCTTCATAATACGGATTTTCCATGAACTTTTTGAAGACCCCCTTATATATAGATCAGTGAAACAGAACAGCTAGTCCACAAACCCATGCATATATGGTCAATTAGTTCTCAACAGAGGTAATAAGGTAATTCAGCGGGGAAAAGAAAGTCTTTTCGACAAACGGACTGGATCCATGGGGAAAAAAGTGAACATCAAACCTAACTTTATATTGTAAGCAAAAATTAACTTCAAATGACTCAGACTGAAGTTTTAAAACTATAAAAGTTCCAGAAGAAAACAGGAAAAAAATCTTTGTGGCCTTGAGATATGTCAAGGTTCCTTAGCACAACAACAACAAAATTCTTTAAAAAGAAAAAATTGATATATTGGACTTATCGAAACTAAAAATTTTCATTCTTCAAAAGATAACATTAAGAAAATGAAAAGGCAAGCCACAGATGGGAAAATATTTGCAAAATGTATATCAAAGGACTTGTATCTACTCACTAAAGAAGATAATACACATGGTGATAAGCACATAAAAGATACTCAACATCAGTAGCCATCAGGCAAATTAAAACCACAATACAGTACTACTACATACCCATTAGAATGGCTAAAAATAAAAAAGAGTGACCATACCAAGTATGGGCAAGGATGTACAGAAACAAGCTCTCACAGTGTTGATGGTAAAATGGTACAACCACTTTGGAAAATAGTTTGGGACTTTTTTTTTAAGTTAAACATATATTTACCATATTACCCAGCTATTCCACTTGGAATATTTACCTAAGAGACAGGAAAATATACATCTTCAGGAAGACTTGTACACAAATTTTCATAGCAACATTGCTTATAGCCAAAAGCTGGAAATGACCCAAATGTCCCTCATCAGGTGAATGATGAACTGTACATCCATTACAATGGAATACTACCTAGTAATAAAACGGTAAGTTGTTGATACATGGTGCAACATAGGTGAATTTCAAAACAACTATCTTGAGTGAAAGAAGCCAGACAAAAATTAGTACATATGACATGATTCCGTTTATATAAAATTCCAGAAAAGGCAAACTAGTCTATAGTGGCAGAAATTAGATTGGTGGTTGCCTATGCATGGAGTGATGGATTATAAGGTGTCATGAGGAAATCTGGAGAAGTGATAGAAATAACCTTGAATGTGGTGATAGTTTTTTGGGTGTGTAGATATGTCAAAACTCAGCAAATTAGATACTTTAAATATATGCAGATTATTGTATATATTTATGCCTCAGTGAAGTTGAAAAAATTAAGAAATTAGAACTAGTCTTTGCTAGTTTTAGAACTAATTTAGAAATTAGAACTAGTCTTTGCTTTGTAGAACTAGTCTTTGCTTGTTAAACTTAAAATGTTTTTAGGTTAGGCCAGGCGCGGTGGCTCACACCTGTAATCCCAAAACTTTGGGAGGCTGAGGCGGGCGGATCACGAGGTCAGGAGTTTGAGACCAGCCTGGCCAACGTGGTGAAACCCCGTCTCTACTAAAAATACAAAAATTAGCTGGACATGGTGGCATGCCTCTGTAGTCCCAGCTACTCGGGAGGCTGATAATCACCTGGGAGACAGAGGTTGCAGTGAGCCAAGATCATGCCACTGCACTCCAGCCTGGGTGACAGAGCAAGACTCCATCTCAAAAAAAAAAAAAAATTTAGGTTAGTCTTACATATTTATTCTCCCATACAAACTGTTAAGTCAGCTGATCTAGTCACCAAAACAATTCTGCCATTACTTTTAATTGGCTAGTGTTCTTCATAGATTGAGGGAGAAAGGCTATCTTTATAATACTGAGTAGTTCAAAGTATTGTGTTATGTTCATTGCTATTTATTTATTTAGAGACAGAGTCTTGCTCTGTTGCCGAGGCTGGAGTGCAGTGGCACAATCTTGGCTCACTGCAACCCCCACCTCCTGGCTTCAGGTGATTCTCCTGCCTCAGCCTCCTGAGTAACTAGGATTACAGGCACCTGCCATCATGCCTGGCTAATTTGTGTATTTTTGTAGGGACAGGGTTTCATCATGTTGTCCAGGCTGGTCTTAAACTCCTGACCTCAGGTGATCCACCCACCTTGGCCTCCCAAAGTGCTGGGATTACAGGCATGAGCCACCGCACCTGGCCGTTCATTGCTATTTTAAGTGAGATCTTTCATTATATTTATTTTTTAGTTGTTGGTTGTTTACATATAGAGAACGTGGCTGCCTTATTGAAATTTCTCATTTGGCTGGGCACGGTGGCTCACGCCTGTAATCCCAGCACTGTGAGAGGCCGAGGCGGGCGGATCACTTGAGGTCAGGTGTTTGAGACCAGCCTGGCCAAGATGGTGAAACCTCGTCTCTACTAAAAATACAAAACAAAATTAGCCGGGCATGGTGGCGGATTCCTGTAATCCCAGCTACTTGGGAGGCTGAGGCAGAGAATTTCTTGAACCAGGGAGGCAGCAGTTGCAGTGAGCCGAGATCGCACCACTGCACTTCAGCCTGGGCGACAGAGCAAGACTCTGTCTCAAACAAAAAAAAAAAAAAAAAAAGGAAAGAAATTTATCATTGTTTAAGTTGCTTTTCAATTAATCCCCTGTTGTTTTCAAGTATACTAAGTACACTGCTGAAACAGCCAACAAAGGGAAGATAGTAAGCTTCAGAACTCTGATCATACCAACACAGAACTTGCCTTTTCATTTCCATTTTTATACATCCTATTACTTTCTCTTATCTAGTTGGATCAGCTGTACTTTTTCCTTTTTTAGTGTGAAGGTATGGCTTTCTTGCTACACATACATCCAAGATTAAAACCTTTTTTCTTTTTTTTTTTTTTTGAGACAAGGTTTTTCTCTGTTACCCAGGCTGGAATGCAGTGGCATGATCACAGCTGTCTGCAGCCTCAACCTCCCAGGCTCAAATGATCCTCCCCACTCAGCCTCCTAAGTAGCTGGGACTACAGGCTTGCACCACCACCCACCCTTGACTAATTTTTAATTTTTTTTTGAAGAGACGGGTCCTCACTATGTTGCCTAGACTGTTAAAATCTTTTACTTTTTAAAAATATATTTTAGAAATTGCTTCCCAAGAAGAAGGTGCTACTATACAGTGGATGTCATCTGTAGAAGCAAAGATTGAAGACAAAAAAGTTCAGAGAGAAAGTAAACTAACTTCCGGAAAGTTGGAGAATCTCAGAAAAGAAAAGGTTAGAAAAATATTTTGGGGCCAAAAGTATATATATTTTCTGACCTAGTGACTTATTCGCTGGATTTGGGTTATTCTGTTGTTAATGTGAATATAGTTTTGTTAAGATAGAAGGTTAATTACATTCATTTAGATTTTACTTTAATGAAAACTTAAAGCAAAGTAGGCATTTGTGCTGTGGGTGAACATTTTAAAGTTTAAATTGCTGATACATATATAAAATTCTTGACCTGCTCAAGTTTCAAGATTGATAGTATGTTTAGAATTAAATTTTTAAAATTTCGTAACTGCTTTCGATAAACAAACAAAATTTGGCTCCCTTTCTTCTCTGTTGAGCTCACCGGTTTAGAAGGATTTCCTCTGACACAGATTAGAGGGTTAGAATTCTTAAGAAAGGTATTTTATGACTTGGGAATAAGAGGAGTAGGATATGGAAGAAACAACAAATATACCTTTTTTGTGTCTGCTGTACACCTGCCGTATTCCTGATGGAGAGGTGTATTCAGCTCACTTCAGGGATTACTATGGCAATGCTTCAGTAACCCAGAAACCAGAATTTGGCTGTCTCTGGTCCAGAGAATGGGGAAACAAACCAAATCAACACTACTAGACTCCACTTTTTGGCACTCAGTTTTAATAATCAGAGTTTTAGGGTAAATCATCAAAAAGCAATGATACTTGTATGTTAACCACCATATTAAAATAGTAGATGGGTTCAATGCCTGCCTTCTAAGAAGTTTATTTAAGGTTAGAAGTTATGACTATGACAATAACACATTAATATGAAGAAAGCATAGACATTTTATGAAGGTTTTCTATGAAAGGGCATGAAATGTACCTAATATCTGTGATGTTTTGATTCTTGGATTTAACCAAAAAGTTTCATATGCTGCTAAAGGTTATCCCAGAAACTGTTAATGTTGCTTTATAACATCTGAGAATGTATTTATTTGGCCATATCCATGGTGGCCTCTTTACTTCACTTTTCAGATAAACTTCTTGCGGAATAAACACAAAATTCACGTCCAAGGAACCGATCTTCCTGACCCAATTGCTACATTTCAGCAACTTGACCAGGAATATAAAATCAATTCTCGACTACTTCAGAACATTCTAGATGCAGGTTTCCAAATGCCTACGCCAATCCAAATGCAAGCCATCCCAGTTATGCTGCATGTGAGTATGAAGATCTAGAATGCCTGTAACATTCCTTCCTCTGTGTGTTTGCTCATTCTCTTCCCTCTCTTCTTGAACTCTTTCTTTCCACCTTATCTCCCCTGTTAAAATCCTTCACTTCCTTTTAAGGTTCATCAAATGCCTGTGCCTCCATAAAAGTTGTCTTGATCACTCCATCTAGATGTGATCTTCTTCCTTTTCTAGTACCCTTTCCCCCACACTGCAGTTCTTCCATGGTATTTGGTGTGTTCTTTTCCTTGCAACATTTATTTTACATTTTAAACTACTTTGTATTCGCACCAATCATATTTATCTTTTTCATTTTACTAGTGTGTAACCCCTTGGAGAATGGGGATTATGTTCTATTCATTCATACATTCATTATTTAGTTTATAATGCCCAGGAACTACTCCAGAAATACAAATGCTTTCTAAAGTTCTTGTACATAAACTGACTTATTTTTCCGAATACTTTTTATTATTAAAGTATACTTTACATACAATAAAATGCATAGATTTTTAAGTGCCCAGTTTAGTGAGTTTCAGCAATGCATGCCCTGTGTAACCACTATTCCAGTGAAGATAGAGAACATATGTATTACCCCAGACAATTTTCTTGTGCCCTTTCCATTCAGTCCTCACCCTGCCCCTGCTCAGAGGCAACTGCTATTCTGATTTCTACTGCTGTATATTCCTTTTGCCTCTTCTAGAGTTTTATATGAGTGGAATCACACATTAATCTTTTATTTCTGGTTTCTTTCACTTTGCGTAATGCTTTGAGATTCTTCTGTATTACATAGAGCAATAGTTTGTTACCAAGTAGTATTATGTTGTATGAATATACCACAATTTGTTATCCAGTCACTTGTTGATAGAGGTATGGATTAACTTAGGTTTTCGGACGTTAAGTTTTTCTGAGGTTTGTTTCTGTAGCAATAAGAGTTGGGTTTTTTCCCCATGTAACCGAGATGGCCTTCAGTTCTGGTTTCCAAAGGATATAAGATACCTTTTCATCTCTATACTAGTCCTTTTCATTTTCTTTGAGAGATGAAATGAGAATACATTCATACATTTAAATGATGCTGTTGACTTATGTTATAGTAAATTTGCTTTTAATTTTTGTTTAAGATTGTTTCTGTCATGGCTTTAGCTTAAAGCTTAAAAAATCACAGTGGGCCAGGTGCGGTGGCTCACGCCTCTAATCCCAGCACTTTGGGAGACCGAGGCGGGCAGATAACGAGGTCAGGAGTTCAAGACCAGCCTGGCCAATATGGTGAAACCCTGTCTCTACTAAAAATACAAAAACTAGCTGGGCATGGTGGCGTGTGCCTGTAATCCCAGCTACTCGGGAGGCCAAGGCAGAAGAACCACTTGAACCCGGGAGGCGGAGGTTGCAGTGAGCCGAGATCTCGCCACTGCACTCCAGCCTGGGTGACAGAGTGAGACTCTGTGTCAAAAAAAAAAAAAAAAAAAACACAGTGAGTTTTTGAAAATTGTCTCCTGTAAATTACTCTGCCCTCAGGTCATTGCCATTTTTTATTTCTTCAGCCATTTTGTTGTTCAATAAAACCTTCCCTAGTGATTGAACAATACAGATACCAGGACAAAAAGTTGGTTTTATAATTTTATTTTGACAATAGTTTAGTGGAAAAGAAAAATTGAAATAATGGATATAACTTAGGTTATGGATTATCTTTGGGTTTTAGTTACCCGTATTCTTTACACTCATTCAAAGGGAATTTAAGGGCAATGCTCAGAAACTTTGTTGGGGTGATGGTGGCATGGATGGATGATGTTAGGAAAGCAGATATGACTTGAAAGATTAGATTCATTATGTAAAATTGTATTTGTTTTTTTCTATGGCTGGTAGCGTTATTTGACCAGGCTCTGAAAAATTTATGTACTTTCTTTGTAGTATTTAATATACCCTATGTTTTTAGGGTCGGGAACTTCTGGCTTCTGCTCCAACTGGATCTGGAAAAACATTAGCTTTTAGCATTCCTATTTTAATGCAGCTGAAACAACCCGCAAATAAAGGCTTCAGAGCCCTGATTATATCACCAACACGAGAACTTGCCAGCCAGGTATGACTTGTAGCTTTTGAAGAGTATGCGATTGGTTTTTACTTCAGTGATCTTTCTTATTTGAAGGTAATAAAAAGATCTTAAAAAGCAAGGCCCACGTCTTCTGTCATGGTCAAGTATCCTCTACACAGCACAGTGCTCCGGATCTTACTCCATGTGGGCAAGTCTTTTAAGTCTTTCTGTAAGTTTCTAAAACACAGTGATTTTAATATTTACACTTCTTTGGTAAATGCTTTAAGGTCTTTGAAGTTGAAAGGCTAATTAAATATAGCCCTGCTTGGACATTTATTTTTCTCATCTAAAAAAAATGAATACTCATCTTAGTTTTGGTTTTTATTTATTTATTTGTTTGTTTTTTAGCCACAGATTCTTACTCTGTTACCCAGGCTGGCATGCAGTGGTGTGATCATGGCTTACTGCAACCTCGAACTCCTGGCCTCAAGAGATCTCCCTCTTCAGCCTCTTGAGTAACTGGGACTACAGGCACATGCCACTGCGCCTGGTTAATTTTTTTCTTTTTGTAGAAACAAGGTCTCCCTATGTTACCCAGGCTGGTCTTGAACTCCTGGGTTCAAGTGATCCTCCCACCTTGGCCTGCCAAAGTACAGGGCTTACAGGCATGAGTCATTATGCCTGACTCATCTCAGTTTGTTTTTTTTAGAAGGGAAAAGTATACAGTGATCTGTTCTACCCTCCCAATGTGCTTAATATGAAACACATATCAAGTATGAAATAGTCTTGTAATAGTACTATGTGTGTGTGTGTGTGTGTGTGTGTGTGTGTGTGTGTGTGTGTGTGTGTATTTTTTCTTGGGACAGTCATGCTCTGTGGACCAGGCTGGAGTGCAGCGGCGCCATCTCGGCTCACTGCAACCTCTGCCTCCCAGGTTCAAGTGATTCTCCTGCCTCAGCCTCCCAAGTAACTGAGATTACAGGTGCGCACCATCACACCTGGCTAATTGTTTTTGTGTTTTTAGTAGAGATGGGGTTTTACCACGTTGGCCAGGCTGGTCTGGAACTCCTGGCCTCAAGTGATCCACCCACCTTGGCCTCCCAAAGCGCTGGGATTACAGGTGTGAGCCCCCACACCCGGCCAGTAGTACTGTATTCTGAAAACAATACAAAATAGGTTAGTTTTATCTCTGGGAACTAGTTTATTCCACCTGAAGAAATTATTGAATCTTATTAGGCATTGAAGTTTCAAAATGCTGAGATTTCAGGTTAATCTACAGATTGTTATGAGTTTAATTTCAGATATTCATGGGTTGGTAATAGATTTATTTCATTAATCATGTAAAAGAGTATACATCTTGTCCAAGTATGTTAGCAGCTAATGTTTTTAATCTTTTTTTTTTTAGATTCACAGAGAGTTAATAAAAATTTCTGAGGGAACAGGATTCAGAATACACATGATCCACAAAGCAGCAGTGGCAGCCAAGAAATTTGGACCTAAATCATCTAAAAAGTTTGGTAAGGAATTCATACATGGGATGTAGATAGAGCATGTAAGGAATCTGGAAATTATAAATATCCTAATTGCTATGTAAGTGTTGTTAAAGTATAGTCATGTATGTATAAAATTTGAATTTTAGAAGAACTAAAGCGATCCCCTTCTCACTCTACTGAGAAGTTATACATAAATATATACCAGTAGTTCTCAAATAGAGACAATCTTGCCCCCCACCTTTCACCACAGGGACATTTGGCAATAATTTGGAGACATTTGTAGTTGTCACAACTGGGGAGAAGTGCTACTAGCCTGTAGTTACTAGCCTATAGCCAAGGATGTTGTTAAACATTCTGCGGTGCACAGGACAGTCCCCTGCAACGAACACTTAGTGGCCCAAAGTGGTAACAGTGCTGAGGCTAAAAAATTCTGATTTATACCATTGATTTTTAATCTGCCATGGAAATACTCTGGCAGACAGGAATGGCATGCATAGCTGGGTGCAGTGGCTCACACCTGTAATCTTCTCCATACCTATAGCTATGGAGAAGCTGAGGTGGGAGGATTGCTTGAGGCCAGGAGTTTGGGACCAGCCTTGGCAACATAGCGAGACTCCATCTCTAAAAGAAATTTTTTAAATAAAAAAAAATTAGCCAGGCATGGTGGTGCATGCCTGTAGTCCTAGCTACTTGGGAGTCTGAGGTGGGAAGATCACTTGAGCGCAGGAGTTCAAGGCTGCCATGAGCTATGATTGCACCACTGTACTCCAGCCTGAGCAACAGAGTGAGACTCCATCTTAAAAAAAACAAAAAGAACGGCTTACATCCTCACCCTTATATCAGCCAGAGAATCTGCTTTCATTTTTTTTTTTTTTCTTTTTGTTTTTTGACATTGTCCACTTGGAGATAAGCTTTCATCTGTTTTGTTTTGTTTAAATCTTGGGCCTCTGCATAAAATTCCATGTAAAAAAAATGATTTTCCTGGGGGAAAAAAAGATTTGAAAATTAAATTGTTCTTTCCTCTTAGAAATTGAGAAGAGGCTGGGTATTGTGGCTCATGCCTGTAATCCGGCATTTTGGGAGGCTGAGGCAGGGAGATTGCTTGAGCCCAGGAATTCGAGACCAGCCTGGACAGCATAGGGAGACCCTGTTTCTACAAAAATAAAAGTAAAAAAAAAATTTACCATCTCTACTAAAAATACAAAAAATTAGCTGGGCGTGGTGGCGGGCGCCTGTAGTCCCAGCTAGTGGTAGTCCCAGCTACTCGGGAGTGAGAATGGCGTGAACCCGGGAGGCAGAGCTTGCAGTGAGCCGAGGTTGTGCCACTGCACTCCAGCCTGGGCGACAGAGCTAGACTGTCTCAAAAAAATAATAGTAATAAATAAAAATTAGCCAGGTGCAGTGGCATGTGCCTGTAGTCCCAGCTACTCAGAATGCTGATGCCAGAAGATCTCTTGAGCCCAAGAGTTTGAAGTTGCATGCAGTGAGCTATGATCACACATTGTACTCCATCCAGGCTGGGTGACAGAGCAAGACCCTGTCTCAAAAAGAAAGAGAAAGCTGCTCAGATATATTAAAAGGAAAGTAGGGATATAATAGTTTTGTGTTGTTGGCTATGACTACTTCCCACTTCAGGTTATTAACTGAAGTTGAGGAGGCTTAATTCCTAGTTCAAGAGGGATAAATCCTGTTTTTGCAATTTCTACCATTTGTTTTTCCTATAGATATTCTTGTGACTACTCCAAATCGACTAATCTATTTATTAAAGCAAGATCCCCCCGGAATCGACCTAGCAAGGTATAGATGATATTTTCATGTCTTTCGTGTGTATTTTTAATTTAGTTAATTATATTTTGTCCTCTATTGCTTGTATTTTTTGTCTTTGGAGCTTGCTGTTTGCCACCTTCAGTCAGTGTTGGCACTGAGAATAATGGTTTTTTAAAAAAATTCATAGAAAAGAAATGGAACCTCGTATCTTTGAGGCTATTGGAATAGGTACATTAAGCTATGTTTATCTTCCTTTTACCTTTTTCCTGCTGTGTTAGTCCGTTTTCATGCTGCTCTAAACAGCTACCTGAGACTGGGTAATTTATAAAGAACGGAAGGTTTAATTGACCCACAAGTCAGGGCATGACTGGGGAGGCCTTAGGAAACTTACGGTCATGGCAGAAGGGGAAGCAAGACATATCTTACATGGTGGCAGATGGGGAAGAGAGAGAGAGAGTGCCCCCATGAGCCGGTCACCTCCCACCAGGTCCCTCCCTCAACACGTGAGGATTACAATTCGAGATGAGATTTGGGTGGGGATACACAGCCAAACCATGACACCTGCTTGTGTTTCTTATTTTTTTTTTTTGGTATGATAAAGTGGATCTGAGAAGCAGCATTATAGTTTGACTTCCTCATGTGTCCACTGTCCCCACAGTTTAGTGAAGTGTCTTGGATCTTTCAGTTCAGTATCCACAAGTTGTTTTGTTATTTCTTAGTGTTGAGTGGCTTGTAGTAGACGAATCAGATAAACTGTTTGAAGATGGCAAAACTGGGTTCAGAGACCAGCTGGCTTCCATTTTCCTGGCCTGCACATCCCACAAGGTCCGAAGAGCTATGTTCAGTGCAACTTTTGCATATGATGTTGAACAGTGGTGCAAACTCAACCTGGACAATGTCATCAGTGTGTCCATTGGAGCAAGGTATTTAATTGTTTCTCAACATTATCACACTGATTTTTTTTTTAAATACAAGTCTTTTTTAAAGACTGAAGGAGATAGGTTTCTTGGCCTGAGACTAGCAAGGGAGAGAGTTTTACTGATTGAAATGTGTTCTTTTAAGCCAAGATTGTTTAAGGATTTTCTATTTTAGAGTAATCTAAAAGAAGGTTTTTACATTGTCATATTAACATTCCTGTCATCATGCTTTTAGGTGTTTTTTTCCATCCACAGAGTATAACATGAGCTCTGTGGCCACCTAGAAGATTTAGTTTCTTTGATGGCTTAAATAAGTGGACCACAGAGGAAGAACCTGATGTCACTGAGCCACTTGATATATATTTCCTTTTAAAAAATATTTTGGGGAGCATTTTATGCTAAATAAATGCTCAGTGACAGAAAAAAGTTTAAAGAAATTATGATACTGCTACCTGATGGATTATTATGTAACCCCTGAAATGATGTAGGAAGACTGTAGCTATATGAAAAAGTGTTTGTAGTACCATATTAAGTGAAAAAGTAGCCAATGGAACAGTAAAGAATACCCTATTTTAAACCTAAAATTCCTGTTTATAAGAAGAAAGCAAGGTTGGGTACGGTGCCTCACACCTGTAATCACAGCACTTTGGGAGGCAGAGGCAGGTAGATCGCCTGAGGTCAGGAGTTCGAGACCAGCCTGACCAACATGGCGAAACCCCATCTCTTCCAAAAATACAAAAATGGGTGTGTGCCTGTAATCCCAGCTACTTGGGAGGCTGAGGCAGGAGTATTGCTTGAGCTTGGGAGGTGGAGGTTGCAGTGGGCCGAGATCGCCCCACTGCACTCCAGCCTGGGTGACAGAGTGAGATTCCATCTTGAAAAACAAAAAAAACAGGAAAGCAGAATGAATTCACCATAAACATAATTTCAATGGGAAATTAAACATATTTAAATATGGTTAATGTATATTTAAATATATTTAGATAAAAATAATTAAATGGGAAAAATATTTATGATACAACACAGTACATTGTAACATCTTACAGAGTATTAATAAAGTCTTAATATATCTCACCCCTAACTGTTGGTCTATAAATAAATCTTTGCTAATCATTATGAAAAATGTTTAACCATGTGTAATAACAACCTTAAAAATATTTTTATTATTTTACTCAATAATTTTACAGTTAGAAATTTTTTATAACTAATCAAATACCTGAAAATTTATGACTGAAACATAAGTTTTAATGGGTGGCATTTCAAGATATTTTTAAAATTAGAAGAAAGCATTTAAAAATAACAATTTTGTCTTCAAGTTAAAGTATAAATAATTCAGTACTTATTAATATTGACAGTGGAAAAATTGATTTTGTTGGAGTTGTGTGTAAATTTTTTCATTTATTTAGAGTTCAGGGGAAAAAGCAAAAATTAACTCTTACAAACTACAAGGTATATTTTCTTCCCAGGAATTCTGCAGTAGAAACTGTAGAACAAGAGCTTCTCTTTGTTGGATCTGAGACCGGAAAACTTCTGGCCGTGAGAGAACTTGTTAAAAAGGTATATTTGTATTACCTTCTTGAATTTTGGTAAAGTTTGCCAAGTCTTATATTACTAGTGGGAGGCTATTACAGTGGTAGCACTGTATCATCATCATCTTGGCTCGTATTCAGTAATCCATTGGTAAATTGATAAGAAAGTACATTGTGCTAACTATATGATCATCCTGCATCGTATTTAGTAATCTAGGAGTAAATGGTTAAGAAGCGTGTTGTCCCAGCTCTTATCCCAAGGGACAGAAGCTTGCCTCTCAGAATATGGTAAGTTGTCTTTTCGCAGCTCAGATTAGGCTAGGAAACGATCTATCTGATGCCCTGAGAATCTCATTTTTCCACATTTGCCTGCTCCATCCCTCCTCTGGTTTCTTATAGAAGAACTGGGGTGTTGTAGGACACTGAGTGGGGTTTTCTGTTTTTATCCTTTCAGTAAGAACTGAGTAGAAACCATAGTTAAAAAGTACTGAGGTGTCAGCACTGGACAATACAAGAAATCTCCTAAGCCCTGCCCCTGGAATTTAGTCTTGTTTAGAGGGATAAAATAAATACACTTGTGTAAGATAGTCTCTGATAAAGTGTCATAAAGGGCTAAAGAGTACTTTTTTAAGCATCCATATAGTCATAATGGGGCCACCAGGGTGAGCCAAATTGGTTGAGCCTTATAGAAGAAATGCTACTAAACTGATCCTTGAAGGATTTTCAGGATAAAACGTGGAGGGGAAGAGCATTGACGGCTGGGGGAGCAGCTTGAGTAAACCCTTAAGAGGTGGAAGTGAACACCATGTGTTTGAAGACTAATGAAGCAGTTACCTGTCTAAGGCAAACAGTTTATGGTATGGAATTAAAGAAAACCAGGTGGGACAGGAAAGCTGGGGTCAGGATATTTTTGAAGAATGTGACTACATAATTTTGTTTTTGTTTTTGAGATGGAGTCTCGCTCTTTCACCCAGGCTGGAGTGCGGTGGCGTCATCTTGGCTCACTGCAAGCTCTGCCTCCTGGGTTCACGCCATTCTCCTACCTCAGTCTCCCGAGTACCTGGGACTACAGGTGCCTGCCACCATGCCCGGCTAATTGTGACTACATAATTTTTAAGGAAAATTAGTTAAACAGTAATATGTAAGGTGAATTGTAATGGGAAAGATGGAAAGTAAGGAAACCAATCAGGCTTTTAAACTGGGGTAGGCAGAGATGAGGAAGAAATAAGGGCAGCAGCCTTAGTGGTGAGACATTAAGTATAGTTGGAGGCTAGAAGGGAAAAGTTTGCAAGTACCTGGTGACTATAGAATGGTTTGCTTTAGTGGTTAAGACCATGGACTCAGGAGCCAGGCTACTTGGGTAGTTCTAGCTCCACCACTATAGCTTTGCACAACTTAACCTCTCTTCCACATTTTCCTTGTCTGTAAAATGGGATAATAATATCTACCTCATAGAGCTGTTTTACTATTAATTCATTAGTACAAGCATAGTACTTATTATATAATAGTGCTTGGCACATAGTAAATGCTAAATGTATTTTATTAATATTCTTAAGAGAATCATTTGGTACTAGGAAATTTAAGGTTTTCCAGGATATTCCTTGGAGATTATACACCAGAGGTTTTCAGCCATGTTTGAGCTTTGGGAGGTCTGCAAACCCTCTAAAATTATACGTAAGATTTTTGTGTGAATGAGTAGTTACTTATTAGAAAGTTTCTTAGCTTTCATTAGATTCCAAAAGAGATGTTTAAGCCATCATAAAAAGGCTAAGAAACTCGGCCAGGCGTGGTGGCTCACCGGTGTAATCCCAGCACTTTGGGAGGCCGAAGCGGGCGGATCATCAGGTCAGCAGTTCGAGACCAGCCTGACCAACATGGTGAAACCCCATCTCTACTAAAAATACAAAAAAGTTAGCCAGGCGTGGTGGTGCACACCTGTAATCCCAGCTACTCAGGAGGCTGAGGCAGGAGAATCGCTTGAACCTGGGAGGCAGAGGTTGCAGTGAGCCAAGATTGCACCACTGTATTCCAGCCTGGGCAACATAGCAAGACTCTGTCTCAAAAAAAAAAGAAAAAAAAAGGCTAAGAAACTCTAATATGAACGGTTAAAAAGATAGCTGGTTTGAGAGAGAGTAAGGGTTTGATAGTGTAAATGTAAAAATAATTTGTTTAGATTCACAGACATCAGATGTAGTAAAAAAAAAATGTTTACTTAGAGATAGTAGTAGAGATTCAACTCAGTAAAATAAAGATTATATTGAAAGAACTGAGAACCAAGGACTAAGCTTGGGGAGAGCACCAGAGTTAGGATAAATAATGAGTTAATGAGGGATGAAGTACCACCTGTGGGGTTCAGTGTACACCATTGGGGTGATGGGTACACTAAAAGCCCAGATTTCCCCAGTATGCAATATATCTGTGTAACACAAATGCACCTGTACCCCTAAATCCATAAGAATAAAAAAATTAATTTCACCCCAAAAAACCCAGTGAATTAAAAAGATAATTATTTCATTTTAAGCAGAATAAAAAAAGGTTTTGAGGCACAGAAGTCAAGAGATGATTATTTCAAAGTTGAGGCATCTGTTACCATAGTGGGGTGTAGGGGGATTGATTAGACAACATTATTGGAATTAGCAAGATGGAGAATATATTTCAAGTTGAGTGGAAATAACCAATTGGAGAGAATGGTGACGAAGATGGAGGCAGAATTAGACCACTAGCCCAAGAAATTTGGCCAAGAAAGTACACTAAATTGAATTGGGTTCTTAAAAGCTACAATCAAATTATGAAATAATGACCAATTGTATTCTTGATTGAGTTATGTATGCCAATTTTTGTCTTCTTTTAGGGTTTCAATCCACCTGTTCTTGTTTTTGTTCAGTCCATTGAAAGGGCTAAAGAACTTTTTCATGAGCTCATATATGAAGGTATTAATGTGGATGTTATTCATGCAGAGAGAACACAACAACAGGTAAAGTCAAATATATACTTTGAAACTCAGAAGAACTACTTGATTTTAAACTATTGACATTAAATTTATGAAGTACCTGTTTTCATTCTAAAACAATTTAATATATATTCTGTTAACCAGAGAGATAACACAGTCCACAGTTTCAGAGCAGGAAAAATCTGGGTTCTGATTTGTACAGCCTTGCTAGCAAGAGGGATTGATTTTAAAGGTGTGAACTTGGTGATCAACTATGACTTTCCAACTAGCTCAGTGGAATATATCCACAGGATAGGTGAGTTGTCTTTTTTTTCCTTCCCCTCTGTCACCCACTGATCTGTCTTAGGACCCCTGCTATTCCCTGCACATATGCTCACTTCTTAGTGCTGTGAAAATCCAGTGACTTTTATAAATGAATTTTGAGAGCCTCCTTCCCCCCAAAATGTGTTTTTTAATGGTCTAATTTTTCTTAGGTCGAACTGGAAGAGCAGGGAATAAGGGAAAAGCAATTACATTTTTCACTGAGGATGATAAGCCATTATTAAGAAGGTAAATTAGAAAAAATAACCTAGTGTTATTGGCAAAATTGCTTCATTATTCTTATATGTATATTCAATTAAGAGATAATTACAAAATGGCTATGTCCCAAATTCTACTGATAATGGTGTTAGTTGACCAAATTTTAGCCATGGGAAAGGAAAAATGATCAAAAGGCCTTGTTTTTGCCCTTCCGTTATTAGAATTTGGAAATACATATTCAAAATGGAATGTTCATTGTAAGTTTCAGACTCAGGACTCTTTCAATGGTTGATGTTAGATTTTAATGTAGAAGATGAGTTTCCTGCATTTTGACTGCCTATAGTAATTTTTGGTTGATGATGATTAACACTTCACATTTCTAGCTAATCTAGTTTTGGCCAAAGGAGGTTTGTACTTAGATCTGTTTATCAGTTTTGGTAAATATTTTGGTTGTGCTTTCTGAGCTTTGGCTCTGCCACCTGTCAGCCTTTATATCGCTTTAAGCAGATTCAAATGTGCGTGTGTAGAGGGGTATATTCCAACAACCTAGATCCACCATAGGCCTCAGCAACTCCAAGCATGTGAATCCCATGACCCAAATATTAGTGTAAAACTATGCACCTCAGTTTTCCATCTGTGAAATGAGGACAGTGATAGTATTTACAACACAGGCTTGTTGTGAAGAGTGAAGAAGTTACTATACACAAAAAACTTGGCAACGGTGCCAACCCCATAGTAGGCACTTTCACTTAATGAATTTAAGCTTGACTCTGGCTTCAGTCAGTGCTTCCTCCAAGATTGAGTTTACCAGTTTTGTAGGGCTTGATAAATGTTGAAATAGCTGCTATCTATAGTTATTCATCAGTGCATTAATTTCAGCCCAGTGGATAGTTCTCTCTGTAATCCAATGTGCTTACATCAGGTAATAATTGATAATATATCAGAACACTTTGTGGATTACTTTGTGTAGTTTTAGTTCCCTGTAAGGTTGTGCAGAGGGTTTACATTCATAAACATCAATTTAGCAAAGATACAAGTTTATGTTTATGGGTTTCTTTTTCAGCGTTGCTAATGTTATACAGCAGGCTGGGTGTCCTGTACCAGAATACATAAAAGGTTTTCAGAAACTACTAAGGTACAATCTTGAATTTACCTGTATCTTTGTCTGTCTCTTTGTATATACATTCTTTTTTTTTTTTTTCTTGCTCTGTTGCCCAGACTGCAGTGCAGTGGCATGATCACAGCTCACTGTAGTCTTGATCTCCTAGGCTCAAGTGATCCTCCTGCCTCAGTCCCCTAAGTAGCTGAGACTACAGGCATGTACTACCATGCCTGGCTATAATATTTTTTAGATTTTTGGGGAGTAGAAATGGGGTCTTGCTGTGTTAACCAGGCTAGTCTTGAACTCCTGGCCTCAAGTGATCTTGCTATCTTATATCCTTGCCTCCCGAAGTACTAGGATTACAGGCTTGTGTCACTGTGCCCAGTCCAAAACTGCTTGTGAATATTACATGTTATTTCCTTGCCAGTTTTTTATCCTTTATTTATTTATTTTTTTCCTTGAGATGAAGTCTCAGCTCATTGCAACCTCTGCCTCCCAGGTTTAAGCAGTTCTCCTGCTTCAGCCTCTCAAGTGGCTGGAATTACAGGTGTGCGCCACCATGCCCAGCTAATCTTTGTATTTTTAGTAGAGATGGGGTTTCACCATGTTGGCCAGGCTGGTCTCAAACTCCTGACCTCAAGTGATCTGCCCACCTGGGCCTCCCAAAGTGCTGGGATTATAGGCATGAGCTACTGCACCTAGGCTTATCCTTGAAATGTGAAGTATTCAGATTCTTTTAAAAGTATTCAGTATAAGTAAAATATGCTGAGAATTATTTTAGTTCATAAAGCTGGTAAAAAACTTAATTGATCAAAATCAAACTCTGATGCTTGTTGACACAGGATATAAGGTTGGCACAGGACATATTTTAATCACAGTCAGTAGCTTTCTAAAAGGTTGATTGAATTTATCATCCCTTTGAGTTAGCTCTGTAAATCCTATTAGGCGATCTCGTTTATTAAAGTAGTTACAGCCCCACCTTAAACCAGTAAATGGTTTTGAAAAATGAATTTTGTGGCTGAGCGTGGTAGCTCACGCCTGTAATCCCAGCACTTTGGGAGGCCGAGGCGGGCGGGACCTGAGGTCGGGAGTTTGAGACCAGCCTGACCAACATGGAGAAACCCCATCTCTACTTAAAATACAAAAAAAAATTTAGCCGGGCGTGGTGGTGTATGTCTGTAATCACAGCTACTTGGGAAGCTGAGGCAGGAGAATCGCCTGAACCCAGGAGGCAGAGGTTGCAGTGAGCCGAGATTGTGCCATTGCACTCCAGCCTGGGCAACAAGAGCAAAACTCCGTCTCAAAGGAAAAAAAAAAAATGAATTTTGTGATCAAGGATCAAAACTAATTTTAGCTTTAACTCTTCTAATTGAAGTTGCACTTAATTCTTTTCCTTTTTTACTTTGTAACTTTCAGCAAACAAAAGAAAAAGATGATTAAGAAACCATTGGAAAGGGAGAGCATTAGTACAACTCCAAAATGTTTCTTAGAAAAAGCTAAGGATAAACAGTAAGTATGTGGTAAGAAAAATGGCTGTTTGACACCATCATAAAGTTATAGTAGGCATTATTTTTCCTTAGGTAAATTTTTAGAAGTAGAATTGATACTACAGTCTGTTATAAAACGTTATAAAAATAATATATTTTAGGTTGCCTATAATTGGGAAATTTGTTTGTTTGTTTTTTTGAGACAGTGTTTTGCACTGTCGCCCAGGCTGGAGTGCAGTGGCGTGATCTCAGCTCACTGCAACCTCTGCCTCCCGGGTTCAAGCCATTCTACTGCTTCATCATCCCAAATAGCTGGGATTACAGGCTCCCGCCACCACACCCAGCTATTTTTTTTTTGTATTTTTATTAGACACGGAGTTTCACCATGTTGGCCAGGCTGAGCTCAGGTGATCCACCTGCCTTAGCCTTCCAAAGTGCTGGGATTACAGGCGTGAGCCACCATGCCCAGCCAGGAATTTGTTTTAATATTGGAATTTTTCTGTACCAATATGTTGATGATCTGTTTTTTTCCGTCTTGGAAAATATTATTTCAATTCTCTATAAATTCGAATTATACTGCCCACCTTCTCTACACAGCCCACATTAGGACATGCTACTAAGGCCAATAGTTAGGACCATTGACTTACATGGATCTAGTCTTCTTTGAAGCTCCATATTCTGGGCAGGATTTCAATATGATCTCAGGCTTACGCAGATGCACATTGTAACACCTGTAAGAAGTATTACTTAGGTAAATTTGTGCTAGCTTAGCTGAGTTTTATGAGAATATTAAAGTATAGTTTTTTAGCATTCATACAGGCTACCTTATTTTGCCCAGTAATACTAGGAAGCTTTATATTTTGAAAAGGATAGGCCAAGATATTTTGAACAGTTATACTCTATCCACTATTTAAGGAAAATGGCACTCTTCACATTCTACCAGAACCAGGTTATTATATACTCTAATAGAATTGTTCAAGTCTATAATTTATTGTTTTTTTCTCCCCTGAGAGTGCTATCAATGGCCTAGGATATTACCATTGTGAAATATGCTAATGCTTATATCCAGTTATCTCACATCTGTTCTATAGAAGTCATTAGAAAAAAACTGTTTCCATCAACCAGTAGGCATTTACCAAGTTGTTCTGCAAGGTACTTGGTGGTGGTAGTGTATACAAATGAATATAAAATGAGATCCTTTCCTGAAGTTAGGTAAAGAAGATTCGTGTACATGACAGAAAATTAGAGACTGGCTTTTAAATAAAATAGGAGATAAGAGAAAGATGATTGTGAATTGGTGTGGTTACAGAAGTTTCAACAAAGTAGAACTATCTTTAAGGATAGGTAAAATTTAGGCATGGAGAAGGGAACAAGATGAATAGAGGCATGAAAATTAGAGTGTGCTTTGTAAATAAGTGAACAAGAGTTTTCACATGTTGGTATTGTCTATGAGGAATAAAAGTCGGTTCAAATATACAGTGTATATATAGTGTCTCAAAATTTTATCATACTTTTAATAACTTGGGAAGGATAAGTGCTACAAACTGAAAAAAGTATATTTGAATAGTCAATCAATCAATAAGTACAAATTCCATTTGTACTTATTCAGTTTTGGGAATGCTTCACAATCACATTTACTTTTTTTTTTTTTGAGATGGAGTCTTGCTCTGCCACCCTGTCGCCCAGGCTGGAGTGCAGTGTCGCAATCTCGGCTCACTGCAACCTCCACCTCCCAGGTTCAAGTGATTCTCGTGCCTCAGCCTCCTGGGTAGCTGGGATTACAGGCACCCGCCACCATGCCTGGCTAATTTTTTTGTATTTTTACTAGAGATGGGGTTTCACCATGTTGGCCAAGATGGTCTCGAACTCTCAAACTCCTGGCCTCATGTGATCTCCCACCTCGGCCTCCCAAAGTGCTGGGATTACAAGTGTGAGCCACTGCACCTGGCCAACATTTTTAAATTTTAATTTTCTGTCGCAACAGTTTCTGGGTGACACTTAGACCAGTGGATTGGTAGCGAACCTTGTTATGCTTGGCCACTTTGGTCACCTAATCTGTCTTAATAGACTTGTTGGTAGGAGAGGAGTGGGTCACATCAGAACTGTTGTGTATGTGTTACTCTTTGGATGGTCTTAAAGCCAAGATAACAAATGCAGTCCTTTCAGGCACTGAGCAGCAACTGATGAAAGTTTTTACAAAGGTCAAAAATCAACTAGAACATAAGATGGTGGCTATGTTGAATTTTAATAAGATACATCAGTATTTTAAATAATTATACTTTAAATGCTGATTTGTTTTTGTTTTGAGATGGAATCTCTGTTGCTAGGCGGGAGTGCAGTGGCACGATCTCGGCTCACTGCAACCTTCACCTCCCGGGTTCAAGTGATTCTCCTGCCTCAGCCTCTTGAGTAGCTGGGATTACAGGCACACACCACCATGCCCAGCTAATTTTTGTATTTTTAGTAGAGACGGGGTTTCACCATGTTGGCCAGGGTGGTCTTGATCTCCTGGCCTTGTGATCCGCCCGCCTCGGCCTCCCAAAGTGCTAAGGCATGACCCACCGCGCCCAGTCTAAATGCTGATTTTTATAAGTTTATAGCATTTATACTTCTGGGGTTTTTTGTTTGTTTTTTGAGACAGGGTCTCAATCTGTCACCCAGACTGGAGTGCAGTGGCACAATCAGGGCTCACTGCAGCCTCGACCTCCTGGGCTCAAGCAGTCCTCCCATCTCAGCCCCCTGAGAAGCTAGGACTACAGGCTTATGCCACCGTGCCTGGCTAATATTGTTTTATTTTTAGTAGAGATGGGGTTTTGCCATATTGCCCAGGCTGGTCTCAAACTCCTGGACTCAAGCGATCTGCCTACCTCTGCCTCCCAACATGGTGGGATTACAGGCATGAGCCACTGCACCTGCCTTCTTCTGAGGTTATTAAAACTTAATTTGTACTAAGACTTCGAAGACACTTGATATAAATCTTGTCATATCAGCCCCCTGCTTAAGGTGCTTTGGTTGTGTCTCCATTTTCTTCATATGTAAAGGCCATACTACTTAACATAGCATACAAGCAAGACCCATCATGATCCAACTCTGGCTTACCTCTATGCTATAGATGTTTCCTTAATGATCCCACCCATGCCTATAGGCTCAGCTCATATTTCTGTGCTGATCGCTCTTAAGGTTGTTATCTTCAGCCCCAACTTCCCCATTGAGCTACAAACCTGAATCCTTGCTGCCTAGTGGACCTCACTTCAGGCATCACAAACTCAGCCCCATGCAGTGAGTCGGGGAGGAACTGGATTTGGAGCCAGAAGAACTGGTTCTAATATCTACTTCCCTGTGTAGAGTTGGGATTTGGGATTATATGAGTTAATATACACCAAAGAACTTTGTATTACTATAATAATAGTTTGCAAACATTGATTATTTTCTCAAAACTTTTTTCCTTTGTCTGTTACCACTTAGTTAATGACATTCAACCTTCACTAGGCTATAGGATCAGACTGATAGGATTCGTGTCTAACATGGATTACCAGTGAGTGATGACTGGCAAGTCAACCACTCTGTGCCTCATTTTCCTCATCTGTAAACGGAGGATAATAATACAATACTCCTCATAAGTTGTTAGGAAAATTACCCGAGTTAATACATGTAAAGCACTTAGTAACCGTTTCTAGCATGCAGTAAGCACTGAATCATTGTGAACTCATTAGGTCAGGATCCGAACCTATGTGTCATACCATGTAGTAATGTAGTTTACTGTGATGGTTCTGCCTCACTTAGGTGATTGTGATTTTCTAAAGGGCAGAGACCATGTCTAATGCATCTTTGTGTTCCTAGTGCCTCATTATTTGATACACAGTAGGTTTCAGTAAATGTTTATTAAACTGGTGGTAGGGTTATGGAAAGTAAATATACGTAGAATTTTTTATTCAATTTTTCTTACTTTGCTCTTTACAGGAAAAAGGTCACTGGTCAGAACAGCAAGAAGAAAGTAGCTCTTGAAGACAAAAGTTAAAAACAGACTTTAAAAATACTGTCCCAGAAATGTAATTTTATGATCCCAGCATGAATGTTATTTTCATGGAATACTTGAAGTCTTACAGTCACCTGTACCAAACATTTGAAATCAACTACAAGTACATGGGACTGGTGATAAATGATCCTAAACTATCAAGTCAGTTTCAATTTGTAGGTGCCTTTTTTTTTTCCTGTAGAGATGAGGGTCTTGCCATGTTGTCCAGGCTGGTCTTGAACTCCTGACCTCACACAATCCTCCTGCCTTAGCCTCCTGAGTAACTGAGATTACAGGCACAAGCTGCTGCACCCAGCTCTGTAGGTGACTTTTAAATGATTATACAATGGAAATAACATTCATTGACATTTCTGTGGTTTGAATCCAGAGAGATACTTCTTATAGAAAAACAAATGTTTATGCTAAAAATAACACCAAAATGTGGTGAACTCTTAAGGACTTTTCCCTTCAAGTGTGAAGGAAGGTGTGATGAATGCTGTGGAGAGGCATCTGGAACAGAAATTCAAAATAAAGCCTTGACATTAAATACCCCTTCCACTGCTCACTTTGTGGATGGTAGCATGAGCTGTCTACCAAGAAGAAACCTGCTGCTCTCTTAATTTTAATATTTCCTAATTTGTTGATGGCCTTTTGTGTTGTGAACCACAACAAAGAGAGGCCTCTTTTGTGGCTGGTTATTCCAGTTCCCTGGGATTTTAAATTCTTTGGTCTATTAAGTATCCTTGTATTGGATACGTAATACCTTAGTGCTGTCATAATGTTGTACAAGATCATGATCAGCTTCTCCCTTTCTTCATTTTCTGTGATTTAACCATGTTCTTTCCTGTCTCTTTCCATTTAAGATATTTTATTTGAATACTGATAAACATTTTATCCTGATAAGGAAGAATGTTCTTGTTACTTGATATACCTCTGTCTTCATTCTCTTACAGCTTATCTTTCCTTAGGTTGATGGTGCCTCATTTAATAAGTAGATCTCTACTTAAGCTAAAGGATTATGATCATATGGTGTTGGAGACTATTAGCTATTAGATTTTTCTCAAAATATGAGTTTTGTACAATGGAATGAAAAAGTGACTTCATATACGTAAGACTGGTGCCTAAGAATGACTTGAATGTTATCAGTACTACCACAGAACTATAATATACATTGCCTTTTCTCAGCAGCATTTGAATTCAACTTATTTATTTCCTCTATTTGTAGCTTTTTGTTCTAGAGTCAGAACAGGTGGACTTTGCTTTGAATATTTTAGATGGGACAAAAATTGTTCATCTTCGGAATTTATTTAAAGAAAGATCTACTGGTACAGGGTGTAAAAATACTTACAAGAATATGATTTTTTTGTTTGTTCATGCAAACAGATCCTTTACCCAATATATATTCTGGAGGTAGGTATACTGGTGCAACCCATTTGCCAGCTGTGTGACTTTGAGTAAGTTCTTAATTTCTCAGAGTTTCAGTGTTCTCATCTATAAAATTATGTCTCCAATTGTGAGTACCTAGCACTGTACCTGATACATAGTAAACTCACAATAAATATTTCTTAAACATAGATTTTGTTAGGAATACAGGCTTGATAACACAGTCCTTACCCTTACAATGTAATGTTAGAGATAAAGGAGCAAATAGAGTCACGCATCACTTAATGACAGAGATATGTTCTGAGAAATGCATCGTTAGGTGATATTGTCATTGTGTAAACATCATGTTGTTTACTTCCACAAACCTAGATGGTATAGCCTACCAGTACACCTAGGCTATATGGTATAGTCTGTTGCTCCTAGGCTACAAACCCGTATAGCATGTTACTGTCCTGCATGCTATAGACAGTTGGAACATGTAGACTTGTATAAACACTGCACACTTAACCTATACTAAATTTATTGAAAATATTTTTCTTGGCCAGGCGTAGTGGCTCATGCCTGTAATCCTAACACTTCGGGAGGCCTAGGCGGGCAGGTTGTCTGAGCTCAGGAGTTTAGAGACCAGCCCGGGCAACATGGCAAAACCCCATCTCTACTAAAAAAAATACCAAAAAAAGTTAGCCGGGTGTGGTGGCATAGTCCCGGCTACTCAGGAGTCTGAGGCAGGAGAATAGCTTGAACCTGTGAGGCGGAGGTTGCAGTAAGCCGAGATCGCGCTACTGCACTCCAGCCTGGGCGACAGGGCAAGACTGTCTTGAAAATAAACACACACACACACATTATATATATTATGTATTATATATATTAGATATATATTTTTTCTTCAATAAATTAACCTTAGCTTACTGTAACTTTTACTTTATGAGTTTTTTTGTTTTGTTTTTTTTTTTTTTTTTGAGAAACAGGGTCTGTTACCTAATTTGGAGTTTAGTGGCACAATCATGGCCCACTGCAGCCTTGACCTCTTAGACTCAAGTGATCCTCAAACCTCAGCCTCCCGAGTAGCTGGTACTATAGGTGCGGGCCACCAACACTCAGCTAATTTTTAAATTTTGTAGAGACGAGGTCTTGCTTGTTGTCCAGTTGGGTTTTTTAGATTTTTTTTTTTTTTTTTTTTTGGAGATGGAGTCTTGCTCTGTTGCCCAGGCTGGAGTGCAGTGGCATGATCTCGGCTCACTGCAACCTCTGACTCCTGGGTTCAAGTGATTCTCCTGCCTCAGCCTCCCGAGTTGCTGGGACTACAGGCATGCGCCACCACACCCAGCTAATTTTTGTATTTTTAGTGACAGGGTTTCACCATGTTGGCCAGGCTGGTCTCAAACTCCTGACCTGGAGTGAGCCACTATATCCGGCCTTTATAAACTTTTTTGATTCTTGTCATAACACTTAGCCTAAAATGCAAATGTACAGCTGTAGAAAAATACTTTATTTCTTTATATCCTTATTCTAGAAGCTTTTTTTCTATTAATTTTTGTTTGTTTGTTTTGTTTTACTATTTACTTCTAAAACTTTTTTGTTAAAAACCATGGCACAAACACACACATTATGCTAGGCATACAAAAGGTCAGGATCATCAGTCTCACTGTCTTCCACCCCCACTTCTCATCCCACCATTGTATCTGCTGTCTGTGGCTGACCAAAACATCATCATGTAGCACATGACTAGTGTGGCAAGTGCTCTGTTAGATGTAAGGCCATGATGCTAAAGCATCACAAGAGGGCATCTAACCCAGATTGGGGATGTCATGGAAGGCCGACATCCTGAGTTGAATCCTGCAAATGTAAAAACCAATAGGCAAAGAAGAGGAACAAAAAGGATTCCAGGACAAACTGAGGTCACATCTATGATCCTTGACTTTATTGTGTCTGTTTAAAGTATCTACAGTAACCTGTATCAACTTAGTCAGTGTATTAATACTAAATTTAGCTCCTTCAAAGCAGTTGGAACTATGTGCTACATAAATTTCAGCTTCACACAAGGAAGGGAAGGAGTGAAATTAGTGAACAGGCAGTTACAGCAAAAGAAAAAACATAAAAATTGAATAGCTGGCTCTGGTGAAATGAGCAAGGACTTTAGAGTCAAACTGGCCTGGATTTGAATCCTGATCCTCATTGCTTGTAGCTGTATGATCTGGACAAATGACAGTAACTGTTTCTAACCTTGATTTTCTCATCTGTAAGATGCCAATTGTAACTCCTAAGGATACTGAGGATTTTTTAAAATGCGTGTACAGTTCCTGACCAGTGGTTTGTGCCTAATAACTTATTACAAATTATTACCCAGTAAAAACCTTGAGACAAGAGTGAAAACGTAAAGCTAATTAATCCATTACTTGTTAGCAAGCAAACTACGTGCTTGAGAAAATTACTCAACTTTCATGTTTTACTTCCAGACAGTAGTTTGATTAAAAGAAAAAAAAAAATCACAGCCCAGGCATGTGGCTCACACCCTGGCACTTGGAGGCCGAGGTGGGAGCATAGCTTGAGCCTAGCAGTTTGAAACTAGCCTGGGCAACATAGATCCTATCTCTACAAAAAAAAAAAAAAAAAAAAAAAAAAAAATTGGCCCGGTGTGGTGGTGCATGCCTGTGGTCCCAGCTACTCAGGAGGCTGAGGCGAGAGGATCGCTTGAGCCAGGGAGGCTGAGGCTGCTGTGAGCCATGATCATGCCACTGCACTCCAGCCTGGACAACAGAGCAAGACCCTGTCTCAAAAAAAAAAAAAATCAGTAAAAAATATGCCGAAATAGCTTCAGAGTAATTATGAATTGCCTTCCAAAAACCACTGTTTTGCACTTGCCTGCAAGAATAGGAAAAACAAAAGGACTGTAAGGTGGCAGGATGGCAGAACCAAACAAGAGTAGTACACCTTGGAGTTTTTTCGAAATATGGGTTGGGTTTTTGGGCTCTTGGTTGATTTAAAATAAAATTTAAATGCCTTCAGCGTCTGTGATAGGTGCCAACATGAAGCTACCGAGTTCCAGAGAAAGAGGGGAGAGCTGATCACTCATCAGTGCTGCGAGACTATCAAAGGGCCCTTCAGGACCTATCTGTTCTTTGTGTGTAAAGAGTAACAATAAAAGAACACCAGTGTACCCACCGTATAGTTTAAAAATCAGGACTCAGCCTACTCTTTCCACTAACCGCGATCATGGTTTTCAAACGGAGGACCAACGGCGCTTTGCCACTGGGCCGCCAGCTGGGCCCTGCAGAGGGCCTACCAGACAATGAATCAGCTCCCTTGGAGAGGCGCCCGCGACCGCCCCACCAGCCCGAGAGCTAGAATTGAATCTGGGGGACCCCTGCGGCGCCGGGTCACGTGCCGTGGGCGCGCCACGCCTCCCCGAGGGCCGGGGGAGTCACGTGGGCGCGAGGCCCCGCCCCATCGCCCGGTCCGCGGCGAGGTGGGGCCTGGTGTTTGACCCGGAAGTGGCTGTGTTCAGCTGACAGCTGCTGATAAGGTGGCGGCGGCGAAGGCAGCGGCAGGTCGGGAGCAAGATGGCGCTGCGGCCAGGAGCTGGTTCTGGTGGCGGCGGGGCCGCGGGAGCTGGCGCGGGGTCCGCCGGGGGAGGCGGGTAGGTGTGAAGAGCCGGGCGGGAGCCCGCTGGCCTCCGCGGGGGCGGCGAGGGGCGCTTGGCAGTTATGGCAGTTTTCTCCAGCCCTGATCCTTTTCCTTGGAACTGGGCTGCGGGAGGAGGGTCATCCCCCAGGGACCCAGGCCGAAAGGGGCGTGTGGAGCCCAGGTGCTGGACGCTGGTGTTCCGGGATCAGTTGGGGGCGCCGGCCGCCTGGAATCGAGCGGGGAGCGAGCGCGCGCCCAGTGTGGGAGGGGAGAGAAGATGAGGGTCCTCTTGGGGTGGGGGGGGGCGGGGCAAATCAGGAACCGCGACTCCGCTCCTAGTCCTAGCTGCCTCTGAAGCGACCAGGGTCTTCCCTTTCCTTGGGCTTTCTAGACTTAACCGGATATGTTGGAGGGAGGGCTTTAAAAATCTGTTCACAAAGCTGGAGGACTGTTTCCAAGGGGGGTGTGTGTGTGGACTATTTGTCTCTTCCCCTTTTAGAGTGTCCTGTCCTCTTTATTTCCTTAACCCGCGACAAACAGCAGGAACATCTAAAGACCTCTGAATTAGTAATGGTCTTGAGATAGAGTTCTTGTCTTGTACACTAACTCTTAAGACTTGTCTGTCTTCTTTTTAAAAAGGCATTTAAAAACAAAGAAAGTGCACTGTTAAACAGCAGTTGCGCATTTATTAGAACAAAGCTTCCAGACTCAGCCCTTAAACAAATCTGCCCTCTGCCACATTTCAGCCAAGAACTGCCGTGGTTCTTATACCCAGAATGGTAAGGGAGATGTACGTTTTACAAGCTGACAGATTCGTTATCATTTAAGGAAATATTTTATTCTAGGAAGTTTTCACTCCACTTCTATAATGACCTAGTCTGATTTTGTTTTACTAACCAACACACAACAGCACACACATTTGGAGGTAAAAGTAGCTTTGCATCTTCAGTATCCTAAATTGTCTTTGGAAAACGAAGTGTTAGGTTTTTTTTTTATATGCAGTGTTTCAATTTCGGAGTCGTGAACACTACAAAAGTGTAAGGACCTTAAAGTTATCACCTCTTGCAGGTGCTTGTCAGGAAACGAGCAGTGGCTGTTCAATAAACCACCTGTGTGTAACCCCATTTTTCATTTCCTCTGCACATCTTTAACTTTAGATTTTTAAACTTTTTGCTTTCTCTTTTGTTCTCTCCGTTGTTTCATTAGAGGGTTTTTTAAAAAATAAATACTTCGTGTAAGCCAGTTTCTGGCTGGAGAAGAAACATATGTAATAATTCCCTTCTATTTGTTTTTTCTTTTTCTTTTGTCTTGTTTTTTTTTTTTTTTTTTTTTTTTTGAGAGGAAGTCTTGCTCTGTTGCCCAGGCCAGAGTGCGGCGGCGTGATCTCGACCCGCTGCAACCTCTGCCTCCTGGGTCCAAGCGATTCTCTTGCCTCAGCCTCGGAGCAGCTGGGATTACAGGTGCGCGCCACCATGCCCGGCTAATTTTGTTGATTGATCGATTGAGACAGAGTCTCGTTCTGTCACCCAGGCTAGAGTGCAGTGGCACGATGTCGGCTCACTGCAACCTCGACCTCCCGGGTTCAAGCGATTCTTCTGCCTCAGCCTCCCAAGTAGCTGGGATTACAGGCGTGCGCCACCACGCCCAGCTAATTTCTGTATTTTTAGTAGAGACGGGGTTTCACCATGTTAGCCAGGCTGGTCTCAAACTCCTGGCCTCAAGTGATCCGCCCACCTTGGCCTCCCAAAGTTCTAGAATTACAGGCTTGAGTCACCACGCCCGGCATCCTCTATTTATTTCCTATATGTGATTACAGTTTCTAAAATGTCCCTGGATGGTATTAATTTGATCAAGTATATGATTAATCATGGCACCAAGTTCTGGGAAAATGTAAACTTAGAAGAATTGATATCTAGGCCCAAATTTTTATTTACTTAAAAAATGTTTTTGGATGGGGAGGACCTCAGGTTCAGAAATTCAAGTGCATTATTCCCTTTAGTTTGCAGTATTTGAGTATCATTGGTCCATGGACACAAATTTTTAAAATAAATATGGGTTGAATTTTGATAGAAATTAGAATGATTTTAAAATTTCCCCCCTTTGTAAATGTAGCAACATCTGCATTCTAAAACTGTAAACGATATACAGGAGAGAAAGAAGTGGTTAAAATGATTCTTACCTTGAAAAATGTATGGTACATATGTTACATATATTGGCAACTTTCTGAGGCTGAGAAGCTGTATCCTCAATAGAAAAAGGAATATTATTTTTTTTAGAGAGTAATGGTGTAAAGGCTGAAGTTATTTTATTTCCTTTTTAATTTTCTTTTTGCCACCCACCCTCCCTGAAATTATTTTATAAGGAAACTTAACATTATGGCAACCTAAGTATATTTGAAGAAAAAAAACAGGCAACTTCTCTACACCTTTAATGGAGAAAATCCATGAACTATAACTGACTGTATTGTTTAGATACTTCTCTATATTCTAAGAGGCTAAGCAAAACACAATAACGTTTTCCAAATTTAATATTACCCTACTTTTGATTGGTGTCCTGGATGAGCTACTTTAGAATAAATGGTAGAGTTGTATAAAGGGCAAAATTTGCCCAAGAGATGAGAAGTATAAATTTTTTTTTTCTTTAATCAAGGCAGAAAAAAAAAAGAGTTGAAAGATCTGGATTAGTCTGTAGTCATTGAATGCTTACATGGGTAAGGTACTGTTCTTGATGCTGTAATGAATTAAAAAGACATCAAAACATGGTCCCCATCCTTGGAGAATGTACAAAATAACTGTGGTACAAAGTAAAGTGGAACAAAGAGGTCACGTTCTTCTGGGATGTTATCATCTGTGAACTTGTCTATTTTTTCCTGATCTTTTACAAGCTTTTAGAGGGCTTCCTCATCTTTTCTTCTTTCACTGCTTCTAGCACATTTTTGCACATAAAAAACATTCTGTAAATATTTGTGGATTTCAGCTATATCAAAGGCAAAGAAGTGGTATTTCATTTGGCCCACAGAGTTAGAGGAAGAGGAAGCGGTCAAGAGATCGTCACAGAGATGGGAAGGCCTAGTCAACACTAAGGAAACGATGTACCTGCAGTGCCAGATGACTGTGGCTCTGAGTGGCAGAGAAGAGTTTTGTGAGATAAAACTGCAAAGTAGAGTTGTGCCCAAACTAGAGAGGGCCTTGAGTTTAAACTAAGGAAATTCAGTTTCAGGGAAATCATTTCATAGTTTTAACTTCAGGGGTGCGTCTTGCTAAAGGACCATTTAATTATTGCGTAATGGTCCATCATTTAGAAAGATGTCTCTCACTTGTGCTGCATCAGATGAATTAGAAACCAGAGTCTGGAGGTGGGGAGATCCATTAGGAAGTCTTTATGTAGGAGTTTAGGCCTAAGAAGTGAAGCCTAGTGTCAAATCTAGGTTAGTAGCAAAGGTAACTGAAAAGGAGGGACGGATGAGATAGGTAAGTGACAGAGCTCTGCTTTCATACCGAGATGTCAGTAATATAAGAATTAGTGGTTTTACCTTTGAAATTAAATTGTTGGTCACCTTCCTGCCCAGTTTTTTGCCAAGCTTTTACTGTCTTATTAATGCCTTAACTGCTTATCTAACCAATCTTTAAGCATGTTGTTATTAGTTGTCTAAACATTTCAGAGAAAAATATGAATTTTTCATAGGTCACTAAGCAGTTCGATTTGCTAAATTCTTACTAGAGAAAGTCATGTTTGACAGTATTTTGTTTTTATTTCATTTTCAAAGTAACCTTTATACATCTGTTTATGTATTCATGTCTATGTGATTGTCTTAGCTGAGACTTTAGCAGCCTTGATTCTACGTCCTCATTTGACAGAGGGGAAACCAGACAGGGGGTAAAGGAGATTGCACAGAGCTTCACAGTTACTTTATGGCAAAGCTGGAAGAAAGAAAATATACACGAGTTTCCAATTCTTTTGAGCCTCTAGGCCATATGACTAATTTAAATGTTTAAGCCTGATTTTTAAAAATCTTGACAGCTTGATTACTTAAATGTATTCATTGCTCCTGAATGTATCAATTTTAGCATATGAGTAATGTCTTTAAAAACTGAATACAGGCATACCTCATTGCAGTTAGCAGATACAGTGTTTTTTATAAATTGAAGGTTTGTGGCAACTCTGCATTGAGCAAGTTTATCCGCGCAATTTTTCCACAGCCTGTGTTCACTTCATGTCTCTGTCACATTTTGGTAATTCTCACAATATTTCAAACTCTTTCATTATTATTATTTGTTATGGTGATCTGTGATCAGTGATCTTTGATGTTACTAGTGTAATTGTTTTGGAGCACCACAAACCCAGCTCGTATAAGACAGCAAACGTAATTGATAAATGTTTTGTGCAGTCTGACTGCTCTACCTACCAGCTGTTCCCCGGTCTTCCTCTCCAAGGGCCTCCATATTCCCTGAGACATAACAGTATTGAAATTAGGCTGATTAACCCTACAGTGGCCTCTAAGTGTTCAAGTGAAAGGAAGAGTCGCCCATCTCTCCCTTTAAATCCGAAGCTAGAAATGATAAAGCTTAGTCATTAAGTGTTGAAAGCTGAGGTAGGTCAAAAGCGAGGCCTCTTACACCAGTTAACTAAGTTGTGAATGCAGAGGAAAAGTTCTTGAAGGAAATTAAAAGTCCTATTCCAGGAAACACAAATGTTAAGAAAGTAAAACAGCTTTATTGCTGATATTGAAAAAGGGTGAGTGGTCTGGATAGAAGATTAAACCACCCTTAACATTCCCTTAAGCCAAAGCCTAATTTGAAGCAAGATCCTTAGTCTCTTCAATTCTGTAAAGGCTGAAGGCTGAGAAATAGGTGAGGAAGCTGCAGAAGAAAAGTTGGAAGCTAACAGGTCAGTTTATGAGGTTTAAGCAAAGAAGCTATCTCCATAACAAAAAAGTACAAGGTGAAGCAGCAAGTGCTGATGTAGAAGCTTTAGCAAGTTATTCAGAAGAGCTAAGATCATTGATGAAGGTGGCTACGCTAAACAATAGATTTTCTTTTTTTTTTTTTTTTATAGACAGAGTCTCACTCTGTCACCCAGGCTGGAGTGCAGTGGCGTGATCTCGCCTCAATGTAACCTTCGCCTCCCGGGTTCAAGTGGTTCTTCTGCCTCAGCCTCCCCAGTAGCTGAGATTACAGGCACGCACCACCACGCCAGGCTAATTTTATATTTTTAGTAGAAATAGGGTTTCACCATGTTGGCCAGGCTGGTCACATACTCCTGACCTCAGGTAATCCACCCACCTCGGCCTCCCAAAGTGCTGGAATTACAGGCATGAGCCACCATACCTGGCCAGATTTTCAATGCAGGTGAAGATGCCATCTAAGACTTTCCTAGCTAGAGAGGAGAAGTCAATGTCTGGCACCAAAGGACAGGCTGACTGTCTTGTTAGGGCCTAATGCAGCAGGTAACTTTAAATTAAACCAATACTCACTGACCACTATGAAAATCTCAGGGCTTTTCAAAAGTATGCTAAATCTACTCTGCCTATAGTCCATAAATTGAACCACAAAGCCTGGGTGACAGCACATCTGTTTACAGCATGGTTTACTGAGTATTTTAAGCCCATTGTTGAGACCTACTTCTCAGAAAAAAGTTTCTTTTGAAAACGTTACTGCTTCTTGACAATGTGCCTGGTCACCCAAGAGCTCTGATGGCAATGCATGAGAAGGTTAATGTTCTCATGTCTGCTAAAGCGGCATCCATTCTCCATGAATCAAGGAGTAATTTCTTCTTTCATCTCTTATTATTTGAGAAATTCATTGTAAGGCTATATCTAAGGCTATAACGCCCATAGATAGTGATTCTTTTGATGGAACTGGACACAGTAAATTGAAAACTTTCTGGAAAAGAATCACCATTATAATTTTTATGTTATTTATTGTTGTTGTTGTTGTTATTATTATTATTTTGGAGAGATGAGGTCTCACTATGTTGCCCAGGCTGGTCTCAAACTCATGGGCTCAAGCAATCCTCCCACTTTGGCCCCCCAAAGTGCTGGGATTATAGGTGTGAGCCACCAGACCCAGCCATTCACTAGATTCTCTAAAGAGTATCTAGAAACCTCCTTTTCAGATCCTTGACTCCCGGATTAAGAGCCTTTCTCACTCAGAAGTCTTCCTTGATTTGTCCCTTTTTCTTTCCAGGCTCAGAGAAAGAAGTCCCACTTCCTTTTCAAAGCAGATCCCTTTTGCTACTTTGTTTTGTTTTGTTTTGTTTTGAGACAGAGTCTCCTTCTGTCATTCTGTCTGCTCAGGCTGGAGTGCAGTGGGGCAATCTCAGCTCACTGCAACCTCCGCCTCCTGGGTTCAAGCAATGCTCATGTCTCAGCCTACTGGATAGCTGGGATTACAGGCACATGCCACCACGCCTGGCTAATTTTTGTATTTTTAGTAAAGATGGGGTTTTGTCATGTTGACCAGGCTGGTCTTGAACTCCTGGCCTCAAGTGATCCGCCTGCCTTGGCCTCCCAAAGTGCTGGGATTACAGGCATGCACCACCTCATCTGGCCCCCTTTTGCTCCTTCGCGTGTTAATCCCATTTCCTTAAAAACCTTATAAATCACTAGGTATGTATTTTGTCTCTTAAATTTTTTCTCCCTAGGGTCTCTTCCCCTTTCTTTGTTGAAACTAACTCACTTAACAATCACCATTTTTGAAAGCAGTGATTTATTTTTTAATCTTCATTCTCACCGCTATTCTACAGCATTAGACACTGGTAACTACTTCCTTGTTGAAATGTGGTCCTTCTTCAGTTATAACTCTCAGTTATAAGCACTCCCTTGGTTTTCAATGACCATTTCCTACTCAGTTTTCACTGCAAGAATTCTCCAAGTTTGTCCTTAGTTGTTTTGTTACTGGATATATGCCCTTGGCTATTTCATCTACAACCAGAGCTTAATTTTTTTTTTTTTTTGAAACGGAGTTTCACTCTTGTTGCCCAGGCTGAAGTGCAATGGCGCGATCTTGGCTCACTGCAACCTCCGCCTCCTGGGTTCAAGTGATTCTCCTGCCTCACAGCCTCCTGAGTAGCTGGAATTGCAGGCATGCACCACCATGCCCAGCTAATTTTGTATTTTTAGTAGAGATGGGGTTTCTCCATGTTGGTCAGGCTGGTCTGGAACTCCCAACCTCAGGTGATCCACCTACCTTGGCCTCCCAAAGTGCTGGGATTACAGACGTGAGCCACTGCGCCTGGCCAGAGCTTAACTTTTTAACCTTTATTTATTTATTTATTTGAGACGGAATCTCACTCTGTCGCCCAGGCTTAACCTTTATTCAAAAGAGCCTAGGCCAAGTGCCGTAGCTCATGTCTGTAACCCCAGCACTTTGGGAGGCCAAGGCAGGCAGATCATGAGGCCAGGAGTTCAAGACCAGCCTGGCCATCATGGTGAAACCCTGTCTCTACTGAAAATACAATAATTAGCCAGGTTTGGTAGTGCTCGCCTGTAGTCCCAGCTACATAGGAGGCTGAGGCAGTAGAATCACTTGAGCCTGGCAGGCGGAGGTTGCAGTGAGCTGAGATCATGCCATCACACTCCAACCTGGACGACAAGAGCAAACTCCGTCTCAAAAAAATAAAATAAAAATAAAGTTGTCAGCTTAAAAAAAACCTTAGAAGAGAGCTTTCTTACGCTCTAAAATGAGGACTTATTGTTTAATGGGTACAGAGTTTCTGTTTGGGATGATGGAAAGGTTCTGGAAATGGATAGTGGTAATGGTTGACAATATTGTGAATGTCCTTAATTATGCCATGGAATTATACACTTAAAAATGGTTAAAAATGATAGAATTTTATGTTATGTATATGTTACCACAATAACAATAAAACCTCTGACAACTTCATATAATATTCAAAATAAAATGAAACATTTTAAAGGCCCTTGACCAGGTGCGGTGGCTCACACCTGTAATCCCAGCACTTTGGGAGGCCGAGGCGGGTGGATCACCTGAGGTCAGGAGTTTGAGACCAGCCTGGCCAACATGGTGAAACCCTGCCTCTACTAAAAATACAAAAAATTAGCCAGTCGTGGTGGCGGGTGCCTGTAATCCCAGCTACTCAGGAGGCTGAGGCAGGAGAATTGCTTGAACACAGGAGGTGGAGGCTGCAGTGAGCCAAGATCGCGCCATTGCACTCAAGCCTGGGCAACAAGAGCGAAACTCCATCTCACAAAAATAAATAAATAAATAAAAATAAAAATAAAGGCCCTGTACAATCTGCTTGCTTTTAAATCATATAGTTAACATTTAACCTACATTCATTTCTCCAAACATCCCTGCATCTCTGCCTCAGAGCTTTTGCTCAAAATATATAGTGTGCTTCTATTTTCCTTCAAGATTCAGCTCCAGAGCTACTTCCATAAAACTTCTCAAGATATAGCCCATTAAAATTCATCTTTTTCTTCTCATCTCTATTAATAATTTGGACCTCGCTTATAGCAGTTAGCACATTTACCCTGTGGTATAGTTATTTGCCTGCATATGTGTATTTTTGATTATAAGATTCCATCATTTCATGTAGTTGACACTCAATAGATGTTGACTGAATTGAATCTAAACTCTCTCATTTTATAGATGGGGAAACTGGAATCCAGAGAGGACACGAAGTGACAGAGCCAGGACTAATTTCAGGGTCTTCTGTCTTTTGTTTCAACAAGTTTCCGTCTGCAGTAGCATGCTGACATGCATCCTATGGATGCTCAGTGTACTGATGTTGGGCAATTCAGTATTGTGGTGCAGAACAAACACCAGGTCCCATCTACAAGTCTTTTATCCATATAAAAAAGTACACGTGTTATTTGAAATCTTTGTACATACGAAGATTATAATGTATTTTTATTCTGTTTTCAGCTTCATGTTTCCTGTTGCAGGTGGGATAAGACCCCCTCAAGGTATGTGAGAGCTTAAGTTTTGAACTTTTATTTTTCACTCTTGTGTTTCTGAATCTGGGAATTAAATAAGTAAATAGAAAATAAGTTCTGTTGCTGCTGAATAGAGTAAAATTTTCTGCACTCTTAAACCTGTATGTCCTATATGACAGCTACTCTTAAATTTTCTCAAAAATTATATAATTTTGGGAGTAATAAGGATCACTCCTCGTTTCTCCCAAACTTACATAGACATTATGTTCATAGATTGTTTAACCTCAGAGGTGAAAGACTTTTAGGACAAGAATGTTAAAGAACAGGTGATAAAAATGAAACGAGCTGTAATTCACTTAATGATGTCTTTCTCCTTCTATCTAGTCTTCTGCTAGATTGTTAGTGCCATGTCTGTCTAATGCTCATCTAGCATTATTTGTAGCACCCAGCATGTTGATTCAGCACAATAGGTTATCTGTAGATGTTTGTTGAATGAATAAACAAACATCTTTAGTTGTTTTACACTGCTATTTTTTATCTATATGATAGTATCTTATTATAATCATGTTTTATAAATATATAATTTTGAAATTAAAAGAGATCACATAGTCTGATTCAGCTTAAGTATTTAAGTCTCAGGATTTTGTTTGGTTTTTTATTTTTATTTTTGAGATGGAGTCTCTTGCTCTGTCGTCCAGGCTGGAGTATAAGTGGCACAGTCATAGCTTACTGTAGCCTCAGCCACCTAGGCTCAAGCATTCCTCCCACCTCAGCTTCCCAGGTAGCTGGGACCACAGGTGCATACCACCACGCCTGGCTAATTTTTAAATATTCTGTAGAGACAGGGTCTCCCTATGTTGCCCAGGCTGGTATCAAATTCCTCGGCTTAAGCGATTCTCCTGCCTTGGCCTCCCAAAGCACTGGGATTACAGGCATGAGCCACCACATCCGGCCAAGTCTCAGTTCTATTCCTAGAAATTTCTCTAAGTATACCTTTTCTCTCTTGGTCTCAGACTAGGACCCACCAATATCAATTCTAGCTTTATCTTCAAGGAAATAGTAGTGAAGGAATATAATTTTGACCCATGCTGCCATGCAACTGGGACACAACAGTGAAGAAGGAATAGATCTGCCTTCATCTGGCTTCTTTCCGCTCATTTCTTTCACTCTGACAGTCTTCCCTCTCCCGTCACACCAAGCTGCTTCTGAAAACTGGCTCTTCTTAAAAAGCCAGCGTTGATTGGTTGTCATAGATTTGCTAAAGAAACAGAGACTCCTAGGTCAGCAGTAGAGATAAAAGATAAAGAGCAGCTCAGTAGCAGGTGGTCAGTGGCTCATCCTGACTTTGTCTTCATTTATAATCAGTGATGGTGGTTGGGTTTCAGGTAAGTTTTTCCAAGGCTCAGTTGTATTCTTTTCATCGTGTTCACATTTATGCATTATTTAAGCTATCTGTAATTAGATGTGTCCCAGATTGAGATCAAATGGTTTGAGATCTTTTGTTCTTTAGGAAGGTATTACAGAGTTATGTGTCCATTATCATGTTTGTTATTTTGCATTTCTATACACTTTCAAGTAAAAATATGCATATGGAGCAAAGGAACTGGACAAGAAGAGACCCCAAAGTGTTGCCTGATATTTTTTCTTAGGGAATTTGGAATTGGTTTGGAGATTTTTTTTTAACAGTTGTTAGAATGGACTTTTTGATCATTTGAAGGCTTTAAATTATGCATGGATCATTTCTGAAAACATATGTAAGAAACCGACAGCAAGGTCATGGCCACAAGATCATGAGTACTTGAACCGGAGACAGAGGAGAGAAAGAGACCTATTTTTTACTGTGTACACTTTTGTGCCTTGAAATATTATGCCAGATATCTGAGTTACCCATTCAGAAATAAAATAAAATCAGTTAAAATCAATAAAACTTTAAGTCCAAAGAAATAAGACGGAAAACATCTTACTGTGGCTATTTTCAATCTGTGTATTCTAATTCTCCCTGACACCTCGTGATCTTTGTACTTGGTGTTCTTTGGTCTGGAATATTTTTCCCAAACATCTGCATGGCTTGGTTCTTTATTTACTTGAGGTTCTTGTTGAAATACTACCCTGTTGGTAAAACTTTTTCTGATTGCCCTATGTAAAATAGCAACCACTCCATTCCCCCTTGCCCTGCTTTATTTTTTGCCCTAGCTCTTATCACCACCTGACATGTACTTATTTTTTTGTTATCTATCTCTCCTAATTACAGTGTAAGTTCCATGAGAGTGAAGACCTGGTTTTGTTCATGGCTATGTCCCTAGAACAGTGCCTAATACGGAGTAGGCTTCAAATACTTGAATAAGTGAATGGCCTACCTCTAATAACTGTTAGCCACAAATGTGGATGTCCATGCTTCTGAAATTAGGCTAGGTTATAAATAACCTGGGAGGTACACAAAAACCATAAGATAAACATGGTATAATTTCCTAGATCTTTAATTTTTCAAACTGACAGTTTGATATAAAGTTCCTTATGGTAGAACCAACATAGATGTAGTTTGAATGCAAAATTAGAATGAAATTTGTGCTCAGACTATGTAGGGATTTTGTTTTATTCACTTCTTGTGTACCAAGCACATAGAACTATGCCTAGCATATAATAAGCATTTAGTATTTATTAAAATCCCAAAGGGATGTATATTCATTCACCTCTGCTCTTGGAAAAGTTTGGGAAACACTAGCCTAAATCATACATTCGTGATAGTTTTCTGCCATTGCACATGCTGATGGCTATTTTGTGGTAACTGTTATATTACCTATTCATGTAAGAAAAAGGAAGAAGAATAACATTTCTTTGAGCATAGTAAGTATTAAACAGTTTTACAAATGATAAACCAAGGCATAGAAAGAAGCAGATTGCCCAAGGTTCCAAAATAGTATGTGTCATTTCTAGTTGGCTCCCAGAGTTCATGCTCCTAACTGTTATTTTGTTAGTTATCTGCTGTTGTGTAACAAATTATCCCAAACTTTAAAAAGTAAACATTTTATTATTTCATAGTGTGTCTCTCGGTCAGGAATCTAGGAGTAGCTCTGCTGGGTGGTTCAGGCTCAAGACCTCTTATGAGATTGCAGTGAAGATGTCAGCCAGGCTTGCAGTCATCTGAAAGTTTCATGGAGATGCTGCCGAGGTGGCTCGCTGAGATAGATGGCAAATTCATGCTGCCTTTTGGCAGAAGACCTCAGTACCTTACCACATGGATTCTCCATAGGTCTTATTGAGTATTTCATGACGTGGCAGTGGCTTGCTCCAGAGCAAGTGATCCAAAAGAACCAGGAGGAAACTACAGTGTCTTTTAAGAACTAGCCTTCAGGCCAGGCACAGTGGCTCACACCTGTAATCCCAGCACTTTGGGAGGCTGAGGCGGGTGTTGAGGTCAGGAGTTCAAGACCACCCTGGCCAAGATGGCGAAACCCCATCTCTACTAAAAAATACAAAAATTAGCTGGGCGTGGTGGCAGGCACCTGTAGTCCCAGCTACTTGGGAGGCTTGAACCCAGGAGGTGGAAGTTGCAGTGAGCTGAGATCATGCCACTGCACTCCAGCCTGGGTGACAGAGTGAGACTCTGTCTCAAAAGAAAAAAAAAATAACTAGCCTTCGAAGTTACATGCTGTCATTTCCACAGTATCCTGTTGGTTATACTGATCAGCCCCATTCAGTATGGAATGGAACAACACACGGGTATGAATACCAGGAGACAGAGGTCATTGGAGGCCATCTTGAAGGCTGAGTACCCCAATTAGGCCATACTGTTTTTTAATATGCATACAAATTCCATAGAAGAGATATTATCTTCATTTTACAGATGAAGTTTTGTAACTTGTTCAAGATCACACAGCTAAGTAAATGATGGAGTTGGAATTCATATTCACATCTGTCTCACTCAGGACCCTGTGCTTTTTCCATTACACTCTGCTTCCTGCCAAGTAACAAGTCCTTTAGGTACTTATGGTTTTAAGAAAATAAACTTTAAAACACATTGACTTTAATAATGTCTTTATATTTTCAGCAGGCCTGATGCCGATGCAGCAACAAGGATTTCCTATGGTCTCTGTCATGCAGCCTAATATGCAAGGCATTATGGGAATGAATTACAGCTCTCAGATGTCCCAAGGACCTATTGCTATGCAGGTACTTGCTTCTTTAGTTGGTTTCTTACAAAGTTATTGTTTGTTGTTACGTTTATATATCAAGAGCTACAGGCTAAGAGCTTAATGTTACAATTAGAAATAAGCATAAATAAATGGCTTCCTTCAAACTAAAATGAAGATGTGTTCACCCTCCAAGAGTGAGGGAAAAGGCTAGGTGCAGTGGCTCATGCCTGTAATCCCAGCACTTTGGGAGGCCAAGGCGGGCAGATCACTTGAGGTCAGGAGTTCGAGACCAGCCTGGCCAACATGGTGAATCCCTGTTTCTACTAAAAATACAAAAATTACCTGGGCGTGGTGGCATGTGCCTGTAGTCCCAGCTACTCGGGAGGCTGAGGCAGGACAATCCCTTAAACCCGAGAGGTGGAGGTTGCAGTGAGCCAAGATCATGCCACTGTACTCCAGCCTGGGCAACAAAGTGAGACTCCCGTCTCAAAAAAAAAAAAAAAGGCCAGAGGAAAAAAAGGTTTTTGCTTTTGTACTATTAACAGCTATCTTGAAGGCCATATACTGTATTTCTTTTTTACCTAATACTTTACTTATTTTTGCTTTTTTCAACTTATATTTTAGATTCAGGGGGCACGTTTGTAGGTTTGTTACACTAATATGTTGTGTGATGCTGAGGGTTGGGGTATGATGGAACCCATCACCCAGGTAGTGAGCATAGTACCAACAGGTAGTTTTTCAACCCTTCCCCCACTTTCTCCCGTCTTGTAGTCTCCAATGTCTGTCGAGCCTGTCTTTATGTCCATGTGCACCCAGTGTTTAGCTCCCACTTGTGAGAACATGCAGTATTTGGTTTTTTGTTTCTGCGTTAGTTTACTTATTTACCTAATACTTTAACATTTTCTATTTCTGTGTGTTTTGTTATACAGTATATACTTTTATACAGTAACACATGTATATAACTTATAAATAAGTGATATTAGGACTTCATGACCAGAATTTTAAGTTGAAACCATTGTTGTTTTGAAGTCGATTATGCAAATAAAGCTTCTGTTTTGTGTTTAAAGGGTCAGGAAAACTTCCAGTGTCATTTTTTATCTGTCTCTAGAAGGAAGGGAATACATTGAAATTGTGTAGGTTTTTAATTCATGTTAAGCTAGCTTTCACTAGGGTGTGCTGCAGAAACAGTCCCCAGATCTCAGTGACTTAGAAAAGTTTATTCCTCACTCGTGATACATATCCTTATGGGTTAGTGCTGACTCTGCTCCATGTTTTCTTTATCCTAAGACCCTCAGCCAGGACATCCTAGGCTCTTGGCATAGGAAAAAGAGATGGCCAAACCCTGTGATGTCTTTTAAAGCTAACACTTGGAGGTAGCATTTATTAGTCACTTCTGCTCACCAAAGTAATGTGGCCTTAACATCAATAGGGGAGGAATATACCAGGACGAATGTAAACCACATAGGGATGTGTAGTTCTCTTAGAATAAAGGTAGCAAATGGCTGGGAGCAGTGGCTCACACCTGTAATCCCAGCACTTTGGGAGGCTGAGGTGGGCAGATCATGAGTTCAGGAGATCGAGACCAGCCTGACCAACATGGTGAAACCTCGTCTCTACTAAAAATACAAAAATTAGCCGGGCGTGGTGGTGCATGCCTGTAATCCCAGCTACTCAGGAGGCTGAGCAGGAGAATCGCTTGAACCCAGGAGGCAGAGGTTGCAGTGAGCTGAGATTGCGCCACTGCACTCCCGCCTGGGCGACAGAGTGAGATTCCATCTCAAAAAAAAAAAAAAAAAAGAAGAAGAAAGGCAGCAAATAACTAAAAACAATCTACCATAGAATACAATGTATTTTAAATTAAGACTTCCTAAGCTTAATACTGAATCTTAATAACAATTGATACAAATTTTAAATCATTAATTTTTATTTTAATATTAAATATTAATTAAAATAATTAATATTGTAATTAATATAATTAAAATTAATATTATTGTAATTAATATAATTAAAATAATTAATATTGTAATTAATATAATTAAAATAATTAATATTGTAATTAATATAATTAAAATAATTAATATTGTAATTAATATAATTAAAATAATATTCATAAACATTATTTTATGACTTACACAATTATCTGAAAAATGTTTTTAGAGTTTGAAACAACCAAAAACAGTAAGAGTCTCTAATATGCAGAACAATAAGAAAAAAGTAAACTATGAGAGTTGTTAGTACCTTAATAATGTCCCTGAATATCAGAAGCTTGTGTATTAATGATTCTAAGACAAAGCAGCCAAAGTCTTTTTCTTTAACCTTTAATCTTGCTGACAGGCATTATACTGTTTGGAAGCTGCTCACCATTTTTTTTTTTTTTTTTTGAGAGGGAGTTTTGTTGCCCAGGCTGGAGTGCAATGGCACGATCTCGGCTCACTGCAACCTCCGCCTCCCAGGTTCAAGCGATTCTCCTGCCTCAGCCTCCCAAGTAGCTGGTATTACAGGCATGTGCCACCACGCCCGGCTAATTTTGTATTTTTAGTAGAGATGGGGTTTCGCCATGTTGACCAGGCTGGTTTCAAACCCCTGACCTCAGGTGATCTGCCTGCCTCGGCCTCCCGAAGTGCTGGGATTATAGGCATGAGCCACCACACCTGTCCGCCACTCACCATTTTTTAAGGAGAAAAACATCCAGATTTTATTTCCCCCCACCCCGAAACTCAATAGCCCTAACCAATCAGGGACATACATGAAGCAAACCCATTGTTCCTTTAGTTATCTCTTAAGTCTTTGGAGATAAAAGTGATGATTCAGATAAAAGTCAACATAAAAAAATTTAGTCTTTTTTTTGAGACAGAGTCTGGCTCTGTTGCCCAGGCTGGAGTGCAGTGGTACAATCTCGGCTCACTGCAACTTCTGTCTCCTGGGTTCAAGCGATTCTCCTGCCTCAGCTTCCCAAGCAGCTGGGATTACAGGTGCATGCCACCACATCTGGCTCATTTTTGTATTTTTAGTAGAGACAGCATTTCATAGTGTTGGCCAGGCTGGTCTTGAACTCTTGACCTCAAGTGATCCACCCGCTTTGGCCTCTCAAAGGGCTGGGATTACAGGTGTGAGCCATCGCGCCGGCCAGAAATTTAGTCTTGATTATTATTATATTATTATTGATTATTATAATCTCTCCCTTCCCCAAAACACATAAAAAGAAAACACTCCTCATGATGTACAATACATTTTAAAATTATTATTCTGAAGCATTTCAAACATCTAGGCAAGTTTAGAGCACATGATGGACATGTGTAAACCTGTTGCAAACTGTTGTGTTATTGTAAGAAATAATAGAAATCCTTTGCCCAGTTCCCCTATTGGTAAAACTTGTAGAAATATAGTAACACAACCAGCATATGGACATTGGCACAGCTGAGATACAGAACATTTCCATCTCCCCAAGGATCTCCTCACATTGTCCTTTTGTAGCTGTATTCACTTCCTTCCTGCCCCACCTTACTCCTTTTGCATTCACTAGTGTGTTCCCCATTTCTATAATTTTGTGTTTTCAAAAATGTTATATAAATTGAATCATTAACCTTTTGGGTTTGGCGTTTGTCGCTTAGAATAATCCCTTCAGATTCATCCAAATTGTTGCATGTATCAGTAGTTCATTTTTTTTATAATCGATGAGTAATAGTCCATGGTGTGGATGTATGACAGTTTGTTTAACCTTTTGCTCACTGAAGGACATCAGAGTTGTTTACAATTTTTGGCTATTACAAATAAAGGTTTTTGCGTGAACATATGTCCTCATTTCTTGGGATAAACGCCCAAGAGTGCAATTACTGGGTTGCATGGTATTGCATTTTCAGTTTTTTAAGATGCTGCCAAACTTTTTTCCAGAGTAGCTGTACTATTTTACATTCCCACCGGCAATGTATCAGAGGTTCAATTATACTGCATCCTTACCTGCATTTAGTGTCATTATTTTTTGTTTAGCCATTCTCACAGGTACGTTGTAATATCTCATGGTTTTAATTTGCATGGTTTTAATGTGCAGATGGTGTTGAGCATCTTTTCATTTGTTTATTTACCATCATTACATTTTCTTCAGAGAAATGCCTTTTCATAGCTTCTGACCATTTTCTAATTGCATTTTTTGGTATTACTATTGAATTTTGAGAGTTCTTTATATCTTTTAGGTACTAGTCCTTTGTCAGATATGTGGTTTACAAGTATTTTCTTCTTGTCTTTAGCTTGTCTTTTCACCCTCTTAACGGGGTCTTTTACAGAGCAAAAGTTCAATTTCGATGAAATTTAATTTACCAGTTTTTCCTATTATGGATCATGCATTGGTATAACTCTAAGAGTTCATTGCCTTGCCCTAGATTCTGAAGATTTTCTCCTATTTTTTTCTAAAAGTTTTATAGTTTTAATTTAAGTCCGTGATCCATTTTAAGTTAATTTTTGTGTAAGATCTAAGACTTAGATTGAGGTTGTTTTTTATCTCTCTCTTTTTACCTATGCAAGTGTGATTGCCCCAGCAACATTTGTGGAAAAAGCTATTCTGCTTCCATTGAAATGCTTTCACATTTTTGTCAAAAATCAGTTGGGCATGCTTGTATGGATCTTTCTCTAGGTTCTCTGTTCTGTTCTATTGTTTTATGTATATGCCTGTTCCTTCACCAATAACACAGTCTTCATGACGGTAGCTATACGATAAGGTTGATTCCTCCTACATTCTTCTTCTTTTCAAAATTTAACTATTCTGGTTCCTCTGTCTTTCCATATTAATTTTGGGATAGTCTTGTCTATCTTTGGAAAAACTCTTGCTGGAGTTTTGATAGGCATTGTGTTAAACCTCTGTATGAATTTAGGGAGAATTGATGTCTTCCAACATATCAATATGAGATGTCTTTTCATTTGTTTAGATCTTTGGTTTCTTCTATCAGAAGACTGTGTAAACTATCATTTACATAGTTTTCAGCATAAAAGTCACATCCATGTTTGGTTAGATTTACATCTAAATATTTTGATTTTTTGAGTAATTATAATGGCGTTTTTTAAATGTCAGTGTTCACATATTCATTGCTAGTATATAGAAATACAATTGATTGTTTATGTTTGTTTTATATCCTTCAACCTTACTGAACTCATTTTATTAGCTCTGGGAATTTTTTTGTGGATTCCATGGGATTTTTTAATATGGGTAGTCATGTCCTACCTTTATCAGATTTTAATATGCCACGTTTGTTTTACATTTTTTTAAAGAATTGAAAAATACTTTCCTTCCTCTCCTTCCTCAGAAGTTGTTATCACTATCATGAATTCGGTGTTTATAGTTCTCGTATGTATTTTTATACTACTCTGTCGCCCAGGCTTGGAGTGCAGTGGCGCGATCTCGACTCACTGCAGACTCCGCCTCCTGGGTTCAAGCAATTCTCCTGCCTCAGCATCCCTAGTACCAGGGATTACAGGTGTCCGCCACCTTGCCCAGCTAATTTTTGTATTTTAGTAGAGATGGGGTTTCACCATGTCGGCCAGGCTGGTCTCGAACTCCTGACCTCAAGCAATCCACCCACCTCTGCCTCCCAAAGTGCCGGGATTACAGGCATGAGCCACTGCGCCTGGCCATATTTTTATACTTGTATTATTTTATATATTTGTATACTCATGAGCAATATATCATATTTCCTAGGTTTTAAATTTTACGTATGTACCCTTCAAATTCTTGACTTTTTAATTTATGCCAAGTTCATTCATAGTAGCTGCTGTGTGGTATTTCATAGAGTGAATATATGTTGTTCTATTGACAGACATTTAAATTGCTTCTAATGTTTTGCTGTTTTGATTTAATTGATTTCTGAGTGTTCATTATATATTCTAGATTCTAATCCTTTGTAGTTACATGTGTTGCCAGTATCTTCTGCTAGTTGTTGGCATCTCTTAATTTTGTTTATAGTGTCATGTTGTGTCAAAATTAAGACAGATGGATAAATCATTTCTTTTTTTTTCTGACTTATCTAAGACATTCTTCCCTACCTGTATCTTCTTATTTAAAAAAAGTTAAGTTTCTTTTCTTTTCTTTTCTTTTTTTTTTTTTTGAGACAGAGTCTCGCCCTGTCGCCCAGGCTGGAATGTGGCGCAATCTCAGCTCACTGCAGCTGCCGCCTCCCGGGCTCAAGTAATTCACCTGCCTTAGCCTCCAGAGAAGCTGGGACTACAGGCATGCCCCATCATGCCTGGCTAATTTTTGTATTTTTAGTAGAGATGGGATTTTACCATGTTGTCCAGGCTGATCTGGAACTCCTGGCCTCAAGTGATCTGCCTGCCTCAGCCTCCCAAAGTGCTGGGATTACATGTGTGAGCCAATGCGCCCGGCCTGTCTTTTCAAATTAAGTCTCTAACCTACCTAGAATTGTTCTTTAGAATCAGTGTGTGGTAGAAGGATGTAATTTTATTATGTTCCATTGTAGTCAGTTGTTCCCAAATCATTTATAAATAGCCTTTTTTTTTTTCCTTTTTGAGTCAGAGTCTTGCTGTCGCCCAGGCTGGAGTGTGGTGACGCGATCTTGGCTCACTGCATGCTCTGCCTCCCGGGTTCACACCGTTCTCCTGCCTCAGCCTCCCGAATAGATGGGACTACAGGCGCCCGCCACCACGCCCGGCTAATTTTTTGTATTTTAGTAGAGATGGGATTTCATCGTGTTAGCCAGGATGGTCTTGATCTCCTGACCTGGTGATCCGCCCACCTCGGCCTCCCAAAGTGCTGGAATTACAGGCGTGAGCCACCGCGCCCGGCCCTAAATAGCCCATTTTTAATTTATTGATTTCTATGATTATTCCTGTAATATCACATTTCTTTATATGCTTTGGATTAATTTCTGAGCTCATGTATTTGTCCCATTGCTGTATCTGTCTTTCCTTGCATCAGTAAATATCTTATGCCTTAATTATCTAGCCTGAAATAAGCATTGATACCTGGTAGTATGGATCATCCTTCTTCTTTTACAGAATTATAGCTGATTCGTGGTCCTTGCCCTTCAGTATAATTTTAAGATCAACTTGTCAAAACACTGTTGGGGCTCTGACTGAAGTGGACACTTTTACTCTTTTAGTCTTAACTGTCATACTATACTTCTCAACTTATTGAAATCTTAAGTGCCATCAGTAGTTTATCAAATGTATCTCAGATTTCTGAGTTCTTTCTTTTGTTATGTCATCCATTCAGTATATAATTAAAGACTAGTATCTCTTAACCTTTTAGTTTATTTAGGTTTCAAAAGTCTGTTAAAAGTTAGACAGTCCCTCCTTTCCAGGTGTAGGGGAAACACAAAATGCCATTTAGTAAATTTGAATGTTCCTCAAGAAAGGAGTTTGTAAATAAGAAGGCAATATGCATAACACCTTTCTTTCTTTCATTCTTTATTATTTTTGTAGAATACTTTGCCTTATTTTTAATCTCTATGATTTGGGTAGTTTCTTTTGTATTTTATATACTTTGGGTGAAATGAGTAAAAAAAAAAAAAAGAATAATTCTAGGACTGTGATACTAATTTTTAGCAGCAAGAGATCAATACTATGATTTAAAATAAGTATACACAGCTATCTCCACCCAAGATTTAGAATAGAGAATGTTAGCAATAAACCAATATTGTGTGTAACTCCAGTTGTACAGTGCTAGAAACCCTCCAAAGGCATTCCAAGCTGGCTGGGCGTGGTGGCTCATGCCTGTAATCCCAGCACTTTGGGAGGCCAAGGTGGGTGGATCACTTGAGGTCAGGAATTCGAGACCAGCCTAGCCAACCTGGTGAAACCCCATCTCTACTGAAAATACAAAAATTAGTTGGGTGTGGTGGCACATGCCTGTAGTCTCAGCTACTTGGGAGGCTGAGGTGGGAGAATCACTTTAGCCCGGGAGGTGGAGGTTGCAGTGAGCTGAGATTGCCCTACTGCATCCCAACTTTGGTGACAGAGTGAGATCCTGTCTCAAAAAAAAAAAAAAAAAAAAAAGAATTTAAAGTGAATCCTCAATGTTTTTCTCTCCAGCATGGTTCAGTGGTTTTTGTATAAGCATAGAGAAGTCGATTAGTTGATTCTAATCAGGGGTGAAGTTTCCCAGGAGACCATGTTAAGGAATTGACAATTAAGGGAATTAAGGATATTTACAAGGGCATTTAATATGGAACCCTAGAATCTAAGTTGAGCAAGAAGGGAAGTGAGGATATAATGAAGATGATTAATCATGAGAAAAGTGGCAAAATTAACAGGTGGAACCTACAAAATAAGCTCACGGAAAAAAAATAAATTAACAGGTGGGAGATATTAATGAGATAGGAGAATTACTGATCTAGATGAGCTAGAAGGATAGGAGGTGGTGGTCAAGTGTCGGGATGCCTAACATCCAGATTTTGGACATGACACAGTCTTTGGTGCAGATAGATCATGGGTATTACCATGGAATGGGAAGCTGGAATTGTATGTTGGGCATGATTGTGATGAGGAGGCTAAAGACCTGGAAGACCACACAGTGTTAGGTGAGTTACCCATGTGGGTGATTGTTGACGTTACCAAGAGCAGTTTGGGGGTAGAATGGAAGACAGCAATGTCTGAAGTGTTCAACTGAAGAGTGAGGAAGTTGAGGGTCAGTAGATGACATGAACAAGATCGGATAGTAGATGATGAAGTCTGTTAGTGAGAAATTAAAATGTATTCAGGTTTTTGAAGGTAGAGAGAAGAGAAAAGGTTTAGAAGAAGCAAGGAGGAATATTCCCCACTTACAGGAAATATAGAAGAGAAGTAGCAGTCTCCAAATGAGAGTGTTTCACGGACAGACTTTAGTTAGGGACAGAAGAGGAACTTTTCAGGGAGAAGGTTGAGTAGTAGAAGAGTTTTCACTCATTAAAAATTAGCCATTTAATTATTGTCATTGTCATCATTCTTAATATTAGATTTTGAGCCAGGTGCCATCGAGGGCACACGCTTATAGCCCTAGCTACTCTGGGGCTGAGGCGGGAGGATCTCTTGAGCCCAAGAGTTGGAGGCTGCAGTGAGTTGTGATTGCGCCTTTGCTCTCCAGCCTGGGTGACACAACGAGACCCTGTCTCTAAAAACATAATATTATTAAATTTTGTGATTAGCTATTGTGTTATTATTATTTCTGGACACTTTAACAAACTTTATAATATTATGTAATTTTTTATTGAATATGTGTCATTTTCTATAAAAGTTTGACTATTAGGCCTTTGATAACATCAAAATATTCATTATCCTCTCATATATATTGGAAAATCAGATTTAATTTCATTTGTGGTATGTTTACCATATGCCAGGCTCTTACCTATTATTGCAAATATGAAAATATATAAGATATAATGCCTCTTCTCAAAGAGGATTAGTGAGCTCACAAGAATATAACTTGTGGGCATATAGTTCCATAACACACCAATCAGAGTATTAACAGTGGTCACCTCTGGGACAGTGAAGGGAATGGAGGGGTTAGATATTAAGGGGAGCCTTCCATTTTTAGCATCTTTTAATATAATATATTTCTTTGTATATTTGCATCTTTTATTTATTTGCATCTTTGCATCTTTTAATCCAATATATTTCTATTTTTTACAAATAAGAGTATTAAGATAGAATTTATGGAAGTCACATTTTTGTGTGTGATAATTAAAGGGATAAATTGTGTTTTTTAAGCCTTTGTCTGTTTCTTCTAGGCAGGAATACCAATGGGACCAATGCCAGCAGCGGGAATGCCTTACCTAGGACAAGCACCCTTCCTGGGCATGCGTCCTCCAGGCCCACAGTACACTCCAGACATGCAGAAGCAGTTTGCCGAAGAGCAGCAGTAAGAGATCACCAGAATTAAAGGATAACAAAGATACATTATAGCATCTATCTTAAGAATTGTCTAATGATCTCTAGTGCAGATTTGAAACTAAAACAGTCAAAAGTTGTCTTTAAAACTCTTAAGGCCTGGCCCAGTGGTTCATGCCTATAATCCCAGCACTTTGGAAGGCTGGGGTGGGCAGATTGCTTGAGCCCAGGAGTTCGAGACCAGCCTGAGCAACATGGTAAAACCCTGTCTCTACAAAAAATACAAAATATTAGCCAGGCTTGGTGGCTCATGCTTGTAGTCCCAGCTGCTCAGGAGGCTGAGGTGGGAGGATCACCTGGGCCCCGAGGTTGAGGCTGCAGTCAGCCGTGATCATGCCACGGTACTCCAGCTTCGGTAACAGAGTGAGACCCTGTTTAAAAACAAAAACAAAAAAGCCTCTTTAAACTACCATTATTATAAGTTTAGAGTCAAAAAGGACCTTAGAGATCCTGTAATTCAACCCTCTTGTTTTATATCTAGTGAAAGTGAAGTCCAGGAAAATGAAACAACTTGTCAGTCCAGGTTACACAGTTACCAGCAAAGCCTGGACCCAAAGGCAGGCTTCCTGATTCCCAAATCATTACTCTTTCTGCTGTATGACACTGCCTTCCCAAGCAGGTTCTTTTTTAATATGCAGAGCAAAGTGTGTTCTTATGTTTGTCTGCCTGTTTTTCGAGAATACTTTTATATGCAAAAGCTTGTTTCCTCCTCTTGCAAATTAGATGAGAAATAAATTCATATACATAATTTAGGTAAATCATTCTTTAGACTCATGTCAAATATTTTGGAATTAATATAGTGAGGAAACAGGATTGTCGTAAGAAAACTAGATATTTAGCAATGAAATTTACACTTCTGGAAGTGCAACATGATATTGCTGAAACTGTTAGAAATCTGAATATAAAACACAGTGTATAATCCCGGGAGCTGGTTCTTTATTAGATCATTTTTCCTTCAGGAAACGATTTGAACAGCAGCAAAAACTCTTAGAAGAAGAAAGAAAAAGACGCCAGTTTGAAGAGCAGAAGCAAAAGCTCAGACTTTTGAGCAGTGTGAAACCCAAGGTAGTATTTCAATACTTCTCTTCACCCAGAACATACACACCCTGAATGTGCCTCTTCCCACTCATTGAGTGGATTTCGTCACTGGGGCACCAGCCCAAGCTGAGGCTGTGATTGATTCTTCTCATTTTGGTTTACCTAATTACTAATGTGAAGGGTTTTTCATTTTCTGTAAAGATACACTGCTGTCAATGAGAATAGGCTATCAGCCATTATCTTTTCAGCTCTTTTTTAGTATCATGGCAATGTTTATAATCTTTTTCTTGGGAAGCAGTAATCCTGAATTCAGTGATATTTCATATTTCTCTTAGAGCCTTCACAGGACACTTAATATCAAACAGGTCTATCCTAAAGTATTTATACATTGGCCTTGTAATGTTTTTATTTTCTGTGGAGTGTCATTGTTTAATCATTTACCAATGTCTTGCTGACTTGGATAATTCATTATCAGAAGTATGTGGTAAAAATATTGGAAATAGATGAATATCTGTGCTTTTCTTAATTTGGGAGGGTTTAGGATACAGTGAGGGATAAGTAAAGAAATACGCATATATTTGTTGTCTCTTAGACAGGAGAGAAGAGTAGAGATGATGCTTTGGAAGCCATAAAAGGAAATTTAGATGGGTTTTCCAGAGATGCAAAAATGCACCCTACTCCAGCATCGCACCCCAAGAAACCAGGTAGTTTTAAGAGGCATTATATTTTTCTTTTCTGGGAAGGTGATTTATGTAGTCCCTGTTTCTTTACCTCGCCATTATATGTGTGTGTGAAAAGTCAATGTAGAACTCTTCCTTCAAGCTAAGTACAGATTTGGATGTTCTCAAATATACAGTGGCTTAAGAGCTCTGGTCTGGATAACAACTGTCTTGGGAGGAAAAAACCTCTTTGTCTTCTAATTAAATATCAGTATGACAATTTCACCTGTAAGTTTTCTGTATATAAATATGTTAACATTAGTAAAATCTATTCACTCAGAGCAAATGTAATAAAGGAGTTTACCATTTAATTCTCATTGTTTTATAGTAATTTTTATGAACTAGCTCTGATTTCATTACTTAATGTGATTAAACTTACAAATTCTTAAAATGCCTCATTTAAGAAAATCATGAGTATAATAATGCTCTTCTTGAAATGTTAGTTTCCCTAATGCATTTCTTTGTAATTTTTATCATCATTTATTGTCAGGTAAGCAAAAAGAAACGTCCCTGTTTTAGAGCAGGGTAAAGGGATTGGAGGTTGGGGTTTGGTTGTTCTTTTGAACATTTAGCAGTTGAAATGAGTCTTGTATTTGCATAATTGTTACCACATTATTTTTAAAAATTCAACATTTCAAGCCAGGTGCCATGGCTCATGCCTGTAATCCCAGCACTTTGGGAGGCCGAGGCAGGTGGGATCACTTGAGGTCAGGAGTTCAAGACCAGCCTGGCCAACATGGTGAAAACCTGTCTCTACTAAAAATACAAAAATAAGCTGGGCATGGTTGTGCATGCCTGTATTCCCAGCTACTCGGGAAGCTGAGGCAGGAGAATCACTTGAACCTGGGAGGCGGAGGTTACAGTGAGCCGAGATCATGCCACTGCCCGCTCCAGCTTAGGCATCAGAGCAAGACTCCATCTCAAAAAACAACAAAAAACAAATTCAACGTTTTGACATTTTATCAGCTGATTCCAAGAAAACATACCTAATAGGTGAACAGTTTTCATAAATCATTTAGCCAGCCAAGAAAGTACTATCTTCTGCTGGAAAATGTTGCATTGATAAATTTTATCTTGAACCCTTGTATTATAGTACCTTTCATGGGTGATATCAAGAGGGAATAATCACTGGCATAGTAACCAGTTCTTGATTTTTCCGGGACAACTTTGACTCTGTTCTGTTAATTTCACTTAAGATTCCCATTCCAAAAGTATGCCCCAAAATAAAATATACAAGATTGAAAAGAAAACAGATATTAGCAATCAGGCTGAGATTAGAAAGGAAAAACATATCTAAAAATGAAAATTATAAGGTGAATAAGCTAGTCAAGAAGTAATTTAGGAATATATATTAGAAGTTAATACTAAAACTAGACCTAGGCTGGAGGTTAGGAAAAGTAGAGAAAGGCAGTCAGGAGTTCAAGACCAGCGTGGCCAACATGGTGAAACCCCATCTCTACTAAAAATACAAAAAATTAGCCAGGCATGGTGGCACGTCCCTATAATCTCAGTCACTTGGTAGGCTGAGGCAAGAGAATAGCTTGAACCTGGGAGATAGAGGCTGCAGTGAGTCGAGACTGCGCCACTGCACTCCAGCCTGGACGACAGAGTGAGACTCCATCTCAAAAAAAAAAAACCAAAAACCTAGTCCTAAAGTATTTATAAAAAGAGTTTCCAGCCATTCTACCACCAAAGGCACCTTTTAAATTTCTCTTTATAGATTGTTTATCTTAAAATACTGAATATACAAACTATATTGATCATATAACTTTTTTTTTGAGACAGGGTCTCATTCTATTGCCCTAGTGCGGTGACATGATCACAGTTCACTGCAGCCATGACCCCCCAGGCTCAGACAATCCTACCACTTCAACCTCGTGAGTAACCGGGACTACAGATGCGCACCACCACGCCTAGCTAATTTTTGTATTTTTTGTAGAGACGGGATTTCACCATGTTGCCCTGGCTAGTCTCAAACTCCTGGGCTCAAGCAGTCCACCTGCTTTAGCCTTCCAAAGTGCTAGGATTACAGGTGTGAGCAACTGTGCCTGGCCCATCATTTAACTTTTATACTTCTTTTTAATCATATACCTAGCTGCTAGAGTTGGTATGGGCCAAAATATATTCCATGTAGAAGTCACACATTCCAGCCAAATGCAAAGAAACATTGGTTTGGTCTTTACAGTATATCCCAAGGAAATAGGGTCCATTTAAAAAATATTTTAAGTAGCTGGGAACCCAAATTGAGAACCTAAATCCAGCCTTGGTAATTGTTGGGAGACTTGGAATACAATGTGGGAGGGCTTTTTCTTTTTTAAACAAACTTGATTAAGGCAATAATTTTGCATATTTTGCATCTTTCTTAGAACTTTCAGTGCATCCAGGTTTTATTGCATTGATCCTAAAGAGAGGAAAGAAGTATGCAGGGTCTCCATTTTTCAGACAAGAGCCATTTCTTAAAAAAAAGACTACTCCTGAGCTTCAAGTCAGTGACAAAAAAAAAGACTGCTTATTGTGACAATAGACTTTAGTCATATTAAAGCAATTCAAAGTAATTTAAAATGTGGGGAGGCCAGGTGCGGTTGCTCAAGCCTATAATCCCAGCACTTTGGGAGGCCGAGGTGGGTGGATCACCTGAGGTCGGGAGTTCAAGACCAGCCTGACCAACATGGCAAAACCCTGTCTCTACTAAAAATAAAAATTAGCCAGGTGTGGTGGCGCATGCCTGTAATCCCAGCCATTCAGGAGGCTGAGGCAGGAGAATCTCTTGAACCCAGGAGGCAGAGGTTGCTGTGAGCGGAGATCATGCCATTGTACTCCAGCCTGGGCGACAGAGCCAGACTCTGTCTCAAAAAAAAAAAAAAAAAGAAAAAAAATGTGGGGCCAGGAGTGGTGGTGCACACCTGTATTCCCAGCTACTCAGGAGGCTGAGGCAGAAGAATTGCTTGAACCTGGGAGGCAGAGGTTGCAGTGAGCTGAGATTGTGCCACTGCACTCCAGCCTGGGCGACAGAGCTAGACTCCATCTCCAAAAAACAAAAACAAAAACAAAACAAGGTAAGGCGTGGTGGCTCACGCCTATAATCCCAACACTTTGGGAGACCAAGGCAGGCAGATCACCTGAAGTCAGGAGTTCGAGACCAGCCTGGCCAACATGGTGAAACCCCATCTCTACTAAAAATACAAAAATTAGCCGGGCGTGGTGATGGGCACCTGTAGTCCCAGCTACTTGCGAGGCTGAGGCACGAGAATCACTTGAACCTGGGAGGCAGAGGTTGCGGTGAGCTGAGATTGTGCCACTGTTCTCTAGCCTGGATGACAGAGGGAGACCCAGTATCATAATAATAATAATAATAATAGTAATAATAATAATAAATGTGAAGAAGCAACAATAAAATAGTATTGTTAATGAGCTTCATGTTAAATGTAGCCCCAGTAGAGCAGGTTTATTACATAAGTGAATTTTACATTTAACAATAAAAAGCCACAGTGACATTTATATCCTTTAGTGCCAAAGATCTTTTAAAGGTAGTTGTAGTCTTCAGGCAGGGTTTACTTTCTTAAATTGACTATAGTTGTTTGATTCAGCTCTTCATGATATCCTAATATTGATGCTTTTCACAAGAAAATATCACCTTAATAATGTGTTTAATGTTCTTGTCTTGGCCAGGCATGGTGGCTCATGCCTGTAATCCCAGTGCTTTGGGAGGCCAAGGTGGGTGGATCACCTGAGGTTAGGAGTTCAAGACCAGCCTGGCCGATATGGAGAAACCCCCGTCTCTACTAAAAATACAAAAATTGGGCTGGGCGTGGGGACTCACACCTGTAATCCCAGCACTTTGGGAGGCCAAGGCAGGTAGATCATGAGGTCAGGAGTTCAAGACCAGCCTGGCCAAAATGGTGAAACCCCGTCTCTACTAAAAATACAAAAGTTAGCTGGGTGTGGTGGCACGCACCTGTAGCCCCAGCTACTTGGGAGTTTGAGGCAGAAGAATCACTTGAACCCAGGAGGTGGAGGTTGCAGTGAGCCGAGATCGCGCCACTGCACTCAAGTCTGGGCGACAGAGCAACAGTCTGGGCGACAGAGCAAGACTCCGTCTCTCTCTCTCTCTCTCTCTCTCTCACACACACACACACACACACACACACACACACGAAATACAAAGATTAACTGGGCATGGCGGTGCATACCTGTAGTCCCAGCTACTTGAGAGGCTGAGGCAGAAAAATCTCTTGAACCGGGGGAACAAAGCAGAGGTTTCAGTGAGCTGAGCTCATGCCATTGCACTCTAGCCTGGGCATCACAGCAAGATTCCATCTCAAAAAAAAAAAAAAAAGTTCTTTTGTAATTTTTATTTCTCATATGGTAACTTTACTGAAATATGATCTATGCAAGTGTGTGGATCGGGCATGATATTTCAAAAATTACAGCTTTGTATTGTGCATTATTTCTTACTGAATTTCTTAATAAATAATGAAATTTAGTCATCATGGTATATATCTGTCCAAAATGTATTCAGCACTATATTGGTAGGTTTTCTTATATCTGATGTATATTGGTTTGAGATAATATTATCTAGATAAACAGATCATTTCAACTGCAAAAATAATCATCACTTTGATGTAAATCATTAATGGTCTCAGGGGAAAAATTATTAATCTAATAAAAGAAAGACAGTCAAGGCCAGGAGCTCGAGACCAGCTTGGGCAACATAGTGAGACACCATCTCTATGAAAAAAAAAAAGAAAGGAAGAATTAGCTGGGTATGCTGGCATGTGCCTATATTCCTAGCTACTCAGGAGGCTGAGGCTGAAGGATTGCTTGATCCCACGAGTTTCAGGCTGCTATGATCATGAGCTATGAGCATGCCACAGCACTGTAGCCTAGGTGACAGAGCAAGATCCTGTCTCTAAAATAAATGAATAGATACATGTATTTTTAGTTTTACCTTTTTTGAACCAAATACAAAATAGCTATTAAAACTCCCCTTTAAAAAGACATAAAATTGTGTATAAATAGACATCAAAGTGTTTTACATGCATCATGCAATTCCATTTGACTATTGTTACTTGTTATTTCTTGTTCACCTCCACTATTTATGTTTCAATATATTCTTTTGGAATTGTACTACATCTTAATTCCTTTTTCTCTGTTGGTTTCCATTTTTGTGTGTTTCATTGCCATTTTCCATTTTGCAGATTGCCCCACATCATCTCATTCTACTAAAACTGTCTCCCCATCACCTGCCTTTCTTGATGAAGAAGAATTCAGTGACTTTATGCAGGGGCCTGTTGAAGTTCCCCCATGTGGGCCTTCTTCCACGTCCCAGCCCTTTCAGTCTTTCCACCCCTCCACCCCACTTGGCCAGTTGCATACACAGAAGGCTGGGACACAGCCTCTCCCTCCAAGTCAGAGTCCAGTGCCTTTTGCCTTACATGGCGTCCCTGGGCAAATTCCTTACTTCTCTACTGCTTCAGCCTCACACAGTGTACCAGAAGCAGGTAACTCTTAGCATTATTAATGAAAATATTCTTAAGATATCCTGGGATAACTTATTTCTGTTATATAAGTAGAATAATCCAGTGATGTTGGCAAATAAACATGCACATAAATGTATGACTGCTGTTGAAATTCAACAAAACAAGTGTCTAGATTTTTAAGTTCTGGGGTCTTGACATTCCAGAAAGGTGATTTAAAACTTTTGCTCCTCAACTAGGAGCACTTTAAACTGCCTTATAACTTTAAAAGAAATCTTCTGATTTTTCCAGAAGATTGTTGTTTGGGAGATTCACCGATATCATTTTCTTAAGAATAAGGAGCTAGGAAAGGCTTCTTTAGAAAGTACTCTTTCAGCTTCAGTGACAGGGCACTTGGGGGCAGAAGCCCAGGTTGTCCATTTACTGTCAATTTGTCCTTGGTGTGCCTTAGATTTTGTCATCTATAAAATGAATAGAGACAGCTACACATCCTGGCTTGAGACAGGGTGCTGGGAGGGATCTTGGCAGACATGTACTTAGTCCAGACTGTCTCATTTGATGGACATGGAAACAGACCAAGAGATGATGATGATGTTACTGGCCAGAGGCCTCCCTAGGAGTTAGTGGAAGTGTTATCTTATGTAGGTTGTCAGATTTCAAAGGTAGTGCTCCTTCCACTACACTCTTCCACCTACTGTCTCATAGAATTCTTTAGAATCACAGTAGATAATTATGTTTACATTCTCTAAAATCTCTGAAGTCTCTCAAGTCCTATACAAATGTGCAGTGATTGAATTATTTCAACGTTTACTTTTTTTTTTTTTTGAGACAGAGTCTTGCACTGTCATCCAGGCTGGAGTGCAGTGGCGTGATTTCAGCTCACTGCAACCTCCGCCTCCTGGGTTCAAGTGATTCTCCTGCCTCAGCCTCCCAAGTAGCTGAAATTACAGGTGCCCGCCACCACGCCTGGCTAATTTTTTGTATTTTTAGTAGAGATGGGGTTTCATTATGTGGGTCAGGCTGGTCTTGAACTCCTGACCTCATGGTCTGCCTGCCTTGGCCTCCCAAAGTGCTGGGATTACAGGCTTGAGCCATGGTGCCTGGCCACAATGTTTACATTATACGTGGCAGGGCCTCCCTTTAGAATATGGGGGTGAGCTGGGCACCGTGGCTCACTTCTGTAATCCCAGCACTTTGGGAGGCTGAGGTGGGTAGATCACCTCAGGTCAGGAGTTCGAGACCAGCCTGTCTAACATGGCGAAACCCCGTCTCTACTAAAAATACAAAAAATTAGCCAGGCTTGGTGGCGGGCGCCTATAATCTCAGCTACTAAGGAGGCTGAGGCAGGAGAATTGCTTGAACCTGGGAGGCAGAGGTTGCAGTGAGCTGAGATCATGCCAGTACACTACAGCCTGGGTGACAGAGTGAGATTCCATCTCAAAAAAAAAAAAAAAAAAAAAGAATATGGGGGTGGAGATGGATGGTTAAAAAGATTAGACATATACAGTTATATACAAATAATCCTTCATGCTCTTTGTTTAGGCCCTTCCTTGGAGGAGAAGTTCCTAGTATCTTGTGATATAAGTACATCTGGGCAGGAACAAATTAAATTAAATACTTCTGAAGTTGGCCACAAAGCCCTAGGCCCAGGTTCCAGTAAGAAGTATCCCAGTTTAATGGCCAGTAACGGGGTTGCTGTAGATGGATGTGTAAGTGGTACCACCACTGCAGAGGCAGAAAATACTTCAGATCAAAACCTGTCAATTGAAGAGAGTGGTGAGCTCGTGAAGCATTCAGCAAAAAACTTGTTTAACCAAATGTTGCTCAAATGCTAACACCTTAAGCATTAATCTTCAAATGAATGCTGCTTGATTTTGCTAATCGAAATTTTGCTTGAAATATATTTAATGCATTCCTTTCTCCAATTAACCCCTAAGATTTTGCTCTGAATTCTTTCAACACACTGTTACTCCTTTTTAAAAATGATTTTGATAACTGGTTTTCTTAATTGGAATCATTTCTGATTTAAAATTTTCTTTCCTTTTATTTTATAAAAACTCTCTTTTTTCCCCCCTTATACTTTCTGTTCTTCCATAAAGGTTGAAAAGTTAAAATGTAACTGGAAAAGTCACCAATGAGAATATAGTTTTGGTTTCTCTAAAATAAATCATATGCACCACTGCCTAAAAGATCTAAATTGTATAAATTCAACCCTCAGAAATGAATTAGAATGTGGGCAGCCAAGGAGGCAAACTTTTGGGAGGATATTTTATTGGACAGAAAGCCCCCAAAAGTCCTATATATTTAAGACAGCAGTATCATATGTAGGTTAAAAAACAATGAAACTTTGCAAAGAAGCATTAGTAAAAACTGCAAGTAAAGCTTGGACAATTAAATATTTTTAGATACATAATTTTAAACTATCATCTATCATGTTTTTTTCCTTAATTTGTAATACATGTTAAATGGTGCAAGGCTTATATGATTTAGAGTATTGATTTGATACATTTTAGTTTTTGTATAATTTACTCTTTAGAACATAGTTAACGTACAAGAGTTGCTTAAAAACCAAATATTTTATTCTGAATCGGAGGCAGGGGGGACCAAGTATTTTAATTGTATTGGTGACTTTTTTTAGTGTCTCCAGCCAGTGCTCTTTGTAAAAAACCATGACTCAGTGTGATTTCGCCATCTTCTCCATGGACCACTATATACATTAATGTTTCTTACCTTCTAGGTGTGGGAGTATTTCCCTCACAGGATCCTGCTCAGCCCAGAATGCCTCCTTGGATTTACAATGAGAGTTTGGTTCCAGGTAAAAAAGCTTCTTTACCCAGGATTCCCATCTGGATATTTTGGTTTAAATATTGTAAATGTAGTTGTAAATATTTACTGTTGCACTTACAAAAAATGCAGGAGGAGTTGTCACTTTTCTTTTTTTCTGAAAGAGTACAGAAATTAAATAAATGTCGTGTTTCATAAGACTGCCTCATATATGGAATAACTATATAAATAGAGGAGAATAGTTTTGTTTTAATGTTTTATCAACCATCATACTTTTATTTCTAAAAGCTCTCTTAGATTTATTATGCTTTAATGGACATTATCAAATATTTACTTCAGCAATTAATAACATCAAGAATTTTACCAAAATATTTAATGTAATTTTCTGAATTCTTAGTTTATATTTTTAAAAATATTCTTTCTATGACTTGTCATGTAATACTATATGAAATAAAAGACCATGTGGGATCTTTTTTTTCACATTGGAAGATGTGAAGGATAGTGTTTACTCTTTTTTTTTTTTTTTTTTTTGAGACAAGGTCTTACTGTCACCCAGGCTGGAGTTCAGTGGCAGGATCTTGGCTCACTGCAGCCTTGACCTCCCCAGGCTCAGGCAATCCTCCCACCTCAGCCTCTCAAGTAGCTGGGACTACAGGCGCATGCCACTACACCCAGCTAATTTTTGTATTTTTTTGTAGAGACGGGGTCTCGTCATGTTGCTCAGGCTGGTCTCAAACTCCTGGGCTCAAGTGATCTGCCTGCCTTGGTCTCCCAAAGTGCTGGGATTACAGGTGTGAGCCACTGCACCTGACCTACTTTTTCTTTACATGTATTTTTACTGCTGAGCCAAGAAGAAAAAAAAAAGAAAAGAAAATCCTTAAAGTGCATTTTCTTCTTTAAACAAAAAAAAATTTATTTTTAATTTTTGTGGCTACATAATTGTATATTTTTATGGAGTACATGAGATACTTTGATACAGACATACAATGTGTAATAATCACATCAGGGTAGATAAGGTATCCATTACCTCAAGCATGTATTACTTCTTTGTGTTATGAACATTCCAATTATACTCTGTAAGTTATTTTAAGTGTACAATAAATTATTGTTGACTGTAGCTACCTTGTAGTGCTATCAAATACTAGATCTTATTCCTCCTATCCAACTATATTTTTATGCCCACTAACCATCCCCATTATTCCCCCCCACCACTACCCTTCTCAGCCTCTGGAAACCATCATTCTATTCTCTGTCTCCATGAGTTCAGTTGTTTTAATTTTTAGCTTCCACAAATGAATGAGAATATATGAAATTTGTCTTTCTATGCCTGGCTTATTTCACTTAATATAGTGTCCTCCAGTTCCAACCATGTTGTTGGAAATGACAGGATCTCAATTTTTTTTATGGCTGAATTGTGCTCCATTGTGTATATGTACCACATTTTCTTTATCCATTCGTCTGTCAATGGACACTTAGGTTGCTTTTGAATCTTGGCTTATAAATTAGTACAGCCACTATGGAGAAACCTTTATACTGTTCTCCATAGTGGCTGTACTAATTTACATTCCTACCAACAGTGTACTTGGGTTCCCTTTTCTCCACATCCTCACCAGCATTCGTTATTGCCTGTCTTTTGGATAAAAGCCATTTTAAGTGGGGTGAGATGATATCTCATTGTAGTTTTGATTGACATTGCTCTGATGATCAGTGATGTTGAGCCTCTTTTCATAAACTTGTTTGCTGTTTGCATGTCTTCTTTTGAGAAATGCCTGTTCAGTTGTCTTGCCCATTTTAAAATCAGATTATTAGCTTTTTTTGTATTGAGTTGTTTGAGCTTCTTATATATTTTGGTTATTAATCCCTTGTGAGATGGATAGTTTGCAGATATTTTCTCCCGTTCTGTGGGTTGTCCATTTTGTTGATTGTTTCCTTTGCAGTGCAAAAGCTTTTTAACTTGATGTGATCCCATTTGTCCATTTTTGCTTTGATTGCCTTTACTTTTGGGTTATTACTCAAGACATCTTTGCCCAGACGAATGTCCTGGAGAGTTTCCCCAAGTTTTCTTTTAGTAGTTTCATAGTTTCTGGTCTTAGATTTAAATCTTTAATTCATTTCCATTTGATTTTTTTATTTGGTGTGGGATGGGGTCTAGTTTTATTCTTCTGCATATGGAGATCCAGTTTTTCCAGCACCGTTTATCGAAGAGACCCTCCCCAATGTATGTTCTTGGCACCTTTCTGAAAAATGAGTTCACTGTGGATGTGTGGATTTATTTCTGGGTTCTCTATTCTGTTCCATTGGTCTCTGTGTCTGTTTTTGTGTTATTACTATGCTGTTTTGGTTACTATAGCTTTGTAGTATAATTTGAAGTCAGGTAATATACAGTAATGTACTGTAATTCCTCCAGTTTTGTTCTTTTTGCTCAGAATGGCTTTGGCTATTCTGGGTCCTTTGTGGTACCATATAAATTTTAGGATTATGTTTTCTGTTTCTGTGAAGAATGTAATTGGTATTGATAGGGATTGCATTGAATCTGTACTACCCATTGCTTTGGGTACTATGGACATTTTAACAACATTGATTATTCCAAAACATGAACATGGAATATTTCTCTATTTTTTTATGTCCCCTTCAATTTATTGCATTAATGTTTTATAGTTTTCATTCAAATGCATTTTCTGATACTACTCATAATGACAAAAGGCTGTTACCAAAATAGTATGTACAATTCAACTGTACTTTAAAATAATGGCTTTTCTTCCAAATGCCTGTTAGACAGTTTGCATCTTTTCTTCTCTGTCCTCAAGCCAAACGAATGAAATCTAGATCTTGGTATATTTTGGAGTTTTATCCATTTTCTGCCAGTTTGTATTACTTTACTTTCGCCCTCTTCCTTAGAAGACTAGAAAACATACATGCATGTATACTTTCTAGTCAAAATATGGTTTTTTTTGTTTGTTTGTTTGTTTTTGAGACGGAACCAGTCTGTCACCCAGGCTGGAGTGCAGTGGCGCAATCTCGGCTCACTGCAACCTCTGCCTCCTGGGTTCAAGCAGTTCTCCTGCCTCAGCCTCCTGAGTAGCTGGGGCTACAGGCGTGCACCACCACGCCTGGCTAATTTTTTTTATTTTTAGTAGAGACAGGATTTCACCGTATTGGCTAGGCTGGTCTCGAACTCCTGACCTTGTGACCCGCCCACCTCAGCATCCCAAAGCACTGGGATTACAGGCATGAGCCACCACATCTGGCCAAAAATATGTGTTCTTATGGAGAGCCCACTAACCTGTAATCCATACTTATAATCCCAGATGTAAAATTTTTGTTTTAAACAGTTTCTCTGTCCCCCTTAGCCCTACTAAGTTTCATTTCCCTAACTAAGCTTGCTACATTTAGTAAATAACCATACAGGATGCCCAGTTAAATTTGAATTTCAGGTAAACAGCAAATAATTTTTTAGTATAAGTATGTCCCATGCAATATTGGCATTCTTTATTTTAGCCCTGTATCTAACAACATTTCCCACTTGGTCCTTTGGAAAACCCATGTTATTGTCAAAAACTCACCAACTGTACCCCCCTTTTTAAGACACTTGTTCTGCTTCCTCACCTTAACAGAAACTGGGTCTTTCCTTAAAGGCTGTATTTCCGTAGCACCTTCTCCAATGGTGTTTTCTCTCACAGCCTCTAATTTACTGGAGAAGAGTGATGTTGGTATAATTCTTACTTCCCATTGCTCTTTTCAAACTGTTCCCACCATCATTACTCTACAGCTTCTCTTGTAAAGTCCAAAGCATGCTGTCTTGTTACAATCTTCTACTGAATTATAAGACTTTGTCTTACCTCTAGCCCTAAATTTTATCTTTAGTACCAAACTTCAGACTCTTAATTGTCTGCTGGACATTTCCACTTGAATATCTCAAATTTTTTTTTCTTTTTTTTTTTGAAACGGAGTCTCACTGTTGCCCAGGCTGAAGTGCAGAGTGCAGAGTCGTGATCTTAGCTCACTGCAACCTTTGTCTCGGGGTTCAAGTGATTCTCCTGCCTCAGCCTCCTGAGTAGCTGGGCTTACAGGCACATGCCACCACGTGTGGCTAACTTTTGTATTTTTAGTAGAGATGGGGTTTCACTATGTTGGCCAGGCTGGTCTTGAACTCCTGACCTCAGATGATCTGCTGGCCTTGGCCTCCCAAGTGCTGAGATTACAGACGTGAGCCACCACGCCCAGCTGCACTTGAATATGTTTAAAGCAATTTAAACCCTGACATGGCTTCGGTTCTATTAAAGCAGTTTTGTTGAAGATTATTCTTGTATACCAACAATGGCATCCCAAAAAATAAATCACTTGGAATGTGTTTCCATTTGTAATCTGGTCTTTCCTTTAATAGATGCCTATAAGAAAATCTTAGAAACCACAATGACTCCAACTGGAATAGATACTGCCAAACTGTATCCCATTCTGATGTCATCTGGGCTTCCCAGGGAAACTCTTGGACAGATATGGGCCTTAGCTAATCGAACTACACCTGGCAAACTTACAAAAGAAGAACTTTATACCGTTCTAGCCATGATAGCGGTAACACAGGTAAACAATGTTTCTTAAGTTAGATCAAATAACTTTATTAATATAAATTGCAAGGATATGAAATCTTTTTTACTACATTGTGTAACTCCTTGTACATTAAAATTTAGATCATTTTCAGGATATAGTACTTCAAAAATGTAGAGTTTATAAGATGTGCATAATAGCAAGTTATTCCTTTGTTTAAAGACTTTTTGTTTTGGTTTGTTTTTGAGACTGAGTCTCATTCTGTTGCCCAGGCTGGAGTGCAGTGGCGAGATCTCAGCTCACTGCAGCTTCCGCCTCCCGGGTTCAAGTGATTCTCGTGCCTCAGCCTCCCAAGTAGCTGGGATTACAGGCACCCACCACCATGCCCGGCTACTTTTTGTATTTTTAGTAGAGATGGGGTTTTACCATGTTGGCCAGGCTAGTCTCGAACTCCTGACCTCAAGTGATCCACCTGTCTCGGCCTCCCAAAGTGCTGGGATTACAGGCATGAGCCACCACGCCTGGCCTAAAGACTTTTAATATTAACATTCTCTGAACTTGAAAGTTAGTCAGTAATAGGTGAAATTACTCTGTGTTTTGAAATTCTTCTCTAAAATTTCATAGATACAGATAAAGTATTCTCAGTCTGGTATAAATTTTTCTTTTATTGCAAAGTCATTTTAAATGATTTGATCATATAGAATTAACCAAACTTGTCAGAAAGTGAAAATGTCAGAACTGATATGTGTTGGCCATTTCTTTCTTAAGTATTAGGTTTGCATTGACCTTGTAACTTTTTTTCTTAAATCAAATTCATGAGTTTTGAGAGTTGGAGTGGAAACATGCAAAGGCTACAGATTTTTTTACCTTTCGGTCTCTGCCAGATTTCGACCGTATGTGGTTTACAATCCTCTAATCCATTTTCTTTCTATCATTTGTAGAGGGGCGTTCCTGCAATGAGTCCTGATGCTTTAAACCAGTTCCCAGCAGCTCCTATTCCAACTTTAAGTGGCTTTTCTATGACTCTGCCTACACCGGTGAGTCAGCCAACTGTGATACCTTCAGGTCCTGCGGGCTCCATGCCCCTCAGCCTTGGACAGCCAGTCATGGGCATTAACCTTGTTGGACCAGTGGGTGGAGCTGCAGCCCAGGCTTCTAGTGGTTTCATACCAACCTACCCTGCAAATCAGGTAAATGGCGAAGCTGTGCATATTTCAGATAATCACTGAAAGTGAATCTGGGCACCATTTTTTCCGGGGATACATAGAGTAGGTTACTGGATTATGGTGAGCACATTTAAATTCTTAGGTTGTATCTTTCAGAAAAACTGCTAAACCTGAAATTAAAATACTTTAGTTTTTCACTTCTCAGATTAGCAAAAATGTTTTAAATATATAATATTTAATGTCATTGAAAAAGTAGGGTAAAAGTGACTAATACACTCTAGGCTTATTGGTACAGCCTTGTTGAAAGGCAGACTTGGCAATAGCAATCAAAATTCTACATGTTGAGCTGGGCATGATAGTGTGTACCTGTAGTCCCAGCTACCCTGGAGGCTGAGGCAGGAGGATCACTTGATCCCAGGAGTTCAAGTCTGCAGTGAGCTATGATTACGATCACACCATTGCACTCCTGCTTGGCAACAGAAGGAGACTGAGTTTAAAAAAAAAAAAAAAAAAAAAAGCCTCAGCATGTCTATATCTTCTATCCTAGTAGTCACATTATTAGAAATCTATCCCAAGAATAGTAACTCGAATTAGCAAAGATATACAAGAATTTTTGTTGTAACATTGTTTGTTAGAGTAAAAAGTAGAAATAGCTAAATATCCAACAGGAGGAGAAAGGTTAAATAAATTTCAATTCCTTCACACAGTGGTAATCATTAAACTGAATGAGATAGATCTACATGTACTGCATGGAAATGTGTCTTTGTTATATAGTTAAAGTATAGAGCAATATAGTGTAATCTCATTTGTCTTTAAAACAAATGAGCTGTTAACAGTACTTCTGGAGTGTGGGATTAGGAGTCAGTGTCCACTCTTTGTACATGTATGTGATTGGTTATGATGAGCTTGTGTCACTTAATTTGCAAACATGCATGATATAGCTGTATGTCTTTTTTTTTTTTTTTGTAGCATTTTGACCTTTCCTTTTTAGTTTTTTTTTTTTTTTGAGACAGAGTCTTGCTGTGTTGCCCAGGCTGGAGTGCAGTGGCACGGTCGTGGCTCACTGCAACCTCTGCCTCCCAGGTTCAAGCCATTCTCCTGCCTCAGCCTGCCAAGTAGCTGGGATTACAGGTGCCCGCCACCACACCCGGCTAGATATATCTTTTAAAGATGGTAGGCGCTCAGTAACCCAATGAATATCATTCAGCTATTTTACAAATGTATAGATTAGCTTTTTTTTTTTTTTTTTTTCAGCCAGAGTCTTGCTCTGTCGCCCAGGCTGGAGTGCAGTGGCACAATCTCGGCTCACTGCAACTTCTGCCTCCTGGGTTCAAGTGATTCTCTGGCCTCAGCCACCCACGTAGCTGGGACTACAGGCACATGCCACCATGCGCAGCTAATTTTTGTATTTTTAGTGGAGATGGCGTTTCGCCATGTTAGCCAGACTGGTCTCGAACTTCTGACCTCAGGAGATCTGTCTGCCTCGATCTCCCAAAGTGCTGGGATTATAGGCGTGAGCCACTGCTCCCAGCCTAAATTAGCTATTTAAACCAGTCTTTTACCATTTGTACCAGAGAGTATTTAAAAATACAAAACAGGATTCCTGCCGTAAGCACTTGAGTTAATGTATCTAAACTGAGAAATTTTAAAGGCAGTCTTTGAGATTGACTTTTGATTTGTTGTGTATTTATTTTGTCAGTCAGTGCTATTTATTTAAATGACCTTTATAAACCTAGGTAGTAAAGCCAGAAGAAGATGACTTCCAGGATTTTCAAGATGCTTCTAAGTCAGGATCCCTTGATGACTCATTCAGTGATTTCCAAGAGTTGCCTGCTTCTTCAAAAACAAGTAACTCCCAGCATGGAAACAGGTAGAAAAGAGTTTAATATATTTAACATTGCATTTAACCATTAAGAAAGAGGCATCCATAATAGGAAGGCTAGGTGTGAGAAATTTAAAAATTAAGACTCCTTACTCTACTACTTTCTGTGTTTATTCCCTCTGTATTAATACTTTTACTTTTCAAACTTCTCTCCCCTTTGTCCATCTTAAACTTCAGCTCCTACTGTTTCCTGTAAGTACACACCTGCCTGCCAATATTCTTTTTTACCTGTGCCAAACCTTTATTATAGCTAAGATCACCTGTGCAGTGATGACTTCGTGTTCCTATATTACAGCAAGGTCTTCAACTGTTAAAAAGTTTTTTAGGCAGGAGCACATAATTGCACATTTTTGTAATGTTATGTACTGTTGCTTTTCCACAGAATCATAATTCAGAACTCTAATCATATTCATTCACATTTCTTGTATATTTGACATTAGTGTCTTTTAAGCCTTCAGATTTCTGTTGTTTGCATAGACAGCTGCATAAACATTTCTCTAAGGTTTTACACGCCACCTTAACCTTCAGGTACAGTAACTGATTCAGTATGTTGTCAGCATGTTTAGTTTTTTTTTGAGATGGAGTCTTGCTCTGTCGCCCAGGCTGGAGGGCAGTGGCGTGATCTCGGCTCACTGCAACCTCCACCTCCCAAGTTTTCCTGCCTCAGTCTCCTTAGTAGCTGGGATTACAGGTGTCCACCACCATGCCCAGCTAATTTTTTGTATTTTTAGTAGAGATGGGGTTTCACCATTTCACCATGTTGGCCAGGCTGGTCTCAAACTCCTGACCTCAAGTGAGTCTCTCTACTTGACCTCCTAAAGTGCTAGGATTACAGGCATGAGCCACCATGCCCAGACGGCATTTTAAAAAAAGTATTTAGATATTTCTGCAAAGTGGAACACATCAGACACCAGAGTAAGCGATATGAATTCCTTTGGTTTTATTTTTCGAATTTGTTATTGTCAGAATACATATTCCATGTCTCCTCTGTTCCTGTTTATGCAGTTTCGCTCATCTCTTCCCCTTTAGCCAATTGATTATCTCTTAGTCAGCACTTTGCTGCATACACACTGTAACAAGAACTAAGGGATAGGCATTATAGAGAATTACAAATTAGGAAAAGAGATTATTCTCCTGATTTTAAAAATATATTAAATGCATGTACATAACATATAGAAGAAACATATAAGGAATGTGACCATAGAGTGCTGGTATTTCCAGGACTGCTGCACCAACACAAGTTAAACCTTCTAGACGCATAAATTGTATTTCTACTTCAGATCTCTTCCTTCAAACAAAATTTATATGTACTACTGCTATCTAAGCATCCCTATCTGAATGAGTCAAGGCACCTCAAATTCACTGCATGAAATTACCTTTAGTGTTTTCCTACTCAAAGCCACATAAAAATGTGTTAAATCGTTATTCCCTTCCTTGGTGAATGATGTCACCATATTCAGTCACCAAATTAAAAGCATGCTATTTACTTTGGCTCTGTCATCTCTCCTTTACCACCATTAACTCTGTCAGCTCTGTGTGACAGTGTGTGATCTTAACTCCTGCCCACTCTCAACTCTTGCTATTCCCCATGACTTACACTCCAGCCTTGCCAGCATGACTCCAAACTGACCATGTTCTTTCAAGCTTTATCCATTCTGTTCGCTTCAGTCTGAAATACCCTTACCTGATCTCCCTATAGTTATAGTTCCATTTCAGAAATCAGCTAAATATAGGAAGTTTTTCCTAACCAATTCCCACCTCCTTTGCTACTGCTGTAGTACCTGATGAATGTCTGTGCCCTAATTGTAATTGCTGGTTTACCTGACTGTTTCCCTTTCTAGGCTGTAAGTATCTGAAGACAATTATTCATGTTTATATATGTAGTGCTTGGCCCCATCATATGTAATTAATAAAGATCTGTTGGATGACTATATTATAGTATGTGGGTTATAAACCTAATTTATCAAATGGGTGGTTTATTTCTCTGAGCAAAACTGTTTGTAGATGAAATTAAAATTTGGGGGTAGAAAGTTTTAAGATGGTAGCCAGACCTGAGATATATGGGATATTAGCAATTTTGTGTGGCATTATCTCCATGTAATAGTTTACTTTCGTATATGATACTTTTTTTTTTAATTTATTTTTTTATTGATAATTCTTGGGTGTTTCTCACAGAGGGGGATTTGGCAGGGTCATGGGACAATAGTGGAGGGAAGGTCAGCAGATAAACAAGTGAACAAAGGTCTCTGGTTTTCCTAGGCAGAGGACCCTGCGGCCTTCCGCAGTGTTTGTGTCCCTGGGTACTTGAGATTAGGGAGTGGTGATGACTCTTAACGAGCATGCTGCCTTCAAGCATCTGTTTAACAAAGCACATCTTGCACCGCCCTTAATCCATTTAACCCTGAGTGGACACAGCACATGTTTCAGAGAGCACAGGGTTGGGGGTAAGGTCACAGATCAACAGGATCCCAAGGCAGAAGAATTTTTCTTAGTACAGAACAAAATGAAAAGTCTCCCATGTCTACTTCTTTCTACACAGACACGGCAACCATCCGATTTCTCAATCTTTTCCCCACCTTTCCCGCCTTTCTATTCCACAAAGCCGCCATTGTCATCCTGGCCCCTTCTCAATGAGCGGTTGGGCACACTTCCCAGACAGGGTGGTGGCCGGGCAGAGGGGCTCCTCACTTCCCAGTAGGGGTGGCTGGGCAGAGGCGCCCCTCACCTCCCGGACGGGACGGCTGGCCGGGCGGGGGGCTGACCCCCCCACCTCCCTCCCGGACGGGGCGGCTGGCCGGGCAGGGGGCTGACCCCCCCACCTCCCTCCCGGACGGGGCGGCTGGCCGGGCAGGGGGCTGACCCCCCCACCTCCCTCCCGGACGGGGTGGCTGCCGGGCAGAGATGCTCCTCACTTCCCAGATGGGGTGGCTGCCGGGTGGAGAGGCTCCTCACTTCTCAGATGGGGCGGCTGCCGGGCGGAGGGGCTCCTCACTTCTCAGACGGGGCGGCCGGGCAGAGACGCTCCTCACCTCCCAGACAGGGTCGCGGCCGGGCAGAGGCGCTCCTCACATCCCAGATGGGGCGGCGGGGCAGAGGCGCTCCCCACATCTCAGACGATGGGTGGCCGGGCAGAGACGCTCCTCACTTCCTAGATGTGATGGCAGCCGGGAAGAGGCGCTCCTCACTTCCTAGATGGGATGGCGGCCGGGCGGAGACGCTCCTCACTTTCCAGACTGGGCAGCCAGGCAGAGGGGCTCCTCACATCCCAGACGATGGGCGGCCAGGCAGAGACGCTCCTCACTTCCCAGACGGGGTGGCGGCCGGGCAGAGGCTGCAATCTCGGCACTTTGGGAGGCCAAGGCAGGCGGCTGGGAGGTGGAGGTTGTAGCGAGCCGAGATCACGCCACTGCACTCCAGCCTGGGCACCATTGATACTTTGCAGCTATTCCTCTTACATACAGCTCTGACTTGACTACTTCCATACTTTCCTTGAATGAAACTATTTTTTTTTTTTTTAAGACGGAGTCTTGCTCTGTCTCCAGGCTAAAGTGCAGTTGCGCGATCTCGGCTCACTGCAACTTCTGCCTCCCAGGTTCAAGTGATTCTCCTGCCTCAGCCTCCCTAGTAGCTGGGACTACAGGCACGCGCCACTACACCCAGCTAATTTTTGTATTTTTAGTAGAGATGGGGTTTTACCATATTGTCCAGGCTGGTCTTGAACTCCTGACCTCAGGTGATCTGCCTGCCTCGGCCTCCCAAAGTGCCAGAATTACAGGCGTGAGCCACCATGCCCAGCTGAATGAAACTATTTTGGTTTTATCTAGAATTCATACTCATTATTCATTTATTCATCCAGCAAACATTTATTTAGCATTTGCTATATGCCAGACACTGGGATAGGCATGAGAAATACAGAAGCAAAAACCACAGTTCCTGCTCTAAAGACACTTAGTTTTATCTGGTATTTAAATTATCTGATAACGTTCTCTTAGGATTAGTCCTTAAATGTACATATAAAATGTATTCCCTAGTTTATGATAATCTGTACTCCACATTGTTTTAAAAAGAGATTTGTTAAATCATGGTGTGAATAGCTAAGCCTAGGAAAGACCATTTTGGACAGAAAATGGGCATTACTTGTTAGAGAAGATGAAAGGGCAAGTAAGGTTTTAGGAGTAGACCGGGATGGAGAACATTGTTGGTCTGTGAGAAAATAACATTAGTTAAGGACGGCACCAGTTGTGGGATGGCTTATGACTTATGACATACTCTATTTTAAAGCATTTTATGAGTAAGAAGTGGCACAATGAAAGTGATTATTGCTACTGTGTATAGAATAAATTCAGTTGCCATGGTAATCTTGCTGTGAGATGATGAGAATTACTCAGGGTTTAGAGTTATAGACACTGAACAGTTTATATCTGAGAAATTGGCTAGACTCGGTGTTAAACTAGATAGTCAAAGGAGAGATGGCAGTTGAGCCTGCACATAAGACCTGAAGGGCCTCTGGAAGGCAGCAACATCATCCAGTCATTCATTCAGAAAATACTATGTGCCAGGCACTTGGGAGCCTAATCAACAAAGCAGATATGGGACATTGATCATAGAAAAGTTAACAAGGGGGCCAGGGTTGGCCAGGCACAGTGGCTCACACCTGTAATCCCAGCACTTTGGGAGACCGAGGCAGACATCATCTGAGGTCAGGAGTTTGAGACCAGTCTGGCCAACATGGTGAAACCCCATCTCTACAAAAAAAAAAATACAAAAATTACCCAGGCCTGGTGGTGTGTGCCTGTAATCCCAGCTACTTGGGAGGCTGAGGCAGGAGAATTGCTGAACTTGGCAGGTGGAGTTTGCAGTGAGCCAAGATCACGCCACTGCACTCCTGCCTGGGAGACAGAGTAAGAATTTGTCTTAGAAAAAAAAAAAAAGCTGGCGGGGAAGGCTGGGTGCAGTGGGTCTTGCCTGTAAACCTAGCACTTTGGGAGGCCAAGGCGGACAGATCACTTGAGCCCAGGATTTCACTTGATCCTGGACAACCTATGGAAATGCCATCTCTACAAAAAATGCAAAAATTAGCTGTGCATGGTGGTGCATGCCTGTAGTACCAGCTGTCCCACCTACTTGGGATGCTGAGGCAGGAGAATCACTTGAACCTAGGAGGTCGAAACTGCAGTGTGCTATGATCATGCCGCTGCACTCCAGCCTGGGCAACAGAGCAAGACACTGTCTCAAAAAAATAAATAAATAAAAGTTCACAAAGGGTTAACATATAGGACTTTGGGGTTGGTTAGTTTATTCTGCTGAAATCAAAATATTTCTTTTTAAATGTATATATTTAGCAGGGTAAGCAACTAAATAAAGCTATCTACCACAGTCATATGGAGTGATTGTAAAACACTAATAGATTCACTAGAGAAAATGTAAAATACTTTTTTGTGGCCGAATTTTTTAAGTCTTACCTTTTAGTAGAATACAGGTTCTTAAGTGTAAAATCATATATGCCTTTCTCACTTGAGTATTTTCATTAGTGTGAAAGTGTAGAAATACCGTCTTCATGTTTGGAGCGGTTGATGACTACTATGTAACTGGCATAAACACTTTCATGGTGATTACAGTGGTTTTTTAAAATAATAACTTCAGAGAAAGAACTGGAATGAAATATTCATTTGCAGTATGCATAAAATTACAGTCTTGAGTCATAACTTTTTTTGAATGGAATTTTGTTGACTTTAATCAGCAAGCAGTAGTTCATTACCCTAAAGATTCTGTTGTTGTTTTTTTTTCCAATTCTGTGAATATAATTTTAAAATTAATAATCAATTAAGTGTAACATTTAGTAGAAAGATTTTTACCATTGAGCCTTAAAAGACCGTAGCTAAAGCTGGAGGGTCATGAAAAATAAAGAAATCATTCAACTTTGGGGGTTTTTTTTCCCTAAGATGTTAATTTCCTTTATTCCCATGTAACATTCTGTACAGTGAACTGTACTTTAATTACTTATGGAACTTTTAAAAAGTCCACTTACAATGTATAGGTGATGACTTATTTCATTTGTCAAGATCAGTTATGTAGCAGCTGTTTGGTGGTGACGTGAAATCATAATATTTGATGGCATTAAGCCCTAAAGGACTGTGTACCCCATTAGCATGCAGCTACCAGAGCCTAGTTTTTACCTTGCTTGTAAGCCACTGATAAGAAGGTTTAAATGACTGTGGAAAGATTTTTGCTCCAGGGCGAAGAACTCAATAGAAATCCATTTATATAACTTGTGCATGGTATTGAATGACACAAACTAGTGGTGGAATGTAGTCATTCATATGTAAAGGTGGTTCTTCCAGGGAGCTGCCTGGGTCTGATAAGAGAAGAAGAAGAAGAAGAAGAAGAAAAAGTAATGCTTTTATAGTATGTGTTTAAGCCTTCTAAGAATTACCTGCACAGATGCTACTCATTACGCTATTTTTCCATCCAGCACGAAATATGTCCACAGGCAAAAGTATCTTTATCTAATTTTGAAGTGATTGTTGTTTTGTTACAAAGATAGCTTCTAGAACCGCTGATGTGATCTTTGTAAAAATGCAAATTGTATTAACTCTATGGCAGCTTATCAGATGTATGCACTTCTGCCAGTAGGCAGTGCAGTACAATCAGAAGAAAAACAATTTACATTTTGGCTTGAACAGCATTTCATAAATAGATTTTTATCTCAACTATTCTACCTCTGCACTCTGAACCCATTGAAGTTAATAATTTATATTAAGGTTAACATGATTTATTTTAAAATATTGAGTATACATATGTGGAACAGTTCACTTTTGCAGTTTTATGGACCTTAAGTTAAAATTGCAGGAAGTCATCATTCTTTAATAATCTACTTCCAACGCCATTCCAGTTGTTATTACGGCTTAAAGAGATGGTTAGACAGTCAGCATGGATCTGACCCCTCTTCATTTAATCAAGAAAAAAATGATTGTTTGGGTAATGTTTTTTGTTTTGTTTTGTTTTTTGAAAAAGGACATGGTTTTTTTTTTATTTGTGGTATATATGTATACTATATAGTTTTCTAACTTTTAAAGCAGAGAGCCATGAGTTTTAATGAAATACCTGTTTGCCATTTTAATTCTAACTTCCTTTTAGATGATAAAGGAGGGATTCAATGTCATCAAAATATGTTTATTTTTTCCTTCAGTGCCCCTTCTTTGTTGATGCCACTTCCTGGAACTAAAGCATTGCCTTCAATGGACAAATATGCTGTGTTTAAAGGAATTGCAGCTGACAAGTCCTCTGAAAATACTGTTCCACCTGGAGGTAAAAAGTTGGTAAATTCATAAACTTGTGAATGCTAAATTGCATACTATTTAAATTGTATGAATCTTTAAGTGGTGGTCTTCTGTGCTAAATATGTAAAATGCCTGTATACCACATGTTAATAGTGTTTGGTTAAACCAATCTGCCTCACTTCCTGGAGCTGTGATTTCAAGATTCCTAACCTTAACTGAGCTTCTGTCCTTTCTATCATAGATCCTGGTGATAAATATAGTGCTTTCAGAGAACTTGAACAGACAGCAGAGAATAAACCTTTAGGTAAGTTTTTGAGTCCTCAAAAGGATAAATTATTTCCATTTTTAATAAAAAAGGGGTTTTCGATGGTTCTTTCAGTGGCATTCCCTTTATTTTAGTGTGTGTGTGTCTGTGTGTTTAGGAGAAAAAAACTGAATGGACAAAACAATATGGTATAGTAGTGATGTTTATAATAGATACTCAAACTATAAGTATTCTAATTCAAAAAACCTTAATA